>NC_000002.12:69167625-69792625 GCF_000001405.40 Homo sapiens
TGCTCCCCAGGGGCAAGCTTTCGGTGCATGGGCTTGAAGCAATGAGAAGACTTCCTGCCCATTCCTGCTGAACATAACCAGAAGCCGAACCAGTGAGACCAGGTTGGAGGTGCTTAATTCCTGTTTACCTGAACAGAGTGGCATTTTTTCCAGAAGCTCAGGTGCCCAACTTACAGTGCGTCAATGTGAAATCTGGATCATAAACCAGCCCCTCTTTATCAATATTTAATAAATCATGGATTTTAGCATTGTGTTTTGGGTTCCTTAGGGTCTGGCACATTGCAGGATGTAGAATAGATATTCAATTAATACTTAATACATTAAATTAAATAGCAACCGCATTGATGGGTTGGTCTGAGTGTTGGGCCACCTAGAACTGCATTCCCCAGCCAGTGTCATATGCTGACACACATGTGGCCAGGCATACTGCTACTGACTCCCCCAAAACCCTTGGCCACTGTCAGAACACCAGCCTCCTGTCTCACTCAGTTCATGAAATGCTGGCCCCTTGGCATCTCTGTCTGGAAGCCACCATGCAAAGGCATTTAGTATATGCAGGGGGGGTATGAAAGATGTAATCAAGGTAAGAGACAAATACAACAAGAAAGGGAAAGGAGAGTATTAATAGCATGCAGCATCTATTGAGCACCTACTCACTACCAGATGCTTAACACACATGATCGCTCATGATGACTCAGTTTCTGCAAGGTTCATGTTATTACTTCATTTAACAAATGAGGACAGTGGAGATCAGACAGGTTAAGGGACTCATCAAATCCTGACAGTCAGGAGAAGGCAGGTCTGGAATTCACATATAACATCTATGCTGTGCTTAGCTCATAGCACCGTGGAGACAAAAGCCCTCTGCTCAGCACCAAACCTCTTCACACCCAGGGGCCTTGCCACATATGCTGCCCTCTCAACATCTGTCTCTTCCCAAACATCCTGTTCCCCCTCTCACTCCCTTCCCTACCCCTGCCCCAGGAGAACAGATGCATTCCAGATCTTGGTCCCCAGATCCTCACCCCTCCCTCCAGTTTCCAGACATTTCCTGCTGTAAAGTAATTTACTGCTTCTGGGATGATGGGAAATCAGTCCTGGACAGGAGCGATCCTCCCCAGAGATTTCCTTAAGGAACTCTGAGCCAGGGTTGAGTGGGTGAGCACAATCATGGCTTTGCATTTTCCAGAGACTTTCACCAGGCGTCTCACAGCAGCCAGGAAGTGGAGGCAGATGAAATGAGAGTTTGAAACCCCTGGAGGCCTTCACTTCTGCCTCTTCAATTAATGGAATACCATACTTTCAGAGGACTGGAGTCTTGGGCCATTGGCTAAGGTTAACAGAACCTGCAGTGGGAAGCCTGCCTCCTCATGCAGAGATGACGTTATCAATAATGGTAGGGTGGGTAACAGCGTGGGGATTGGAGCCCTAACAAGGTCCCAGAATAATCATCAAACCAGAGGAGACATGTGCTGAGTAGGGAGAGCTGAAGAGGTGCTTGCTGCCAGCTAAGCAGCCTGGCCTGCAGCCAGAGCCCGGCTCCCCGACTGGAGGAAGAAAAAATGGGTCCTGTGGGCTGTGCCCGAGCACCCAACTACAAAGGCAGCACCTGATGTTAAGGCATCAAGAGATAGGGAATGAGCTTTGGATTTGCCAGAAGTCCTCTAAGTAAAAGAACTGAGTAGGGGACCCAAAATTCTGATAATAAGTTTGGGGTGAGAGGAGGAAGCCCTCCAAGGCACAGAGTGGAATTATAGTAGATAATTGCCAAATGCCATGTAAGAGACTCTAAATCCATTTAACGGTGAGGGCTTTCCTTTTATGACAGAGGGGTACAAGTTGGGGTCAAGAGGGAGGAGGGACTGCTCACTGGCCCCAGCTGTCCCTGCTCTGTCCTTATCCCATGTGTCATCATTCTCTCATGGGTTAGACTGTCTCCCAATTACTTGCCCATCCAGAGTTTCCACATGTCTCTCTTCAGCCCCAAAGATGGGACAGTCAGAATCTTATAACACTGTTAGTTAAAGCTTTGTGCCCCTAAGTGTCAGTGCCCTGAAAGAAATCCCTGGACACTCCTTTGCTGCCTCTGTTGGGACTCGGTCTGCCTGGGCAGCACATCCACCCTGCAAAGACACCCGTGGGGACCAGTGACAGCTGAAGGACTGCCAGCAGCCCGCGTGGGGTCCACGCTTGACACATCCCTAAAGCACCATGTTAACTTCCATTGTGTGACAATTCTTTGTTAAATGTGTAGACGATTGGATAGATGGATGAATAAATAATCTGATATGTGAATGACTCGGTGAATAAATGAGTGAATAAATTTGCATGATAGTTATCTGGGGTAGGAAATGAAACTGTGACCTGTGGAACATTTATTTCTCTATACAAAACCAGAAGAGACGCAAATGAGACTGGAACCCTCAGCCTGAGTCATATGCTAACTAGCAGAGCTACTCTGTCCAGCAAAGACACCTCTCATGGCAGTGATTAAGCCCGACTTGCTGGGGCCATTGCCATGGTAATTATGGCAGCACCACCACGGTACCTCCTGACAGCAAGCCTCTTAGGAGGCAGGTAGCCAGAGATTTTTCACTGACCTGTTCTCTGTTTTCTTTTCAGATTATCAAGGAGGTCCCTCCACCCCCTGCCGAGGAGAGTGAGGTAAGTGACCACAGCAGGATGGCAGTGGGTGGGCAGGGTGGCAGAGTAGGGTGGAGAGCTGGCTGGGCAGCTGGACACTTAGCCCCCTGCAGAGCAGAGCTAAGTCAAGCTCAAAGGATTTAATGTACCTGCCTGTGAAGCAGAAGGGAGGAAACTGTCTGGCCTTTCCTAACCAGGGATGAACAAGAAACTGAACTAAACTGCCAGAAAAGACAATGAGTTTTGGAGGTTTTTCTCCCTGCAGAGATAAAATGTGAGATGGAAATAAATGTTTTTATCAGTACAGTTATTTGGAGCTTTGAGATACTGACTTTTCCTCTCAAACAAACCCTAAGATTCTCTTCTCCTGCAGAGACTTAATGCTTTATGTGTGTAGATCAGGCACAGTTTGCTACATTCTCCAATCATTGGTTCTAGGAATAACCTGATGCCCAATTCTTCATTTTTCTTTCATTTAAAAACAATATTACCTAAAGATGGGCCAGGCAGTAATGAAAATACGCTGGAGAGGGATATGTTAATATCCTGGCCTTCCTCTCAAATTCTCGTCATCTAAAGAAAAAAATTCTTGGACTCTACCACTGAATCGGCCAGTAAACTGTTCTGATGCAAGGGTGGCCTGGAGTAGAATACAGTGGAGGCATTAAAGGCTAATCATGAGAAAGGCAAGAGTGCCTAGCAAGTGGCTTTGCTAATCTGATCACTCTTAGTACAGCTGGAGTCTCTAGAAGTAACATCCACCCATTCAGAAGCCAGGGTTACATATCTAAACACTCAATGAGACCAAAAGATAGATTGATAAGGTTTCAAGTTCTTGTCCTCAATCCCTAACGTCTGTTGTGTGCAAATCAAGTGCCAGTTCCTCACCCTTCCCCTTCCAATGCATTTGTCAAGTTTCCTACATACAGAAAGAGTAATGATTAAATTAAAAATTCCATGTGGCTCTTATATCCTGAACCATACGCATGTAAGCCAAGGGATTTAATAGCTGCAATCAATTAAAGTGCATCTTGTTGGAATGCTAACTTTCTGCCCAGAAATCAAGGGAGGAAATTACATTGCTGTGCAAAGAAGAAGAAAAAACCTTCTTTACATACATTAAAACCTTTCCTTAATCCTTCAAGAGAAAGTACCGTGGCTAGTTCCACGACTGCAATTGGCTTTGCTTCTGTTATGTGCAGCTATCTCTTAGACTTCCAAAACATAAAAAATAAAATAGAGCAAGGAGCTCCCTTATTAGGACTTTGTTTGCCTGGAGGCAAATAACATTCCCTCCCTTGTTGTGTTCAGTTAGAAGGGTTGTGGCTTTTTCTTTTGGCTCTTGCTCTGTATTTGCCTTTAGAAGGTGACGTGGCAGCCATAGTGGCCAAAGTGCACCTGGGGATGTAGGTTAAGACTGGGCTCTGACTTACCCCAGATCCAACATCTAGCCTAGGGTTGCACACACAGTACAAGCTCAGCAGGGACTTTTAGGATGAAGGACCCAGCAACACAATTTTGGAGCCAAGTAAAAAAGCCCAAACTAGAAAACCATCTAGGAAGGATAGCTAAAAGCAAGGAAGAGAAGTAGTTGAGTTTTTTCTGTTTCATAAAAGTTGTAGTTACACCCAAAGAAAGCTGACTTCATTTCCCAAACAGAATGACAACCTCAGAATGCTTGAATCTAAAGGGTTATGTTAGGCTTAAAGGAGTTTTTGGGCTGAAGCTTCCTCACCTGTCCCCTGTCACTCTATCAAAGGGATAACTCACGTGAACACCTGCAGTTGATTATACTTGGTCAGACGTGAGCTGGACAGATGACTAGTACATTTCATTGGCTGATGAAAAACAAAACATTCCCTTCCTGGAGTCTAGATCCCCTCCCCTCCATTTCCCTTTGAAACCCTCTGACTTAATCAATTAAATATGACGTCAGAAATAAATCAAGAAACTACCCAAACTGGAGACCTAGGCAATAAAAATTTAAACATTGTACTTTTTAGCATCAGGCGCTTTTTGGCATGTGCTGATTGCCTTAGCGTGTGTGTTGGCCCTGTGAGTTAGGCCACCTAATCTCCTTCCTAATGTATTTTGGCAGGAAAATAAAATAAAATAACAAGAAGAAGAAAGAAAGAAATCCCACAGAAACAGATAACCTAACACAGCCCGTGCAACGTATTTTATACAATGCTCTGAAAATCATAGTCTCAATCTAGACAGTCTTTTCCTCTAGTTCCCTGTATTCAAATCCCAGTGTCTAACATTCAATAAATAGCTATATGAAATCAAACACTCTCTGCCGTATATATGAAGACCTTCAGTATTATTTATCCCAACTTTCATCAGCTCTATCAACATCATATTCTGAGAGAGGCATGTCTACTATTTAAATAACTAAACTTAGAGAATGAAGATAACTTTATAATAAGCTCTCAGTGACCTTTTTAATAGAAAATATAAAAATTCAGAATGGAAAAAGGAACTATATGCTGAGATTCTATGTAACCAACGGTGACACACTTGTATGAAGAGGGTACAAAGAGAAATTACTTGAAACTTGAAGAGCTCAATAGAAGCAAGGAAGCTCAGTTTTAACAACTAAGAGGGACATTTCCTGGGTTAAGAATCTTCTCAAGTGGCACCAGTGGGGATCCCTCCCTAACTCTCCAGTTACTCCAAATAACTGGCAGTTCGTGGGAGAATGCAGTAATGGAGCACTTCATGTGACGGTTTTGTTCTGCATGTAATCACCTTCCATGGATTTTATGACCATATTTGAGTTTTTATCAGCCTCATTCGCCTGCAAAAAACAGAGACCAGTTCAAGCTAGTCCAAGATGAAAGAACTCAGGTAGACTGTGGCTGGGGAAAGAACTGAGGCAGCTCTAGACACCACCCTCATGGGCTTTCGATTTCACTGCTAGCAGCTCTGCTTCTCTCTGGGAATTTATTCCCTTCTGCCTTCTCTTACTGGCCGCCTCTCTGCCCTTGTAACTCTGGTTTGTACAGAGCCCTCTCTCCTGACTCCATCTGATATTTCTAGTCTTCATTTCACCATCTGCCCCCAGTGCTTATAGCTGAGTCTCTCAGTTTCCATCTTTCAGTTCCCAATAGGGGAAAATACTTGGTCCAGCTCATCTTTTCACTCCAGACCATAGATCATCAGTCACAGCTCACAGCCAACCAACAGACTGGTGCTCTTGGGTCACATCTGGCCAAAGAGAAGCTTCCTAGTAAGCCCCGTGGCCATGGTGAGAATAGCTCCCCTCAGAAGGAGGAATGGACCTGGTGCAGGCCCTGTGGCCTCTCTGAAATAGTATTGTTTCAGAAACTAAACTTCGGTCTCATTAAATACTATCAAAATAAAAGCTACACCCAGGAATCCATACCATATTCTTCCAACATCTGCCACTTTTACAGGCTCTCAAAGATCCTATCGTTCCCAATATCAAGCATATTTGAAAGGCAATAGATAGCAGGAAGCCCCATGACTGAATGGAAAGTGGGTTATGGCTTAGCCCCAAGCAGCTCCATGTCTCAGACACACACAGACCTACATATGAAGTAAATGTACTGGAAAGAGAAGATGCTTCCTTTCCCATGTCCTGTCTCACTCTATCAAAGGCATAGCTCTGGAAACACCTGCCATTTTCTTCCTTAATCACACTGCCTTGGCCAGACCTGGGCTGGACAGATGACTAGTACATTTTATTTGCAATGAAAAACAAAACATTCCTTTCCTGGAGCCTAGAGCGCCTCCCCTTGTTCATTTCCCTTTGAAACCCTCTGGCTTAATCAACTAAATATTATGTCAGAAATAAATCAAGAAACTACCCAAACTGGAGACATAGGCAATAATAGTTAAAACATTGTACTTTTTAGCATCAAGCAAATCAAGGTCTTAGAATCTGACTTGAGGGACATTAGAGAAGTCAAATAGGGTAGAGGTAAAAGGTATGTAAGTAGCCCCAATGTTTTTTGATATTTAAAAATCTTATTTATTCAACAACTCTAGAATGAGTGCTCCTGTGCGCTGATAGCAAGTGTGAGATTCTCTGCCAGAGTTGCCTTAAGAGAGTGTGTAACTGGGCCAGGTACAGTGGCTCATGCCTGTAATTCCAGCACTTTGGGAGGCCGAGGCGGGCAGAGTACTTGAGACCAGCCTGGCCAACATGGCAAAACACTGTCTCTACTAAAAATACAAAAAATTACCCGGGCATGGTGGCACATTCCTGTAATCCTAGCTGATCAGGAGGCTAAGGCAGAAGAATTGCTTAAACCTGGGAGGTGGAAGTTGCAGTGAGCCAAGATCACACCACTGCATTCCAGACTGGGCGACAGAGCAAGACTCTATCTCAAAAAAAAAAAGAGAGAGAGAGAGAGTGTAACTGGACATTTATAAAGTTGGTGACCTAATCAGTCCTAATCAGGAAGAAAGGCAGAGATTCCTGGTGGATATTGCATGTGAATGTATGAAAATTAATAATAATAGTGGTTAATTACTGAAGATGACATTTATTGAGCATTTATAACTATCCAGGCAATTATGTGAAGCACTTTTTGTGGTACATTTCATTTTATCATTCAGCAGCCCTGAAACAAAAGTGTGCTATTATGAACCCCTACCTTATAGATGCAAAACTGAGGTATAATGAGATTAAAATACCAGTGGCCCCAATATTTCAGTTATTAAGTGATGGGACTGGGATTCAAACTTGTACCTGAAAAAGAAGCATAGAGCAGTCTTTCCTCACTGGTCCCTGAAGACAATGTAGCTCCTGCAACCAAGAGCAAGTCTTCCTGATGCTCATTGTTGGGAGCATCAGGTGCTCCTTTCTTGAGTGGCAGTGTCACCTGTCTCTGACCCGTGTCACTCACACAGGGCACACAGCCCCTTTTAAGACTGACGTAAAGATGGTTACTTATTTTCTGTGCTCTGTCCATGGCCCTAGTGTGTAGCTATTCTCATTAGCTCTCTTATCCCTATGTTTCCCGCCTGTCTTCTCTTTCATGCTCCCATGTCACCATGTCTCATCATGAAGCTTTAGAATATATCTGGGAGCTTGGTATGGTGACTCACTCCTGTAACCCCAGCACCTTGGGAGGCTGAAGCAGGATTGCTTGGGGCCAGGAGTTCGAGACCAGCCTGGGTAACATAGGGAGACCGCCCCCCGCCCCCGCCGCCGATATCTACAAAAATAAAAATTAGCTTGGCATGGTGGCTGTCACACATGTGGTCCCAGCTACTGGGGAGGCTGAGGCTGGAGGGTCACTTAAGCCCAGAAGCTGGAAACTGCAGTGAACCATGTTCATGCCACTGCACTCTAGCCTGGGCAACAGAGCAAGACCCCAACTCTTCCAAAAAAAGAAGAATGTGTCTTCTTGTTTTAATCATGGGTTAGTATATATGCACTGGGGGGCGGGTGAGAGTGGGAAAGGATGTGAATATGTGGACATCTATAGGTTGGTATTTTGTATCTGAAGGGAGAGGGGTGCCTATTGAAAGCATTGATGCCCATCCAGTGAACAATAGGCACCTGGCTTTGAAGGATGAGCTTATTTTCAGATTTATTATTATGCTCACTGATCCTAAAAATTTCTCTGTGGCAAGAAATGTTTAGATAGGAAAACTGAGCTATGGAAAATTATACAGGGCCAGATAAGTTGAACTCCTAATAGCAACAGGTCTGGCATCCTTCCAGCCATGTCTACACAGACACCCAGAGTAGCCTCCACCCTGGAGGGATGAAGGGCCAAGCTACTGTCAGGCATCTTCTTGCCAGTGACCATTAAATACACATACACAGACACCCCCCCACACACACATACACACACACACACATACACTCCAAACAGAAGTCCTAGAGAAGGCCCAAAATTCCGTATTCTATGTTTTAATACTTTAAAAAAAAAAAAAAAGAACATTGCTGCTAGGAAAATAAACACCTTATTCTTTACTGAAGAATACAGGACAATCCTTGTGTTGTCTTTAATCACTTTGTTTACGTAAACAGATATAATGGTGCCATGACATGTGAAATGCGGCTCAGAATGGTGAAATCTTAAATCCTCTGGAGTGTTGTATTTACAAACAGAAGTATTGCTGGATCTTTCTGACTTGCCAATTCACTCCTAGGAGTTTACCTCCAAGACTGACATTGAGGGGATCTCCCTGACTTCTCCCCAAAGACCAAATGAGACAGTCCTGCCAGTTCTACTTTAAGTTCTGCCCTTCGAAGCCTCCCAGACCTGGGAGTTTCTGTAGCCTTAGTCCTTTAATTCATGTCGTCATTCTCACGAAACTCACTCCTCTATAAATGTAAACAATATTGTCGACAGCTGAGTTCTCTTTATTTTCTCAAAATATAACACTGTGCTGGCAGGTGATGGGGACTCAATGATAGTTGCTTGAGTTAGTGAAATAATTGACAAATAAAAATCTCTTGTTGAGCTTATGCATTTAAGATGTGCTCCAGTTCAATGACATTTAAAATTAATTTAAAAGCTGATTTAAAGCTACTGCCTTGGGTTTGATTCTCTTTCAGTTATGTGCTCCTTTTCATTGATAGTTCCTATTGAAACCTGCAGTGAACTGGGAGTTGTAAGCCTTCTTGAGTCAAACCGGCCATGTGGCTCTTCTAGTAAATGGATACCAGAGAAGCAGGAAAGTTAAAGAACTTATCAATTGAGTCTGAGAGGGCCACCCTTTGCACAACTCCAGGGGACGCTATTCACATCAAGTCTGTGGAGTTGTCCCATGCACAGTATACATGCAGGAGTGAGGCAGTCCCAGAATCTGGAAAATTCATCCTTTCTACCCTCTGGTTTGCTTAATAACTAACAGTTAAACGTGTTGAGTGAGTGGAAGGTGGAGTTGTGGAAACTCATGAGGCGAGAGCATTGCATTCTCTGGGGAACCCGGGAGTTCTTGGCAGAATAGGTTACGCTTAAACAACATTAAGGGATGGGTAGAAGCAATGGGAGAAGGGCTTTCCAGGCATGTGGAGCCCTGCATGTTGAAGCGTGGAGCTGCACAAAAGCCTGGCATGATTGGGAAAGATGGGAAAAGTTCAGGGTCTGAGGACAGCACAGGGCTAATCCAATTACAGGCTAACCAAGTGAGTTCACAGACTTCATCCTCTACAGCTGTTTCTTCCTCGAACAGCACTGTGCCTGCAGGCACACCCAGGTCTGCCTGAGGACACGCAGGTCAGAAGGGGCCTCTACCATCTGAGGAATGTGCTGCCATTTGTGTTACCCAAGCTCCAGCCAGCTGGACGTCTGGAGCCACCACATCCTTTCAGATTTAAACACAACTTCCCTTGATGGGAAACCGGCCTCCCTCCCCAATCCCTGCGGTTTCTCCCAGGCACCACTGACTCCTACTCCTCGCTTCTTCCGCGTTATCTCATCTTCTCGGTTTGCTAGACACGATCTAGCAGCTCTGGCACAAATCCAACTGCGCAGCAAATTTTACTGAAGGTTTAAAAGTATAGTGCAGCCCACAACCCCTGACGGAATATTAAAGGGACTCTTATTTACCACCGGCCACCCCCACCACTCGGGGGGATTGGGGGTCGTAGCTGTTCACTGGTAGCTCTGCCCCACTCTGTTCTGCTCATCTTCTCATTCCCCACAAGCCCCTGATTTCTCATTCACAGCAATTGGGCTCATCCAGCCCCATCCTCCAATAACCATAGAGGACAGCAAGGTTTTTGTTTTGTTTTGTTTACTAAAGGAAAGCCAGCTCACACTGAGGATTTCTATACTGGTGTTTTCTCCCTCCCTGCTACCATCCTTGAAGGGCAGTGTAGGAGGAAGATCTCAAGAGCCTTTATGATTTAATGAGATGTAAAAATCCACCCTCCAGTGCTGCCGAGTTTCTTAGTGGCCTTGCTGAGGGGCTGGGATTCTACTCCGTCCATTTTTGGCCAAATGGAAAGACACATCAAAGATTCCCTTCTCTTCCTGGGGATTGCAAAACCCTTCTGTCTCCAGAATGTGTAAACAGACCCATGCTAACTGCAGGGGAAACTCTGACTCTCCCGTCCGTCAGCCCCTGGGCCTTTGTGCTGCCTGGTGCTGTTGTCTGAGCTTGGCAGGCCAGCTCCGGTCAGGGGATTAAGCGACGGGCTCGGTGGCGCGGCAGCGTGTGGAGATTGCCCAAGCCCTAGGCATTTCCTGTTGCGAGAAGGCCAGGCCCTGCCCTTGAGCACGAGGGCGGCGCCTCCTTCCCCAGGCCAGGGACAAGAGGGAGGAGCCAGGGACTAGAGGGAGGGGCCAGCGGCAAGAGGGAGGGGCCAGGGGCAAGAGGGAGGGGCCAGGGACTAGAGGGAGAACTGCCCCCGTGTGCAAGTGGAACCTGGAAAGCGGGGAAACCGGCTTCATGCATCTTACTATATCCTGAGCACTCAGCGGGGTTGCGAATTAGAGAAAGCCAGTTGTAAATCCTTCTTTAAGTTCTTTTCGTAAAATATAGGGGGAGAAAAACCCCTGGACAAGGCATCAGAAAACCACACCAGAACTTCACCTTTAGGGGTCACTTCATTTCTCTAGATCTGACTCCTCTTCTGTGCAGTGAAAAGACTTAATTAGATGAGCTCCTAAAAAATTAAGAGGCTCATGAACCTAGTTGAGTCCCCTGTGGAATAAAGCGGCTTTATTCTTGGAGTTTCTTAACGTTCGTGGTGCTGCTGTGTTCAGCTTTAGGGGATAGAATTTCTGTTATCTCCTTTGGAAAACTGCCCCAGACTGGGAATGCCCAGGCTTTCAGAGCCATATTTTGTATATCTGTGTTCACAGCCACTTACACAGAAACATACATCCACCTCCAATGTAAAGTTTAACCACATATAGGACATATAAGATTCCTGCTTTCACATCATAAGGTGAAAGAAACCTCGGAAATTCTAAGGTAAAGTAATATGAACTATAATATTTTATTGTGTTGGGGACTTTATTTTGTTATATTTTGCAGTTATAAATTATCAAAATTAAGTCCATGTGCGGTGGCTCACACCTGTAATCCCAGCACATTGGGAGGCTGAGGTGAGAGGATCACTTGAGCCCAGGAGTTTGTGACCGGCCTGGGCAATATGGCAAAACCCCATCTTTACAAAAAATAGAAAAATTAGCTGGGTGCATTGATATGTGTCTGTAGTCCCAGCTACTCAGGCAGGCTGAGGTGAGAGAATTGCTTGAGCTGTGGTAGTTGAGGCTGCACTCCAGCCTGGGTGACAGAGTGAGACCCTGTCTCCAAAAAAAAAAAAAAATTATCAAAATTAGCAGGTACAAGGAGAAGTCAAAAATGAGCGTGTATTTGTTGCCATCAAATGATTGGAAAAGCAAACCACAAAAGAACAAAATCCAGACTGGCCAATGCTGAGAAACAATCAAAGGAGAATGAGGTTGCATGAGTTCAAATCCAGCTCTGTCACATACAAGCTGGGTGACCTAAGTCATTTAACGTCTCTATTCTCGTTCTCTAAAATAGGAATAATAACACCATGTACCTTCCTGGGTGGTTGCAAGATTAAAGGATTAATAATACATTTAAAGTGCTCAAAAGAGTGACTGGCACATAACATGGGAAAGGCTGCATAAATTCAATGGTGTGTTATCATGAATGCAATATGTGTTTATCGAGCACCTACTTTGCACTTAGAATACAAGGGTCAGCAGAATCTGAGAGCGAGCAACCAAGTAAGAGAGAGAGAGACACCCAAGTGTCAGCTGTCAGAATGTTGTACGTCCTAGTCTGCTGTGACCTCTCTGTCCTTTAAGATGTATTAAATTTTTTGAAAATCATTTTAAAGAAGACTGCCCATCCCAAGCACAACATGTAACTCAGGGAGTCTTAATGTGCCAACATGTTTCTGCTTTGCTTTGTCACCTTTTGTCCTGACCTCTCCTGCCTTTGCTTTTTTGCACCTTGCCTCCTGCATGGGGTGCCCCATCCCACGCAGTGGTGCCCTGCATAGGACTTCACCCAAATGCCACCAAAACAAGGCTGTGAGAAGCAGGCTTCAGCATTGTGAGCAATTTCTCCCTCTTTTGTTCATTCCTCTGCTTTATCAACCCCTTTTCCAGCTTCCTTTCTCTACCCAGGAGAGAAATCATGCCACTTCCTTATAATCCATCCATGACTATAAATGGTGATATTTTTCTCCCCACAACAAGAATAATTACAGTGCCAAGATGAAGAGCAGTTGCTACATCTCCTCCCTTTTTCCATCCACAGTTACAAGTTCCTCATCTTCTTTCTTCATCTTAAAAAATATAAACACTAACTTCTTGTCACTGAGCTAAGTTGCAGACACTTAATTAACTGCTTTATTTGAGTCATCTTATTTAACTTATTTGTAAATTCAACAGATAATTCTTGGGCACCCACCACATACAACATAGTGCTATTCTAAAGACTGGGAATACAATTGTAAGCATGACAAACAAAAGCCTCTGTGGAACGTACGTTCTAGTGTGGAGAGACAGATATTAAGTAAATATCAAGCCATGATGAGATCCTTAACTAAAAATAAAACAGATTGATGGAATGAAGAGACCGCGGCTACTTTAGAAGAAATTTCCAGGGGAGGTTTCTCTGAGGAGTAATATGAAAATCCATCCATCAGAAGATGGGGTGGGGGAAGTGCTTTCCTAGACAAGGGGACAAGGGGACACTGTGCACAGGCCCCAAGACAGGAATTTGCCCAGAGTATTTGAGAGAGGGCAGGCAGGCTGGAGCTCAGGAGGAGGGGGGCACATGATAAGGAAGAAGGCCAGAAAGGTGAGCAAAGGCCAGAACACACAGGGCAGAGCTGGCGTTTGCACTTACTCTGCTGCTTTGTGGAGAACAGATCATAGGTGAGTCTTAGGGCAGCAGGAGGCCAGTTGGGAAGCTACCACAGTGTCCATGAGCAAGTGCATGGGGGCTTGGGCCCAGGATAGTGGTGGTGGGGATGGAGAAGTCAACAGATTTTAGATCTTTAAGTAGTAGCAACAGAACTAGCTGGCAAGTTGGGACAAGTTGGGGAGAGGCAGTAAAGAAGAGAGAGGCAGTGGGGAAGACTACAGGAGGAGCATGTTTAGGGTAGGGAAATCAGGACATCTCTGCTGTGGTGTTGTTGAGATGTTTTTTAGCCCCCAAATAATGTGAATGTCAAGTGAGCAGTTGGAGTTCAGAAGCATCAGGGCTGAAGATGTAAAGTCACAAGTCATTAGCATGTAGGTGGGGTTAGATGCGATTCCCACAAAGGAGTAGAGCTGTAGAAGAGAACAAGAGAACAGGACTGTACCACAAACTTACCAGGTAGCACTGCTTACATTCCCACTCTACAGATAAGGAAAACAAGCTTAGGTGGTTTCAGTGATTGGCCCAAGGTTCTAGGAAACAGTAGCACTGGGATTGCACCCAGGCAGTCTGACTCTATAAGCTCTACTCCTAATCACTTGGCTGTAGTAGGCAGGTCCACACAGCAGTGCTGTTTTGCTTCCTTCATGTGCCACAATTTCTCTGCAGGAAGAAGATGATGATGGTCTGCCTAAGAAAAAGTGGCCAACGGTAGACGCCTCTTATTATGGTGGGAGAGGCGTTGGAGGCATTAAAAGAATGGAGGTAAGAGGACAGCTTCATATACACTTATCTATGTGCTGACTACTCCCATCGAGGTACCAGCCGGGCCTGACCCTGCTTAGCCTCTAGATATCAGGCATGCCCAGGGCAGTATGGCCGTAGACCACACTGATGACTCAATGTCAGAAACCCAAAGCAAATTGCTGAAAACCTCCTTGAGGTCTGGTGGGGATATGGATTGTAAGGCAGACGGATGGAGAGATAGGAGGGACAGCCTTTCACTGTGCGTTTCCATGTCTTGCCCACCGTGAGTCAGAGCAGGTCACACATCAGCTCAAACGTCCTCGTGATTTCTTTTCTCACTGGAATAAAATCCAAAGTTCGTACCTGAACCTGCAAGGTCTTTGCATGTGCTGTCCCCGCTGCCTGGACAATTCCTCCCTAAATATCCACCCATGTGGCTCAGCTCTCTGCTCCTTTGGTCCTCCCCTTTTCTCTTTTTCCACAGTTTCCCTCTTCCCTGGCCCTCAAAACCCAAAGGAATCCAGGGTTGGGTAGCATTCACATTGCAACTCATGCATGTATTTGTCATTCTCATTCTCGAGGGGCAGCATATTTTGTCATTTCATTTCATTGTATTTTGTTTATTTTAGGTTCGTTGGGGAGAAAAGGGCTCCACAGAAGAAGGTGCTAAGTTGGAAAAGGCAAAGAATGCAAGAGTCAAGATGCCGGAGCAGGAATATGAATTCCCTGAGCCGCGAAATCTCAACAACAATATGCGTCGGCCTTCTTCCCCCCGGAAGTGGTACTCTCCAATCAAGGTGTGTCTCTTTACTCAAAAAATCTATCATCAGTCCTGATAAAACACTTACATAGTGAAGAATCAAAATCTTTCCACATGATAAAATCCCAACCTAAAACCCAGCTTATCACAGGGGAACAATTATCTAAAATTATGGACTTGAAAGTACTAGTAATTACTTTGTCAATTTCCACATAATCTGGGTTGAAAACTAGGCTTTTTAAAAATCACCGTGGTGCTCACTTCTGCAGCACATATAGTAAAACTGGAACAATATAGAGAAGATTAGCATGACCCCTGGGCAAGGATGACATGCAAATTCGTGAAGTGTTCCATATTAAAAAAAAAAAAAAAATCACCATGGCAAGGTACTGGAAAAAGCATGGACTGTGAGTCAAGTAACTTGGGTAGTAACCCCAGAGAGTGACTATAAATTTCCATAGCATCTCATAACTTCACTTAGCAGACAATCTACTATCTAAGAAAAATGGCAGCCTTCTCCTTAATGCTAATCTCTACTCCTTTTGCCATAATATAAGCCCATTCCCTTTTATTTGCGCCTCCTGCCAGTGTATCAGGGCCCACCAGCAAATCTCACTGGTCATGGATCTAGGACTCACTCTTTCTGGTTGTAAGCAAATCTTTTTTCTCCACCATCTGTCTTTCCCCCACACCTCCAGATCTTAAAATCCTCTTTGGTTTATTGGGAAGTGTAAACCGTTGGAGGCAGTTAATGTTTCCTAAAGGCCTCTTTTTTATTTTCTATTTATTTATTTTTTGAGACAGGTTCTCACTCTGTCACCCAGGCTGGAGTGCAGTTGTGTGATCTCTGCTCACTGCAACCTCGACCTCCCAGGCTCAAGCCATCCTCCCACCTCAACCCCCAAGTAGCTGGGACTACGGGCACGCACCACCACACCCAGCTAATTTTTGTTTTTTTTTTTTTTTTTTTTTTTTTGAGGGACGGATTTCACTATGTTGCCCAGGCCTGTCTTGCACTCCTGATAAAGCAGTCTGCCCACCTCGGCCTCCCAAAGTGCTAAGATTACAGGCATGGGCCACCATGCCCAGCCTGAAGGCCTCTTTTCTATTCTTCTTGGTCCAAATGGCTTTGAATTCACATGATTCAGTTAACACCTTCAATCTTTAGCCATGCCCATAAACATCTGCACTATGCCACTTGTCAGAGAGCACTGGAAAATTATAGCTGAAAAGACTCTAGACATAATCTGTCCCCACTCTCTGATTTCATACTGAGATAGGCAAAGTCCTTGTTCTGCTGAGGTCTGGAAAACAAGGCCCCCAACTCAGGGCTACAGACTCCAGTTTCAAGCTGCAAACAGAACCGAACCAACTCCAAAGCCTCAAGTCAAAGACTCAATAGAGCCAGCTCCCATCACCATCCATACACATACACACACTCACACACACACACACACACAGCCTTACCCCCCTTCCAATAGCAACAAAGATTATTTTCATCATTCGCTGAGTTAATTTGCTAATTTTGGATCAGGGCTTCTCCAACAAATCAAAAGAAGTACCATTTCAGGCAGTGTAGCGAAACGTTATTGGTGGTTACCTTTCCTCAGCTGAGCTAGCTCAAGCTCACCTGAATTGCCACGCATTTCTATTTTGGTTTGCCATGTTTGAAGCAGTGAGATTCTTTTTTTAGGATAAGCCTGCCCTCTGGGGTAATGGATTGAACTCTGGAAAGATGTGGGCAAAATGCAGCTTGCTTGAATAACAGCTGTTTGCTTCTAATTATTTTCTAATGAAGAACATGCAGTGGCGTGCATGCATGTGCAGACAGGAAGGAGCCAAGCAGATTCTCAGCCATGAAGAAGAAAGGGGATTTTCTGTTATGCCGTTCTCAGGAATCTGTACCTTGTGACTAACGCCACATCTTTGGTTACAGCCAGGTTTTTGTTTCTGTAATCTTGGACACTGAGAGAACATTAATTCTGTTTGAAAACTCCGGTTTCTACTTGAGAGCATAGTCCTCTATTGACTGGCGGTTTAGGACTGAATTTGATGAGATAAATAAGTATATGGGCCAATACGTTTAGAAATCTAAAAACATTCCCAACACCCACTTGGAATTAGTATCAATTCAGTGAGTATTCATTGTGCAGCTACTGTGTGCCAGGCACTGTAGGATGTTGAATATACAGAGGCTTTCAAACCCGGCTGAGTGTCAGAATCACCTGAGAGTGATTTAAAAAATACAGATTCCCAGGCCCAGTGACCCAGAATCTCACAAAAGTCCTCCAAAAGCACACTGGCTCTCAGCATTCGCCCATCTTTTCCTATCAAGTGAAACTCCTTTTGTTCACAATGCCTCCCTTCTCTAATTTCACTTCCAGACTCCCTGAGTGATAGGCCTCTGTTGCCCCAATTATCACTTCATCAGTCCTGACTCTTGAGCTTCTTTTTAGTCTCTGTAGTAAAGCACTGGCTCTCAAAGGTGGTCCCTGGAACAGCAGCATCAGCATCACCCAAGAACTTGTTAGAAATGGACATTCTTCGGCCCCACCTAAGATCTACTAAATCAAAAACGCTGGAAGTGGGGCCCAGCCATCTGGGTTTTAACAAGCTGAGTTAAGAAGTTGTCACCAGCTGGGCGCAGTGGCTCATGCCTGTAATCCCAGCATTTTGGGAGGCCGAGGAGGGTGGATCACAAGGTCAGGAGTTTGAGACCAGCCCCGGCCAACATGGTGAAACCCTGTCTCTACTAAAAATACAAAAATTAGCTGGGCGTGGTTGTGGGTGCCTGTAATCCCAGCTACTCAGGAGGCTGAGGCAGGAGAATCATTTGAACCCAGGAGGCAGAGGTTGCAGTGAGCTGAGACTGTGCCATTGCACTCCAGCCTGGGCAACAGGGCAAGACTCTATCTCAAATAAAAAAAGAAAAAAAAAAAAAAAAGAAGAAGAGTTGTCACCAAAGGTCCCAGCCAGCATTCCATAGGAAGTCCTTGGAGGGCAGGAACTGTGGTGCCTGGATTGTTAAAATAGGCAAAGAGGCCATGATTGCACTGCGGTGATTTTTCAGGCATCTCAGCAAGGAGAGCCACATTAATGTTCACACTGGGTCCATTTTTACCACAAACACAACTGCTGAATTAATGTTAAGTGGTTGGGAATCTGAGTGTCTTAGGAGTCAACTAAAAGGCCAGATGGAAATGACCTAGGATGCCGGTGGACTTGAAGAGCTCCTCGGCAGGACTCCCTCGTTAGGACGTGCAGAGCATGAATCCTCCTTTTGCCTGGTGGAACAGCCAATGCCAATGCTTACTCAGCTCCTTCTACTGTAGAGGAAATGCATACATAGCCGTTGGTGTGATTACTCATGTTTATGAGCCTTCTCTCCACTAGATTTGACCCCCCGCAGGCACCAGCTATGCTTTGAATCCCCAGTAAACAGTGTTGTACCTGGCTCATCCCTTATTAAAGAGCTGAGGCATGAACGGTAATTATGAAACCACTCCCCAGAGCATCCTGCCAGTCAAACCACACAGACCATTTTGGCATACTCTATCCAGAAAACTGACATTCTTCATGCCATCTCTCTGAGGAGAGAAGAGAAAAAGAGATTGTTTTAGATGCAACAAGAAGGATAGAAGCACAGGAAGAAATTCAAAAGTAATCATGTGTGCTCTCCGTCCAGAAGTAAGGCAGGCTTGCTTCCAGAATCTCAGGGTTCATCCTATTTTACATGATGTTCGATCCACAATGAGTCCCGTGCTAGCCACAATGCCTAAGGACATTTGCTCAGCCTTGGACAAAACATTTAGCCTTATGTGGTACCATAAACTCTGCTTCCCTTTCCCGAACTCACCGTGGTCCTAATAGGAAACAGAAAGCACACTGAAAAGAGTTGAACTAACAGAGATGTGGGCAAAGCGAAGGGAATCCCCAGGGATGATGGGGCAACCAGGGGCTGGCAACAGCGAGAGCTGTTACACCTGAAGAGCATGTGGGGAAATGGTGTTACTGGGTTCCAGAAAGAGCTGTAGCCCTGCAAAGAGACTACTCGACAGGAACTGTTTCTTTAGTTGACAATCTAAATCCACCTGTTTTTATATGATCTGCAAACAAAGAATGGTTTTTACATTTTTAAAAGGTTATATAAGTACCTATATAATGTTGCCTCTTGCCCTGCAAATCCTTGGCTCTTTACAGACCAAGACCAAAGGGCAGCTAGGTGATCCAGAGGCAGGCTTCCAAGGCATGGAGAAGGCAGGCAGAGAATGGATGGGGGCCGGCAGGTCAGGGAGAGTGACCCATCCACTCGCTGCCTGCCTTGTACCTCTGCTATAAGCAAGGAGAACAACAGCTCTACCTCACACAAAACTGTCAGCAGGTATTGGAAAGACTCATGGCTCCCCAGTGAAAGGAGCCAGAATCGTGTACTTACTGAATTGCATTGCATTAGACCCATTGCTTTACATGAAATGGGGTTTTTGAGAAGCAGGTGAGCACATTTGCCAAGCAAACCCAGAGAGAACACACGGAGGGAAGAAGTCCACAGTGGGCTCTTCTCCACCCACCATCTCCCCGTCTAATTTAAGGCACCAACCACACCAACCACACTTCCCCCCTTCCTCATTCCAGACTCATGATCGGGAAATTTTCCCTGATATTTAGCCTGCATTTTCCTTTGCTTGGTTTTCACCCCCGGATTTACAATACCCCGTGCTTCTCATTAAATTGGAGCTGACCATTTCAGACAAGTGAAGTCATGCCCAGCTATATGGGCAAATTTTCTTAAAAACCAAAAGAAGAAAAAAAAAAGCGCAACAAAATCTATCCTATGCATGGCATGCACACACTCATGAGTGCATGTGTGTCTGTGTGTAGGGAAAGTTTCTGACGTTATCCGTTAAATCCATTAATTTATTTCCTTTGGGGGAAAGCTGGGTCACACTATTTATCATGTATTTCTTTTTTTTTTTTTTTTTTTTTGAGACAGAGTCTCACTCTGTCACCAGGCTGGAGTGCAGTGGCGCAATCTCAGCTCACTACAACCTCCACCTCCCAGGTTCAAGTGATTCTCCTGCCTCAGCCTCCCGAGTAGCTGGGACTACAGGCGGGTGCCACCACATCCAGCTAATTTTTGTATTTTTTTTGGTACAGACTGGGTTTCATCATGTTGGCCAGGATGATCTCAATCTCTTGACCTCTTGATCTGACCGCCTCGGCCGCCCATAGTGCTAGGATTACAGGCATAAGCCACCGCACCTGGCCTACCATGTATTTCAAAGTGTAAAAAGTCAGGTGTCAGTTTATAGTGGCCTTATAAGTTGAACTACTCTCAGAATTCTCAATCTCTGACTGTCTTCCAGCTGGCTAAGGCAGACAAACCAGAAGAAAAGATACAACTGCTGCCTGGCAAAAAAAAAAAAAAAAAAAAAAAAAAAGAGGAAACCCCACCACAAAAGCTGATGACCCAGGGTGCTTTGGGTTTTTTGTTTGTTTGATTTAAAAATAGGGTCTTGTTCTGTCGCCCAGGCTGTAGTGCAGTGGTGCGATCATATAGCTCACTGTAGCATCAACCTAGGTTCAAGGGATTCTCCTACCTCAGTCTCCCAAGTAGCTGGGACTACAGATATAAGCCATCACACCCAGCTAATTTTTTTAATTTTTTGTAAACATGGGGATCTCACTGTGTTGTCCAAGCTGCTCTCAAGTGATCCTCCCACCTCAGCCTCTCAGAGTGTTGGGATTATAGGCATGTGCCACCGTGCCCGGCTCCCTACCTCCAGAATGCTATGAATGCTGGCTGCATAATCATTCCCAGCACAGTCTTATTGCTTAGAAAGAAACCAAAGCTAGAGTTTACATAGAACTTCCACTTTGCCTTTGTGAATTGGCAGGTATTTTCTGTGGCTAAGATACAGTTTGGGAGCATGGAATTGGTAAATTTCTCATTTTATAGTCAAAATTTGTCAACTTCAAATGAAAGAAAGCTATTTATAAATGTCAGCTAATACAATCTGCCAGAGGGCTTGAGGCTTGTGGATAAATCTTTGTCCTAGCTTCACAGAAGCAGTTGGGCATTTTGCCAGGGAGTGAGGACCAGTGTCTTAAGTGCATGCTGTGGAGAGGTTTGTGCATGACAGACATCCAAGTCTGAGATAGATAAAGCGGAGGCAACTCAGAAGGATCCTCTAAGACTTTAGGTGAAGCCCAGAGACTGTTTAGAAGACTCTTCTATGGCACATCTAGCCCCAAAGGGTTGTTATTAACGAGCCCACTACTACTGTCTTTAAATGACAGACTTCTGCCTACATTCAGAAAAATCAAGGTTCCAAGAGCCTTTGTCATGCAGTGCTCATTGAATTTTGAGAGTTATTTTTTATTCTGATTTTGGTTGTAAACACTGTTTTTTCTAAAGCTTACTTCTTGGTTGCAAACACTGTTTTTCTAAAGCTCTTGCATAAAAACTACCTGTTGTAGGAGTAGAAAGAGGTTATAGGTTGTATTGATTGCCTGGATTGTTTTCTATGCCACAGACTGGAGAGTTTAGGTTCATTTGTGGGACAATCAGAACTCAGAATGCTAAGGATACACCTGGAACTAGCTAATCTCGCCTTGGCCAGAAGAGCCCAATGACAGCAGCTCACCCGGATCAAGCATGCCCTGCAAGTCGGGCAGCGCTTTCTATGCACTAATGCCTTTATTATTGATAACAGCCCTTGAAAGTAGAAAGTACTTATCCATCGGTAAATAGACACCCAGATCAGTAGAAACTACAAATGCAAAACCAGAGCACAGAGGGGTTAGGTAACTTACCCAAATTCACACTGGCCAGTAAGATGTTTCATGGTTCATTTTATTGACTGCAGTGCATCCATTTGGGCTCACAGTAAAATTCTTTATTAATCAATAGGAGAGAGGACAGGAACCCTGGAGATGAAAGGCCAATCAGGAAACTATTCCCAGAATGAGTGACAGATGATGAGGGCCTGGGCCCAGGCAGGAGCTGTGGAGGTGGTGGGTCAGGGGTGGATGGGAAGAGGCGGCAGCAGAGCTGCTACAGAGAGAACATTAACGAGACACGGTTGATGTTGGACATGAGCAGGTGGCAGAGAGAAGGGAGGTTAGAATGATTCCTGGTACCCAGTGTGCCCATCTGGAGAGATTGGTGGTGCCATGAATCAAGGCAGGGTGTGCAAAAGGAGGAGCAGGTTTGGGGAGAAGAGTTAGTTCAGTTTATAATGTTTGACTTTTTGATAGCTGTGATGTGATATGATACATCCACATTACAATTAAGATTTAATAGGTAAATAGATACCCAGATCTGGAGCTCAAGAGAGGACTGGGCTGAGTATAGAATTTTTGAGTTGCCGGCAGATAGGTGGAAGTTGGACCCATGAGACTAGATGAGAGCACTCAGCTGAGAGATGAGAATAGAGGTGCCAAATGAAGGCCACCATGTCAGGTGTAGGCAGAGGGGGAGGAGCAGAAGAAGCTGAAAAGGACTTGGCAGAGAGGTCGGAGGGAGCAGGTAGAAGCTCGTGGCACAGAGACTGAGGGAGAGTGTGCAGGGGAGAGGCCCAGCACAGCGGATCTCCCCAAAGAACCAAGCAAAATGAGTGTCAAGGCATTTGGCAGTCGGGATGCCGTGGGTGGCCTTAGCAAGAGCAATTTGGGTGGAGTGATTGGGGCAGAAGGAATAAAAACTGTGGCTTGGGGGTAAGAGGAAAATAGTCTTGGAGAAGCACAGAATAGAAGATGGACAGATGCATGCTTACAAAGTTCAAATTGCTGGATTCCTACACTCTGTATTACATTCTTTTCCATCTCTCTACAGAGCCTCCCAAATGATCATTTTAATGACTTTACTATGATCATAGGTAACATTTAATGAATACCTTTTATGAGGCAAGTACCTAACTTCAATATTTAATTTTAAGTCTTATAGCAAGTCTGTAGAGTAGACAGTATTATCATCTCCACTTTAAATATGAGAAAAGTAAGGCTTAGGGAGATGAAACTACTCATCTAACCCATAGAGCTGGTGAAAAGGAGACCCACAGTACAAACTGGGGCAGGCTGGCTTCAGTCACTTTGTGCTTAAACACTACACTGTAGGGTGATCTGTTGCCACAAAGAAACATCATTTTCTACTCATTCTCCTGGTATTATACATCTAGGTGGTTTCTGGTCTTTTGCTATGCATGTAACTTTAAATTTCTGCTGAGTTAATTAATGTGTTCCTTCAACAGCCCAGTGTTCTTCTTTCTGCCCCATCTCATTGCCCATTTGTCACAGAGTTGGGTGATTAGCACACACAGCTCTGTGGGTGGGCTGATTTACAAACCCAAATGCTGGGAGTCCTCTCCTTCTGAAAACGAAGGGGAAAGAAAAAAGAGGCATTCATCCAGGAAACCCACCTGGTTACATCCTGAAATATAAATGCTTATCCAAAAGAACCTTAAAGGAAAACATTTAGCTGGTGATTGGAACGGCTTAATACAGAAAACCATGCAGCACACAGCAGCAGTTCTATCCAGCATTCTAAAATCATTTCAAAATATTTTTCAAGGCGTTTGTAAATTCCTTGCCAAAATAGATGAGAAACACTACACTTGGCAAGACAAAGTTTAACCCACAAGACAAAGTTAAACCCACAAGAACTCAAACAACAGTTTATAAAGATTAAAGAACACAATTTTATATGTGTATATAATCCACCAGAAAATCATTTCAGAACATGAAATATTTGAGATGCTTCTTAACACTGCCCCTATATAAATGCTTTGTGTCCAGGAACTTAAACTCTTTAGACTCCTCCAGCCTTCCCAGCACTGTCATTCAAAGACCCCTGCAAGATCAGGATTTTCAAACGTTCCTAAGGCTTGGGTAGGAAATACATTTTACATTTTGGCCCAGTTTGTGCACACACAGTCATACACACACCCATACACACTTAACTGAGATAAATTTTTCACAAAATAATGCTTATCCTCACCATGTGCAATTACTATTTTCTCTTCTATTCTATTTCTTAAAAGTTCTGGTCCCATACAAAATTGATTTCATAAGGGCTTAAAGGGTTGCAACCCACAGCTGAGAAACCCTATGTTCTAAAGGATCTAAATTAAAGCGCTTTCACCAGAAGATCTGCATGAGGAAGAATCTGCAATTGGTGTAATAGAAAGCATATGTGATTTGGAATTAGACAGACATGGATTCCAATCTCAACTCTGGTTTATAAACCATCTGCCTTTGGGCAAGTTACTTGATCTCTCTTTGACCCTCCATTTCCTCTCCACAGCCCTCTGGGACTGCTGGGACAATTCAATTAGAGAACACTCATGGAAGCACCTACCACTTAGTTACATTCATTCCTCCAACAAATATATATTGAGCACCAGATGTTGTCCTAAGGGATAGGCAGACAGAAGTGAACAAAACCATCAATACCCCTGCTTTCATGGAGCTGGCATTCCAGGGGGCACAGACAATCAGCAAATTAACATAGAATATATCAGGGAGTGAGAAGGACTGTATTAATTTCCTCTTGTCGCTGTAATGAATTACCAGAAACTTAAAGGTTTAATCAACACGAATCTATTATCTTACAGTTCCAGATGTCATAAGCCCCAAACGGGTCTCACTAGACTAAAATCAAGGTGTTGGCAGAGCTGTTTTCCTTTTGGAGACTCTAGAGGAGAATTTATTTCCTTGTCTTTTATAGATGCTAGAGGCTGCCCACACCCACTGGTTTATGGCCGCCCTCCATTTCCAAAGTCGGCAACATTGGGTTGAGTCCGTCTCACACCTAATCACTGTGACTCTGCTTCTATCCGCACATCTCCTTCTCTGGATTTGACCCTCCTGCCAAAAGCCACCATGGGTCTTCTAGGAAGGACCCATGCAGTTAGACTGAGCCCACCGGATAGTCCAGGATACTCTCCCCATCTCAACATTCTTACCTTAATCACATTTGCAAAGTCCTTTCTGCCATGTAAGGTAACATATTCACAGGTTCCCGGGAATACAAATAAAAGTCACCTGTAGGGGCGTTCTTGGTCATCAGTTGTGAAAGCCTTTGTGCTGACATAGTCACTCTTCTCCGTTTCAGCCAATTACATACAACCTCAAAGGGGTTGTGGTTTTTGGTCATCTGTAATGCTTGGTAATTTGTCTCTCAAGCCCAGGCTTCAGAGCAAGTTATAGCTGCTGAGCAAGCCTAGAAGACAGCCAGGGATGTGCATTCCAGGGGCCTTTAATTGGTCTTGCCCTGTCAACACTTAACGTTTAGTAATTTTCCAGAATTTATCATTAGTGTCTTTACTAATGAGCTCTGGGCACCAAGTGGGAAGAAAAAACTTTAGTGAAATTTGGAAAGATTGACTTGTGGTCTGAGGATATGCCCAGAAATGTGATAAAGACAAAAGCCCAAAGCTTGAATCAAGTTATGTTTGCAAACTTGGGGGGCACTCAAACCTCAGGGTGCGTCCTTCACAAGCATCAGAGTCTCCTGTGTGTCTCTTCTTCTCCTCCATTCATGAAGCTCCAGTTTTGAATTAAGGGACTGCAGAGTCACTAATCCCATCATGACCATATTGACAGTGTTGTGTTGTTCACATGACTGAAGAAGCACGGAAAGTTCTGTGAGCCTACGGCGGCTAGCCACAGGTCTGGTTTCATATGTAATCTTGGTGCATTTGTTTTATTTCAGGGAAAACTCGATGCCTTGTGGGTCCTACTGAGGAAAGGATATGATCGTGTGTCTGTGATGCGTCCACAGCCAGGAGACACGGTAGGACTCGTTAATTCATTAATGGTGTCTCTCTCTCTCTCTCTCACATACACACACACACACACACACACACACATATTCTTTTTCTCTCTCCATCTTTGTAGAGCTAAAATAACTTTGGATTCTAAAACAGAGCTAGAATAACTCCAGATTTACAAATCCAGCTATTATTTCATGTTGCAACAAATCAGACATTGATTTTCAAAATGTTGGTTATTACAAGATCTTGAGTTTTGATTTGCTTTTCTGAAAAGGATTTTGACAGTAATATGTTGGGTTTAACTTCCTAGAATTTGAGCTTCTCAATGTATAGGCACAGTGAGAGAATAAAGCAGGACTGGCCCCTACTTGGGGCAGTTTCAGGAGGGAGCTCTGCTGGCCACTGGCCACACAAGCCAGTGGTGCATCACAGAGTACCAGCACTGCAAGGATGGGGTGAGGGCAAGGAAGGGGCCACAGAAAACACCTACCATCTTCCCAGCAGGTGTGGGGCCCAGCTAGCCCAGGACCAGAGGGATCTTTCACCCCAGGTGAGGATTTGTCTTGGCATTGTCAAGGCTAAGCTTGGAATATCTCTAGTCAAGAGCAGTCCTGAAAGATAGAGCCAGGGGAGACCTTAGAAACCATCCAGCCCATGGCTTCATTTTGTAAATGAAGAAAGAAAAACAAACAAAAACAAAAATCACCTAATTGCATTCTCCAAAAAACAAGAGAAGTTGAATAGCTTGTTCTGTTTCAAATAGTAACAAGTAACTTACACTGGAAACAACCTCAGTTCTGCCGAAACAACACTATCACTATTTCTTCATGTAAGAGCTAGTCTCTCTTCCTCAAGTTTTACAGATCAAAACTCAGGACCAAGTTTTCCCTCAACTACCAGCAACCTGCATCTTCCATCCATTTCTTTGGGAATCAGGCACATTAATCCAAAAACAAAATAAAAGTATCTCATTTAGAACTCCTTTCAAATCAAGCAGACTTGGGTTTGAACCGCCTTTCCTTCCTGGCTGGAAAGCTCCAGGCAAATCACCTGACCTCTCTGAACTTCATCCTTATAAAGTAGATGGCACGGACTTCTTCCTACTGTGGCTGGTTGGAGAAGTAATGTTTGTAAAGCATTTGGCCCACTGTTGAACACACGGAAATGCTCAATCAGGATGGGCACCGTGGCTCATACCTGTAATCCCAGCACTTTGGGAGGCAAAGGCAGGTAGATCACTTGAGGTCAGGAGTTCAAGACCAGCCTGGCCAATATGGTTAAACCCCATCTCTACTAAAAATACAAAAATTAGCTAGGTATGGTGGCACATGCCTGTAATCCCAGCTACTCAGGAGACTGAAGCAGGAGAATTGCTTGAACCCAGGAGGTGGAGGTTGCAGTGAGCCGAGATCGCACCACTGCTCCAGCCTGGGCGACAGAATGAGACTCTGTCTCAAAAAATAAAAATTTTTTGTTAAGAAAGAAATGCTCGGGCCGGGCGTGGTGTCTCACACTGGTAATCCCAGCACTTTGGGAGGCCAAGGCGGGTGGATCACAAGGGCAAGAGATCGAGACCATCCTGGCCAACATAGTGAAATCCTGTCTCTACTAAAAATACAAAAATTAGCTGGGTGTGGTGGTGGGCACCTGTAATCCCAGCTACTTGGGAGGTTGAGGCAGGAGAATCACTTGAACCCAGGAGGCGGAGGTTGCAGTGAGTGGAAATTGCACCACTGCACTCCAGCCTGGCAACAGAGCAAGACTCTGTCTCAAAAAAAAAGAAAAAAGAAAAAGAAAAAAAAAAATGCTCAATCAATGACAGATATCCTTATGGTCATTTACTCTGTGCTGTTCTGCTGTCTGGGGATGGTTGATACAGAACTTCAAGCCATATTGCAGTTGGTGTGTATGGTCTCCTGACTGTCCAGCATGACACAGCTAACACTAGAGAACACTAGAGCAGAGCCCAATAGACAGGCCCTGCTACCCCCTCCCCTTGCACCTGGTGACAGTGGGTGGTTTGTAGCTGAGAAGATTTGGTCTAAAGTTTCATAGTTTATGTGAGCCACTGCCCAATTAGCTGTTCTTGCTGTGACTAGGATGGCAGGCAAGTAAAAACGTGAAACCAGCTCATATAAATGCTGGGTTGACTTGGCCCTCATCACATATGGAATTTGAGCTTTTGTCTGTGACAGTCAACAAGACCAAATTTCTATATGAAATTTTAAATACAAACTCTACAGTTAGGAGAAACAAGCATAGGCCATAGTTAGTACTCTGGGAGGTGTTTGGTCTTATAAAGTATACATTTGCTTTCTATGGGAAATGAAGAAATTTTTTTAGCATGCATGAGACTCCTCTGACAGATTGAGAAAAAAATAATAATAAGATCCCTAAACTAAGGTTCAGTAGTACTATTTTTTTGTGACAAGATGCTGATACAGTGTATGACCCCATTTTTTTTTCACAGCAATTGAAAAACATCTCCACTAAAATATGTTAACATTCCATTTTCCACTGACCAGTTTGGCAGAAACCAATTCATAAACTGGGTCAACCTAAGAAGTGGGAGGGTTATAGGAAAGAGGCTGGATAGAAAGAAATATTATCATTAATAAGACAGAAGAATCAATGCTGTTTGGGAGCAAAATGCTGGTTATATAAATCCAAGAACAATGGAATGAAAATAAATGGAACTTCCTCTAATGAATCACACTTAAATTGAATCTCTTATTTACCAATTCTGAATGAAAGTTTGTATTAACAGCTGAAGATGTTCCATCTGTTTTTGAGAGACATAATACCACCTTGAACTTTTATTCTCCAGCCATGCAAAATAATAGATTTGAGATATAAGAAGCTTAAGAATTTGGATACATTTGAACACACTCTCAACACTGTTACAAATTATGATTATCCAGTTTACTTTTAAGTGCCCTTTCTTTATGGAAGTCTTGCTAAAATAAGATACATGAGAGAAATCGATACAGAAAATTGTGTCCTTGTTGCCGTGGCAACAGCCACACGATGTACACATGGAGTTACACAAGAAAGGTCACAGATGAGGTAAGAACCAGAATTCATAGCTGCCTATGGCTACTCAGGAAAGAATTCCAGGCGAGGCAGGGGGGGCAATATTGTAGCTCTGTCTATATGCTTCTTCTGTTTTGTTTTGCATAACCTTAGGAGACTCACTAGAGAGGCCTGCCTTGCTTGCATGGTGGTGAGTCTGTAAGAATTCTTCAGCACTGATTTATGGAGCTGACCACATTTTCCATAAACTCAAAATGACTCCATCCAGGCATGTGCTCATGAACAAGAGTCACAGGTTCTGAATTTTTTCTTTAAAACAAAACAAAAACAAAAATCACCTAATTGCATTCTCGGTTACATTCTAAGTTGCTTCAGACACATGTTGACCTCACAGAAACCTGGCAAATTTTCCTCCTTAGTTCCTGTCTCCTTCATCCTCCCCCCAGCTACTCCACCCCAGCCCTCCAGATGCAGACACAAGCCCACCAACAGAGCCTCTGAGGCTGCTGAAAGGCCTCCAGCTCAGCACAGAGCAGGGGCTCAGGGAGCCAGAGCCTAGAGCCACCGCCCTTCCCTGGGATTGGCACCCACCTCCTCAGAACCATCCAAGCCCCAGGTCAGGGGTGGCAGCAGGGAACACGAGTGTTTTCCATCTGCCATCACCCGTCTCCCTCTTTTTGCCTGCGGTGGGCTCATGGTCCCATTGTTCCTTGGAGCCCACCAGGAAATGCTTGGGCCAACTTAAAAGGGAAAGTGCCAAAGGAAACCACCTAAATAGCAAACCAGTAGCACATCTGATTCTAAGATTGTTAAAATTTACTAAGCACATGGTGTCCCCTGCTCCCAGTAGGTAGCCACCACAGTGCTCCTTGTAAAACCAAACCTCAACACACCATGCCTCCACTTCAGACTTGCAAAAACTGTGGGAAAACCCAGAATCCTTAGCTTGATTTAGAAAGGCAAGCCTTTCCATTTCATACGCTACTTACCCCAGATTCCTTCATCACCTCCAAATGGGCTCTGAGCACGTGGAATTAATTGCTGGTCATGCCCTGAACATGCCAGGACATTTTGTGTCTCTGTACCTTTGCTAGGTTTCTCTGCTTGGAATGCCTTTCCCATCCTCTCTACCGAGTGAACCTAGCTTGGTAATATTGTTCATTGTTCCCACAGTTTCCTGTAAATACAAAAAGTTGCTGGCCAGACTCATGCTTGAAAGGGGGCATTGCCCAAGCAGAACACATTTGACAGAGCCTAGGTGAGAAGGTTTGGAAGTTAGAACCTCTGTCCCAGGATGGTCCAGGATGGTCCCCAAGGCTTCCTGCACAGCTTGGCCACTCTTTGAGTTCAGAAAATTTGCTCATCTTTCAAGGGCAAATGGTTGAAGGAATTTAGAATGTTCTGAGAAAGAACGCTTCAAGGGGTCATGAGAGCTTTTTAACTTACTTGGTCCATGATGATATGGCGTGTCATTCCACTTTGCAAGCTGTTTCTTATCACGTCACCATTGTCAAGGAATAATCTTTCCATGTCACTACATATCCTTGAATAATATCATTTTAATGACCATGTCATATTACATTGCATATCTTCCCTTTTTGGAGATTGATTTTCAAGTATCTATTATTATAAATGAAGCTGCAGTCAGTATCCTTATTGCCAAATCATTGTGCACATTCACAAATGTTTCCTTAGAATAAAAGGTCCAGCTTTCTACTGGATCAAATAGTGTGCAAATTTTTAAAGCTTTGATACAAATGGCCAAATAATTGCCCTTCAAAAGATTATACAAATTAACCCTCACATTAGCCCCCTATGAAACGCCCATCTCCCCAGATGCTCCTCAATATTATTAACGTACCTATTTGATTGATAGGTGCTAATTTGTATTTTTTATTATTACTGAGGTAGAACGATTTTTTTAATGTTTATTTTCTCGTTTGTCAATTGGTTTGACTTGGCTCATTTTTCCACTGGATATTTTAGTGTTGGTTTCCTGTGATCATTTTCTTAACCCATCTTCATTCATATATTAATCAAATGTTTTGAAAGCCTACTATGTATCAGATCCTGTGCTTGCATTAAGTATGTGGTACTTAATCCTTATGACATTTAAAGTCTAACCATGTAATATATGTCCAAAGTTTTTTCTAGTTTGCCATTTACCTTTTAACTTTTTAGAAATATATTCAAGTTTTCTACAATTTTACAGTCAAATCTATAAATATTTATGATTCCTGCCTTTTGTTTCAAATTTAGAGAAGCCTCCCCTACTTCAAGAGAACATACATTTTCACAAAAATTTTCTTCCACACTTCCACCCCCTCGGTCTGTTTTTGATGGTAATGCGAATTGTCACCTTTTCTGCATCTTCCTGAGTATTTTAGTGTAGATTTGGGAAAGGCTCCTTTGGAAGCTATGGGCCATATGTTATATTAAATGAGAAGTCCTAGAAAATTATCTTGAATGCCTTGAAGTGGATGTATTAATAGAAAGTGACTTGGATTTACTCTGGGCCATCCCATTGAACAGAGCTAGCCCCATAGGTAGAAACAATGGGGAAACAAATTTCATCAGAAAGAATTGAAGGATGCAAGTTTCAACAACACAACGGGCTGCCCCAGAGACTAATGCTCCAGGTAACTAATGTTACCAAACACGGATAAGACAAATTAACCACTAGGCCAGGACACAGGGGATTCCTGTAGCAGATCAATGGTTCTCAAACTTGAGCATCAGAATCACCTAGAAGGTTTGTTAAAGCACAGCTTGCTGAACCCATGCTCGGAGTTTCTGATTCAGAAGTTCTGGGGTGGAGCCTGGGAATTAGCATTTCTAACAAACTCCCATGTGATGCTGATGCTGCTGGTCTGGGGATTACACTTTGAAAACCAGTAAGATAAGGAACCAAACAAACTTCAGAGTACCTCTCACCCTGAGAGTCTGGGGTCCTAGGCAATATTTCTATACTGCTTTGGCCACCAAGCCGCCCCTTTTCTATATTTCTCCATAGAGCACCTATTGACACAACTGGAGAATAACTAGTCTACCTTAAATCTAAATATTAAGCCTCAGTGAGTTGTGAAGAAATCTCCCATCTTCACATATTCTGTTCCTAGATTACTAATTTCAAACACAGAAACATAAGGGAATTCAGAGATCAGAGCGTGGACTCCAGTGGTTTTCAATGTGTTTGCACATTGTTATCACCTAGAGAGCTTTCAAGGTCCCCCCCTAAAGGTTCTGTTTAATTGTTCTGTGATGAGGTCTGGGCACTTATAGGATCACCTGGGAATCACAAAGCCTCCCCAGGTGATTCTAATGGGCATCTAAGGTTGAGAAGCAGTGAGGTGGTCCAATTCCCTCTTTTTCACTCAGGGCAGCATCTTCTCTTTCCTTTTTGAAACAATTTAAAGGCAACTCCCCATGTTCCTTCAGAAACCCCAAGAGTAAGATAGGCTGATCACACTCTTCATGGGCTTTTAACAGTCCCTTTCCTATCAGGAAGATGGTTAATCTAGACTGAGGCTGCCATGTCATTGCTACTGCTTGAGTAAAGAAGATGGAAAAGAGAAAATAGAACTCAGCCTCATATGTCTTTTCTGGATGGAATTCAATCATCTACCAACCAGCCTGAGCCCTCCCCAGTCACTTTTACTCCAAATCGAACTCCATCCCACTTCACGTGCTCCCAGAGAACCCACTGGGTTTGGATGTCATCTGTTTTCAGATCTGGCATCAGGAGGCCGGTACATTCCATTACTATCTGCAAGAACAAAATACTAAAGCTCACTCAGGGCTTGTTTTGCAAGCCTGGATCTCCTTGCAACCAGAAGAGACCCAGGGAAACACACACGTAAATGTACATAAACAATGTTTGAAACTCATCTGAAGCCTCAGAGGTTGTGAAATCCTCCCCAGCTGTTTCCAATAAGGGCGTGAGGCCAGTCACATGGGCACCATGTCTCCCTACTGTCGCAGAGGCGAGAATAGCCTGGGCAGGTTATCCTCCAGGAGAGAGGTTATCCTCTGCCCAGTCCTTCTAAAGCAGATAAGCCTCCTGTAGCAGGCCTCAGAGAAAGTGTCTGCACTCTTGCATTCTCTCTCCTCTCTTCTCTCTCCTTCACATTTCCTGCATTCCCTCTTTCTTCTAACCCCTTTCCTTTTTTTCTTTTCCCTGTTCACTGCCAATTTCTAAGGCCTGCCATGGCTGCTTTCCCTCAACAAAAACCAATTGCACTCCCACTAAGAATCCATTTCTGGGCTGAGCACTAGGGATATCCATTAGCAGAGGACTAAACTCTGGCTTCCAGGAGTTCATGTATGTATGTATGTATGTATGGTGTGCAAGAGAAGAGAGTGTCATGCACTGTATGAACTGCAAATGTTTACAGAAGCATAAACCCATTCACAGTAACTTGGGGTAATGATGATCTCCATTTTAAAGAACAGAAATTGAGGCTCAGGGAAAATTACTAACTTTTCCAAGGACACACAGCTGGTAAGGAGGTCTGGGGCTTGAATTTAGGACTTTCAGACTTGAAAGTCAACACTAGGGATTCCTGAACTCCTTCATGCATTCAACCCATAGTTGTTAGATGTCTTCTAAGAGCCAATGAGCACTGTATTAGTGCTTGATATTCAAGATTAATGAATGAGCCCTGTCCCTGCCCTCGAGGAACAGGGACAAACAGGAAGCTCCCAAACACTGCCTGGTGTGAAAGGCTCTGTGATGGAGCTGAGCACATGAGGTGTGGGAGCTATACCCAGGAAAGGCATCTCACCAGCCTTGGAGTCCAAATGCCTTCTTGAATGGACATTTAAGCTAAGACAAGAAGGGGGAATGGAGTTGGGGAGGTAGAATATTCTAGTGACAGGGAAGCTTGCATACAGATCTGCAGGTGAGACTGTGGCTCCTTCAGGGAGACACAAGGAGCAGGGTACAGAGGAGGACAGAGTGGGAGGCACTGAGAGGAGGGACTGTGGTGAAGAGGAACCTGAGTTGCCGGCCGTGGGAGCCTGCTCTGCCAGCCTGACGAGGCTGTACTCCACCCTGAGGACAGTAGAGACTTACTGCAAGAGTTTTAAGCAGAGGCGCAATCGGATGTGCATTTTAGAAAGGTCGCACTGGCTGCAGTGTGGACATAGCGGCAGTGAGAGAGGCTGGCACCCTGAAGTGCAGAGTGGTGGGCAAGGAAGACAGCTTGGATTCACAAGATATTGAGCAAATAATCACAGATTTGGTAACTGCCTGGGTGTAGAGGATGAGAGGGTAGAAAGTGTGAAGGAGGACCTCCAGGATTTGGCCCAAGCGACATTGCTGACTGTGCTGCCTGCCATTCACCAGGATGAGGACAGCTTTGCGAGGGAAGATGAGGACGTCACTTTTTAACTTGTGGAGTTCACAGTGCCTGTGGGACATCCAAACAAAAAGGACCTGCAGCAGGTCAGGACCAGGGGGAAGCATGAAGGCATCTAGGGCAGGAACTCTCTGGGTTGCTCACTGTCAGGGTTGTGTGAAAGTAGGGACCTGCGAGTACATGCCTCCTTAAATTTTGTGCCCTAGACACCTCGCATGCCTCACCCTAGTCAGGGGGCAGTTTTGCTCCAGTGAGAGTTTTGGGCTGCAGGCAAAGATCTGAGAGTCATTGGCCATGGCAGTTGAGACCAATGTGACTAGAGGGGAAACCAGGGAGAGGGGTAGAGAGAAGAAGTTAAGCACTGAACCCTGAGGGTCACATCCTTTAAGTCAGGGTGGAGAAAAGAAATAGAGCAAGAAGACGACTAAGAAGGACCAGCCAAGAGAAAGAGAAGTTGTAAGAGGAAAGTCTGGGGTCATGGAAGCCAAGGGAAAATAATACATTATGGAGGAGGGTGGAGTGTCAAGTGATGGGAAATTAAGATGCAAACTGAGAGCAATCATCTAATAAGATTAGCAGTAAGGAGGTTATGGTGCCCTTAGTGACCCGAGCTCTGTGGGATGATGGGGTTGGGAGCAAAGCTTAACAAACAATGGGAGGGAGAGCCAAGGCAGTAGCTGGAGGAGATCTAGAATTGGAAAGAGTTCTTTGTCTTAGTAAGACTTGAGCGTGATTAAGTGCGTGTGGCAGAGATCCAGTAGAGGAAGGGGTTGAAGACAAGAACTCACTGTTAGACTGCAGGAACTCTTAGGAGAAGGGGTTGGAGGGCTTAGGAGGAAGTGCCAGTCCTCCTTAGTGACATGGGTTGTAGATCCCAGGTATGAGTGAGAGGGCAGGAAGTGAGGACATCCCTGTGGGAAGTGATGGGCTCTGTTCTCCCTGTGATGTGGCTGGAGGAGTGGAGGAGCTGGAACTGGAGCTCCTGGAAACAGCCACACCTTGGGAACCCCATTGCTCCTATGCTGGCAGCACTTCTCCACATTCCAGAGTGAATGTCTCAGGATTAAATAAAATGGTAGGTATAAATAATTTGAAAAGATGGGAGCTTATTTTCTTCCCTTCCTTCTCCCTGAAAACTGCCATTGATTTCAGAGAATTTTAATTACCTCTTAACCTGTAGGAAAAACTTTTTCTCAGAATTATTTTATGTTCAAACCAGCAATGACCAAAAGAACCAAGTTATCTACATATTGAAGTCTTACATGAAAGTCGTTTTTCTTGCACAATAAACAATTAAGTTTACATTAGCTCTTTATGTTGTGTAAATGGACATCTTCAGAATTCCTATCTGACACCAGGTATAAGGTCCCAACAGATCTGGAGGGAAAGTCTCCTGACCTTTTATAAATTTTTGTAAGAAACGGATCATTTTAAGAAAAAGGAAGAAAAAAGAGCAAATTATAGGAAATGTTCCTAGAGGGTGTGATTTATTCTGGCACAGCCATCTTCCCTGGATGTTTGAATTCTCTGTAGTATTCATTCAGTTCTCACCCTTGGAAGCCTCTCCTTTGCTGTCTCATTGGAGGGGGACATGAGTACTTAGAATTTTTGGCTGAGTTAGCTGAATTTAAGGAATAAAAAGTTCAAAACACTCTCTGTCCACAGCAAAAACCAACTGTACCCAAAACCTGCAAAGTTAACTTTTTTCAGAGATGTTAAACCCAAAGTTGATGCTGCAAAATATACCATCTTGGGATTTTTTTTGCACCAACTTCTTTCTCCCATGGTAGGAACTGTCTCTGAGTAAATACGTATGAAAGCAATTGCTATGGTTGAGCAATCTTCCTCTCCCTCTCTCTTTCCCCCTCCCTCTCCCTCTCTTCCAATCCTCACAATCTGATCCCCCTTTTTCCACAAGCATTACACACTCACATTCACACACATTCCTCCTCCTCCTTATTATCACCATCATCATCATCATCATCATCATTTTGTAGCTTCTTTCAATTTCAACTTGTAGGACTTTCAACTTCAGATTGTCTCATCTCCCAAACAGCTGCAACAACAGAAGGTCGAGTCCTGGAATCAGGTTGCAAATAGCAAACAGAGAAGTAAATGCTAAGGCTGAACCAGACAGGGATGGGAATAAAGCAACCCTGTTCAAATTCTCCGACCTCATTTTTTCCCTTCCAAACAAAATCAGGATTGAGGGAGGTAGGGATTAGCTCTAGGGTCAGAATTTTACCCAAGTGTGTAATATTTTAGGAGGTTTGCTACTTTGTCTAAGCATGATGATCATGTCTAGCCACTTGGCTTCTGCGGGCCTGCTCCTCCAGCTGATGGCACCAAAAAAGATCATCTCGAGGGACATTCAGCATCTCCGTGATGGGCCTCAATTAAGAATCATCAGAATCCATGCTGGTGGGAAGTTCTGTTCTGGCCAGAAAGTATTGGGTTAGATTATAGATGGCAAAATCTGACCTAGGAAATAGGCTTTTGAACAGTGTGGGGAAGAGCCAGCCTGCTATAAAACATCCACACACACCCATCTTCGTTCAGCATCTCCATGACCACCCCAACTCAACCTGACCCTCAGTCTCGGAGTTGGACTGGCAGTTCCTCATAATCCCAGACCCTTCATTTTAGAGGCACCAAAGCTGAGGTCTGGAAAGGTGGTCTGGAGAGATTCCCGAGCCCTCCCAGGTCCATTATCTTATCTGTTCCCCATCACCTTCTTACTTTATCCTCTTTTTAATATAGGAAAGATGAGGCTCAGATAAGATCTCTGCTCTTTTCAAGGTCACAAAGAGTGTTGGTGGAAATGGCAAGACTGGAAACCCACCAGCTCGACACTGCCTGGCTCTCCTTGAGTCCTCACCCCAGGCCATGAGAGGAGGATAAGCATCCAGACTCAGCCTTATCTCTTGAGGAGAAGGCAGAGTTAGTCCTTGCCGCCCAATCCCTTCCCTTCCTGTCCTCCTACCTCTTCCCACCTCCCAGTACCTTTCCATTTTTATATCCTGCCCAAGATGACATACCCATTGATATCCTCCCACATGGGGCTGCTCTCCTGCACAGGATGCTGTGCTCCCAGATCACCTCATGCTCTCCCTGATTCCACCTCTCGCTGCCTCCCACTTTACCACCAACACTGTGTCTAGGACAGAAATTCCATTCATCCAGTTAATACATCCTGAGCTCCCACTCTCCAGCAGGCACCAAGCTAGGCAGTGGGGATTTAGCATGAACAAGGCGAGATCCCTGCCCTTGTGGAGTGTACACTGGAGTGGTCAGAAAAGATCACTAAATTACAGCTCCACATGGTAGATAGTATGAGGGGGAGTTTGGAGTTCTCTGGGAGCATAGAGCCAGAAGATTTAACCCAGGCTAGGGCATCAGGGCATACTTCCAAAGAGAAGAGACCATTTGGCTGAGATCCGAAGGACAAACTCTCCCAGTGCAGGGAGAGAAGGGCCGCCTTCTAGTTGGAGGAACAGCATGTGTAAAAGGCCAGAAGGGAGAAGAACTGAGAGAGGACACACAGGCCTGCAACCAGGGAGGGTAGGGAGTGCAGCAGCCCCCACCTGCAAGCTCCACCTTCTCCAGTCTTTGTCCACCCAAATCCTTCAGGCACTCAGTACTCAGCCAAAGCCCAAGACCTTCTCCCAGTCAAGGCTCATTGTCTGGCCCTTCCTTCCTCCTCCGCTTACAGCCACAAAGTTTAGCACCAAGTTAATTTTAACCAATACTGACTTTTCACTCCCTGAATAAGTTGTAAGCAATTTGAGGGAATGAACCATGGCTTTTTTTTTTTTTTTTAACTTTCCCTCACAGCACTGAGGACCTAGCTCAATTTGTTTCCTTGTCCCAGGGAGTATGGTTTTTTTCTGCAACCTCCAGGCCACAGCTGTTTGCAAACTTCATAGGAAACTGCATTTGAGTCACAGGCAAGGGGACATCTGAATGAATCCTCCGTCTCTTAATAAGGAGAGAGAATTCACAAGGTCTTCTAGGGACATGTCCAGATAAAATGAGGCTGATTAAAACTTTAAAACACTAAACTTTTATTATAATTGCTATTCATACTTTGTCATTGCCATTTATTAATAACTTTTCTTTAAGTTTGTTTGAAAATAGAAAATTCATTTTTAAAAAACTCTCCAAGGCTTTACCAGTCTCACTTTACAAATTCGTTCCTATAACATTTGTTTAATATTAGTGTTTTTCCATTTTTTTTCTTTTTGGCTGATACCATTGAGAGCAGTGTCACGTTGAGAATCCACAGTGATGACAGAGCTAGTTGTGAGGGTGCTCATTCCATTCCTCTAGCATTCAGCACCTCTGTCCATTTCTGTGTTTGCCCCCAGCGTCTGAATTTGGTTGCTTCACTGAATGGTGTGGCCCCACCAGCTGACACCCAGGCATTGACTGGCCTCAATTACTGCAACACCTATGTTTCAAGGACTCTGTGGCCCTGACTTAAGTACAAGCTTTAAATGGGAATAAATCTTTTATAAGCCTTTCCATTTACTTTCCTGCTTATTAAAGGTGAATTGTAATGGAAAACCCTAAATGTCACAGAGTCTGGAAAATTGAAATAATAAGGGGCAGCATTCTCCTTAGTGGTATAACTAGTAAAAGTGGGCCTAATGGAAAGTCCACCGTGGAATCATCTGTGTTTCTATGCAACAAAATTATTTTCCTTCTTTCTCTAACAAGGGAAGTAGTTCTGACCAACAAGGTTGGCTGTCTTAGGCATGGTGGTGGAGAGCAATGGAAAGATGAGTGTGTAGTGGGAGCAAGCTTAGCAGAGTTCCTGAAGCCATTGCTTTAGTGTCCCACCACATCTGTAGGCCTAGGGGATGCCATGCAGTCCTCCAGAGATAGCCAAGGAAGCTGCAGAGCTGAGGCCACCCTCTGTGCTTGTAAACAATAAGCACACCCCCCAAAATCAGGAATAAGCCCATGAGAACTGCCCATATCCCATGGTCCCACAGCACCTCATCAGCTGCACTAGTGTGTTCTGCAGTAGATCCACTGCTGGTGGGCCTCAAGTTGCAAATATATTTAGTAATGGATCAAAATAGAATCTCTTAGCAAAAACTGGACCTTACAAGCAATTTGCATCAAGTCAGAAACCCATACATCTGTGTCCCACAGCAGGCCACCCTTAAGCAACATGAAGGCTTCCAAAAAGGTTACCCTGCCCATATGAAAATGCCAATTTTATCCAGCAACATTGCTGTGTTTTCAAATTTCTGTAGACGCCAATGCTGTAATGAATGTTCTGACCCTCAGGGTGTCATCCACAGCCAGGCTTTGTGCCTGTCTTTTGCAAAACTTACCCAATTTCTGTCCAAAAAAAAAGTCCAAGACTAGGTCGATAGTAGATTTATGTGTCAAAGGAGAACACATAGACTTTGGATAACTTTACTCCAAAAGAATTCTCTTGCTCTCTCAAGCCTATTCTGTTAATAACATGTTTAGTTCTATTCCTAAGTTTGATTTTTTTATGGCAACAGTTTGACTATTGAAATTCTTTAGCTTTGTAAAACCATGGCACAAACTGTTCCCCCATGAAAAAACGCAGCTTTCCATAAGGCTTCCCCAGAAATACCAACATTAGAATGGGGGATGTGATTTGACTTTTTGTGAGTAATCTTCCTAGCACTGCCCGAAGAGAGAGAAAAAGAGAGAGATGCAGTTTCACGTACAGTTTTACATGTAGTAAAGCATCTGTGGAGATCAGAGGATAAAAATATTTCCATGACAGGAACTTAAAATTTTAAGAGAATTTTCTTTTAAGCTCTTCACTGGCCAGTGGAAGAGTTGACCATGGCTTTTTCCTTCATGTGTAGAAAAACACTAGGCAACTTGGTAGTGAAGCAGGATTTTTCTCGGCCAATTTGCCAACTGGGACCTCCGCTGGCAACACCCCCCACACCCCACCCTGTGTTATAGCTTGTACCCACATTCAGCGGTTCCCAAGCTCTTGTCCCACATCCAAGAAGAATAAAGATATGCTGACAATTTGAAGGTGGAGAAGAATTTTATTGAGCGACGGAACAGATCTTAGTGGAGACATAGTCAGGTGGTTTCTCTCTCCCCCAGTGTGGCTGAGTCTGGGGCTTTTTATGAACTCAGAATGGGAAGTGCATGCTGATTGGTTTGTGAGTATGCAAAAATGGTTAAAGCAAAGACATTCAAAGGTAGGCACAACAGTGTAGAAAACCAATTAGGAAAGGGTAGGTATATGTAAAATAGATAAAGGGTGGGATCCATCAGAGGAAATTGTGTCAAAAAGGAAGAGGGGTTCTCAATCCGGTCTGTGGATTTGACTTGTAGCTTGGCTTTCAGGCTTTAAATTCTTTTCAACTTGGAGGTGGGGTTTTGCTGGGGACCCACCCCTGTTTGCCTAGGCATTTGTCTGCCCCCTGCTGCTGTCAGTGGGATTACAAACTGACTCACATTTTTAAAAATTGTGGCCTCCCTTCTTACCCCCACAAGTAGCAAAAGATGTTTTTAGATCCTGAACATCTCAAAAGTAAAATCTAGAGCTGACTATCCAAAAAGGCAGCCACTAGTCACATGTGGCTATTGAGCACCTGAATGTGGCTAGTGAGAAATGACATGTGCTATAAATGCAAAATATACTCTGGATTTTCAGGGAAGTAATATGAAAAAAAGAATAGGAAATATTTCTTTAGTGATTTTTATATTAAGCTGAAATAACATTCTACATATATTGGGTTAAATAAGATATATTAGTAAAGTTAATTTCACCTGTCTCTTTTTATGTTTTATAAATGTGGTTACTAGAAAACTTAAAAGGCCCATGTGGTTTATGTTATGTGTCTGTTGGACACGCTGGTCCAGAGGACTGGTCTGGAAGACACTTGTGAGAAGGGGGAATGACATGATTTCCATACAGGCCCTGAGTTCTTCAACTATTTTGGTTTTTATTCACAGTAAGAATTTCAGAAATTATGGATCTCTGCCCTTTCTGGTTTTCTATTAGGTCAGCTGTGACTTTGCCTTTCTGGGCCAATTCCTATCCCAAACTTCTTATTTTTAGGCAGAAGTCCTGCATGCTCTAAGCCAGCATGTTAGGTGTTTGGGGTGTTTTCTTTTGAGATGGCATCCCATTCTCTTAACCCAGGCTGGAGTGCAGTGTCACTATCACAGCTCACTGCAGCCCCGACCTCTCAGGCTCCAGTGATCCTCCTGCCTCAGCCTCCCAAGTAGCTGAGATTACAGGTGCCTGCTACCACGTTGTTTTATTAAAGCAAACAAGCATTCAAGGTCTCTCTACTGCTTCTTCCCTGCAACATCATCACAGAGAAGAACTTGCATCCTTTAAAACCTTGTTCTAAGTATCTGTACATTTATTGGATTATCTGATCTACTTTATCTTTGAAAAATTCCTGAGAAGCAAATATTATCCTCACTTTACAAAAAGGAACCTGAGTTGACTAGAGCAATAATGATGGTTCATGTTTGACGAGAGCCATATAATTTACAATTATTTTCTAATATATTTATTCTGACCCTGTGACACAGTTGTTCCCATTCCTGTTTTACATACTGGGAAATTATCTTTACAGAGGGCTCGAGTGCCTGTGCCCCACAGCTGATAAACAGAGGAACTAGCATTTATTCTTTCAACACATGTTTATTTGTTGTGCTAAACACTAGTAAACAAGGATATGGTCCTTTCATGGAGTTTGTATCCTAGGATTCACAGCACCCAAGTGTTAAGTGCTCTACTAAGAATCAAAACAGTGTGATGAGTGGAAAGACAATAGATATCTAGGCTGCATGGTGGGAAAAGCCCTCTCTAAAGAGGCGACATTGAAGATGAGATCTGAATAACAAGAGGGAGCTGCTACGTTAAGATCAGGGGACAGCAGCAGGCACAAGGCCTGCAAGGCTGGAAAGAGCTTGGCATGTTGGAGGAACTCAGAGGCCAGCGGTGATGGGTGGGCAGTAAGGTCAGAGACAGCAGGGGAGATGGCCATGCAGGCAGGCTTGTAACCTGAGGAAAGACATTTGGATTTTACTCTGGATGTAACATGGAGGGGAGGGCTTAGCAGGGGGGAGACAAGTGCCCTAGCATCCTCCACACTTGAATACTGCCTGCCTCTAATTAACATTCTACAAAGATGACCAGGGATGAAGTGGGAAGAATCAGTTATACAGAGACCAGAGTGAAGCCGGGAGATCAGTGACAAGGTTGGAGTCCCGGATGAGAGGCGATGGTGGTAGATGAGTGTGGACCCAGTAGAAATGGTGAGAAGTGGATGGAGTCTGAAGTTTTTTGGAGATAAAGCCAATGAGACTGGCTGATGGATGGCTTATCCCTCTTTACACCTGACTGTCCCTCCAGCTCTCTTCACTCCTGCAGTGTCCATCCAAAAACACTCTGCCCAGGGAAATCTAATTTCTGTTCACCCCGTAATAATGCCCAGAAGACAAAATGAAACACTGACAGATTGTCATTATTTATCACCCCTTTGTTTTGCTTTGTTAATTCATTGTCCTGCCTAGCTGTTAGCGTCTTAATTGTTCATGTTGACCTTTAGAAACACATTCAAGGTGAATAAGGAGGCCTTGCTATATTCCAAAATCGTGTCAGTGGGAATAACCAAAATGATTTTATTCTTTCACTCTCCTTTTGGCTGGCAGGAAGATGAGCTGTTCACATATTCATATGACACACTACCATTTGAAAACCAAAAAACCAGAAGCATGCAATGTCATATATGCAGTCATCGGCAAATGTACAAAGCACCCTGCAGCACAGCATAGTTACACACTCCTTAGTAGGGAATGGGGGAGGAAAATTGTACGTAAGAACCAGATGTTGGCTGGGTATGCTGGCTCAGGCCTGTAATCCCAGCACTTTCAGAGGCCGACAGGGGTGGATCACTTGAGGTCAGGAGTTTGAGACCAGCCTGGCCAACATGGCGAAACCCCGTCTCTAACAAAAATACAAAAATTAGCCAGGTATGGTGGCACAGGCCTATAGTCCCAGCTACTTGGCAGGCTGTGGCACAAGAATCACTTGAACATGGGAGGTGGAGGTTGCAGTGAGCTGAGATCGTGCCACTGCACTCCAGCCTGGGCGACAGAGTGAGACTCCATCACAAAAAAAAAAAAAAAAAAAAAGAACCAGATGGTTGTCACAAAGTGATAATTTGTTTGCCACTGGCAGTAAGATAAAGAAGAGAGAGATCTTGGGTGGAAGTGACAAGCCAGAGGCAAGGGCTGGTCCGAAAAGGCTACAGAGAGGAGGTGTTACCTAAGATTTTCCTTAGAGGATACCCTCGGGCTCTGGTTAAACAAGGAGAAACAGGGAGGGTATGAGATCAAAACAGGTTGCCAGTCAGCAAAAGTTTACACATGCATGCATATGTATATGCAACTTCTTCTCCAGCCAGTGAAAACATTTTCTTGGCATATAGGCTGAACTTCATTAATTCCCAAGGGCAATACATGCTGTCAGTGCTAAGGAATGCAAACCCACCCTTCTTCACTTACCAGCACAACTACTCTCTTCCCCAGAACACAGAGCGGGATCAACTGTGCCAGCAGGTGTTGGGCACATCTGTGTAGACTCCACATGCATCTCTCTCTGACATAAGGGAATTTTTACTCCTACACACCAAAGAACTACACTCCCTTAAACACCTTCACTGGTTCCCACTGCCTGCCCACACAAGGTGTGTTTTGTGGAATAATTATTCTGCAGCTGTTCATAGGTGTCAAATACATTTGGAAATTGTTGCACTTAGTGTTAAAGAGGGCTTTTTCTCTGCAGGACTTCAAAGATGCTTTAATAAGCCAACATGCATTGGGAATCTCCAAAGGGGGAACATACGCAGCATTTCCCAAACTTGTAAATTACTGATCTGTTTTCATAGAGCATCACTTGGGACTAACAGTCTGTGAAAGGCACTTTGGGAAATGCGGGACTGACTAAGAAGGGCTTCCCCTAGTGCCCTCCACAGTCAGACGCTGCCTGCTTCTCAGGAGTCCTGCACAAGGCAGACTGCCCCCAAGACGCTATTTCAGCCTACTCACCATATGTATTCCCACCTGTGGACCTCTGCTCACACCACCCCCGGCCCAAATTATGCTGTTCCTTCTCTTCTCATTGTAAGTCAACCCACTCCTCTCGTTGTAAGTCAACCCAAGTCCTTTCTTCTCTGGAAAGCTTTGCTCATCCCTACCAGGACTGGAGATGCCTTGTGCCTCAGACCATCTTAATATTGCTTTATGTCACACTCATTTAGCTTTTGATAGCTGGCTTCTACCTCTATCTCTAATACCTTGCATATGGTAGAATTAGTAAATTCTTTATTAAAGAAGAAGAAAAACAGGAAGGAGATAAAAGAGGAGAATCACAAAGAAAGAAGTAGGGGAGGGGAGGAGGAGGATGGGAGGAGTAGAGAAAGAGAGGAGAAAACCAGGGAGGTGACAGTGGGAAAGAGAATTTCACAGGACCTTGGACGTGGTACTTTGATTGAGTGTAGGTAAGAGGCAAAGCCCAGGGAGCGCAGCCTTGAGTACTTAGTGGAAAAGAAGATCCATGAGGTTCTGCGTATATGACCATCCAAGGCAGCTCCCAGGAGGTGTTCCTGGCACCATGCCACACTTAGCTGCAGGGCAGTGCCCATTCATAAGGTGTCAGCTCTAACCAGTGAGTGCAATACCTAAGAGCAGGCGCAGACTGTGACCCCTTAACCTAACCTATGCTTTATGATAAAATAGATACATATTTATATTTGTACTATTCAGAAAACAGCATATGTATCCATTTCTTGGGGGTTTTCTTGTAAACAACATAATACAATATCCAGTTAGTACTGAGGTGTTTTTGAGACAAGGTCTTGCTCCATCACTCAGGCTGGAGTGCAGTAGAGTGATCACAGCTCACTCTAGCCTTGACCTCTGGGACTCAAGTGATCCTCCTACCTCTGCCTCCCAAGTAGCTGGGATCACAGGTGCATGCCACCAAGCCTAGCTAACTTTTTTTAACATGGGGTCTCACTATATTGCCCAGGCCAGAGTGCAGTGGTGAACATAGCTCACTGCAGCCTCAAATTCCTGAGCTCAAGTGACCCTCTCACCTCAGCCTCCTAAGTAGCTAAGACTACATGTGCACATCACCTTTTTTTTTTTTTTTTTTTTTTTTTGGTAGAGAGAGGGTCTCACTATGGTGTCCAGTCTGGTCTCAAACTCCTGGCCTCAAGCAACCCTCCTGCCTCAGCTTCTCAGAATGCTGGTATGACAGACATGAGCCACCACCACACCTGGCTATTACTGTTAAACAAAATTAATAACATACAAAGTGCAAATTATATAACCCTAAAGCAATCACTGTCAAGAGACCTACCACTAAAGCCAGTGCCTTCGTTTCACAGAGGAGGGGCCTAAAAGCCACAGAGCAGATTGAGCTGTGACTAGAACCTCAAATCTATGGCCTAGTGCACTCACTACATGGACCATCTGAAGCGCTGCTTCTCATGGCTGGGCAGCCTATAATCTCTTTGTCAGCCAGATGGCCAGTTGCCTGAGATGGGAGACACAAGAAACATTCCCACATCTGCTTCCTGCTTTTAACTCACATAAAAATGGCCAGTCGGTTTAACAAAGCTATTTTCCTAAAGGGACCAGAGCTTCTATTTTTTCTGTACATTTAAAACGTGCCAAACAAAATGACACATGTTGTCAACAAGATGCAACAGATATCTTCCCACAAAGCCTCTTCTTTGTAAGCTGTCATGCCAGTTCTGTTGATGTAGTTACCTTCCGCAAAGACCAGCGGTCTTGCCAGAGCTCCACCCTGGAAAAGCTCATCCTGTGGAAGCACAGCTTGGTGGGGTCGCCAGACTCCTGTCTCTAACACACTGTTAAATGCCTAGATGTATTTCTTTCATGCTTGTGCAGAAATTCCATTTCAGAGTGTCGGGGCAACACCTAAGTCAGTCTCCCACATGTGGGTCATGGAAAGAGCCAGGGCCTGGACGCCAGGAGGCCTGGGTTCCAGTCAACATTCCCTGTGACTTTTACAAGTCGCAAGTGGATGACCATGCCCCCATTGCCAGCAGCCTTGGGACGTATGTGGGGGCACTAAGCATAATGGGCCAGTGTGGGGCATGGGAGGGGGTCAGCCCAGCTGCTGTGGTCCCTCTGCCAGCCCCCAGGGCAACCCACAGCCAGGCAGTCTCAGCCAGGGCAGGACAGGGGCCAGGGCCAGAGCAGCGCCTCCACACTGAGTCACAGCCAGCCCTGTAGGAGAAAAACAGCTGAATGTGGGTGAGAACCTGAACATCCATAACAGCCTGGTCCAGGAGAGCATTTCTGGGTCCTGTGAAGAGGAAGAAGAGAAAATGATGTTGGAATCCCCAGGTTAAGGAAAACCAAGCCATTCCCTGGCCTGCAAGCTGTATCACTTCCTCTGTAACTGTTTCTCTCCTTCTGAGCACTGGTACCTGGTTTGTGGGACAAGAAGACAAGTGACATGATCAAAACAAAGCTTTGGTTTGTATTTCCTTCTACTCCTTGTAAATTTTATTCATTGAGAGAGATTTTTCTCCTGCCACCACATACAGCCATGGCAGGCCCTGTAACTGTTCAGTGTATTCTTAGGCTATAAGCAGGTCCACCCTCAAAAACAAACTCCAAATTCAGTCATAGAAAGTACAATCCGAGAGATTAATCAAAACCTCCAACTTGAGCCAGGGTAAACCTTCCTTCCTCCCCCAGCTAGGCTAAACTCCAACCCCACCCTGTGAAAAGGCAGGATGAGGTTGTCTCTCCCCTGTTTCTCCATTTTGCTCTTCTCCTCCTAGTCCCCACCCAAGTCTGTTAGCCAATTTCTTACCCCTCCTTGGTAGGGGCAGGTGAGCAGAGGTAGGAGAAAAAGTAGACCTTCCTTGAACTAGTCCCATTATAAGCTGGTCTGTGCTCTGTGGGCCCAGCCTGTGTTTAACACTGACTCTCTTTTTTCCCCTGGGGTGCTCCTTGGAGCTCTTTTGGGATCTTCCTTCCAGTAGTTTCCTTGACACAGGCAGATGTTTCTTTATTCCCAGTGTTTGCTTGTGGTGCTTTCATAGCCTCTGGGTCTAGCAGTCACCTCCAGCTTGTTACTGCCGAAGTCCCTCTGTCCTATTACATAGCCTCTTGGACAGCATCCAAGATGACTCTGCTCTGCACTTCCTCTGCACGACCCACATCTGGTCCACAAGAAAGACTTACAGGACGCATGGATGGGCGAACCCAATTGCAGCCCCTCCATCCTGCTGCACAGGCTGCCTCCACTTTCTCAGACATGAGAACTCTGTATTCGCCATCTTCAGGGAACCCATTCCAAGCTCTCCAAGTAGCCCCATGGGGACAGCCTCACTGCACTGGAGGGGAAGCCCAGGGAAGCCCTGATGAAATCTCTACTGGAAGGGTCTCTGGAGACTCACAGCACAGCAACTTTTCTCTCCAAGAAATCCCTTCATACATCCTTCGCCCTACCCAGGCCCCTTTTATAGCCTTCATCTGGCTGAAGAGTCCAAGCATCATGAAGCCAGTTTACAGATGTTTCCCTATTAGGCAACTTATTAGAATATCTTACAGCTCAGAGCATAGTCAAAACTTCCATTTTAACATTCATTACATGCTTATCTCAGATTTTAATTATCCACCCATTTAAAGATATGCCCCATGGGGCATAGACATCATCTGGTTTATTCACTACTACATCCCAGCTATGATAGGCACTCAGTGAATAATTATTGAATTAACAAATTAATGTTTAAGTAAAGTAGCGTCCCCTCCTCAGCCTGCAAGCCATATGGGAGTGGGAACTGAGATTATTTGTACTCAATATTTGCCCCCAGTAGAGTCTAGTAGAATGCTGGCCCATAGTAGGTACTTTAAAAGTGGCTTTGAAAAAAATTAATGAACCTGGGCAAAAGGCCACATTTCTCTAGGTAAGATTAATGGAGGCTCTACTGACCCAGAGCCTCTCTCCCATTCTTCTTCAAATTCTTCACTTGGCTACATTGCTTAAAACTCTGCTAATCAGATATTCTATCAGTTCAAAGCTTTTTTAACAACAAAGATATCACCACTGAGAAAATGGAAGCCAGTCATTTACACTTAAGAAGACAATTTGATACAAGGAATGTACAGGAACACTGTCAGGGGCCTGAAGAGTGCTAGGAGGCACTTAAGAGAAAGGAGATGGCAGGCCCAGAGGTGGGAGCTCTTTTAGAGGCTTGCCAGGGAGACCGTGTGTGCCAGGAGGTGAAAAGGAAGTGGCAGACAAAACCAGTATTTTTTAGAGTTTGCCTTTAGCAAGCTTCCTTCTACACAATTTTTAAGAACCAATTAATTTTTAGAGCTAGAAGGAACCTTTTATATCATCAGATTCCATGGCTTCCAAACATTTTTGAGCCAAAAAACTTCTTCTTTCAATGAAATCTTACCAGAAAGCCAATATGAAAAACAGGTAAGCGGAGATAATCTGGTTCTAGATAGGTGGTTTTAGGTGGGTTCTAGATGTTTGGGCTGGGAAACCAAACATGCACATACACATACATATCTATTAATACATACATACACACATGCATATACATACATATACACACATACATATATGTATATACACACATATATACATGCATGCACATATATACACACATGTACACGCACACACACGATTTTCTCAGAGTAGTCTTCAAACCTCCCCCTCAGAATCACTAAGTGCTCCTGAAACACAGTGTGTCCAGATACAATGAAAGACCCACAGTCATCCTCACCCATCACCATGTCCCAGAGACTGGGCTCCAGAGGTCAAAAGAAAATGAAAGACACTAGACCCTACTGCTCCCTCCCCTTGATCAAGGAGCAAGACCTTGTCCCCTCCACTTCCCAAACTCTTTGTCTATTCTGTAAATGTTTGCAAATCAAAGAAAGAGCCCTTTCACGGGACCACTGAAGACTTCCCCCATGAGTTTAATACTACCAACAAATATTTACTCAGTTCTTCCTACATTCTTGACCCGTGTTTGGCACTCAGAACAAGTGACCATTGTCATTGCTAAGTTAACCAGCACTCTCTGGGTGCTGCCTGTTCAACCTTCTCTGAGCCATCTCAATTGCAGTTAAATATCCCACATCTTTCCATCTTTCCCCTAAATGTGCTTTGAGACACTGTGTGAACTGATCTGCTGAAATGCAGATAAACTACATCTGTCAGCCCCCATCTATGAATCTAGTGAGACTTGCAAAAAAAATGAGGTTTGGCACAATTCGCTTTCGGCAAACCTTTGCTCCCAGGGATGACCACTGTTTCCTGTCTTTGGAACTTATAAGCCATCTGTTTAATAATCTGTCCTAGCTTCCTGCCAAGGACTGACATGCATCTCACCAGTCAGCAGTTCCCACCAAAAGTGCTTAGGGCCTCAGGGCCTCCCATCCCTGCTGCTGGCCAGTGTCCAGCTCACACAAGTGGCCCCCTCATCCCTAATGAGGCCTTACTGGAGAGGATGGGCCACTCGCCTATTGCAAGTGCACAATGTGAATCTGAGAGTTCAGTTTCGTGTAATTATTTCTGTATCAACAACATCAACTCAGGGCTCAAGATCACCTAGGTGAGAGTGTAAGAATAGAGACTTTCCAATTAGCAGAGCTAGGTTTGAAACCTAACCCCACCACTCACTGTGTGGTTTTGACTAATGACCCACTCTGAACTTGTAAAATGAGCCCATGGGAGCTCATGGTTGTGATTACTAAATGCAATATAGTGCATTTAGTATATGCAATATTGTGCATGAAATGCTCAGCACAGTGGCTGGTGCATATCAGCATTGTTATTATTAAAAGAAAATACCCTTATTAATTAACTACTGCAAGTCAGGGGTGGGAATGGGACAAGGAGCAGGCCTGGGTGGAGGGCCTGTGTGTGAGGGGACTATTCATAGGTACCCAGTTCAATTCTTTTTCTAGGCACTAGCGGTATATGGAAAAGATCCTCTTCCCTGTAGAGCTCGAATTTCATGGAGAAGAAATTATGAGAGAATGTCTGTCTCCTTTCAGTCACCTGGCTTGTGGATTTGCTATCCCCAGGTGAAACCAAGGCCCTACTGGACTGGCCCCAGGCTGATTCCTGGAGGAAGCTACTTTTCAGAGGGGCACACAGGTTATCTCATGGACAGGTTCTTCAGGGTGTCTTCTAACCCCCAGAGATCTGAGGACAAAGGATTCCTATCATCTCCTTGAGCAACTGTTAAGGAGGCAGAGAGGAGCCGGGTGGAAGGTCCTCAAATGAACAAGGTCAACCAAGCGGCAAAGGTTCTAACAGTTCATTCTCCTGGCCCTCGTGTGAAAACTGCAGAAAAGTCACCCCATGCCTTTGTAGATTAAAATTAAGCTGGCAAGATTCAGCTGTAGTGGGCTTTAGATGGTCTGGGTCACTTTCTGAAGCCAATTTCTTTTAAAAGCTCTCAAGCTGAAGGCAATAATACTAAATGACAGCTGAGAATTTTAAGTTTTATTTTCAGTTCTGGAAAAAAAGGGGGGGATGGGTATCCCTTTATATTTTTATACTGAGGACAAGTCAGTAGGGAGATTTCATTGTGTTGTCGGTGTAAAAGTAATCAACTCAGTGTGCCATAGCCAGGAATTCAAACTGCTTGGAAAATGCAGGTGTAGTTAGCCCTTTTCACTGGAAAATACACTGGACAGTGACGTGGGTAGGTTAAGAGCAGAGAGCTGCTGGGAAGATCTGCAGAAAGGGCAAGGTTGTCTGCCACATTCCTTCTTCCTAAAGCACTTATGCCATCTAGGTGAAACTGGGCTGTTCTAGGAGGGGTAGTACTTCCTGCTTTAACACTAACCAACTTGAAAATCACACTGGGAACAAAACCATGACAGCCAGGAACACAGCACCAGAAGGTGAAACCCAGCCCAGAGTATGTAGCCGCTGTAACTTACAGCATTAATAAAAGGCTTACAGAAAACCAAAGGCCTATTAAATATCCCTGCCCCACCTAGACTCACCACTTAATTGGGGTGGGAAGCCTCAAGGCAGAAGGAGTATAAATGGTTCCAAAGGCCGGAGCGACTTTGGTCTGAAAGGCCCAGGTCCAATTAAAACAAACCAGGAGCCTTAATAACTGCTCCGTTTTGACATCGGGAAACCCACTCTAAATTCTGTCAATGGCTATGATGTAGAGATTTTATTATGATTATTATTTCATGGACTTAATGAATGCTTAAAAGAATTAAGCCACGATAAGACCCAAGGTCATAACCTCCTCATCCACCACGAAAGGGCAGCTTGCCCCAGAGCCAGCCTCTTCTTGGGAGGCAGTCCCCAGGTCCCTGGGTTCTGGTGGTCCTACTATTTGATTTGGGGTTGATTTAGAGCATGCACAAGCAAAATGGGCTGTAGGCCCTTGCCGTGACTGTAAAGGCTTCTGTGTGCGTAGTCATCTCCTCAACCTGCCAGAAATTCCCCAAAAGGAGAAAGGTTAATCCCTCTAACTTAAGGAATTTTAGCCTAGGTAACATCACAGTGTCCACCAGAAGGAGGACACACACACACACACACACACACACACACACACACACCCTACTGATGAAAATTAGGTTATCTATCTCCCTTAACCAACTGGCTATGAGTACATCTTGTTCTTTTATGCATTCACCATTTTTTTGTATTGCTAATGAGCCACAATAAGCAATATTGAGTATTTCTTACTGAGTTGTATTGAGTCCTTCACCATGAGCCAGGCACTATATTATATGCTAAACAAGTTCATTTTCTTTGTGTATCACAAACCTTTCTGATTATAAGCAGTACTTATTAAGTGTTATGTTATCAACGTATATTAAAATGACAAATTCTCTTGGTAATCATGATTCAGTAGATACAGGGTGGGGTTTTGTCCTCTGTTTTTAACAAGTGGCCCAAGGGATGCTTATGATCAAGTCATTGTCCTAGAAAGCTTCCCAGCTTGTCCGAAACCTCTTGACTGAAGTGCCCACAGACTCCTCCACCATCAGAAGGGTCCCCTTTCCCACTGTGTTGAGCCCTCCCATAAGCATCTCCATCCTTCCTGATTTTTTTTTGAACAGGCTTTTAGCTGCTGAAAAGCAAAATAATACCCTCAAAGGAAAGTTTTATTGGAGGGAAACTGTCTCAAACTGCAGACAGTATCTTTTTGCATTTTATTAAACCTGCAGAGCTAGAGCCATGATTTAAAGCAATGGGTGGCCAAGTAACTTGAAGTCTATTTTAGTTACCATTTTTGTTACTGATGGTTCCACCTACTCAAAAGAAAAAATAGTGAATAGAAATATTAATATAGGAAGCCAAGGCAGTCTCATGGCTGCAAAGAAACATTGGTTCTGTGCCCTGACCTTCCTCTTTGTGGCTCAGATTTTCCACCTAGGGGAGGGTGATTTTTGCTCTCTCCTCATCATACAGAGCTGCTGAAGGGATCCTTAAGAGAAGGCTCTTCTAGACTTTGAGTTTCCTGACCAAAATTAAACCGTTGCAGTTGTAGTATCTTTCTCTTAAAGTGGGTTTCCTCATTCACCAGACATTACCATTAGAGCCTGGAGTGATGAGAAATGTCTAAATGTAGGTAAATAGACAAAGACTTCCAGAGTTTTCCCATGTATTGTCAATGGGGCAACAAGGCATTGCCCTGAAATCTCTGGGTGTGTGACATTAAGATTACAGCTTGTATGTAGAACATAAAAGGCCTCTTTATACTCTATGATTATGAATTATGATAATCTTTCTTAAAGCAAGTATGTATATATTGTTATTTATTCTTTAAAACAACTTTTCAAAACATATATTCTCTATCTCAGCTTAAGTTGAATGTACTTCTTAGAATGAATTTATGTAGCAAGTCAACTCTGCTCTGTGCAGACAGGGTCAGTTGTCTTCTCTCTGAGCAGATTGTTGGGGGCCAATCCTAGCTAACTATGAAACTAAAGGATGGAACAGTTGACCCCTGGAAGTCCCTATGCTCCAGTGATCTCTCTCCGTGTATCAAATGGTCTTGAAACTCTTAAAAAGATTGTTATTACCTCAAATAGAAAGGGTGATTGTATTTGATATATCCTGGGAACACTGCTCGTATGCACCATCTTAATAAAATGAAAGCCTATTAAATAAGACATCATTTAAGGAATAGAGGAGATGGATGGAATGCCACAGAAAAATGTAATGAATATTCATTTATAGATTGAGAAGTGGAAACATATGGGAAGGCTTGTTTGGGGTTTTTATTTTTTGCAACAATATGGGGCTCTTAAATGACACTACACATTTATAACAGCTACCTGTTGACCAAGAGCTGTAAAGGGACTCTCCAATTACAGAGGAGCAGAGCCCAGTGGATGCTGTTCCTCAAAATAGTCATCTCCCATTGAGATCTATTTAAGAATACCTTTCAAAGAGTATCTTTACAGTTTTATGCACCTAAAATACAGTAAAATCTCACATAAGGAGATATCAGAGTTGGGGGGCTTATTAGCTCATATACTGATACAAAAGTTTATTTCTTTTCAGTTCTCCAGATTAAGCCCCATTTTGTCCCTATATCATAATTCAGCTTTCATTTGAGTGAGAGTAAAAGGGGATCTAAGAATAAAGTAAAAATAAAAGAGACTCAGTAGCATCTTAGTTCTGAGACCCAGAGACCATTTAGGAGGCTACTGTAATGTCAGGCAGAATAACAAAGCAGAAGGTGGCTGGGGGTGACCCTGGAGTCACTGGATGGTGAAGAAGGGGTGGAGTTCTGATCACAGAACAACCAGAGAGAGACTCTCAGTGAGTCAATTAAATTTTGCCTAAACTTAGTTTTCCCCACTACAAAAAAAAAAAAAAAAATTCCTGTTGCATCACCTCAAAATAGGAGATCCATTGAAATGTGAAAATGATGAAATGTGGAAATAAATATGTACTTTGCAAATAATAACAATGGCTGTGTGGAGTTAGTGAGCCCAGGATTTTCTCTTCTCTTTTTTCCATAGAGTTTTTAGTGCCTTTAATTGCTTTTATTTAATAAAAGAAATGGTAATTTAAGAGGAGAGAGAGAGAAGCAGATGTGAGCTTTAAGGGATGACTATAGAACCAGATCTATGATGTCTGAGCTAGACTCCTTAGCGGGTTTCGGAAAAATGTTCCAGCCCATTAATTCAAAGCCTGAGTGAGGAGGTGTGAGTGACTGGTCACACCAGGACACAGTGGTTCTCTGCAGTGGCCACTTCCGCTGACATTACATCCAACACCACCATCACTTCTGTGGCCCAGGTCTCCCAGGACACTCATTTGCAAGTTCACCATTGTTAAAAATCACTCTCCTGTCTTCTTGTCATTCTCCTTGTCTAGTGATCCCCAAGGTTTCTGGACTCAGAGCTTTGGTATGAAATTCAATCTTCACTTAGTTTACAATTTTTTTCTTCACCCAGTGACAGTGTGATGAGGTAATGTTTTCTAGCAGACCGGCTCAAGATTTGAACCTTTAAAAGTGAAAAACATTGAGAGCTTAAAAGGCCAGTGTTCAATATTCCTTCAGTGATTTTAAGTGGACAGTAATGTCTTCCCAGATATTAATTCCAGAGTGACAGAACTATCATTGTCTCCATCTGCCCCCACAGCAAAGTTGTAGTTAGTCATTCTCTGTAACAGTAGTAATGAACTCTCTAGTTATAAACAAGCAACCCAAGAAAAATTTCATTTCCCCAGAGACCATTTAGGAGGCTACTGTAATATCAGGCAGAATAACAGCAGACCGGAAGGGGGCTGGGGGTGACCCTGGAGTCACTGGATGGTGAAGAAGGGGTGGAGAGCGAAAAGATGCTGGAGGAGGAGGCATCCTTATCCAGGTTGCCTCAGACTCCTGCAGAAGGGACCCAGCCCCAGCCCTTGCATATCAAGAAGAGAAACTCAGAGGACTCTTCTCATTCACAAGGAAATGTTCTGAAGCTGTGAGACTCTGACATTTGTGGTGTATAAACCACTTTCGCATGGCCCAGAACCTTCTGTGAGGTTCCATTCTGCATAAATTACAGTTTTGTAATCACTTTTTCTAACTGATGCTTTTTGTGCTCTTTAATGTGCATTCAGATATGAGGGGAGGTGGCATCCTTTTATTTATTTAAAGAATGCACGTCTTTATGATTTGCCTTCAGAAAGAGGCTCTTTACTATCAGCATGTCCCACCTTTTGGGGACCCTGAGGTCCAGTGTGGAGAAGCAAGGAGCTGGCTCTCCTCCAGCCTGGAGTAGCTGTGATCAGCCTCAAGTCACCTCTACTCAGAAGGTCCCCAGAGGCCTGTGCAGGCTGGCAGATGGCCCAGGACTTGAGATCACTTCAAGTGTGCATGGATAGGGAGGAAAGCTATACAGACTCATGTGACCTATAACTTGGACATTAACAGACCAAAGGAAATGCCATGCCTTACTCAGAGCCAATTTCTCTTTAGAAGAGAATTCTAAATTCTAAATTCTCTAATTCCTGTGTCACTCTCCAAGTCCCCTGCAGTCTTCCTCCCATTGTCTTTTCTCTTTTGTTTGGTAACTTTTCTTTCCTACGAATTTACCAGCCTGAAGAGATGAAAGTCCTGAGTTTTCCTACTTCCTTATTACACAAATGGAGGAATAAGGAAAGCTGTTGTTGGAAGGATAGCACTCAGTAGATGAGCAAAGCAACTCAAGATTGTCTCCTTTAGCTCCAGTAAGTTTGATCCAAACTGGGAGGTCACCGATGAAGCTTAGATCAAACAAGGGCCAACATCATTGTCATCAACACCATCACTGTCATCATCATAATGACAAAAATGACCCAAAAATGTTCTAATTTTTGAGGAGGTTTGCTTAAAGTGAAGAAGGTTTTAATATCTTCATTGTGTGCTAGATTCTTTAAATCAGAATAATCAAACTGAGGTGTTAAGAGAAAGAATATCAGAAAATCAGGCAAGACCTTGCTTAAGGAAATATGAATTGCCTAAAGGAGGAAACGGCTAAAAATTACAGATGATTTGCTTGATCTCGAATGTAGGTGTATACCCAATTTCAGTTAACCTTTGGGTATGTGATAAGCAAAAACCACACCTCCACCCTTCCCTTAGAGTTTTCAACTCTGGCATATAAACTGTGTTCTCATCTCCACCCGGTCCTGCCAATGACAAGTTGAATGCTGTCTACTATAACTGCATGGCCAGGGCCCCTGAGTAGCATTTAAGGTAATAGAAAAAGCCAGCTAGTGTGCCAATAGCCTTTGAGAGATGACCTGTACTGATACAGATTCCAGTTTATCTTTGGCATAAGCCAGCCAAAAACACAAATAGGATCTCCTCAGAAGCACTTTCAAGGCTTACAGACTGGGAATTTTCCTTTTGATACCATCCTCATCAATCGTCAGATTGTGTATGATCATTATTTCAGAGACTCAAACCAGAAGTAATGTTCATGTAACTACCAACCTTCTGAAACAGAAGGTTGAGATCACTGTTGGTTTTTGTTGACAGAAGATTGTGGCAACACACTTTGAAAGTAGGCGAAAGGTAATCCAGAAGGTAATCAGCCGTAAAATTGTTCTGTTTATGGGAAGAATGAAGTACCATGTCCTGCTGCTGCTCTTCACTTTAGTTTTATCACCCTTTTTCCTCCCTATTCCCTTTCCCTGCCCTCAAATCTCTACCTCCCTGCAAGTGCCCTACTTCCAAGTTTCAGAACTTGGGCTTGCATTCCATTCCATCCCTAGGGAGAGAGCCTGCAGGGCCCCACCGTTGCTCAGGCCCTCTCTTGACCAGAGCATAAAGGATTGGCAGACACTCTGGCAGGATCCTGCACAGCAGTCTTCAGATACAGCTGCTCTTCCATCCCCAAACATGAAAATCTGTGGCTCCTGGCAGCTTGGAAAATGTCATTTTCCCATGAAAATGACGTAAGAGGCAGAAGAGTCTCAACTCCACTCTCTGTTACAAAAGTATTCCTCCTAAAATATTAATATTTGCGCTTAGTCCATATTATACCATGTGACTAACATATGAAAAGAAATCTTCTTGGAGATTAAACAAGTCTCTCTTGGGCTCATTGCACAGTTTGGGGAGGTAAGCTCCAGGTCAGAAGCTGCCTGGAGACATCTAGAGTGTCACCCTCCCTCCGTTTTCTGTGGTGTTCCCAGCCTATGTGAATGAGCTCATGTGCTGACCTCCTGGCCAGCCCCTCTCTTCCCTTCTCTGTAGTGCTCTGCACACTTTGGTCCTTTTGCCTCCCCCCATTCCCTCAAAATTTGACATTCCTATGTCCCTTTATCCCGATCACCACCACTCAAATTTCACAGTCCCGAGCACCCTTTCCCTGGCCTCAAAAGAATAGATCTTTATGCTGGCTAACCCACATGTTACTGGATGCCAGTGTCCAGGGAATTTCTCTCCTGGGTAACACTCTGGCATTTTAAAAGGAGTCTCCATGAGATGCCCACAGGGGATCCCTAATGTTGAAAATATCAGACTGAGCCGGGGACAGTGGCATATGCCTGTAGTCCCAGCTACTCGGGAGGCCAAAGTGGAAGGATCGCTTGAGCCCAGTAGGTTGAGGCTGCAGTGAGCCATGATCATGACACCGCACTCTAGCCTGGGCGACAAAGTGAATTTAAAAATTTATTTTTTATTTTATTAAATAATTTAAAAATACATATATCAGACCAATTGGTAGTCTGGACATGTCCGGGGTGCAGAGAGTAGGAAGAAGACACCTCAAGGCAGGGAAATTTTGGTGTTCTGCTCAGCTCGCTACCAGAGGCACTCATTAACCTCATGGGTAGGGGAGAAGCAAGGGAGATGGGATGCAGGAGAGAGGCGAGCTGAGAAAAAGCAACAGGTTTAGAGAAACTGATGATGCAAACCCCCAAACTCCCTCTCCAGCTTCACAATGTAGTTCTTTAGCCTCTTCAGGGAGCTTATGGATTGAACACTAGCAAATGTTGGGTGCTATTCCAGAGCTTCTTTTAGGCCAAAACCAAATAATATGACAAAGTCCCTGCCTTCAAAGAAAGAAGGCTGAAAGGCAAGAAAGGACCAGGTGGGAATTGTGATGGCCGGAAAGAGGACAAGGAGTATTGCTGTTACTATTGGGCTTTTTGCTTATTCATAATTTCAACCACTGCATAGCTAAGACTCCCAGAAAATCAGAGTGAGCTGTTCAGAACTGCAGTGTGTCCCCACACTGCCTCTCCATTGCATTCCTCTGCCTCAGTCCCAGCCACATCTCTCAGCCTCAAGAATCCTGTTCCTCAATGAGGGGGTTGGTAGCCATAGCTCGGGGGAGTGGGCCAAACCACGAGCACCCCCACTCATTGCAGGGTCTTTGGAGACTGAACAGAGATTGTTCTTACTAAGCATGAGGTCACCTTTCTTTTCCTGGACTGTCTGGATTCACAGAGTTTCTTTGGGTTCTCTGGCTGAATTCACTCCAGGGCTGATCTCTGTGAGCAGCCCCTGGGATCTAGCTCAGAGAGACTCCTCCAGGGCCCAGTCCTCATCCCCTGTGGAATGGGACCTAGTGAAAGACCAGTCAATTGGGGAAGGATGTGGAGCAGGTCATGAGGCCGGAGGAAGGCAAAGGTCAAGCTAGTTCCAAAGGCCTCATCAAGCGGTAGGAAATGGGAGAGCCTAGGAGCCAAAATGGTGGTTGAGAAGTAAGAAATGCTGCAAGCCAGGAGCAGCAACAAAAGCAGTGAGAGGAGGCTGAGAAGAATTCGGGAGTCAGAGGCCCATCCAGGTACTTGGGGTGACCTTGTTATCCTGGTAAGGGTTTGTGCAACTAGGAGGAACCATTGAAATAGAAGAAATGAAGTAGAGGTCATACCGTTTGTCATCTCTCCAAGTGGAGCTTTCTGCTGAGTCCACTTTTAATGAACAAATAAAATTCGTTGGTAATTAGCGACATTCTTTATTTATAATCCAGGTGCTGAAATCCCCCCAAAGCTTTACCCTGCCTCTTTCCAAAAGATTTAACATATATATTTTTTTTCCTCTTAAAGATTCCTCTTACAGTCTCAATATGAGTCCAACAACCATTTCTTCCCAGATCATACAGAACACGAGCTCAGCCCAGCCTGGGGAGAAGTATCACAGACATTTAATTAGTGCAGGCTGGATTCGTGAAGCATTTCGTGCACCATGAAAATGGGGCATTTTGATACTGGCTCATGGTCTTATTTCAGATCCAACTTCTACATGGTCTTGCAATTAGGAAGAGTACTGGGGCCCAGTGGAAGCCTGAAAACAGTTTTGAGGTTGGATAACTTCATGCTTTTTTTTACTCCTAAATGAATCCCAGATTTTGAGTGCTGTAAATTTTCTGTTTTTCTGTCTGACATCAGCCAGAATACTTCAGGGTTTTGACTACTGTCTTCCTTTAGTTTTATCTGAGAGGCACTCTGGCAGGATCATGGCAGCCCTTACCTAAAAAGCAGATAAGTCCAGGAAACAGTCCAGAGGCTTCTGGGAGCCAGCTGGGCAGGTCTCACCTCTTCAAAGGTGGGCATCCAACTCCATGGTCAAAAAGTAAGAGGCTGCCCAAAGCCCAGCCTAATCCCAGAAGATCACCACAAGAGCCTACCACAGCACCCCAAATGCCCAGCACTGGGGCCGCTCCTTTAGAATAAAATACTGTCATCAGAAGGTTCCTTTCTTGAATTATATTATTTAGGTTAGAAGTTCAGCTGACCTACCAAAAGCCCAAAATAATACAAGCTTCAACTATCGAACTTTTTTTTCCCCTCTCACATATAACTCTCCGGGAATAAACTGTCCAGGATCAACATGGCAGCTCCATGCTGTCAGGTGCCCAGGCTCCTTCCATCTTGTTTCTCCACCACCCCAAGAGTGTGGTTCTTGTCAGCATAGTCCAAGAATGAAAAGGGTTAGGGTGTGCCCTTTAAGGCACAGCTTAGAATTTGGACATATAATTTCTGCTCACATTCAGCTGGCCAGAGCATAGATTACATGGCCACACCTTGATGCAAAGGAAGCCACACCCACCTGCAATCCTTGCACCACACTAGGTCAAGCTCAGCATCATTTACTGCCTCTTGAAGCAGCTTTTGCAAGGAAGGCTGGGAAATGTAGTCATTGCTGGCTGGTCATGTGGCCAGTGAAACTCAGGGGTTCTACTACTAAAGGAAGAAAGTGAAAATGCATATGAGAGACAGTTATCAATCTCTGTCACAGTATATTTTTGTGTCTATGGAAAGATAGAGCCTATTAAGAAATAAACCACTATAGTGGACCCAGCTTGTGGATCTGATTAGAGGTTTGTCCCTTAGAAAGCACAGAGGATTATAAGGGGAGAGGCACATAGGACAAGTAAATTATGATTGGAAAAAGGGATAGGGATACACAAGGCACTTCTCCAGGAAGGGTTGCTGCAGGGCACTGAAATCCTAAAGAAGGAAGAAATAGAGACATGGAAAGCTGGAACAGAACAACGGAGGCTGGGTAAGTGTTGGGACCCGTGGAAACTTCTCAAATGGGTAATATTACTGGTGGCCAACTCTTTTCATGGCTATGCTTCTTGATTCATTCTGCCCTAGATTCATTCCAATCTAAAAGCACATGTTGCTCAAAAGAAAGAGCATAGAGTCTAAACAGACCTCGATTTATATCTTCACTCGGTCACTTACTTACAGAGATAGCCTGGGAAAATTACGCAGCCCCTGAGCCATTTCTACATTTTTGAATCAGGATAATGGGGATATTAACCAATGGTGCTTTTAGGAGAACAAAATGAGTTGATGAATATAAAGCAGCTAGTACCAAGCCTGGCATAGGGTAAGCACTCAGTGAGTGGCATTTGGGATTAGTATGAAACTTTTCACTCCATAACAAACAACTTGTCCCTCAAATGAATACATATGAGTAGGGGGCTTGGCCAGTGTGACAATGTTGTGGGATAGGAAAAAGGTGCATGTGTGAAGTGCTGAGAACCTAGCAGACACCTACCCATTTAGGATGCTTCTCTTAGTGTGCTCAGGCTGCCATAACAAAATACTATGGACTGTGGGCCTTAAACAACAGAAATTTATTTTCTCACAGTACTGGAGACTGGAGGTCTGAGATCAGGGTGCCAGTGTGATCAGGTTCTGGTGAGGCCCCTCTTCCAGGCTGTGTGCTCACATAGCCATTTCTTGGTGCATGTGTGAGTAGAATGAAAACAAGCCCTGTGGGAACTCTTCTTCTAAGGGGACCAACCCCATCATGAGGGAGGCACCCTCATGACCTCATCCAACCCTAAGTTCCTCCCAAAGACCCCACCCTCAAATACTATCCCACTGGAGGCTGAGGCTTCAACACATGGATTTGGGGAGACACACACATTCGGTCCATAACAGTGCCACTCACTGGCAACAATACAGGAAGCACAGAAGCAAACTTGTTCTTTTTTAAAAAAATTAATATTCCATTTTGGGGAAAAGGTGTTGACAGCTACTGGCATAGGAAAAGAACTCATCCTGAAGATGGCATTCCTCGATTGGTGCAAAAGAAGAAAACAAACCTTCATCCATGAGCTTGTATATATGGAGCGGGATGATATCAGCGCTGTGCACCAGATGAATCAGTAATTTTTACATTTTCACATCCAAGCTAAATAGTGCTCTTGACCAAAAAATCTTAGTCGGTTTATCTTCTGGCACCAATATTTAAAGCAAATACCTCAACATAAATAAAATAATAAATTGAAAGACTATACTAATTGTCGTTCTAAGTAGTTAGAGTCATTTAACTGGGGACAGGAAAAATATCCTCAAGATTCTTAACAGGTGAGACAGAAAGGGCAAGAAGGAAGACTCTAAATAATATTAGTTCATCCTGGGTCAGACTTTCACTCACTCAGCATGACCATGCCATGGTGGTTTTTTTTTTTTTTTTAATCTTAGAAAAGTGCATTAAATCTAAAGTATTAGTGAGACCCATCCAAAATGTTGATTAAAACCAGGCTCTTTGGAGAAGTAATTGCTACACTGCTTGGCAGGACCCAGGAGTGTACATTGGACTTGATGCCATTGATGAAGAGATGATGGTCAGTACCAATGGCTGGTTTTAAGAAGAGCAAAGTTAAGAAACAATATTTAGGATGTGCCACACTGGGTCACCACTCAGCATGATTTGCTTCCTCTTAATGTTTTCAACTTTCTCTACCACCTCTAAAGTATACTACCCAGGGTATCTCTGCATAATTCTTTGTCTTGCCCCTTTGAAAGGTTTGAATTCTCAGAGCCAGTCCCTGTTTAGTGACAGCACTTTGGCCACCTGATCACTTTTCCTAAATCTCCTTTCTCCAACCCTATTTTGTCTTTATTTTTTGAAATTTGTCAGAACTAAACAGGTGCAAACAAAACATGCCATGATTTTATATAGTGCTATGAGATTTAAAGAAGGGATTTAAGCATCAGACAAGGAGGTTTTATTTCCTTATGTCATCTAGTATATTTTTGCCTTTTTTAGCTACAATGGTTTATCGACCTTCCTCAGGGGCCATCAGAGTGAGTCCTTTACCACTTGGCCTTACAGTTTCATTCATTTGTATGGCAAGTAGTTGTAACTTTACGCGTAGGGTAGACATGGAGAGTTAGCATTTCATATAGCCTTAGGACAGAGTTTGTTCATCCCTATTTTGATGGCACGGCTACTTTATCTTACTGTGTTTCCTCTGTGTCCAAGTATTTATTAATATTTTTTAAGATTTTCAAGTCAAAATGGCAATTTGAGTATATGTATGTAGCCTGACTTCAGAATCGGGAGAGACTTTTCAACCTTGAGCTACCCACTGGCAGCGTGAGAGAAGGTGATAGGATGTCATAGGCTCAGCTTACACAAGTAAGCATGCACAAGTGTGTAAATAGGCAAAAACCCCTTTCCAGATTGCAACATTTTTCCCAGTCCTGAGTTCAGCCCTTTCTCACCAACATAACAATCTATATTTCTTTTAACTTTTATTTTAGGTTTGGGGGTACATGTGAAGGTTTGTTACATAGGTAAACATGTGTCATGGGGGCTTGTTGTACAGATTATTTCATCACCCAGGTATTAAGCCCAGTACCCAATAGTTATCTCTTTTGCTCCTCTCCCTCCTCCTACCTTCCCCACTCACGTAGACTCCAGTGTCTGTTGTTTCTGTCTTTGTGTTCATAAGTTCTTATTATTTAGCTCCCACTTGTAAGTGAGAACATGCAGTATTTGGTTTTCTGTTCCTGCTTTAGTTTGCTAAGGATAATGGCCTCCAGCTCCATCCATGTTCCTGCAAAAGACATGATCTCATTCTTTTTTATGGCTGCATAGTATTCCATGGTGTATATGTACCACATTTTCTTTATCTAATCTATAACCTACATTTCAAAATGAACACTGCAGGATAATATCCAGAGGACAGAAAAGGAAATGTGTGATGGTTACCTTTGGGGTTATATCTTTCTGTCATCCAGTTATCCCATCTTTCTCCTGGGGACCTTGGGTTCCAGTGGCATAAAGTCCTAGTCCATCAGGCAATGACTAAAGCACAGATCGGGATCCTTCGCAGCAACTTTAGGAAGGGTGCCAAGTTCAGAGTCCAGAAAAAAAAAGGGAAACCTACAACTCATACTCAGCTTCCACACACCATGAATGACCCCACTAGGCAAAGAGATGAGTTGCTTCTTGTTTCAGTATTATTCCATAACAAACCATCCAAAAACCTAATGACTTAAACTATAATTTGCTATTTTTCCTCACATTTTTTGGGTCGATTGGGCTCAGTTGGATAGTTCTCATTTAGAGTCTCTCATGAAGCTGCAGTCAGATGGCGGCTGGGGCTGGAATCACTGGAAGGTTGATTGGACATCCCAGAGGGCTTCTTCACTCCTTTGACCGCCTTCATTGTACCTCAACAGGCCTCCCTGCAGTAGGCCAGCCAGGATTTCTTACATGGAGGCTCAGGGCACCAAAAACAGGAAGCAGAAACTGTCAGGCCTCAGAGGCAGGCTCAAAGCTAGCACATCACTTTCATTATATTCAAAACAATCACAGCCAACCGAGATTCAAGGGAGTAGAGGCATAGACCCCTCCTCGCCACAGCACATGTGTACTACAGGGGGAAAAGATGGCAGCCACCTTTGCAGATAAGCTACCACCACCACAAACAGGAAGCAAGAATTATTTGGGATGGAAGATTTTCCTTCTGCCCAGAGAGCCCTGAAAGAGCACCCTCTGTGCTACTCTTGGGTGGCCCAGTGATTAAAGAGCAAAGTTTGTGCAAATATAATTGTGTAAAACGTTGGAGAAAAGTAACTTAATAAACTCACAACCACCCTTGGACTTCAATAAAGCAAGCAGATGAAAAAGTAAATAAAAGATATAGAGGCTTTAATTAAATCGAATCAAAAAATGATTAATGGATATTTAACAGCACCCTTCAAATAAATAATTCATATTATTTTCTTAACTTGTAAAAATCAACTATAACTTAGGCCACAAAGAAAACCTGAAAAAAGAGAGAACATATAATTTTTAGAGTCCACATATACCACCAAAAATAAAAATAAAAATCTACAATTTAGCAATAAGGGATTAAACTCTTGCTTCAAAAAAGCACTTAGACACCACTGCACTCCAGCCTAGGCGACAGACCGAGAGCTTGTCTCCAAAAAAAAAAAAAAAGCACTTTGAAGTTTTAAAAGCAGTCTTATAAATTACTATTCAGTCCAAGAGGAAATCAAAACTGCAATTAACTGGGATCCTAGAAAATAATGACAATTGGAACATCTCAATAAAAACTTGTGGGATTTGGAAACATCATAGCCTTAAATTCTTTCATTATTAAACAAGAAAAAATGAAAACAAATGAGATAAGAATTAGGTAAAACTTAGAAAATAATATGAAACAAATCTACAGACAGCAGAAACACGGAATCTATGAATAAAAAACAAATTAATGAAAACAAAGCAAAATCAGTAGAAGCAAGAAATAAGTCTTTAAGAATTTCTTTGGAACTACCAGTATCATCGATGAATCTTTGAAAGACAAATCCAAAAAGGAAGGTTAGAACATGAAAATATGTAATTATTAAGAAAGACAAAAGGACTATCACAACGAAGGAGATTTGTTTACCTGTAAGAATGCCCTGTGAACAAAGTACAAATCTATGCAAATGCTTCTAAAATCTTGATGAATTATTTTCTAAGAAAGGATAAATTACAGAAATTGACTCAAAAAAAGTACAAAACCTGAATAAATCAATATCTGTGGCAAAAATTTTTAAAGGCATCAAAGAACTATACTTTTAAATAACAGCATGTCTAGAAAATTTTTGAGAGAATTATCTCATGCTTGTGTACTTGTTATACGACAAGTAATTCTTATGCTATTTCAGAAATACAGAACATATAAAAAGATGAAAATCCTCCCAAATTGTTTTGTGAAGTTAACATAATCTTGATGAAAAGTAGCTCACAACAAAAGAAACATGGCCAAATTCACCTGTGAATTTGGGTGCAAAAATCCTAAATCAAAGAGAATTAATTTCAGAACTTTTCAAAAGTTTGTTTCAGAAATGTGCAGATAATTTTTATTAGAAAAAAATTTATAAAATATATATCAGTAGGTGAAAATATAGGAAAAATATAATGATCTTGATATCAAAAAGATTCTGATAGAATTTAAAATATTACTTTTTGAAACTATCAACTGTGAATAGGAAATTATTTCCTTAACATTAATAAAAATATCTATCAATAGGGTTATCTTACTTTATATCAAAAAGGTGTTTGATATTTGCTTAAATTTTTTTAAACACTTAAACTGGAATTAAAGTATATTTTTAACAGAAGTAAGGATATCTAAACTATTATGAAATACTGAAGGTATTCCCACTAAAGACAAGAATAAGATAAGGACACCTGACATCACTTCTAATCAATGCAATAAAACAAGAAAATGTAATAATAAGTAAATATTAGAAATGGAAAATATTAAATTATATCAACAGAAATACTGTAAGAGAATTCAGTAAAATATTTAAATACAAAATAAATATACTAAGAGTAGGATGCTAAAATAGAGAAAAGAAACTTTACAATAGCAACAATAAAATAAATCTAGGAATAAATGTTTAAAAGAAGGCTGGAACTTACATTCGAAAATCACAAATTTGGAATGTGCTATTGATGGATGAGAAAACATAAAAATATAAAAGGCCATTTTCTCCAACTTAATTTATGAATTACATTATTCTAAGTTATTGTTTGGAAGAACAATCAGATGAGAATAGTGCAGATAATTTTGAAAAATAATAAAGATAGACTTATAAGATCAATATTACAATATGTTGTGGAACTATAACAGTGGAAACTGCTGCTACAGATATAGAGAGACACATCAGAGAAGTGGAACAGAGATCTGAAAACACAAATGAAAGAACAAGTGAGAATCTGCCATATAAGGCTGGCATTAAATTAGTTGGAAGGTGGTAGATTATTTAACAAATGGTATTTCTAAGTTAGCACAATTGGCTGATTTAGAAAAAGATGAAATAAATTTGAACTTGCACCTCACACCTCATAGCAAAATATATTCCAGATGATAATAGTTAACATTTACTGGGTAATTTTATATGTCAGGCACCATTCAAAGTTATTTATAGTCTGGGCACAGTGACTTATGCCTGTAATCCCAGCACTTTGGGAGGCCAAGGACTCCTGAGGTCAGGAGTTCGAGACCAGCCTGACCAACGTGGTGAAAACCCATCTCTACTAAAAATACAAAATTGGCCAGGTGGTGCACTCCTGTAATCCCAGCTACTTGGGAGGCTGAAGCAGGAGAATCGCTTGAACCTGGGAGACAGAGATTACAGTGAGCTGAGATTGCACCATTGCACTCCAGCCTGGGCAACAAGAGCAAAACTCCGTCTCAAAAATTTAAAAAATTTATTATTTTCATTAATCCTTACAATAATCTCATGAGCTAGGATCAATTATTTAACCCATTTTACAGAAAAGAAAACAGAAGTTAATTAATTTGTCCAAGATAACACAGTAAGTTGCAGAACCAGATCTCTTGAATCCTAGTAGTTTGGCTCTTTAGTCCACATTCTATAAACATTCTATAAACATAGAAAAGTGAAACTATAACATAACTAAAAAAAAAAAAAAAGAATGATGAAAGCTTTTTTTTTTTTTTTTTTTTTTTGAGACGGAGTTTCACTCTTGTTGCCCAGGCTGGAGTGCAATGGCACAATCTTGGCTCACCGCAACCTCCACCTCCTGGGTTCAAGCGATTCTCCTGCCTCAGCCTCCTAAGTAGTTGGGATTACAGGCATGTGCCACCACGCCCAGCTAATTTTGTATTTTTAGTAGAGACAGGGTTTCTCCATGTTGGTCAGGCTGGTCTCAAACTCCCGACTTCAGGTAATCTGCCCATCTTGGCCTCCCAAAGTGCTAGGATTACAGGCATGAGCCACCGTGCCCAGCCCTGATGAAGGCCTTTCTAAGGGATATGAAAAAATAGACTCTATGGGCCAGGGGCAGTGGTTCACGCCTGTAAATCCCAGCACTTTGGGAGACCAAGGCTGGTAGACCATCTGAGCTCAGGAGTTTGAGACCAGCCTGGGCAACATGGTGAAACCCTGTCTCTACCAAATATACAAAACAATTAGCCAGGTGTGGTGGTGCATTCCTGTAGTCCCAGCTACTTGGGAGGCTGAGGTGGGAGGATCACTTGAACCCAGGAGGCAGAGGTTGCAGTGAGCTGAGATCACACCACTGCACTCCAACCTGGGTCACAGAGTGAAACCCCGTCTCAAAAAAAAAAAAAAAAAAAAAAGAATAGACTCTATGGATTGATATAATTGGCTACCCACATAAACTTATTTAACTTCTGTACATCAAAAAATACCATCAGTAAAATTTTAAAAATCACAAACCAAAAAAAAAAAAAAAATAGCTTACATAACCAGTGTATTAGTCTGCTCTCATACTGCTATAAAGAACTACCCAAGACCAGATAATTTATAAAGAAAAGAGGTTTAATTGACTCACAGTTCTGTATGGCTGGGGAGGCCTCAGGAAATTTACAATCATGGCAGAAGGGGAAGCAAATATATCTTACATGGCGACAGGTGAGAAAGCATGTGAGCGAGCACAGGGGAACTGCCCTTTATAAAACCATCAGCTCTCATGAAACATATTCACTATCATGAGAACAGCATGGGGAAAACTGCACCCATAACCCAATCACTTCTCTTTCTCGACACGTGGGGATTACAATTCAAGATGAGATTTGGGTGGGGACACAAAACCTAACCCTATCAACCAGTTTCATCATTACTCTATAAAGAGCTCTTACAAATCAGTAAAAAAGATCAATAAAAAAAGATCAAAACCTCAGTAAAAGTGGGCAAAGTATATGAGCAGACAAATCATATGTAGTGTGTGTGTGTATATATATGTGAGTTTGTGTATATATATGTGTGTATGTGTGAGTGTATATATGTATATGTATACACACATATATCTTTACATATATACACACACATTTTAAAAACTTTCATCTCACAAATAATAAGACAGTGAACAGGGAAACAATAATACAATTCCTTCAGATAGTCAAATTGGCAAAAATTTTTAATTCTAAAACTCTGTAATTGAAAGTGTAGGGAAATAGAAATTCTCATAAAATAGTATTGGAACTATGAATGAATATCACTTTTTCTAGAAGACAGTTTGACAATATATTATCAAAAACTGTTAAAATGTGCATAAACTTTGACCCAGAAATTCTACCTCAAACAATTTGTTCTAAAACAATTGACAGATGTATGAAAATATTTATGGATAAATAGTTTTATCACAGCACTGTTTATAATAGAGACAAATTAGATACACTCTTAATACCCAACAACAAAGAAATTCTTAACTGCATTTGGTGCTTCCATGTGATAGAAGATTATGCAACCATTGAAAATGACAGGGGAGAAATGGTCACAGTAAACTACTTTAAAACTTTCATACAGGATGATCCCATTTTTGTAAATAAATCCACCACTGGGTGTGTGTCTGTGTTCTGTAAAGATAAGCACAAAATATTAATTCTGAATGCTATAATTTAACATTCCCTTCTCCCTTCCTTTTTTTGTGTATTTTTCAAATTTTCAACAAAGAACTGTGTAATCAGATGGAAAAAGGGGATTTTATCATTAAATAAGTCATATCTCAACATTAATTCTTGACAGACCTTGTATTTACACATGTCCCACTAAAGAGATGCCATTTTTATTTCTACCCTTTCCTTCATTTTTCTAGTTTCCTCGTGTTACCAAATATTTCCTGTGTGCTTTCATCTTACCCTCAGTTCTGGCATCCAAAGACATTATTATGGAGAACGTGCCAGTATGTGTGTCAGCAAAATGAATCAATTAAAAGAGTTGACCTTGGATCCCTTTCCATGAACAGCACATAAAAGGCAGGCTATTATGAGATTTATAGGCAGGGCAAGTTTTAAGTGGAGAAAAGGGAGCCGAGAAGGATCAGAGCATCACCACTCACAACACACCCTTCTCTTTGCCCGTGGCTCCAGCTTTGGGGAAGGGGAAGGAGCAAGACAGGGTCTCACTCTGTTGCCCAGGCTGGAATGCACTGCAGCAGTGCCATGATAGCCCATTGCAGCCTCAAACTCTTGGGCATCCTTCTGCCTCAGCCTCCCAAGTAGCTAGGGCTAAAGGCACACACATCAGGCTAATTTTTTTTATTTTTTGTAGATACGGGGTCTCACTGTGTTGCCAGGCTGGTCTCTAACTCCTGGGCTAAAGTGATCCACCTGCGTTGGCCTCCTAAAGTGCTGAGATTACAGGCATGAGCCACCTCACCTGGCCAGAAAGATAACTTTGAATGCATCTGTGTATCTACACATTTTTATATATACAGGTATACATACATTTTATACATACCTCTATCTATACATATGTAGACATGCATATATATGTATGTATATGCACATTTTTATTTATATATATGTGTGTGTGTGCACACGTGTATGAATTTTACATGGAAAGCCAAAATATCAAAGTGAAAGGGAAAGGCTGAAAGCAGGAAGACTGGTTTACTTGGTGGCCAAGTGTTAGAAGATGAGCAACAATGAGGGCAGGGCAGAATGAATGAGTATGAAGGATCTTTATGAAACAGAATCAGAGCTTTCTCTGCTTCTCCCTGACTGTGGCAGAAGATGGCTGCTCCCTCATCCCCAGCTTCCCACTTTACATTCCCTCTATTCAAATGATCAGTCCTGACTAACTAACTACCTGTCACTCAGTGGTCATTCCAAATTCGCAGGAGAGAGAATCTGATTGGTCTAGCTCAGCATAGTTGTCCAATCAACTGGTCCAATCAACTGTGGCCAAGCTCAGGGTCACAGATCACAAATGTGGTTGCTGGGGTCCATTTAACTACTGTCTGTCTTCACCTCTAGACTATATTCTTCATGAGGACAGGGACCTCAACATTTGCTCAATACTGTCTGCAGCACCTTTGAGGACATAGCCGGCACTTAAAACCCATTTGTCAAAAGGATAAATGCATAAATAAATTAACAAATGAAGAGAATCATAGTGTAGAAGGCTAACTATTAAGTCATCCAATCCAGCCATCCATTCATTGTTGATGTGTTTAATTCATCAGTAGAGCACCACCTTCGGCAGGATTATGTCAATTGCCTTCAATATGTCGATGAGGTTTTGTGGTCTAGCCTGAGTTTACAAGAATGATTTAAGTTAGAAACTATGCTCATAATTCCAAACAACTGACTTGGGAAACCTAATTCATTAGTAACTTGAGAAATACCTACAGCCCTCCAAACAAGGTAATCAATGGGAGAACTAGGCCAGAGAGAAAAGGTATTTGTCAGAGGAAACTTGGCATGTATGTTATACTTTTACGATCTAATTATTTTAGTGTTCTTCCTGTGGAATCCATTTTCCTTAGATGACCTCTGTTCATAGGAAACTATTTGGTTTAATCTGTGGAAGCCATAGCATATTTTTAACCATCTCCAAAGTCCAGCTCCCTCTCCACGGAGCGTGCCTGATGCCCAAACAGATGTCTCATAACACAGCACACATGAGCTCACCACTGGCAAGTCTTTTGCACACAATCGGCCCACACCTCTTCTCACATCTCCCTGTCATCCCACAAACCCAAATTCAGAAGTTGCAGGCAAGCTCAAACTCTTACCACAATAATAGAAAAGCAGAAGGCAGACCTCCAATTTTGAAGTTTCAATTTATTAATATTTTTAAAAATCTAATGACCAACCAGAAAAATATGCAATACAAAGCATTAGCCAAACTAATTAGTATAAAGAAATGTGCAAACTGGCTGCCCCAAAAGAATTCAGATTAAATTATCCAAGGAAAAGGTTTCAAAGGAATTCAAATTTTGATGGAGGCCAGGTGCGGTGGCTCACACCTATAATCCCAGCACTTTGGGAGGCCAAGGCTGGCGGATCACCTGAGGTCAGGTGTTCAAGACCAGCCTGGCCAACATAGCGAAACCCCGTCTCTACTAAAAATACAAAAAAAATTAGCCAGGTGTGGTGGCACACGCCTGTAATTCCAGCTACTTGGGAGGCTGAGGCAGAAGAATCGCTTGAACCCAGGAGGCAGAGGTTGTAGTGAGCCGAGATCACTCTCACAGAGTGAGACTCCATCTCAAAAAAAAAATGTTGATGGAATTATAGAATATTAGGGCTGAAAGGCCCTTGAACGTCATCTAGCCGGTACAACTTAATTGGACAGATGAAGAAACCGAAGCCCATAGAGAGAAAGTGACTTGCCCCAGGTTTCACAGTGAGTATGTTAGTGGCAGAACTAGAGGTAGAACTCTGCCTCCTGACTGCAACCCACAAGGCAGACCACAGCCCCCAGCACCAGTGTCCTGTCTCTAAATGCCTCAGACCATCAATGCCTGGAGTTCAAACCCAAGGAAATCCAGAACCTGATCAACAAGATCTTTCATCCTGACCATTTCATCATAACCATTTCAGAATATGTCACCTCCAATTTAGGCAAAGCTTTTTGTTGAGAACAATTTCCTTTAATAAAGCAATCGAAGGTAACCCAAAAAGTATTTTTAGAGGTAACATTAACCTTTCAAGTGTGGAAGCCAAGGGAAGTACATAGGATTCTTGCTATCCTTTCTCCAAGAACCTAGGAGATGTCCAAGGAGACCATGGGGAGGTGACTGAGAAGCCCTAAACTCATAGCTGTGTTCCTGGATCCTTGACCTTTGGAGAGCTTAAACCTGCAGGGAAAAATCAGAGCTTTCTAAGACATCTTGCTGCACCTCGGAGCTCCGGTGTGTGAGCAGTACTTGTTGAGTGCCAACTTGAATGTTGGGCTCTTTAGAGCAACACTAGGCTCCACAGGAGAAGCCCTTGAGGGTGCCTCAGAGGTGCTCACCAACCAGTTAAGGAGCAATGTTTCTAATGGGAAACATTTAGAGTAGGGTTCCACATGGCAAATTATATTCCTCATTGAACAAATATTTGTGGAGGGCATAGGGTGGACCAAGCTGGACATCTTGCAAGAAAAGAGTAAGACATCAATTGAAAGCCATAAGCACGCACCAGATCCCAAAGGGCTGTGTATGCCAGTGGAGGTGTTTGGCTTTTATTTTAAAGGTGATGGGGAATCACTGAAGAATTTTGAGCTGGAGAGTGAATTGACCAGACTTAGGTTCGGGAACAATCGTTTGACTATGTCAAGAGCTGCTGGATTGTGGTCAAGTGCTACACTGTGTGATGCTATCTACAAGTCTTTCAAGAAATCATTTGCACTTTTAGTCTATATTCAGGAATACAGTATAAAGAGGATGAGTTCCTGAGGCAAACAGAGCTGGGTTTTAATCCCACTCTGCCACTTACTGGCTGTGTAGTCTCGAGCAAGTTATTTAAATAGGTGTGAGACTTTAGTTTTTTTTCTGTACAATGAAAATACTGATACATAACTGACAGAGTTTTGATGATAAGTAAAGACACTAATGTACCTGGACGTTTCAAATAGTCCTCCCACCACCATTAGATACACCCAAATCAAAATGGCACTTTCAAGCCTAGGAGGAAGGCCAGCTGGCATCCTAAGCCTTCATTTAGCTGGAGATATTGTTGCATTTTCTTCTTAGAATTTAATCTGAGAAATTTTTGCTAATGTGTGAAAATAATTGGCATTCATTCCTGTAAATGAGGATGCTGAGGTAAACTGAGGTCAAAGCCAAATCTTGGATCGGAATCAAACCACCCAAAACCAATACTGTGGAAAATAAAACTGGGTCACAAAGACCAGTGTTATGAAGCGAGAGTTCCAATCGTCCTAGCAACCTTTTAACCAAACACTGGTGCAGATTTGCTGGCCTACATGACGGTGAGAACATCTGGCCTTTCTATTATCCTCTTGCAAGCAAAAAACGATGTTGTGTAAACTGATCTTTAGGCCAATTATATGGTCTAAATGTTACCGTGTTTATGCTGGCACCTCTGACTCCAGGTTTTAAGAACTTATTGTAACCACACCCCTCTTACAAAGACTGTGGGTCTTACTGTATATTACCCCAGGGATTTATTGATGCCGAGTCTGCACCTTTTTTCAGGAAGATAAATTCAACATCAGTCAAATTGTGTGCAGTGCACTGTGGGAGGTCCTATAAGAAATAAGTTACAGGACTTGGTGGCAACAGGAGGAGAGAACAAACATAAGAGTGCAGGCTCTAGGGGCTGCTTTGTTTTTCCCTACAATTTTGCTACATTTTTTCCTATTTACCAGTTGTATTATAGAAGCCAGATGTGGAGTATAGAAGCTCTAGTCTGCAGCTCACTCAGAAGACACTAAACTAGGAGTTGGAACACCTGATACCACCTCCAACTGGCCTTTCCACCACAGACAGGGTCTGATTGTGTCTGCGCATCCCCACCTGCAGAGAGACAGCATTAGACTACTAAACACAATGCGCCAGGCACTGTTCCAAGCCCTTCATAACACTGATTAAGGGAGTCCTCCTAATACCTGTAAGTGACAGGCGGTATGATTACCCCCACTTCACATCACACTGTGGGGTGTCCCACAGTGGGGGCCACGCAGAAGCTCTGAGCTTGCCCCTCCCCTCTGGCTGCTCGATGAGAGCTCTGGGCTTTTGTGCTCAGCTCTAAAGGACCAGGTGGTGGGGAGTGAGGGGAGGGTCTATAATGAACCACAGCACAATGCTCTGGATTAGGTGACCCATGGGCGTACCCCTAGGGTGTTACTGACCAGAGGAAGGAGGACTCTTTGCCTCCACCATCACCATTTTACCCCACCCCATCTCCATCCCTCTGCTGCTCTGGCCAAGACACCACGGCGGCAGCTGGAAGTGCTGACCTCAGGTCTTCCTCCCCACCTCACTCCCCCACAGCCCCCACTGCCCTCTTTCATCCCATCTTCAGGGGACAGATGTGAGAGACCATCTTTTAGTCTGTGGATGCTTTCAACTTTTTTGAAAACCCCTGGGAATCCTAACATGGATTATGAACAGAGATATTGGCAGAAGAAGGCTGGGAGCTCCCGATTTTGTCTCTGGACAAAACAGCCTCTGGTAAAAACAGTAGAGTGACTTATTTCAATTGAAGAGAATAAGTACATGAGCTTCCGGATTCATTAATTAATTAGCCTCCCCTCTCGGCCAGCCTGGTGGCCAGCTCTAGAAGACATCTGAAGCCAGATGAGCACTCAACCCCAGGCACCAGCAGCTCCTTCCCCAGGATGAGGGTTTCCCTTCATCTTTCAAGGACATGAATCTCTTGAGCCTCTCTGTCTGACTTTGCATGTCTAGGAACGAAGGGCAGAACAGATAGCACAGTAAATCCCAGCTCTAAATTGTCGTCATGGGAATTCATCACAGATGGTAATCATTAGGGCCCTCACATCTTAAAGGAAAGCTTTATCCAGAATCATAAATAAACTGTAACCAAGGCTTAGATTTATAAAGCTATAAAAGAGGGCAGCTTGAACAGCCGGGAATGTACAGTACTGGGTTACAAAATCGGCATCATGCCTGAAAGGCTGGACATAAACCCGGGAGCTCTGGGCAGTGCAGCGAGGAGGGGGTAAATTCTTTCTGCAGTGGGTGGAACCCCAGTCACAGCCTCCCCGGCTTAGCACCTGGTTTAATCACATGAAATGCAAGCTCAGAGAAACAGGGGTGCTGGCATCTAAACATAGCATTGCAACTCCTAAACCAATTGCAGTCCCATCAAGTTTGGCCCTTCCTCACCAAGATGCCCTCTGACTAATGCTATGTCCTAGGAATTAATTTTCACTTTATTGCTAAGGTTTCCCACCCCCTACTTTTCCTGAGTGGCTCAAACAACTCCGTTTTTACCAAAAGTCCCTGTACCATGCAGAACACCCTGTGAGGCTGTGAGTTGTGGAGCAGCAAAGCACAAAACAAGGCTGCAGCCTTCCAGAAGTTTCTTGTCTGGCCAGGGAGGCAAGGCATTTACAGATGAAACAACTGTAGTATGCAGGCTGCAATGTGTGGTGTAGGCTGTAACTAGAGAACTCAAGGAAGCAAAGGGTAAGTGGAGGCTGGAGTCACTGTGGGGGAAATGTTTGGGGGAAAAGGGACATGATTTATGACTTGAAGGATGCACAGGGCTGTGCACAAGGAGGGAAGGTTTGCTCAGCATGTGGCTTGTCCCTTCTGTGGCCCATCCTGAGCCAAGTCTCTAATAGCACACTCTCATTTTCCTCTTGTCCTAGAGCTAATTTAAGCAGCAATTGTTCCCCAAATTCCACACCTCACCCTCTTCATTCTCATTCAAGCTCATCCCTAAAAGGCCTGGAAAGGGAAACTCTGTGCTCTCTGGACATATCTCGTTCAGGCTGGACACCACAGGATAACTTCCATCCTGGAGCATGTGGCCAGGAACAATTCCACACCCCAGCCCCAGGCCCAGCATAGAGGGCAGCCTCAGAGAGGAGCAACCCCACCTCAGCCGCTGTGGGGAGCAATTCTGTAGGCATCCAGACATGCCAGAGAGAGAACAATAAGATACCCCACAGGCATGGGAAGTGAGGGAGGCCAGGAGCCCTCAGAGGGGTGGGTACCCACCCAGGCAAGTGGCCAAGCGAAGAGAGCTCACGCCAGCATGGAACATGGTGAGCAGGAGAACCCCTGTCTCCCCTCCGTTGCAGAGCTGAGTGTTGCACAGAAGTTCCTGAGTACCAGATGAGACTAGTGGGTATCTACTGGGGGACAGAGAAAGCATGCCTGTGACTCTGGAGAGCAGAGCAGATACTATAGGGGAGACAGGGCTACTTAAGGCTGGCTTTGGACGCTGACTTTCAGGAGGCTGCTTTAAGGGGTTCCAGGGTCTTCTCTGCATTGTTCAGTTGAGTACCCAAGAAGGGTAGGAGAAAAGCAGAATTCAGGGCAGATGCCTGCTTGGCAATAGAATGTCCCCAGGTTGTATTTCTTAAGGTACACAGGTTGTCAGTTCCTGTGACAACAACTAAGGCTACCTGCACAGGTGCAGCCGCGTGTAGAAGAGGGATTCCCACAGCCAGAACAAGGGCAGGACAAACTGTTTATTATTTACTAGCACTTTGGAGAAGGCAAGGCGTGGATGAGGAAGCTGTATTGATCACATCAGTAGAGATAGCTGCCTCCTTCATTCATTACCGGGAACAAGTGTTTGAGGGGGCACAGACGAGGTAAATGCATCAGGGCCTCCATGACAACTCCAATCACAGAATCTAGCTACATCCTTGAATTACAATATAGGAGAAGCTCGTGGTGTTAACCTTCTGCCATTTCCAGGCATGTAACTGAACTAATCAAAATAAATTACTTTTGTTTATGAAATATGAGGATCCCTTCCAGAAGGCAAAGTAGCAGCAGGAAGAATAATTCTGGAGTCTATTTTGGGTTAGAATCACCAACCCCATCTCTTCCTAGTTGTGTGGCCTTGAAAAAGTAACTCCGCTTTTCTGAACCTCTGCTTCCTCATCTGTGCAGTGGAACAGCTAATAATACCCGGTTAGCAGGGCTGTTGAGGAGATTCAGTTTAATGACCTCTGTACACAGCACCCAGTTAAGGTCAGTCTCATTCCCTTTCTCCCACTTGAGAGAGTTAGACTCCAGGAAAAGATGAATTTTAACAGTTTTGCAACACAGTCCAGGAAAAGGAAGTGGGGAGCTCACTTGTCCTCAAGTTCTACTATGTGCCACTAGAGAGTTGTCACCAACAGGGGCCAGCTTTCCACATATTGCTTGCAAGCCGCCCACCACAGCACCACAGGCCCTGATGTGAGGCCGTCCGCTCACGTTTCCTTCTCTCCAATTCTTTTCTAGGGGCGCTGCATCAACTTCACCAGGGTCAAGAACAACCAGCCAGCCAAGTACCCACTCAACAACGCCTACCACACCTCCTCGCCGCCTCCTGCCCCCATCTACACTCCCCCACCTCCTGCGCCCCACTGCCCTCCCCCGCCCCCCAGCGCCCCTACCCCTCCCATCCCGTCCCCACCTTCCACCCTTCCCCCTCCTCCCCAGGCTCCACCTCCCAACAGGGCACCTCCTCCCTCCCGCCCTCCTCCAAGGCCTTCTGTCTAGAGCCCAAAGTTCCTGCTCTGGGCTCTCTCAGAAACTTCAGGAGATGTTAGAACAAGTCTTTCCAGTTAGAGAAGAGGAGTGGTGATAAAGCCCACTGACCTTCACACATTCTAAAAATTGGTTGGCAATGCCAGTATACCAACAATCATGATCAGCTGAAAGAAACAGATATTTTAAATTGCCAGAAAACAAATGATGAGGCAACTACAGTCAGATTTATAGCCAGCCATCTATCACCTCTAGAAGGTTCCAGAGACAGTGAAACTGCAAGATGCTCTCAACAGGATTATGTCTCATGGAGACCAGTAAGAAAATCATTTATCTGAAGGTGAAATGCAGAGTTGGATAAGAAATACATTGCTGGGTTTCTAAAATGCTGCCTTCCTGCCTCTACTCCACCTCCATCCCTGGACTTTGGACCCTTGGCCTAGGAGCCTAAGGACCTTCACCCCTGTGCACCACCCAAGAAAGAGGAAAACTTTGCCTACAACTTTGGAAATGCTGGGGTCCCTGGTGTGGTAAGAAACTCAACATCAGACGGGTATGCAGAAGGATGTTCTTCTGGGATTTGCAGGTACATAAAAAATGTATGGCATCTTTTCCTTGCAAATTCTTCCAGTTTCCAAGTGAGAAGGGGAGCAGGTGTTTACTGATGGAAAAGGTATGTTGCTATGTTGATGTGTAAGTGAAATCAGTTGTGTGCAATAGACAGGGGCGTATTCATGGGAGCATCAGCCAGTTTCTAAAACCCACAGGCCATCAGCAGCTAGAGGTGGCTGGCTTTGGCCAGACATGGACCCTAAATCAACAGACAATGGCATTGTCGAAGAGCAACCTGTTAATGAATCATGTTAAAAATCAAGGTTTGGCTTCAGTTTAAATCACTTGAGGTATGAAGTTTATCCTGTTTTCCAGAGATAAACATAAGTTGATCTTCCCAAAATACCATCATTAGGACCTATCACACAATATCACTAGTTTTTTTTGTTTGTTTGTTTTTTGTTTTTTTTCTTGGTAAAGCCATGCACCACAGACTTCTGGGCAGAGCTGAGAGACAATGGTCCTGACATAATAAGGATCTTTGATTAACCCCCATAAGGCATGTGTGTGTATACAAATATACTTCTCTTTGGCTTTTCGACATAGAACCTCAGCTGTTAACCAAGGGGAAATACATCAGATCTGCAACACAGAAATGCTCTGCCTGAAATTTCCACCATGCCTAGGACTCACCCCATTTATCCAGGTCTTTCTGGATCTGTTTAATCAATAAGCCCTATAATCACTTGCTAAACACTGGGCTTCATCACCCAGGGATAAAAACAGAGATCATTGTCTTGGACCTCCTGCATCAGCCTATTCAAAATTATCTCTCTCTCTAGCTTTCCACAAATCCTAAAATTCCTGTCCCAAGCCACCCAAATTCTCAGATCTTTTCTGGAACAAGGCAGAATATAAAATAAATATACATTTAGTGGCTTGGGCTATGGTCTCCAAAGATCCTTCAAAAATACATCAAGCCAGCTTCATTCACTCACTTTACTTAGAACAGAGATATAAGGGCCTGGGATGCATTTATTTTATCAATACCAATTTTTGTGGCCATGGCAGACATTGCTAATCAATCACAGCACTATTTCCTATTAAGCCCACTGATTTCTTCACAATCCTTCTCAAATTACAATTCCAAAGAGCCGCCACTCAACAGTCAGATGAACCCAACAGTCAGATGAGAGAAATGAACCCTACTTGCTATCTCTATCTTAGAAAGCAAAAACAAACAGGAGTTTCCAGGGAGAATGGGAAAGCCAGGGGGCATAAAAGGTACAGTCAGGGGAAAATAGATCTAGGCAGAGTGCCTTAGTCAGGGACCACGGGCGCTGAATCTGCAGTGCCAACACCAAACTGACACATCTCCAGGTGTACCTCCAACCCTAGCCTTCTCCCACAGCTGCCTACAACAGAGTCTCCCAGCCTTCTCAGAGAGCTAAAACCAGAAATTTCCAGACTCATGAAAGCAACCCCCCAGCCTCTCCCCAACCCTGCCGCATTGTCTAATTTTTAGAACACTAGGCTTCTTCTTTCATGTAGTTCCTCATAAGCAGGGGCCAGAATATCTCAGCCACCTGCAGTGACATTGCTGGACCCCTGAAAACCATTCCATAGGAGAATGGGTTCCCCAGGCTCACAGTGTAGAGACATTGAGCCCATCACAACTGTTTTGACTGCTGGCAGTCTAAAACAGTCCACCCACCCCATGGCACTGCCGCGTGATTCCCGCGGCCATTCAGAAGTTCAAGCCGAGATGCTGACGTTGCTGAGCAACGAGATGGTGAGCATCAGTGCAAATGCACCATTCAGCACATCAGTCATATGCCCAGTGCAGTTACAAGATGTTGTTTCGGCAAAGCATTTTGATGGAATAGGGAACTGCAAATGTATGATGATTTTGAAAAGGCTCAGCAGGATTTGTTCTTAAACCGACTCAGTGTGTCATCCCCGGTTATTTAGAATTACAGTTAAGAAGGAGAAACTTCTATAAGACTGTATGAACAAGGTGATATCTTCATAGTGGGCTATTACAGGCAGGAAAATGTTTTAACTGGTTTACAAAATCCATCAATACTTGTGTCATTCCCTGTAAAAGGCAGGAGACATGTGATTATGATCAGGAAACTGCACAAAATTATTGTTTTCAGCCCCCGTGTTATTGTCCTTTTGAACTGTTTTTTTTTTTATTAAAGCCAAATTTGTGTTGTATATATTCGTATTCCATGTGTTAGATGGAAGCATTTCCTATCCAGTGTGAATAAAAAGAACAGTTGTAGTAAATTATTATAAAGCCGATGATATTTCATGGCAGGTTATTCTACCAAGCTGTGCTTGTTGGTTTTTCCCATGACTGTATTGCTTTTATAAATGTACAAATAGTTACTGAAATGACGAGACCCTTGTTTGCACAGCATTAATAAGAACCTTGATAAGAACCATATTCTGTTGACAGCCAGCTCACAGTTTCTTGCCTGAAGCTTGGTGCACCCTCCAGTGAGACACAAGATCTCTCTTTTACCAAAGTTGAGAACAGAGCTGGTGGATTAATTAATAGTCTTCGATATCTGGCCATGGGTAACCTCATTGTAACTATCATCAGAATGGGCAGAGATGATCTTGAAGTGTCACATACACTAAAGTCCAAACACTATGTCAGATGGGGGTAAAATCCATTAAAGAACAGGAAAAAATAATTATAAGATGATAAGCAAATGTTTCAGCCCAATGTCAACCCAGTTAAAAAAAAAATTAATGCTGTGTAAAATGGTTGAATTAGTTTGCAAACTATATAAAGACATATGCAGTAAAAAGTCTGTTAATGCACATCCTGTGGGAATGGAGTGTTCTAACCAATTGCCTTTTCTTGTTATCTGAGCTCTCCTATATTATCATACTCAGATAACCAAATTAAAAGAATTAGAATATGATTTTTAATACACTTAACATTAAACTCTTCTAACTTTCTTCTTTCTGTGATAATTCAGAAGATAGTTATGGATCTTCAATGCCTCTGAGTCATTGTTATAAAAAATCAGTTATCACTATACCATGCTATAGGAGACTGGGCAAAACCTGTACAATGACAACCCTGGAAGTTGCTTTTTTTAAAAAAATAATAAATTTCTTAAATCAACTCTTTTTTCTGGTTGTCTGTTTGTTATAAAGTGCAACGTATTCAAGTCCTCAATATCCTGATCATAATACCATGCTATAGGAGACTGGGCAAAACCTGTACAATGACAACCCTGGAAGTTGCTTTTTTAAAAAAAATAATAAATTTCTTAAATCAACTCTTTTTTCTGGTTATTTGTCTGTTTGTTATAAAGTGCGACGTATTCAAGTTCTCAATATCCTGATCATAATACAGTGGTTGCTGTGCTATACATTAAATTACATTTCTCAAATGATTTCATGCCTTCCACTAATTTCTCTACTGTCTGGATTACTGTCATTTCTTCCTTAGCTGTCAGACATTCAAAATATTTTTTATTTCTCATAACAAATTTCAAATTAAAAATGTAATCCATGCTAAGAGAAAATAAGTAAAAAGTGAAAACAGAACACACAGGAAAAATATACTGCATCAGTTAGGATTGTGTTTGGCTAACGTAGCAGAAAGGCAACTAGGATTGATTTTACAAGGAGTCCAGAGATTTGCAGCAACCCAAGAACCAGACAGTGTTGTGGACAGTGCTGCAATAAATACCTTTCTATGTACATCTCAAAATCTTTGTATTGCTTCTGCATTTCTGATACAACTCACTTTATCCCTCCTAGCAGTTTTAATTCAGCTCCTCCATTTATTTTGTAGGTAGAAGAGCATCTCCTTCTAGTTCCTGAATTTCTTTGTAAGATCTCATTGAGCCTTGAATACATCTTAATTGGAATAAAACCATCCACAAACAGAAAGTCATGCCACAAGTCTTTTCTAAGTTTTCATTAGTATTTGCTTTTTAATAGGTATGGGTATGAACACATTTTAAAATTATATCTTTAATAATTGTGTTTTGGGGGTTATTTTGAGACAGGATCTTACTCTGTCACCCAGGCTGGAGTGCAGTGATGCAATCATGGTTTACTGCAGCCTCAAACCCCTAGGCTCAAGCAATTCTCCCGCTTCACCTTCCCAAGTAGCTGGGACTATGGGCATATGCCACCACACCTGGCTAGTGTGTGTGTGTGTGTGTGTGTGTGTGTGTGTGTGTGTGTGGATTTTTTGTTTGTTTATTTTTAGAGATAGGGTCTCACTGTGTTGCCCAGGCTGGTCTCAAACTCCTGGCCTCAAGTGATCCTCCTGCCTCAGACTCCCAATCGTAAATGGTTTTGAGATAATGGGTTAGAAATTTGAAAAGAAACAGGAAAAGCTGGAGCCCTACCTCACTCCTTACACCAAAATAAATTCTAACTGAATTTAAGTGTAACAAATAAAGCTAGAAAAGTACTAGAATTGTGAAAAAAGTTTTCTGTGTGGTATAAAGAATGTTAAAATCCTACATATTGTTTGCATGATCAATCAACTTTGTCATGAAATTGCTTGAAATAACCCTGAGTAATGATCCAATGCATTAAGTTGAACAAAGGAACCATTAATAACGGGAATAAGATCATTTATCAGGTGCTAACTGTGAACATGAATTTGAGATCCACCGTTTTTCACTAATCTGTCTTCAGATAAATCTGTTTTGTGGAGTATCACTTAGATACAAAACAATCAGAATAATACTTTGTCCATCTAAATACATTATAAACCAGGTGTCACTTAACAGTTACTATATATTTGGTATAAGGTTATAGAGTTGGCGTATGCCAAACATGATTTTTATTCTCTTTACAACTGTATTGTAATTTTTATGCTGACTACAATTGTATTGTGTTCTTTTCAATCACCACACCCCATCCCAAGTTATCATATCTAAACAAATTAGAAGCCTTATGATTCCACCACTGTAATCTTTTATTCCTTTCTCTTTTTTTCCTCAAAATTCAAGTAGTCACTAAGTTATAAAGATTCTTCCTTCTCTACTTAAGTTGGGACATTTTAGTTTTTGGAGTTTGAAAGTATGCATCTCCTTTACTTGGTTTTAAGTGCCATTTCGCAGTGTACTTATAAAGCAATTGCTGAGCTAACACAATTTTCTCTGAGTCACTTGAGAGCTGAAAGCAAGATTCTGTTAAAAGATATTCAGTTAATTGTGCACATTCAGTACTTTAGCCAGCATCTTTAGTTGGGACTTCTTTGTAAACATTAAAATAGATGCAACTCATAAAATACATTTTCCTTTGGGTAGTTAAGTAGTTTACATTCTTACAAAGGATTTTTAAAGTACAAGAAATGCTGGTTGTGAGGGCTGAGTGCAGAAAACATTTCACTTTCTTCTGAAAAAGAAGTTGTAAGACAAGAGAACTGTCAACCACCTATGATGAGTCCCTTCCAAAAATGTGCACCCCCAAGAGTAGCCAGGAAACCCTATACAGCCCTAACTTCACATTTTTTTAAAATACAAGCACTGTGTGACATTCGCTTCCCTGTGAATCCCACCCCAACTTTGCAGGATACAGAGTCCATGTCTTTTTGCTTAGTTTTACTCTTAACATTATTTACAGGACGCCTGTAAATGTAAAAGACTTGTGTGAAATTAATGATAATCTGCGTTTCCAGCCAAGCTCCTGTGGAGATAAATATTCCATGCAAACCCAAAGTGTGGTTCATAAATGAGATGAGGCAGAAGCATCCACATTGATCTGACATTGCAGGAAGGGGCTTCTCCTGGCTGGGGTGGACTCTGTTCAATTCCTCTTCTTCTAAATGGTGGCCAAGATGGTGGGTCTCAAACCTCAGGTGAATAAACCCATCCCTAAGGGGAGTAATGTAGGTCCCAGTCTTCTCTCCAGGAAGAGAAATACTTTTTCCTACTTCAAATGGGCATTGTAAGCATTTGCCACAAATAATCCTTTCTGATGCCATACACTAGATTGCCTTCCCCACTCTGGGCAGAATTGGGTGTTTATGAGCATTTCTGGCCATTGTCAGTGCCTGTGTTATATTTGACCCCAGTGATGTAATCACTACAAGAAATAAGACTGCAAAGCTCCAGGAGATTTTGATTCCACCTCCAATACTTGTCAGACACTTTCACTTGCCCCATGAAAGCTACCTCAGCAAATGCTCACTCTCAACAGGCCCTGGCCACTCTACATGTTACTTCTGTGACTGTTGGTTTTCAGTGCATTCTGATGTTTAGATCGGCGTTTTTATAGGCTCCTTCAATATTTGCTTTTATGAGATCCTTAAAAGAGAATTATCTCTGTTTAATCTTGGACCATTAGTAAAAACGAAAAGTGATCCTATCACTATGTCTTAGTGTGATTAGTTTTTTTAAAAAATTTAACTTCCTTAGCAATTTAGCAATAGGGAGGAAAAAAGCAACATCATTAACCTGATAAAGTGTATCTACCACGAACCTACAGGAAATATACTTAACATAAAATATTTTTAAATATTACCTTTACAATCAAAAAGAAAAAGATTCCAACCATCAGTGTTATTGTCCACCTTTGGTCCTAGCCAGTGCAATAAAACAAATGAAAGGAAAAAGTAATTATAATTATCAGGAAGAAAAAACTGATTTGAATATAATTTACTATCTAAAAATTCCATGGAATCAACTTAAAAATTATTAGAACTAATAAGAGTTGTCCAGGTACATGGAAAACACTATCAATGATCAGTTAGGAAACAAGTTATTCATTCATTCATAATAGAAAAAATTATATATATATGTGTGCATGTGTGTGTATAAATTAACCAGAAATTAACTATAAATAAACCTAACAAAAAATGTGCAAAACTTATGGAAAGACAACTATAAAACTTTAATGAAATATTCTTAATGGAGAACTATACTACATTCTTGAATGGAAAGAGTTAATATTGAAAAGAATTCAGTTCTCTCTCAATCTACAAACTCAACTCGTGCCAATTAAAAAAAAAACTAGTAAGATGTCTACTTTCAAATGCTGATTCTAAGTTTTAATTAGAAAAGAAAATGGACAACTATAGTTAATATATGATGATAGAACAGTTTTCAGAAACAGACCTGTAAATAAATGGAAGTTTAGTTTATCATAATAATAGCATTTCCAAAACTAATTCTTTAATAAACGACTAAGTAGTTGGGAAAAACAAGATGAAATTCCTATCTCTGCTACATACAAAAATAAATTCCAAATGGATTAAATAAAAGCAAATGCATGCCAAGTTTTCTTGCTTCTAATTAACAGTGACAGTATCCCTTAGTAACACTGCCTTATGAATGGAAGTTTCTTATAATCTTGCCAATCAGAGAGATCTCATCTCCCAGAAAAGAGTGGAGAGAGAAATAGAAGGGCTGAAAGGAGTTGTCTTCTCTCTAATTAAGGCAGGAATAAGGAGAAAAAAAGAAAAAGGGTCCTTCCGCTGCCCATACTCTGATACTACAGTAGAACATATATTATTGTAACCTCTCCACTAACAATCTCATGCGTAGGGTGCCTCTCACATAGTAATCAGTGAAAAAACTATTAATAGTTATAAGTAATGAGTAAATAAACTTATAAATGAAGAATCTCAATGTTTCTAAATGCTTAAGCAAATCAACAATAGACATGGAAGCTATGTATGGGACAATGTTTTCTTTCAGGAGCCAAAGGTAATAAACAAATTCCCATTTTCCTATTGCCTTTGTGGAAATATTCAAAGTGCTGACTCTCACTGGGTGGTATTGAATGAATTCCTCTGAAAATTCATTAACTTTGTCAATTTACTGGATTACTTTTCAACGCATGCACATTCTTCCACAATCTATGTCTGTTGAGGTTAAGTCCTTTTTGCATTTGGCTTGAGAGGAAAAATAAGAATCGATGCCAAGAACTTGGGGTAGGTGCCAGAAGAAAAAACAGTGCCAGCCCTGGCAGTCGTCAGAAGACTGAACTCCAGTTTGTCTCATCCGTTTATCAAGTGTTCTGTCACAGGACCGGATCCCCTGCCATTCTTTGAATGCGTAGAGCAAGACTCAATGGTTGGGTCATGGCTCACTGAGGAAACAGTAAGATTCCAGAATCAAGAGTCAGGCTGTTGTGATAACTATTAATGCGTCATAAACAAGGCAGCTGTTGATCTGTAGATTTATGTTCTGATATTTCACAACTGCCAGAAAGGGCTTTGTTCAGTCTATGAGGAGGAGGTCTCCTCTCTTCTGCCCGCTAAGCATGTGATCTGTTAATTCAGTCACAACTACTGCTGGCATTACTAGTAGATTATAGAAACTGATGCTCACTTTATTTTTTCCTTCTTTTTTAATTAGTGCTTTATTTTTTGAAACAGTTTTAGGTTTACAGAAAAATTGAGGACGTAATGCAGAGTTCTTACATCCCCTATTCCCTGCACACAGTTTTTCCTGTTGCTAACATCTTCCATTGGTGTGGTACATTTGTTACAACTGATGAATCAAAACTGACACATTATTATTTACTTTTTTCTTTTTGAGACAGGGCCTTGCTCTGTCACCCACGCTGGAGTGCAGTGGCACAATCATGGCTCACTGTAACCTCAACCTCCTGGGCTCAAGCATCCTCCCACCTCAGTCTCCCAAGTAGCTAGGACTACAGGCACATACCACCGCACCTGGCTAATTTTTGTATTTTTTTGTAGAGAAGGGGTTTCACCATGTTACCCAGACTGATCTTGAACTCCTGGGCTCAAGCAATCTGCCCCCCTCAGCCTCCCAAAGTGTTGGGATTACAGGCATCAGCCACCACACCCAGCCCACATTATTATTTACCAACGTTCATAGTCTAGTACATTAGAGTTCACTCTGTGTTGTACAGTTCTGTGGGTTTTGACATACGCACACACATCCACGTATCGTACAGAATACTTCCACTGCCCTAAGTATCCCCTGCACTTCACCTATTCATCCATCCTCCTCCTCTCCCACAAACCCTGTAAACCCCTAATCTTTTTTTTTTTCAGACAAGGTCTTGCTATGTCACCCAGGCTGGAGTGCAGTGGCCCAATCATGGCTCCCTGCAGCCTCAACCTCATGGGCTTAAGCAATCCTCCCACCTCAGCCTCCCAAGGAGCTGGGGCCACAGACACACACTGCCATGCCCAGCTAATTTTTTTATTTTTATTTTTTGTAGAGACAGGATCTCACTATGTTGCCCAGACTGATTTCAAACTCCTGAGCTCAAGAGATCCTTTTGCATCGGCCTCCATGATTTTTTTTAACTTCTCCATAATTGGCGATTTCTAGAATGCCATATAGCTGGAATCATGCAGTACATAGGATTATTGGGTTGGCTTCTTTCACTTAGCAGTATGCATTTAAATTTCCTCCATGCCTTTTCATTGCTTGATATTCCATTTCTTTTTTTAATTACTGAATAATATTTAATTATCTGGATGTATCACAGCTTGTTCACCCAGCCATCTACTAAGGAGTACTAAGGCTGACTTTCTAACTGATTTGAACAGCCCATAGAGAGGAATCAGTGGGGAAATTTGTGTTTTCAATTAAGTATTCTAAGGTTTTTTATGTGTGTATAAGATACAGGTGGTGAGAGGTGAGTAATGAACGTCATTCATTCATTTTCCCAGCTCCAAAACAAAACCTCTTAAGCATTTTAATTCTTCTAGTCACTTTTATGTATATTAATTTTAACAATTAAAATTATACTATAAATACAAGTTTCTACCTTGTATTTTTTACTTAATATTATGAAAATGTATAAGGACAGTTTAGGTATTTTGCTCTGATCCCCTCTTCAAGGTATTTTCCCCTGCTACCCACCCCCAGCTACTGGGAATAGCAGCTGCTGGCAGCTCACAGCTGCATCCCTCACTAGGACTCGCTCTTGGCCTTAGCCAAGTTTATGCCCCTCCCAGGGTGGGCCCATGGCCAGTGACTGGCTAGCGCTTAATACAAAGGCTTGGACCCCTTTCCCCAAATTGGGGAATACTCAGAACAGCCATGCCAGCTCCAGAGGTCAGCTGAGGCTTCCATTGTAACTGTATCGCAAATCAGCTTCTCCTTCCACTCAATCTTTCCTTCTTTAATTCTAATCTCTTGAGAGCATTTCCTAATACAGCTCACCAACTCTGTGTCTGTTCCCAGGGATCAAATACAGTTGATATCAGAAATAGTCCTTAGAAGCAGACTCTTTCATTGAATTCTAGATCACTTACAGCAATTACTTGGGCAATGGGGACCCCATCACCTGTGGTAGGTGGGGGATGGAGAGCCCTTAGAATCCTGTTGTGGTGCAGTTATTAAAATTTTCACAGGTGGTGAGCTGGGATGGGAAACCAGTGGAGGGAGATGCACTCGCTGGTGCAATATATCTGGTATTCAAAAGGTATAAGAGATGGTAAATATAAGGGCTATGGGATTTGAGGGCCATTGCTATGACTTGATTCATTGAAGAAAGATACGACAGACTCAGTGTCATTCATCATCAATTCAAGGAAAAATAAGAAAACTAGAAGGTCTCTTGGGTAGCATTTAAGGAAACCCCAACCTGCTACAGGTAGAGGACAGCAGAGCAGAGATCCAACTAAGGACTTCATCATAACAGTAGTGGAGCTTCTGGCCGGGCGTGGTGGCTCATGCCTGTAATTTCAGCACTTTGGGAGGCTGAGGCAGGGGATCATTCGAGGTCAGGAGTTTGAGACCAGCCTGGCCAACATAGTGAAACCCCATCTCTAGCCAGGCATGGTGGTGTGCATCTGTAATCCCAGCTACTCGGGAGGCTGAGGCAGGAGAATCTCTTGAACCCGGGAGGTAGAGTTTGCAGTGAGCCGAGATCATGCCACTGCACTACAGCCTGGGAAACAGAGTGAGACTCCACCTCAAAAAAAAAAAAAAGAAAGTAGTGGAGCTTCAGAGAGGGTTGAATTCCCAACACCAGGAAGTCTCCTGTGTCAAATTCGGGGCCCTACTAAGGAAGCAGTGGGACCCTGATTCCCCTACACTTGTTGGGACTATAAAAGAAGCCCACTCCCATTTGTTAGAGGATACTGCCTCGGAAGTCTTAGCTAGAGCAATCAGACAAGAGGAAAGAAATAAAGGGCATGCAAATTAGAAAGGAAGAAATCAAATTATCCTTGTTGCAGATGATATGACCTAAAGACTCCACCAAAAAACTATTAGAGCTGATAAACAAATTCAGTAAAGTTGTAGGATACAAAATCAACATACAAAAACTCATAACATTTCTACATGTCAACAGTGAATAATCTGAAAAAGAAATCAAGAAAGTAATCCCATTTACACTAGCTACAAATAAAATATCTAGGAATTAACCAAACAAGTGAAAGATCTCTACAATGAAAACTATAAAACATTAATGAAGGAAATTAATGAAAGAAAGACAGCACCAAAAAATGGAGAGATATTCCATGTTTATGGATTGGAAGAATCAATATTGTTAAAATGTCCATGCTGCCCAACACAATCTACAGATTGAATGCAATCGCCATCAATATACCAATGACATCTTTCACAACAATAGGAAAAAAACAACCCTAACATTTATATGGAAGCACAAAAGACCCAGAATACCAAATCTCTCCAGAGCAAAAAGAACAAACCTGGAGGAATCACATTATCTGACTTCAAATTATACTATAGAGCTATAGTAACCAAAACACCATGGTACTGGCATAAAAACAGACACATAGACCAAGAAAACAGAACAGAGAACCCAGAAATAAATCCATACATCTACGGTGAACTCATTTTCAATGATAATACCAAGAACATACATTGGGGAAAGGACAGTCTTCTATAAATAGAGCTGGGGAAACTGGATTTCCATATGCAGAAGAATGAAACTAGACCTCACCATATACAAAAATCAAATCAAAATGAATTAAAGAATTTAAGTTGGCAAACTATGAAACTATGAAAGAAAACATTGGGGAAACTCTCCAGAATATTGGACTGGGCAAAGATTTCTTGAGCTATACCCTACAAGCACAGGCAACCAAAGCAAAAACAGACAAATGAGAACACATCAAGTTAAAAAGCTTCTGCAAGGCAAAGGAAACAATTAGCAAAGTGAAGAGACAATCCACAGAATGGGAGAAAATATTTGCCAACCATCCAGCTGACAAGGGATTAATAATCAGAATATATAGGCAGCTCAAACAACTCTATAGGAAAAAATCTAATAATCTAATTAAAAATGAGCAACACATCTGAATTGACACTTCCCAAAAGACACACAAATGGCAAACAGGCATATGAAAAAGTGCTCAACATCATTGATCATCAGAGAAATGCAAATCAAAACTACAATGAGATGTCATCTCACCCTAGTTAAAATGGCTTTTATCCAAAAGACAGACAACAAATGCTGCCAAGGATGTGGTAGCAATTGACATTGTTGGTGGGAATGTAAATTAGTACAACCACTATGGAGAACAGTTTGGAGGTTCCTCAAAAAACTGAAAATAGAACTATCATAAGATCCAGCCATCCCACTGCTAGGTATCTACCCAAAAGAAAGGAAATTAGTATATCAAAGAGATATGTTCACTCCCATGTTTTTGCAGCACTATTCACAATAGCCAAGATTTGGAAGCAACCTAAGTGGCCATCAACAAACAAGTGGATAAGAGAAATGTGGTACATATACACAATGAAGTACTATTCAGCCATAAAAAAGAATGAGATTCTGTCATTTGCAACAACATGGATGGAACTGGAAGTCATTATGTTAAGTGAAATAAGCCAGGCACAAAAAGACAAACTACATGTTCTCACTTATTTTGGGGAGCTAAAAACAAAAACAATTGAACTCATAGAGACAGCAGAAAGATGATTACCAGAGGCTGGGAAGGGTAGTTGGTAGGAGGGGGTAAGTGGGAAGGGTTAATGAGTATAAAAATATAGTTAGACAGAATGAATAAGATCTAATATTTGATAGCACAGCAGGGAGACTATGGTCAATAATTCATTGTACATTTTAAATAAGAGTATAATTGGATTGTATGTAACACAAAGGAATGATAAATGCTTGAGGTGATGGATACCCCATTTACCCTGATGTAATTATTACACATTATATGCCTGTATCAAAATATCTCGTGTACTTCATAAATATATGTAACTACTATGTACCCACAAAAATTAAAATTTTTTTTAAATTTAAATGTTTTTTTTAAAGATACTGCTTCCTTTTCTGTTTGAAAATCATGCAGAAACCTCAGATGAGGCAGTTGCCTTGCAGACAATGCTTGCCCCTCTTGGGATCGACCACCACCTACCATCATGACAACCAGACTGATCACAAGGTTGGAATCCCAACATGGTCCAACTGGCAAAGTGCTGCTAAAGGAAGAAAGAATCAGCACACCAGAGAAGCTTTAGGACATGGCTAGCATGTTCAAAAAGGAGCCAGGAGCATGTGCCTGGATCTGAACCCCAAGAAACCTGGATCAAGGGGGAGTAGGCAGAACATAAGGTTGAAGAAGGAGCTTGTCAATGTGGGAACACTTTCCTGAGACAAATGACTTTGCACTCTGGCAAGGACCCCGGGAGAAGGTACTAATACACCAGGATTGTTGCGGAAAGTCAGGAACCCCGAACGGAGGGACTGGCTGGAACTGAAGCAGAAGAACATAATTGTGAAGATTTCATGGACATTTAACAGTTCCCAAAATTAATACTTTTATAACTTCTTACGCCTGTCTTTACTGCAATCTCTGAACATAAATTTTGAAGATTTCATGGACATTTATCACTTCCCTAATAATACTCATAATTTCTTATGCCTGTCTTTACTTTAATCTCTTAATCTCATTATCTTTGTAAACTGAGAATGTTTGTCACCTCAGGACTGCTATTGTACAAATTGATTGTAAAACGTGTGTTTGAACAATATGAAATCAGTGCACCTAGAAAAAGAAGAGAATAACAGCGATTTTCAGGGAACAAGGGAAGATAACCATAAGGTCTGACTGCCTGCGGGGTCAGGCAGAATAGAGCCATATTTTTCTTCTTGCAGAGAGCCTATAAACGACGTGCAAGTAAGAGAGATATCGCTGAATTCTTTTCCCCGCAAGGAATACCCTGGAGAAGGAATGCATTTCTGGGGGGAGGTCTATAAACAGCCGCTCTGGGAGTGTCTGTCTTATGCAGTTGAGATAAGGACTGAAATACACCCTGGTCTCCTGCAGTACCCTCAGGCTTACTAGGATTGGGAAATTCCACCCTGGTAAATTTTGGTCAGACGGGTTCTCTGCTCTCGAACCTGTTTTCTGTTAAGATGTTTATCAAGACAACACGTGCATAGTGGGACATAGACCCTCACCAGTAATTCTAATTTTGCCTTTGCCTTGTGATCTTTATTGCACTTTGAGGCATGTGATCTTTGTGACCTACTCCCTGTTCATACACCTTCCCCACTTTTAAAATCTCTAATAAAAACTTGCAGCTCAGAGGACATCACGGACCTACCAATATGTGATGTTATCCCCGGAGGCCCAGCTGTAAAATTCCTCTCTTTGTATTCTTTCACTTATTTCTCAGACTGGCCAACACTTAGGGAAAATAAAAAGAACCTAAGCTGAAATACTGGGGGCTGGTTCCCCTGATAAAGGATGGATTTTGGAAGCTTGGAAACAGTAATGACCTACCCTAAGTGAATTAGAAAAGCCAGAATTTCTATGGCAGATGGAGGAAGAAAGGATCAAAAGGCTTGGGGAAGTAGGCAAGGCTTAATGTTATACTAGTAAGACAGGAAAACCCACTGACTCACTATGCCCTCTGGTAGGGCCAGAGGTACTCCAATGACCAGAACAGTAAAGAATGCACTGGTAAGGGAACACCAGCATTGCTGAGAAGCTCAGTGGGGCTGTGCTCTGTAGGCCAGGGTTGATGGTAAGAGAAGCTGCTGTAGAAATAGGATCTCTGATAGCTATGAGAAGTATAGAATCCCAACATTAAATTAGAGTCTGAATGGAGATACTTACCCATCAGAAGCAATATGGGTACAATTATCATAAGACCACAGTAACAAGTGGGGGACCCAACCCATAGAAGGTATGAAGATGGTTAACAGGACACAGGGTCCCTAGGAGCAAGATAGATGGGCAGCCAACAAAGGAACAATCAAAGCAACCAAACAATCAAAGGCACCAAAGATGGATGAGGAATTTGAGGACAGCCACCCCAATAAACAAAATCACAATCTGTTGCCCAGTTTCTGGATCTAGCAAGTTCTCAGACCAGGAATTCACTGATGAAGGAGAGACCATTTCCTATAAGAATAAGTCTTGCCACACCATGACTACTGTATCTAGTAATAATTCCTCAACATTTCCCCAAAGACCATCTATTTGGTACTCACAAAGTGGGGAAGGAGGGTTTTCCAGACGTTTTGAGGATTGTTGGAATTGAGGTATAAATTGACATTGATAACCAGAGACCCAAGGCATCCCAGGTTATAGACCCTTGTTACAGAAGGGACACATGGGGGCCAGGTTAAGTAAATGGAGACTTGACCCAGGTTCACACTGGGTCTACTTGGGTCCACAGACTGGATCCCAAATGTATAATGCAATGAACATGCTTAGTAGTTTGCAAAACATTTACATTGATTCTTTGACTTCTGGGGTAAGAGATACTGAAGTGGGACAAGCCAAGAAGAAGACTTTGAAACTGCTTCCTCCAAATCCCATCCCAGGCCAAGACAGTAATATTAAGAATAATATTGCATCCCAAGAGAGACAGGAAAGATTAGTGCTACACTGGAAAACGCATAATTAAGAGACATTGGGTCCTCTGATATTACCATTTAATTCATTCATCTGCTCCCTACAAAAATTAGATGGATCATGGAAAATGACAGCGAATTACTAAAACTCATCCAATTAGTAGCCCCTACTATACTGCTATACTAGATGCAGATCTTCACTAAAGCAGATTCACGCAGCCATAGACCTGGCAAATGCTTCCTTTTCCAGACCTATTAGAAAGGAGGATCAAAAACAGTTCTCATTCTTGTAAAAGGAATAATCATATACATGCATGGTCTCACCCCAGGGCTATTGTTAATTATTTTGCCTCTGTGTTAATATTGTCTGAAGAGCCTGAACCATCTGGACAACGTGCAAAACATCTCATTGGTCCACTATATCCATAACATTATGCCAGTTGGGTTCAGTTGAGCAAGAAGTGGCAAATATATCGGAGACCTTGGTAAGGCATGTAGGAGATAAATCCTCTAAAGATTCAGGGGCTACCCCATCACGAATGTGGATCCAGTAGTTTGGGGCATACCATTATGTCACTCAAAGTAAAAGACAAAGTACTGCATCTCTCACTTCCCACCACTAAGAAGAAAGCACGATACTTGGTAGCCCCTGTTGGTTCTGGAGGCAGCATATTCTGCATTTGGGAATTCTGTTCTGACCCACTTACCGGGTGACACAAGAAGCCACTATCTTTGACAGGGGTTCGAAGAAGGAAAGGGCTCTGCAGCAAGTCCCAGGCTGTAGTGAAAGCACCATATGGGTTATACGAGTGATCAGAGCCTATTGCACTAGCAGTATCAATGGTGTAAAAAGATTCCATATGGGGTTTTATGGAAAACCCCAATAGAAGAAACACAATGTAGGGCCTGGGGTTCTGGAGCAAGGCAATGCCATCTGCAATAGAAAACCATACGCCCCATGAAAAGCAGTTCCTGGTGTTCTACTGGGCTCTGGGAGACACAGCATCTGTTCACAGGACATGAGATGATTATGTGGCCAATCCTGCTCACCATTCACTGGATGCAGTCATAAAGTCAAGCAGGACCAACAACCCATGATAAGATGGAAACGGTGCATCTGGAATCTGGAATCAGGCATAAGCAGGGTGAAGGGATATGTGTAAGCTGTGTTTTTCCCCATGTTGAACCGGGGTCCCTTTCTCACATCCATGACTGATAAGTCTCTTAGGACCAGTTGATGAAGAGAGAAAAGTCCAAGCTTGATTCATGTATTGGTTGGCTTAGCATGTCAGTATGAGCCAAAATGGACTGATGCTATCATATAACCTCATTCAGGAGTGGCCTGATAGATAAGGGTGTGGAAAAATCCTCCCAGTGAGCAGAGCTCTGGGCCGTGCCCATGGTCATCTACTTTGTGGAGGGAGAGGAGCAATCATAGGTAAGAATATAAATGAATTCAGGAGTATTGGCAAAAAGCCTGGTAGGTTGGTCAGAGGCCCAAAATTAGGAAGATTAGAAAATTGGACACAGGGAGATCTGGTGAAGAGGGCCACTGATGGAGCTAAGGAATGGACACTGAGTATGAAGATCTTATATCTCATTTTAACACACAACAGAGAACTTCAACTGCAGAAGAGATTAACCACGTAAACAGGACCACTCAGCCAGCTCATGCCAGCTGGCCTCTCTCATCAGCCACCCAGGTGCTGGCACAGTTAGCTTTTGAGTGGAGAATCCAATACCAGTGGGGATGGAGGTCATGCAAGGACCCAGCCACATGGGCTCCCATTCCCTAAAGCTGATCCAGCTACTGCTGCTGTCAAAAGTTCAACCTGTCAGCAACAGAAGCCAATATTGAGCCTCTAATCCAGACTAGTCAGCCATTTGATGGCAAGTTGACCACACTGGACCCCTTTTACTGTGGAAGCAGCAGCTATTTATTTATCAATGTGGAATTGACACATATTTCAGGTATAGGTTTGCCTTTCCTGTCTCCAGGGCCTCAGCCAGATCCACTATCCAAGGTGATGAGAGTGTTTGATCCGCCAACACAGCATCCTGAATAGCACTGTCTTGAATCAAGGACCCCTTCACAGCAAGTGGTGAAACCATGGCACATGGAATCTACTGGTCCTAACAGGTATGGCACTACTCAGAAGCCACCAGCCTGACAGGGCAGAGGAATGGCCTCTTACAGATACAACTGAGGCACCAGCTTGGAAATAATACTTTACAAAGAGAGGCACCATCCTCACCCCAAGTAGTTAGAATACATGGATCTAATAAGGGGTGGAATCAGAGGTGACCCCACTTACCTGACGGCCAGTGGCCCACTTGCTTCCTATCCCCGCCACTTAAGCTCTGTGAGCCTTGTGGTCCTGATTCCCAGAGAGCAAACACTTCCACTAGGGAAGGCCAAGGGAATCCCACTGAAAATGAAGCTATGGCTGCTTACTAGCCACTGTAGAGTCCTCAGGCCAAGAGACCAGCAGGCAAGGAAAGGAGCCACTATCCTGGCAGGGTCATTGCTCCTGATCATCAGGAGGTGGGACTCCTTCTCCACGATGCGGTCAAGTGATCCACCAGTGTCCCTTGGTGCTTCTGTATCCTGTTTTAGTAGTAAATGGGAAAGAAAAGCAGTCATGGCCTGAGAAATAGGGCTCACACCCCACAGGGATGAGGATCTGGGTCACCCCTTCAGGCAAGCCATGTAGACCAGTAGAGATGCTGCTTGAAAGTGAGGAGATACTGGAATGGGTAGCTAAAGAGGGGCATGATACATAATCATTTCAGCCTTAAGATCAACTACAGCAACAACAGCTGTAGTTTATTCTAGCAACATTTCTCTTGTAAGCTCCTCAGGAAATGAGACAAACCAGAATGCTGGAGAAGGCATGCCCAAACATGGTGGCAAGTGGATCTGAGCAACTCAAAGGGTGGACCATGGTGAAAACTGTGATGCTCTGCTCAGAGCCCCTCTTCAAGGACAATACACAAATCCTCAAGCTGCTGGGAATATCAGCTGCTGGTGGTTCATAGCTGAATCCCTTCTGAGAATTCCTCTCAGCCACAGGGGATTGCTTTGGCCAAGGTTACATACCCCACCCATGGGACAGCCCAAGACCAAAGACTGGTTGTTGGAGGGCTACAAAGACCTGATCACTTGCCTCAATTTGGGGTTACTCTGAAGGGCTATTCCAGCTCCAGGGCTCCTTGTGGGATCACTTGAGGCCTCTGCTGCAACTATATTGCAATCTGCCTTCCTTGTTTTCTTATGTGTATAGACCACTCCACAATAAAACTTCTATATACAACTCATTGACTCACTCTCTTTCCAAGGAACCCAATCGAAAACAAATGCTCCTAGCATGGGAAAATATTTATGAAAAATCATGTATTCTGATAGCATATAACTGATTCAGGGCAAGCAAGCCCTAAACTGGGGCTTAGCCTGTGAGGGTTCTTGGCTTTGCCCAGGAGAGAAGGGCAGGCTCAAGTAGACGAAAATGGCTTTATTTGAAGAGGCTGTGTTACAGCTCCCTGACTGCTCCTGCTGAGCAGGTGTATCCTGTAGGCAGAAAGTAGGAGCTCAGGGCAGTTTTGCAGTCATATTTATACCCATTTTTAATTGCATGGAGATTAAGGAGCAGTTTATGCAGAACTCTCTAGGGAAGGGGTAGTAATCTGTGGGCCATCAGGTCATTGCCATGGAATGGGGTGGTAACCCCCAGGTGTTGCCATGGCACACTAGTGGGCATGTCTGATTAGAAAGCTGCTTCCACCCATCCCTGTTTTAGCTAGTCCTCAATCTGGTCCTGCATCCAAACCCCACCTCTGGAGTCAAGTCTCACCTCTTACTTCATTACCACTCTCCAACATGTGAACATTTGCTGATCTCCAGCTATGTGCTAGGAACTGTCCCACACTTTTTAACATTTACTCTTTCATTTAATCTTCACAATGAGCCTGCAAGGTAAGTATATCTGTTACAAATGCTTTGGATTGCTAGAACAGCCTCAGCAGGTCAGCTTTTTGTTGTGTGTGTACCCTAAAAGATGTACTTTGGTAGACAGAACAGTAAATGTACACTTTACCATAAACCATGGTGAGCAAAAAAACACATTTTTAAACAGTATAAATTTATTTAACTGTTGACTGCAAAGAAATAACGGTAAAGCTAACTTCTGTGTTAAAATGTAAGAATAAAACTTTACAACAATAGCAAGATTAGAAAGGGGGATGGTCAGTGCATCATTAAACATGATAAAGTCTTTGCCTTGGTTAGAAAGACAAGATAAAATACCAAGTAACTTTGAAATATTAAAATAATTTAAACTTAGCTTTAAAAATTAAGGTATACACTAAAAGAATAGCAATATAATTATAGCTTTCAAACTGGCAAAGAAAAAAAGAAAGGGAATATAGATAATTTTATGAGTCTAATAGAAGACAGGAAAAGAGGCAGGGAAGTAGTAAAAATAAAGATGGACTATTTCTAGCTGGAGATGCTGGCATTTCCCAATCTCCTCTGAGGCTAAGGTTTGCATGCAAGTGAGGTTACACATCGTTCATACCAGTTGAAGAGTTAGAAGATGGAAGTGAGACAGAGGCCATGTTCCTCCAAACTTGTTGGCTGTCTTCACTAACATGCAGAGTTGTGGCAATGACAGGCTTGACTTCAGCAGTTTTTCTGTCTGTTCTCCAGCTTCTTGGGTCCTGAGAGGAAATTGGTACAGCAAGGATGGCTTCTTGATTTTGGCACAGCCAAGATGGTAGCCTTAGAAATATTGGTCTTCTGTTGAGTCAGTTCTGTATTCCTCAAGGAATCATTCTGGAAAATGCCTAGAACCAACTCTTTCAGCTAGGCCAACAATCTTAGAGCATCTAATTCCCTATGCTCTAGCTGTTTCTAAGACACCTAGAACAGTCTCAGTGTCCTTAACAAAACTCTAACTGATAAACGTGAGAGGAAGTAGCTTCCAAGAAGATATAAAAGCCATAAGTTTGTAATGTACCTAAATATCATACACTTGAAATACGTACAGCAAAAACAGAGAATTTCAAGGAGAAATTGTCAAACCCAAAATGATCAGAAATTTTAAACTTATTTCTATTAGAAATAGATAAGCAATGTGAAAATTTTTAGGGCATAGAAATTTCAAATAACACAAATAACTAAGCCTGATCTAATAGAGCTTCATGGAATCACACAATTAACAAATAGAGAACAGGTGGGTTTTTTTGTTTTGTTTTGTTTTTTGAGACAGAGTCTCGCTCTGTCACCCAGGCTGGAGTGGCAGTGGCACAATCTTCGCTCACTGCAGCCTCCACCTCCCGGGTTCAAGCAATTCTCTTGCCTCAGCCTCCTGAGTAGCTGGGACTACAGGTGCGCACTACCACGCTCAGCTAATTTTTTGTATTTTTAGTAGAGGTGGAGTTTCACCGTGTTGGCCAGGGTGGTCTTGATCTCCTGACCTCGTGATCCGCCTGCCTCTGCCTCCCAAAGTACTGGGATTACAGGCATAGCCACCATACCCGGCCAAGGATATGTAGAATATTTATTAAAATCTACTACATTCTAGGTGTCAAAAAAATTCTCAACCAATTTCATAACAGACACTGCAACCTGGCTATAGTGCAATTAAATCATAAATTAACAATAAAATAATGTTTTTAAAATTTATGCTAGGAAAAATTTAAATAAATTCCTAAATAGTTTAAGGATGAGAAGAGGAAACTACAAAATACTATATTGAGAAATTATCAAAGAACCACATATCCAAACTTATGATATGAAGTGAATTTGTAGCATTAAATCCATTTATTACAAAACATAAATGATTGAAAATGAATGAGTTAAACATTCAAGAATCTATGAAAAGAAAAAACAGTAAATTTGTTATGAATAAACTAATAGCATAAAAAGTATTACTAAACAATGAAGGTCATAAATAAATATTTAACTTGAAGTACAGGCTGGGTGTGGTGGTTCATGCCTGTAATCCTAGCACTTTGGGAGGCCAAGGTGGGTGGATTACCTGAAGTCAGGAGTTCAAGACCAGCCTGGCCAACATGGTGAAACCCTGTCTCTACTGAAAATACAAAGAAAAAAAGTAGCCAGGTGCAGTGGTGCCCGCCTATAATCCCAGCTACTCAGGAGGCTGAGGCAGGAGAATCACTTGACCGGGAGGTGGAGGTTGCAGTGAGCTGAGATCGCGCCATTGCACTCGAGCCTGGGTGACAGAGGGAGACTTTGTCTCAAAAAATTAACTGAGTAAATCTAAGGAGAGTTGTAGGAAGAAAACAATAAAGACGGGGACAGAAATTGGTGAATAAGAAAATGATAAAGTCCATGCACAAAAAAACAAAAACTGGTTCTTTAAAAAAAATTATTAAAATGGTCAAACATCTAGCAAGAACAAACATGAATAAAGAGAAAAATGTATAAATAAAAATATTAGGATCTAAAAAGGAGATATACCTATAGAAACAGCAGAAATTTTTTAAAATTATATAAAAACATTTTAAAACCAATGCAAATAAATTTGAATACTAAAGTAAAAGGGAAATTTTCTTATAAAAATATTAATTAGCAAAAATCACTCGGCATAGGAAACCTTTAAAAAATGATTAAAGAAATTAAATATAGGCTGGGCGCAGTGGCTCACGCCTGTAATCCCAGCACTTAGGGAGGCCAAGGTGGCGGAACACTTGAGGTCAGGAGTTCAAGACCAGCCTGGCCAACATCATGAAACCCATCTCTATTAAAACTACAAAAATTAGCTGGGCACGGTGGCGGGCGCCTGTAGTCTCAGCTACTCAGGAGGCTGAGGCACAAGAATCACTTGAACCCCAGAGGCAGAGGCTGCAGTGAGCTGAGATCGTGCCACTGCACTTTCTCTAAAAGAAATTAAATCAGTAATCAAAATCTCTTCCCTGCCCCCACAAAAATCAGTCCCTCGATTCCAGTTATCAGGTTTGAAAAAAAAAAAACAAAACACTGAATAGATTTAAGTTGGAGAACAAAAAAAAATATGCTTTGTAAACTCCATATTGCTGAAGACAGAATATTCTTGTACCTTGAAAGTAACACCCTTCTTCCTCTCCCCTTCTACCTTCCTACCTTTTCTTCTAGATTTTACCATTTATGGACGTATCCCTAAGTAATACATTTTTGAATATTGCATTTAATTTGAAATTTCAATGAATGGAACCACACTGTCAGTATTCTTTGCAACTTGCTTCATCCCCTTAACATAGTATTCATAAGAAACAGCCATGTTTTGTTATCACAGAATGAGTATAATATTATTACTAAATTAATATAACATAATTTATTTCTGCATTCTCTTCTCAACGAGCATTTGGGTTATTTCTAATTCAAACAATGCTGTGGTTTACAGTCTTGTACCTATCTCCTAGAATGTCTCTAGAGCAGTACTATCTGAAAGAAAAACAAGGTGATCCACATGTGAGAGCCACATATGTAATTTTAAATTTTATTTCAGCTACATTAAAGTACGAGACAGAATTGGTTTTAATGCTATATTTTATTTAAACCAATATATCCAAAATATTATGATTTTAACTAATAATATTTTTAAATGAATTTAAATATTTTTAATTTTTTCACAGTAATCTTAAAAATTCACTAAGTATTTATACTTTCAGCACATGTCAGTGCAGTCTAGACATATTTCACGGACTCAATAACCACATGTGGCTAGTGGCTACTGAATTACACAACATAATATTTGAGTATATGCCAAAAAGTAGGACGCTGGGTCATAAGATATGCACGTTTTCAACATCAGTCAATAATGACCTTTTTTTTTCAGTTATGGTACCAATTTACACTTTGACCAGAAGCCTTTAAGAGTTTCTGTTATTGGCCAGGCACGGTGGCTCACACCTGTAATCCCAGCACTTTGAGAGGCCGAGGCAGGTGGATCACAAGGTCAGGAGATCAAGACCATCCTGGCTAACACGGTGAAACCCCATCTCTACTAAAAATACAAAAAATTAGCTGGGCGTGGTGGCGGGCACCTGTAGTCCCAGCTACTCGGGAGGCTGAGTCAGGAGAATGGCATGAACCCGGGAGGCAGAGCTTGCAGTGAGCCGAGATAGCGCCGCTGCACTCCAGCCTGGGCGACAGAGCGAGACTCCCTCTCAAAAAAAAAAAAAAAAAAGAGTTCCTGTTATTCCATACCCATGTCAACATGCCAGACCCATTGATTTTTACCAATCTGTGGGTACATATTAACAATTCATTGTAGCTGTAGTTAAAATTTTCATTTCTCTGGTTTCTCATGAGTTGTACAATCTCTGAGTGATTGTTGGTTATCTGTGTACCCCTTCTATGCCACCATGCCTGTCAACTGTTCCACTCATTTTCCTGTTGGGTTGTTCGTCATTTTCATATCAATTTTTAAGGGAGCTTATATATTCTGGATACTAATCTTTTCACTGTTACAAGTGCTGCAAATATCTTCTCCTATTCTGTAATTTCTCTTTCCACTGTCTTTAAGATACTTCTGATAATGAAATCTCTTTATTTTAATGTAATCAAGTGTATTAATCTTTTCCCAGATGAATTGTGAGTTTTCTTTTTTAAAAATCATTTTCTACCCCAAGATTGCAAAGAAATTCTTCTATATTTTCTCCTAAAGTCTTTCTTACAATTCTAGATTGACAGTTATTTTCTCTCATAGTATTGAAGATTTTATTCCATTGTCTACTGAATACCATTTTGCTGTGGAAAAGTGAACTGTGGGTACTGTAGTTCCTTTGTATTAATCCATCTTTACTCTCTGGTTATTTTTAGACCTTTCCATGATTTTAGTGTTCTTCGGTTTCACTATGAAGGATGAATATGTTTGTAGTGTTATAAATTCATCGGGCTACCTGAATCTGAAGTATGCATAAATGTTTCACCAATTAAGAAAAATTCTCAGTCATTATCAATTCAAAAATTGCTGATCCTCTCTTTTCCTTCTAGAACTCCAATCAGATATATGTTAGACCTTCACACTTCATCATCCATGTCTCTTAACCTTTCATATTTCTACTCTTTGCCTCTCTGCATGCATTCTGGAAAATTTCTGCAGCTCTATATTCCTATTCATTGATTTATCCCCTCTAATTAGCTTTCTCTTTGAGCCATCATGACAGCTCATGTCCCAAAGTGAGACTGTGCTGAGGCAGAGGGAGGAGAAAGACAGCCTGAATTTAAAGGAGGCAGAATCAATGAAGCTGGGGAATGACGTTGTGGACTGAGTGAGCTATGTGAGGGACAATGTCCAATGATGGGGTGCAGGCAGATGCACCCACCAATAGCTGGTGCTCATCAGTGTCATCAAAATCACAAAGATATGTTGACTACAAACAGTAGATTAACAGAAGCTCTTGGAGAAACAATACTCTGTACAATAGAGTGGCCTGAGCAAGCATAACAGTCCAAGCTGCCCGGTTTCATATATTAACTTCAAGTTGGGAAAAGAAAGAGCAAATAAATCAGCTGAAATTTAATGTGAGCTCATTTGATGTATTAAGGTTTGTTAAAATTCTACCAACATATAGTGGTATAAATCCTCTAGAACTGTGCTGTTCAATGCAATAATCACTAGCCACATGTGACTACTCTAGTGAAATTATATAAAATGTAAAATTCAGTTCCCAGTCACACTAGCCACATTTTGAGTTCTCAGTAGCCACATGTGGCTAATAGCTAATGACTACTGTATTACACAGCATGGATATAGAACACTTTGATCTTTGCAGGAAATTCTAGAATTCTGCAGAAAAGATTGAGCATCACTGCTATAGAAGCTGAAGAGCTCATTATTGATGAAGACAGTTGAATTTTTTATTTTGTAGTCTTTGACTCATAGGAAAAAAAATCAGGCAAAACACAAGAAATAGCCTCATAACATGAGAAATAGCCTCAATAAAACCCAGACATTCCACTTCCTGCTGGGTTCAATACCCGGAGAGTGCCTTGTGCCAAATTGGGAGAGATTCCTCAAAAAACGGGAGTAGAAAGAGCATAGGGATTGTTGCAAACATTGTGGAGAAGCTCCTGAAATTCCTCCGTCCTCTGACTTTGACTTTGTGGTTGACCTGCATTTTCCACCACCCTCCATCCCATCTCTGCACTGTGGAAAATATTGTTCATATTTCATTCATTAAACAGAATGGTTTGGCAAGAATAAGGCTTGACCAAGACAAACTTTTAATAATAAAGCCTGTAATAGAATCCAAGGAAGTGAGGAAATTGACCTAAACATCCAAATAAGGAACTCAAGGAGTTAGAGCTTTGAGTTATAAACGGGAAGGGAACTGTGAGACACTGAACTTGCAGGGCCTGTAATCCCTTCATGTCGGAGTTGACCAAGGCTGATTGCTCAATGCCAAGGTGAAGTTAACACTGTCTGCAATCTCCAATGGATATCCTAAATAAACTCAAGTAGACTCTGAAGAAGTGCAGAGTTTGATACCGTTTATGCAACATTTAAAAGCATGCAACACAGTCTAGAAAATGTTATTATGCAAAACAATACCAGAGATTGTTTTTTAATACAGTATATTCAATAAAAATAAAAATACTTGCATGGTAATAAATGCCAACTTCAAATAGTGGTGAGCTTTAAAGTGGGGGGGAAGGCATCAGGAAGGGAGACACAGAGAGCTTCAACTGTGTATGTTAATATTTCATTTTCTTTAAAAAATCAGATGCAGGGATGGCTACTTATTACAATAGTCTTACAGAACTATTGGTAGGTACAGAGGTATCAGTTACTTCTTTTTTTCTTTTAGAGATAGGGTCTCACTCTGTTGCCCAGGCTGGTCTTGAACTCATGGGCTCAAGCAATCCTCCCACCCCACCGTCCTGAGTAGCTGGGACTACAGGCAGACACCACCATGCCCAACTCCAGTTACATTATTCTTTCAATGTTTCTGTTTAAAATTTTTTCTGACAAAAGAAAAGTTAAATAAAACAAATTCCACTTCTCCCCATTAGTATTTGTATGATATTGGGCTTCCTTTTTTTCTTGTTGCAAACAGGACTAATCTAGTACCTACTAGACAGGCTGTCATGAGAAGTTCAGAAAAGGAACTGTGCCACACACAGAAGACAACCACAAACCACTCAACACACCCTCAGGGAGTCAGCCTACTGGAGGGCGCTCTCTGGTGCGGCCAGGACAGAGGGATATGTGGTGGTGCAGAGCAGCCAATGGGACATGAGGTGCGCAGTTGGCACGCTTTGCTCTAAAGTATGAGGCCAGAGGTGGTCCATTTTCCTTGAGACTGGAACAGATTAGAGGAATGAAGCTGGGTCCTGGTGTTCCAGTTAAAACAGAAGGAGAGTTTGGATCTGTAAGCCTCTCTGCTTACTTTGGCTGGCTAGGCTTCCTATTTCCACATCTGTCCACAGGTCAGGGGAAGCAAAATATGTGGATGTAAACGTTTGCAGTGGTTCTAGCACATCAGCACTTCAGGAAGCCAGATTCCGCTCTGCAGATCTATACGGGCTGACCGCCACCTGCAGGGACAGGCAGTCTGCCCAAGCGGACCAGAAATTGCTGAGAGAAGAGAGGCCAGTTGGGAATGTTTCCTGCCTTTTCCTCATCCACCTTCTAGAGCACCTTTGATCACTCAACTCAATCAAGCATCTTCTCTTCACTCCAGCACTTTTGAATGCTACCCTCCCTGCCACCCCTTTCTTCTGTCATCACTAAAGTCCTCATATCTGGGAAGATTCCTGTCTCTATCACCGCCTCACCACTGGCCTCCTCCTTCTGCCCTTCAGGGACCTCCCTCCCAATCCTCAGCCTCACGTTCCACAGCCCCAGAGGCACTACTGGAATCCTCCCACCTCCTCCCCCACCCACACCCCTCCACCCCTCCTCAAGGATACTATCAACCAAGTTCTCAGGCACAGCGCTCATACATTCTGATGCTTTCCAGGACTCTGGGCTTGACTCTCTCCATAACACATATTCTCGTCATATCCATGCCTATGATTTCAATTTTCCTTATGAGCCAGTGACTTCTGAATCTGTACCTCCAACACAGATGTCCTCCCAGCATCCCAGACACATCCTCCCAACCAGTTCTGGACATGACTACCTGGATATTGTGCAGTCACCTCAATTACACCGTGCTCAACACTGAGTCATTCTCTTTTTCTTCTCCAGGCCTGTTCATCTTGCATTCTCAAATTTAGCAAACTACCAGTGGCTCAGCCACCTAATCCTGACCCTAATTTTCTCCTAACTCCTACATCTAGTCGGTGACCATGTCCTGTTGATTTCACCTCTGACATAACTCGATGGACTCTTCCATTGCAGCCCTTTCCACTTCTAAATTCAAGAACCATCATCTGTTGTTGGTACATAGAATAATCATTCCCTAACTTGCTCTCTGCACTCCCTGACTCTGGTCTAACACTCTCTCAAATGGTGGCTCCAGAGTTATGGCTCTAAAACGCAGCATTGATCATTTTATTCACCTACCTTAAAGTCTGTGTGCAGGAAAAAACCCAAACTCCTTACTAAAATGCTTATTATCTTTCCCTCATCGCCAAAGAAATGCAAATCAAAACCACGATGAGGTAGCATGTCACCCCAATTAAAATCGATTTCATAAAAAAGACAAGGAATAACAGAAGCTGGCAAGAATATGGAGAAAGGGGAACCCTCATACACTCTTGGTGGGAATGTAAATTAGTACAATCTCTATGGAAAACAGTATGGCGGTTCCTCAAAAAGCTAAAAATAGAACTACCATGTGATCCAGCAATCTCACTACTGGGTATATATGCAAAAGAAAGGAAATCAATATATTGAAGAGATACCTGGACTCCCATGTTTATTGCAGCACTACTCACAATAGCCAAAATACTGAATCAACCTAAGTGCTCATCAGCAAATGAATGGATGAAGAAAATGTGTATTATTCATCCATAAAAATGAGCAGGACATGAGATGCTACGTTTGCAGCAACATGGATGGAACTGGAGGTTGTTATGTTAAATGACATAAGCCAGGTACAGAAAGACAAACATCACATGTTTTCACTCATATTTGGAAGCTACAAAAGTGAATCTCATGAAGATGGAGAGTAGAATGATGGTTACCAGAATCCTAGAAATGTAGAGAAGTGGAGAGGTATGAAGAGAGGTTGATTGATGTGTACAAAAATATAGTTAGATAGAAGAAATAAGACCTGGTGTGAACACTATTTTCAAAACAGCTAGAAGAGAATAATTTAAATGTTCCTTGCATAAATAAAACAAATGGTTAAGATAATGAATATCCCAATTACCCTGATTTGAAAATTAAATATTATATGAATGAATCAAAATATCGCATGTGCCCCCAAATACGTGCACTTATTATGTGTCAATTAAAAAAAATAAAAATAAGACCATATCACCTAACCCCTGACAAAAAAAATGAACTCTAAGCCAGACTGCCAGGGATCAAATCCCAGCTCTCTGACTTATTAACTAAGGGATCTTAAGGTCATGTAAGTCTGTGCCTTAGTTTCCCCATCTGTAAATATAAGTAGTGATTGCACATGTATGATGTGTTGGCTGCCATTATTAACTCTCCAGTCTCACTTCTCACCGTTCCTCCACAAGTACCCTATGCTCTGTCCCTAAAATCACCAAGTTCTGTCATGACTGCACACTTAGGTACTTGCTGGCCCATTTGCCCGGAATGCCTGCCTTCCCCCTTGTAAGCCTGGATAACTCTAATTTAAAGCTTAAATATCACTTTCTCTGTGATACCTTCCCTGATTTCTCCTATTCTGGTATATCTGTATCATACCACTCACAGTAAAATCTTATTCTTTAGTCTCTACCCAACCCCCACCTTCCTGACAGGAAGGAACCATGACTTATTCATCTTTGTTTTTCCAGCATTTTGCACAAAACCATATACCTACTAGAATCATGGTAGCTAACAGCATGAATAACTTAAAAGTAGGGAACCTGGGCCTCAAAAATATGAATTGATTAGCTAACTTTTCTCAATACTTTTCCAGGCTTCCACATAATAGCAGTGCCACAGCTAGAAAGAATGACAGGACATAAAAATGCATTGAACTATATAACTAGAATGCAGAGCTGTCAAGGAACCCAACCAAGATCTTTCCACTATACCTGTTGAAACTAACAGAGAGTTTCTAATTCAAGATAGCACACTGCCTTGCAAGACCACATTAAAATGACAATAAAAATATCTAAAAGTCCATCACCATGAAGAAAGTGTGAGTAGTCACCAAGGGACAATAGATTTCAATAAATTTCTGAAAAATAAAAAACAATACTTAAGGAGCTGACAAAAGATGAAACAAGATAGAGGATGCTACAGCCTATAAGACTGATGAGTGGGGGTAGGGGGCAGCTACAGAGGAAGACCTCTGTCCTGAACAGCCCCAGAGAGACTCCCAACTCAGAAATGCCAGGTGCTAGGGTGGGAGTGGGATGAAGGGCTGAAATCAAAGAGATCAATGAAAGTCTATATGTAGAGCAGTCGTCCTCAACTCATCTCCTACCTCCACCATGTACAGAATTCCCAGCAGGCTGGTGTGCTGTAATAACCACCTCCCTACTCCGAACAAACAAAGCACAAGGTTCTTCTCTTTTGGAGGGGTAAAACTGGGAAAAGCTACAGCAGCTGGCGTAGGGCATTTGGAGTTTTCTTGCTAAGGTTCAACTTCCTGCCCACTATCCTTAAAGGAAAGCCTACCTGTTGACAAGCTCCGCTTCCACACACAGATTCACAATCACCTTTTCTTATTGCCTCATTCTCAAATATAACCAAACAACTAAAACCTCATTATACACTTGAGGGAAGCCTATACCGTAAAATAAAAAGACCGATGCAAACAATCAGAAATGGGTAATTCAAAAGGCAGAAGAGAAGGAGATCTCTAACTAATGTACTCAGAGAGATTTGAGACAATGTCACACAAGATAATAACAAAAGACTATTCATCTAAGGAGCAATCTAAGAAAAGAGAAAAAATCATCAGAATGATTGGAAAATAATGTTTGGGAAATTTTCATCAGGGAGAACAAAAGGAAATCTTAATTTTTTTAAAAAATATATAAGACAGGGCTGGGCACGGTGGCTCATGCCTGTAACCCCAGCACTTTGGGAGGCCAAGGCGGGCAGATCACAAGGTCAGGAGTTCAAGACCAGTCTGGCCAATATGGTGAAACCCCATCTCTACTAAAAACACAAAAATAAATTAGCTGGGCATGGTGGCAGACACCTGTAATCCCAGCTCCTCAGGAGGCTGAGGCAGGAAAAGCGCTTGAACCTGGGAGGCGGAGGTTGCAGTGAGCCAAGATCATGCCACTGCACTCCAGCCTGGCGACAGAGCAAGACTCCATCTCAAAAAAAAAAAAAAGTATATATATATATATATATACACACACACACACATATATATATGAGACAAAAAGAACCAACCCAGAAATGTTCATCATCTGACTGGTAAAAGTCCCAAAGGAAAAAGAGAGAATACAGGAAACAGAAGGAGGAGAATTGTTTTTAAAATAGTACCCCAAAATCCCCAAGTTGAAAGACACAAGTCTTTAGACTGAAGGATCAACCAAGTACACTGCACAAGAGAATAGATAGAGGAAGATTGATAGCTAGACAGATAGACAGACATATTATGAAATTTCAAGACCCCCCAAGGATAAAGAGAAAATGCTAAAAGCTTCCCAAAAGGTTTTAAAAAGTTGTCTACAGGAGAACAATAACTAGATCGGTATGAGACCTCTCAACAGAAATCTTAGATTCTAAAAAGCAGTGGAACAAAGGCTTCAAACTCCTGAGAAAAAACACAGTTTCAGCTAAAATTCTATACCTTGCCAAGTATAAAATTAGGACAAAGACATTTTCAGACCTGGAAGGAATGAAAAATTTACTACCTTTTAATGAATATACTTGATGATATAGTCCAGCAAAATAAGACAATTAAAAAAGAAAGGATAAGACACGGGACCCAGAAAGCAATAGATCCAATGCAAGAGGTTAAACTTCCAACCTCCGCCTCCGAGGCTCAAGGGATCCTCCCACCTCAGCCTCCTGAGTAGCTAGAACTACAGGTGCACACCACCACACCCAGCAAGTTTATTTTTGTAGTGATTGAGTCTCACTATGTTGCCCAGGCTGGTCTCGAACTCCTGGGCTCAAGTGAATTCAAAGGAAATTCTAAGGAATTCAAAAAATTGAAAGGAATGTTTAAAGGCATAAACTCAGAAAAAGAGATGATAGGATATCAAGGGTGGGAGAAAGAAAAATAAAAAGATGAAAATATTCCAAAATTGATTGTGGTGATGGATGCACAACTCTCTGAATATACTAAAAGCTACTGAGTTGTACACCTTAAATGAATAAATTGTATGGTCTATAAATTATATGTCAACAAATCTGTCTCAAGAAAAGACAAGAATGTGAGATGAGAAAAAGCAACAAAATTTCAGAAATTGAATGGCAGATGGACGAGTGATAAATAATCAGAGACCCCCCCCAAAAAAACTGAATTCCACGCTCACAGTAGAGAAAGCCTCAATGAAGCATCATTTACACGTTGGATGAAACAAAAGATTTGGAATCCAGGGACCTTGGGAAATAGAAGTGAGAGAGAGGGGAAGATAGGAGGTTGACAAATTAAGAATCAGTGAAACCCTCGAATGCCCTCCTCCACGCCACACAACTGGACAGCTGCCAGTGGTGCTTTTGTCGTCATGTTAATATAAACAGAAACACTGTGTTAACCAGGATATCTGTAACTCTCTGTGAGAAGGATGAGGGGTGGGAAGTGCATATTTGGTATGGTGGGGGCCAAGGCAGTTAGAGGGAAGAAAGTTAAAGCCTCATCTTTTTTTAATGGGAAGTCAATAGTAAATGCCTAAAACTAAGTAATGAAGAAATAACATTGCAAACAAATAATTTAGCAATATGGAAGAAAATATCACGCTGTTTGAAAGTAATGGCCTTCAGGAAGTGAGACAGTGGTGGCAGTTGGAAGGGGGGAGTCAGGAGACTGTCTTTTTTTTTTTTTTTTTTTTAAAAGACAGAGTCTTGCTTTCTCCCAGGCTGGAGTGCAGTGGTGCGATCTCGGCTCACTATAACCTCCGTCTCCCAGGTTCAAGCTATTCTCCTGCCTCAGCCTCCCAAGTAGCTGGGACTACAGGCACGCGCCACCACACCTGGCTCATTTTTGTATCTTTAGTAGAGACAGGATTTCACCATGTTGGCCAGGCTGGTCTCAAACCCCTGACCTCAGGTGATCCGCCCGCCTTGGCCTCCCCAAAGTCCTGGGATTACAGGCATGAGCCACCGTGCCCAGCCTCCGCCTCCTTTTCTAACAGCTTGAGATATAATTTTTTTTAGTATACTGCAGCATGTATTTAATGAAAATATGATGTCAGCAAAGTAGAAGAAAGAACATCAACATTTTTGAGTGTATGTCAACACAGACAATATCTAAAGAAACAAGAATTTTTCTGCATATGTGACTTTGTAGACCAGACAGTAATCTGTGTTATTCTAAGAGCAGTGACTATATGGTTAGTAACTATTGTGATCAATAATTAACGCCACATGTCTATCCATTTAGGGATTATGTGTCTTCTCAAAGCCCTCGCAAATTGCTTTATTTGCCTAATAGGACTGAAATCACATCACATGTTTCACATTGCTGAAAAATGTCCAGCTCTGTATTAAGATATAATTTACATACTGTAAAGTTCACCCATCTAAAGGGTACAACTCAGTGGGTTTTAGTATATTCACAGAGCTGTGCAACCATCACCATAGTCTAGTTTTAGATCATTTCATCATCCCGATAAGAAACCTGATACTGCTGTTTTAATAACAAGCCTTGTAAGGCATGGTAAAATAAAATAAAATAAAAACTAAATTAAAAGAAAGAAACCATTAAGAGTGGTTTCCTCTAGGAAGGAGAACATGGGGTGGTTGGCGATGACATGAGAAATGGAAGTTTTCATTGTTGGCCTTTCTGTAATATTTTCTGCTTCTTTAAAAACCATTTATGTGTGCTGTTTTGATTTTATAATTTTCTTTAAAAGTTATAACAATTCCTTAAACACAAACTTAATGGGAAGTCAGGGATTACATTAGTGGCAGTGTTCGCCAAAGACCTTTGGAAGTTGAAAGTGCTCTGCAGATTTGAGGAACTGTTGTCATTCCAGCATCACAGCAGGGGTGGGGAAGAGATCACACAAGGTCAGCAACTTGGGAACTGGGACATAGCCACATAACACCTGCTGGAAGGTAGCCACCAGCTGGGATGATGGGGCTGTCCCCACAACAAAGGCCCCTTTTTGGAGATCCCTGGGGCTCAGGAGCCAGTGAGTCTGTCTTTGGGGAAGATAAGGCAGAGGGCCAACCCTCACGACCCACGAGTGTGGCATGTCCATGACCAGAGACCAAGGCCAGGCTTGCGACATGAAAAGGTGAGTGTCAATGACCTAAGTATTAATAGAGAACTGCGGCATCATCTCACCCAGAACCATCTCTCCCCACATAGCAGGGTCCACTTTTCTTGAGATTAGGTCCGTTTTATGTTTTACATTTCCCTTCACTTTTCAGAAAAATGGCCCCAAGTGGGACTGCCTTTTTTTAATTCCAAGGAACAGCACCGGCCACATCAGCACTGTTCTCGCCTCTGCCTCCAAGCTCTGTTTCTCATCTGGCTGCTGAGAGAAGTTGCTGTTGCTCTGCCAGCAAAATGTCTCTAGGAAGAAAGGAATGGAAAATATGAGGAAATTTCCTTACAAAATCTCAAAGAATCCTCGCTCAGCATAACCAGTGAGAATTAGCTGCACAATGAACCACATCGGAAAAGGCGATCATAATTCCTCAGTGCCTGATGCCCACCCAGATTTACAGCAGGACCGCTCTTTGTGGATCCACAAAAGGTTTCCACGTTGAGGGAGAGCTTCCCAAATGGGACCGAAGACATGAATCTCATAGGTGAGGACCCTCACTGGGGAGTCCTGATGGAGAGATGGGACCAGCCACCCTGGAACCTGAATAAGGAATTTGAAGACTTGGACTTGGGGCTGGAAATGGTAAGACTGTTCTCAACCTTCGGACCCTGACAGGGCCTGCCCAGTCATGACCATCTCACACTTGTCCCTGGTGTAAGCCCCACCACCACCTGTTCCCAGGCTGTCAGAGGCACAGTCTTTAGGAACCCACCAGGGGTATAACAAATACACCCCAGCAAAGCTTGTCTGTTTTTGTTTCTTTGTTGTTTTATTTTTGTTTTTTTGAGACAGAGACTCACTCTGTCACCCAGGCTGGAGTGCAGTGGCACAATCATGGCTCACTGCAGCCTCCACCTCCTGGGCTCAATCCTCCCACCTCAGCCTCCTGAGTAGCTGAATACAGGCATGCACCACCATGCCTAATTAATTTTTCTTTTTGGCTAACCATCTTTCATTCTTTTAATTTTTTATAGTACTTTCAGTTCTACGGTACATGTGCACAATGTGCAAGTTTGTTACATATGTATACATGTGCCATGTTGGCGTGCTGCACCCATTAACTCATCATTTACATTAGGTATATCTCCTAATGCTATCCCTCCCCCAGCCCCCCACCTCCTGACAGGCCCTGGTGTGTGATGATCCCCTTCCTGTGTCCATGTGTTCTCATTGTTCAGTTCCCAACTATGAGTGAGAACATGCGGTGTTCGGTTTTCTGTCCTTGCAATAGTTTGCTCAGAATGATGGTTTCCAGCTTCATCCATGTCCCTGCAAAGGACATGAACTCATCCTTTTTTATGGTTGCATAGTATTCCACGGTATATATGTGCCACATTTTCTTAATCCAGTCTATTATTGATGGACATTTGGGTTGGTTCCAAGTCTTTGCTATTGTGAATAGTGCCACAATAAACATACGTGTGCATGTGTCTTTATAGTAGCATGATTTATAATCCTTTGGGTATATACCCAGTAATGGGATGGCTGGGTCAAATGGTATTCCTAGTTCTAGATCCTTGAGGAACTGCCACACTGTCTTCCACAATGGTTGAACTAGTTTACACTCCCATCAACAGTGTAAAAGTGTTCCTATTTCTCCATATCCTTTCCAGCACCTGTTGTTTCCTTTTTAATGGTCACCATTCTAACTCATGTGAGATGGTACCTCATTGTGGTTTTGATTTGCATTTCTCTGATGGCCAGTGATGATGAGCATTTCTTCATGTGTCTGTTGGCTGCATAAAAGTCTTCTTTTGAGAAGCGTCTGTTCATATCCTTTGCCTACTTTTTGATGGAGTTGTTTGATTTTTTCTTGTAAATTTGTTTAAATTCTTTGTAGATTCTAGATATTAGCCCTTTGTGAGATGGGTAGATTGCGAACATTTTCTTTCATTCTGTAGGTTGCCTGTTCACTCTGATGGTAGTTTCTTTTGCTGTGCAGAAGCTCTTTAGTTTAATTAGATCCCATCTGTCTATTTTGGCTTTTGTTGCCATTGCTTTTGGTGTTTTAGTCATGAAGTCTTTGCCCATGCCTCTGTCCTGAATGGTATTGCCTAGGTTTTCTTCTAGGGTTTTTACGGTTTTAGGTCTAACATTTAAGTCATGCCTAACTAATTTTTAAGTTTTTTGTAGAGACATGGTCTCACTACATTGCCCAGGCTGGTCTCAAACTCCAGTCTCGAACTCCTGAGCTCAATCAATCCTCCCACCTCTGCCTCCCAAAGTGCTAGGATTATAGGCATGAGCCACTGCACCTGACCTGCATTATTTTTTTAACCAGGACAACTGAGTAAAAGCTCTGTTATGAGAATGGGACATAGGAGAGGTAGATTTTGACTGGGAGGAAAGGAAAACCCAATAAGAGATCTTACATGGAGGGCAGCCCTGATAAGGAAAGGTGGGACCCTGCTTTGGGCAACACTAAGTGGAGGAAATAACTAGAAGGAAATGGAACGTAAGTAATCCAATGCAGTAAATAACCAAGAGAAAAAAGAAAATGATGCAATGACTGACAGCTCATTTTTTCTTTATTTCATTTCATTCATTGACAGCCATTTTACTTGGAAATAAGAAAATTTATATGGAATATAAATATGCAAGTGAAGTACTGAGGATGATTTTCAGAACCTTCTTTGTAGATAATTACACCCAGGTGAGCCTCTTCTGAATGTCACCTTGAATTATAAATGCCTCCCTCTCTTCTATCCTCTTAGGCAATGAAGATACATGGTGCAGAAGTTTTGAAATCAGCCATATCTGGCTGAAAGTCCTGAATCTGCCATTTAGTGGCTGTGTGACCTTAGGAAAGTCATGCCACCTCTCTGAGCTTCAGTTTCTCCATCTGATTCATGGTAGTAGTAATGACAGCTAACACTTTCCTGATCATTTTCTATGAACCAATGTTGTAAATCGTCTACATCGATCAACTCTTTTCAACCTCATGACAAACTCATCATGTATATTGTTATGGGTTGAATGGTATTTCCCAAACATTTACATGTTGAAATCCTAACCCCCAGTATCATAGAATGTGGACTTATTTGGATATAGGATTGTTGTGGAAGTAATTAGGTAATTTAAGATGACATTTTACTAGAGTAGGATGAGCCCCTAATCCAACATGACAGGTATTCTTACAAAAAGAGGAAATTTAGGCTGGGCGAAGTGGCTCACGCCTGTAATCCCAGCACTTTGGGAGTCTGAGACAGGCGGATCATGAGGTCAGGAGTTTGAGACCAGCCTGGACCACATGGTGAAACCCTGTCTCTACTAAAAACACAAAAATTAGCTGGGCATAGTGGTGTGCACCTGTGATCTCAGCTACTCAGAAGGCTGAGGCAGGAGCATTTCTTGAACCTGGGAGGCAGAGGTTGCAGTGAGCTGAGATCATGCCACTGCACTCCGGCCTGGGCAACAGAGCAAGACTCTTTCTCAGAGAAAATTAATAAATAAAAAAAAGAAGAAATTTGGACACAGAGACACACACATAGGGAGAATGCCATGTAAAGATTGAAACTATTTTGCCACAAGCCAAGAACTCCCAGAAGCTAGGAGAAAGGCCAGGAACAGGTCTTTCCCTGGTGCCTTCAGAGGGAGCACAACCCTGCTGACACCTTGATCTTGGACTTCTAGCCTGCAGAGCTGAGACAATAAATTCCTGTTGGTAAAGCCACTTGGTTTGTGGTACTTTGTTATGGCAGCCCTAGCAAATACGTACAGTCATGCATGGTATAACAGCATTTCCATCAATGCAAATCACATATTCAACGATGGTCCCATAGATAAACAGTACCATATTTTTACTGTACCTTTTCTATGTTTAGATATGTTTGGATACATAAATACTTACCACTGTGCTATAACTGCCTACAGGATTCAGCACAGGAACATGTTGTATAGGTTTGTAGCCTAGGCATAATAGACTATACCGAATAGCCTAGGCGTGTAGTAGGCTATACCACCTAGGTTTGTGTAAGTACACTCCTTGATGTCCATGCAATGGCAAAACCGCCTAATGACACGTTTCTCAAAACATATCCCCTTTATTAAGCAACCTGTGACTATAGAGTCAGCCCTCCTTTTCCACAGTTCCACATTTGCAGATTTAATTAACTATAAATCAAAAATATTCAGAAAAACAAAACAATAAAAAATACAAATTTGAAAAACTATACGGTATAGCAAGCACTTATGTAGCATGTACATTGTATTAGGTACTATAAGTAATCTGGAAATGATTTAAAGTATAAGTGAGGATGTGCATAGGTTCTAAGCAAATACTAAGCTTTTGTTTTAAATTTGAGACAGAACCTCCTCTGTTGCCCAGGCTGGAGTGTAGTGGCACAATCTCAACTCACTGCAACCTCCACCTGCTAGGCTCAGGCAACCTTCCCTGCCTCAGGCTCCCAAGTACCTGGGATTACAGGTGCTCACCACCACACCTGGCTAATGTTTGTACATTTAGTAGAGATGAGGTTTTGCCCTGTTACCCAGACTGGTCTTGAATTCCGGGGCTCAATCGATCCAACTGCCTCAGCCTCCCAAAGTGTTGGGATTACAGGCTTGAGCTACTGTGCCTGGCCTAAGCCATTTTATATAAGAGACTTAAGCACTGATAGACTTTGATATCCATGGAACCAATTTCCCCATAAATACTAACGGACAACTGTATGTATATGTGTGTTATTACATTTCCATTTTACAGATAAGAAAAACAAAATGCAAGAACTTAAGGTCACACAGTAAGTAGGTGAGCTGAGAATTAAACATGATCAAAACCTTTACCTTAACCCTTATATTACATGGTAGTGGTACTTAATAGGATTGTCATAAAGACCAAGTGAGATAATTCATGCAAATATTTAGCTCTGTGACTAGCACATATTAAGCACTCAACAAATTTAGCTACTATTGTTTGTTGTGGTGGTTCTGTATCCAGAATTATACATTTAATATTCATCACAAATTCTTCAGTTGAGGTCCTATTATTCCTATATTATAGATTTTTAAAAAGACTCAGAATTAATGATGTGACTGGGATTTCAAAGCAAGTTCTTGCTCCAAAAAACTGTCTTGTTCCAAATCCAAACTAAACGACCCCTATTTTCTATTTATTAATCTCCTTCTAACTCTATTCAAGAAAAGAATTTCAATCTGCCCTTGTTGGAAAAATTCCAGCCAAGCTCAGGAGCTAGATTGTGGTGGTTCTTTTGGAGGATTATGATGAGAGACAGGTGAAGAGGGCCCCACCCATGAGATGAAATGGATCTGGCAGGCCTTGAAGCTGCTTGGATCTCTGCAGGCCTAAGTACTAGTTTACATGGATTATAATAGAGCTAGGCCTGGCTAGAGGACCCTAACAAATGATATAAACTAAAACCCATTATGCCACTAAAAATAAACTACCGAATTGAGTCAGAGAAAAATCTCTCCATTAAACAGGGCTTGATGAAATTCTAACAAAAGTTCACACACAAGACCCAAAGACACAAGCAATAAGAAAAAGATAAACAAATTTGACTCAAATCGAATTTTTTAAGTATTTTTAAGCAGAAGATGTAACTAAGGCATCCTAGGCAAATGCAGCCTGGAAGTTGGCATTCACAGTGAGTATAACCGACAAGGAAGTGGTATCCAGAAAAACGTCTTTAAAGCTCCTACAAGTCAGTAAAAATAAGAAAAACTGCTCACCAGGAAAAACTGGGCCCAGATGTTCAGGCCTCCACCATAAGATCACAGGAAGGTTTGCATTTCACATCCTGTTTCTCAAGAAATATGGCCTACGCTTCTGTATTAGTCCGTTTTCAAACTGCTATAAAGATACTACTCAAGACTGCATAATTTATAAAGGAAAGAGGTTTTTAATTGACTCACAGTTCCACTTGGCTGGGGAGGCCTCAGGAAACTTACAATCATGGCGAAAGGGGAAGCAGGTGTGTCTTACATGGCAGCAGGGTAGAGAGATAGTGTGAGAGCGCAGGAAAAGCTACCATTTATAAAACCATCAGATCTCATGAAAATTCACTCACTATCACGAGAACAGCATGGAGGAAACCACCCCCATAATCCAATCACTTCACTCCTTCCACACATGGGGATTACAATTAGAGATGAGACTTGGGTGAGGACACAGAGCCAAACCATATCACCTTCAACTGAGCAATCTGCTCCTAGGTGTACATACCCTAACCTTCCAGGAGACATGAATCAGAATGTTCCCTGCAGCATTATTTGTAATAGTGAGCAATAAAAACACCTAGATGGATAAACAATTGGTGGCATATTCACAAAAATGAACTAGAGATAGTGGTATCTGCATGGATACATCTCATAAATATAATAGTTTAAAAAAGCAAATGGCATTTATTGTGGATCACGAGGTCAGGAGATCGAGACCATCCTGGCTAACACAGTGAAGCCCCATCTCTACTAAAAAAAATACAAAAAAATTAGCCGGGCGTGGTGGCAGGCATCTGTGGTCCCAGCTACTCGGGAGGCTGAGGCAGGAGAATGGCGTGAACCCGGGAGGCGGAGCTTGCAGTGAGCCAAGATCGCACCACCACACTCCAGCCTGGGCGACAGAGCGAGACTCCATCTCAAAAAAAAAAATTAAAATTAAAAAAAAAATAAATTATTCTCCAAACTTTTAGTAAGTCTGACATTTTTCATAATTAAAAAAACATAAAATCTTTTCTAATGAGAATTGTAGGGCCAGAGGCACAGAGGGTTCCTGGGGAAAGAATGTTCAATAAACAGCAAGCAGCAACTTTTTCCTGTGTCAAGTCTATTGGTCCTGCCAGGTGCCAGGAGCTGGAGGGTGATGAAAATGTTCAGACTCATTGCTGCCCTCAGATGGCTTGTGATCTAACTGGGTAAGAATCAAATCAGTGGCAATGCCAGTCAGGAGTGAAGCAACAAGGCCACAACAATATGTGGCAGTCACTCACCAGCCACCAGCCCACAGGAGCAGAGGCTCCTGGGACATCTGGCCACAGAGAAGTCAACACAACTGGCTCCTAAGCTGCAAGCTTCTTGAAGACATCTGAGTCCCTGTTCCCTCCCTACCCACATCTCCATACTTTTTATGGTTGGTTACATTTTTTGTTTTGTTTTGTTTTGTTTTGTTTTAGAGACAGTGTCTCGCTATGTTGCCCAGGCTGGTCTCAAACTCCTGGACTCAAGTGATCCTCTCTCATCAGCCTCCCGAGTAGCCAGGATTACAGGCAAATGCCATGCTGTTGGTGAAATTTTGTTTAATTTTTTATCTTTAATTATGATATATTTCAAGCATATGAAAAGGCACAGATGTAATGAACACCCGAGGACATCCTAGACAACAGATGTTAACATCATTTGCATTTGTTTTGGATATATTTTGTAATATATCAACATAGATGGAGCAAATCCTCACACCCTGACCCCAAGTCTTCCCGTTCCCTCCCACGCCGAAGGGAACCACTGTCCTAACACTATTTATCTCTCCCATGCATACTTTTGGACCTATAAACACAGAATATTGTAAGACAATGTAGTAAAACAATAGATTTCACACTTTTTACCACACTCAATCCATGAAAAGCATTTTATACTTTGACCCTGTAAACATGCACGCACACACACACACACGTGCATGCATATACGTAGACATATATACCTGTGTATGTGAGCGCATATGTAATCTGAAACAAAATTTTCATGAAATAACACTCTTAACTACTTGCGGTACATTCTGATTTTTTTTTTTTTTTTTTAAGATGGAGGCAAGAGAATCATTTAACCCGGGAGGCTGAGGTTGCAGTGAGCGGAGATTGCACCACTGCACTCCAGGTTGGGTTACAGAGTAAGTATCTTCCCATTTTCATGAAGTCAAATTTATCAAATTTCTTTTTTGCCTATGCTGTCCAGTTTAAAACATTTTTCCATATCCTGAAGTTGTAACAATTAGTCTATATTTTCTTAACATTTCAAAATTTTACATTCTATAGATTTTAATCCAGCTGGAATTGTGTATATATGCATGTGCACACATGTGTTACGTATAGTGAGGTGGGAATCCTATTTTTTCTTTTTTCATAGTTTATTGTTCAAGACCAATTTATTATTCTTTCTTCATACTGCTTTGAATGCTACTTGTGTCATAAACCAAATTCTTAATATACATAAGTCTTTTTCTACACTCTCCAGGCTGTCCCATTGGTAGCTTTTACTATTTCTATGCCAATATTACACTGTTTAACTTTCTATAGCTTGCAAAATTTTTTGAAATCTGAGGGCGTATTTCTCATTATCAGCATTATTATGATTAAGATTTTTGAAATTTATAACTGTTTCCTCTTTTATATGAATTTTTGGACCTATTTTGTCAAGTTCTGTGAAAAACTCTCTTGGACATTTTTGTTAGAATTGAATTAACTTTAATTTGATTTGGACAAAAATTGACATTTTATGTACAAAGACTTTTTATCCATGAATATATTTTGTCTCCCAACTACCTGGTCTTGTTTCATGTCTTTCAAAAAATTGTTTTCACCTTTTCTTTAAAGGTCTTATCCTCATATTTCTTTCTAGAAGTTCATAGTGTTTTTATTTTTTATTGATATATAATAGATGTGCATATTCAGTTTTTGTTGTTGCTATTGTTGTTTTAAATGTATTTTAAGTAAATTTTCTAAATTTTGCTACTGATTTTTTTGGTTTTATTGTCATTGTTGCTTTGAGACAATGTCTCGCTCTGTCACCCAGGCTGGAGTGCAGCAGTGCAATCACAGCTCACTGCAGCCTTGATCTCCTGGGCTCAAGCCATCCTCCCACCCCAGCCCCCTGAGTAGCTGGGACCACAGGCACATGCTACCATGTCTGGCTAATTTTGTTTTGTGGGTTTTTTTTTTTGTAGAAACGGGGTTTCACCATGTTGTCCAGGCTGGTCTTGAACTCCTGGGTTCAAGCAATCCACTTTCCTCAGCCTCCCAAAGTGATGGGATTACAGACGTGAGCCACTCCTAGCCTTTACTGATTATTTTGTATATTGCTCATTTCCAGTAACCTTACTAAACATTCTTGTTATTTCTAATATTTTACCTGTAGGTTCTCATAAATGTTCTATTTTGGCCATCAAATAATCTCAAATAATGATAATTTTTTTTCTTTTCAGCTTTTTCTTTTTTCTACAACCATGACAATCCCAACTCAGCTCATAGGGACTAACAAGAAAGTGGACTCTACAGTCTCTATAGCAACACTGGAGTGGAGGAGGCAAGCTAACTCTAAGTTGTTATGTTGATGGTGGCTGATCATCAGGCATGTTTAGTACCAAAGTTCTCGAACATGTATGCTTGAATGTACACCCTACATGATTTCTTTGTAATGTTCTTTTTCCATCCCATGACTCCACCCAAATTCTCCACTCACTATCTCCCACTGTATGGTTTTATGGGGCTGCTCATCCAAGGACCGTACTGGTACAGTATTCTCAATTCCTTCCATTATCATATTGTTATAATAAAAATGTTATTTTTGTATCCTAGGTAACCCAATTTGGTGTCTGCATTGTTTTTCCTTCATGATAATCCTAATGCCAGCTGGCATATTTTATAAGGGTATATAAACTGTACTAAGTTCAGTGGGCTGACATACGCAAGAACAAGATGTAAGCATTCTGTTTTCTCTTTCCAAGACCTGTATTTTGGAATTTTTTACTTTGAGTTGCTTTTTTTAGGGACTGGTGGAGGTGTTGTTGAATTGTTGGTGTTGTTGTATGTTTGTGTTTTATTTTGGTGACAACCTGTTATCCTCAGTTTTAGTCTACTTATTTCTGAAATCTGAACATAAACACAAATATGTTTCATTGTCAGTGTTACTCCCATTCCTTTTCATAATGTATTATTCTTTCATTGTGGCTTTTTTGTTTTTTATTTATTTGTTGAAACAGAGTCTTGCTCTCTTGTCCAGGCTGGAGTGCAGTGGCACAATCACAGCTCCTTGCAGCCTTGACCTCCTGGGCTCAAGCGACCCTCCCATGTCAGCCTACTGAGTCGCTGGGACTACAGGTATATACCACAACACCAGCTAGTTTTTTATTTTTTGTAGAGGCAGGGCCTCCATATGTCACCCAGACTGGTCTCAAACTTCTGGGCTCAATTGATCCTCCTGCCTCCTGCCTCAATCTCCCAAAGTGCCGGGATTATAGGTGTGAGCCACCACACCCAGCCTGTGTATCTCTTTAATCATTTAAACATCCCTATCTTTGATGGTCTCTTTCAAATTGTTTTTCTATGATCTAGGGTTTGAGGTTGCTGACCTCCCTACAAGTGTCTGAAAACTCTTGTTTATGGTGGGTCTATCAGATATATTGTAATTTTTTACTGAACGCTCATCTTCAACTGAGCTTGATTTTTCGATGGAAATCTTTTATGACCAGAGTGATTTTCCATCTATGTCAGCATGTATCCTCAGCAGTAACATACACAGGCCCACTCTTCACGTGCATCTCTTAATTTATGATGTTCATAACTCACAGACAGTATAAATTCAGTCTTCCAACCTCTCAAAGCATATACTTGGGATTTTACTTTCTCACAAAAGGATTTTATTTTTTCACCCAGAACCTAAGCACAAGCAAACTTTCTTGGCATCTTCCCAATTCAATGGGTGGATTTTTTATCCTAGTCCCTCTTTCCCTAAGAGTTCAGTCCTGCAATTGCTCCAGGTTTTGCTTTCTTGTTTAGGCTCCTGCATGGCACTAGCCCAAGCCTCTGATTCTCATCTCTGCATGGACCTTACCCCAGCCTAATAACAGCACAGACACATCCACACCCCAGGTCTGCTGTGGAGCTGCTCACCACTTCCAGCTATGTTTTTCCATTCCCTCTTCAGTCCCAGCAATTGGACTAATTTGGTTTCCCTTCATCCTGCATTTCTGTGTGTTTGGAGTAGGAGGGTTCCACATTAGTCTGCTCCTCTCCAGCCCCATTTTCCTCCTCAGAGGCCCTCAAAACCAACCAGGCCTTAAAACCTCTGATAGAAGCCAGAATCAGATGCCTGTGGGGTCTAGGGTAAACCCTGCCTGCAGAAAGTATCTCCAGAATTTGGCTGAAATCTTTCTGGGAAGAAGAGACTGAGCTTGTTTGATTATTAACTGGACAATTTCTGCTTAACAACTACCTTTCTGTTCTTGTGCTGGAACAGAACCAGAATGCTTCTTCCCTGCCAATTTCAGGGGATGAGATCATCTTTGCAAGGCCCTTGGAGAGACATTAAGTCAGGGATCTTTTCAAAAGAAATGCATGTGGCATGTGAGATTTGAAAGAACTATGGGTGCTTTCCTTGAAAAACAAACCCAATGGGGTTTTGTTGTTGTTGTTGTTTTGGGTAGGAAGCTTCCCAGTTTTTTGTTTCTGCTTTTAAATAAAAGTAGCAATAAGCCAGGGAGATTGGCCCTTTGTGGAGGGAACACATATCTACATGGGTGCAGGTGAAGAGTCACAGCTGAATACTCTGGCAGTGTTTGAAACTGTTTCTTTCAAACAGGATTGGTGTGCAAAGTCAAGAGGAAAGTCAGCAAGTATCTCAGGAAAGGACAGTCATGGAAAACAGAGCCCAGATTTTAAAGTCCGTGAGGGAGACCCACACCGTACAGACTCTCTAAGTAATGGCTTTCTTCCACATAGACGTGAATGTTTAAAGGCCAGTGAACACCACCCCTATGCACTCAGGCCTAAGCTTAATCAGCCCAAGGCTAAGTGTGCAGAAATCTCCTTAATAGAATTCCTGGCTTTAGATTTACTGACATCTTCCCTCCATGGTCTTGTGCCAAGGAAAAGTTTGGGTAGTCTGTCATCCACACCTTGGTGTGAATTTAACCCAATGTATTATTTGTCCAAAGATGTTGTCTTTTGAAGATTATAATCTCAGTGAGATAAAGATTTGCCTAAAATTATATGGTGCAGAGCAAGACCCTTCAACTCCAAATCCCAAGTTCTTTCCTTAGGAAGAACGGGATGGAGCCTCTTCACTGGGCTATGAGGTCCAGCCAAGCCTGCAGTCTCATGCTTTCTCAGACTATGGGTATGACTGCTCTGAGCAAGCAGTGATAATAAACATGCCCAGGGTCGATTTCTGCCACCTCAGCCTCTGAATTCACATCTCCCACAAGTCACTTCTTTCCTCTAAGGGATTTCTACTTCATGATAAAATGTCTTTAGGGAACCATTAGCGAATTCCTTGCTATCCCTTAGGGACCTTTCAGCATCCCAGGGAAACAACCAAAGGAATTTTCCTCAAACAGTTTCATTCACATCAGTCCAAATCCCAAGGTACTAAACTCTCAGGAGGGTGTTAATCTCACGAAGAGCTTCTATAAAGTTGCTGGAACCCCGTCCACAATTTCTGCTGATGGGTGAGTCTATGGGCCCATGTCTGTAACGCATGACCCCACACTCCGGCCAGAGCTGACCGAAACCTGAGTGGAAACCTGGCCCAGGAGAAACAAATCCACTGGTTGGCCTGAGCCACTTAGATTCTCCCTCTCAAAAGAGAGGCCCCGAGGATAAGATGGAGCGAGGCACTGGATCTGGAATTCCATGTCATGCCAGAGCCAGTCATGTCATACCAGTGCCATGGTGAACTGAGCCAAATGCAAGGTGCAGCCAGATGCCCATACACCTGGGAAGGCAGGCCGCACCTCATCCTGAGGTCAGCCAGAGCCAGCAGGCAAACCACATGAGGATTCACATGCTTCATCCTGCACCAGATACCAGGTAGGAACAGAGGAGGGCCAACACAGAGATCCTGGAGGACGAGTAATTACCCCATAAAGGCAAAGGCCCTCACAATTACAATGCATTTGGTGTTGACGGCTGCCACAGAAGTGGTTGTGAGGGCAGAGGGAATGAGCAAATGCATGAAGGGTAGCCACATGGTGAGAGCAATTAGGAACCATGTAACATGGTGTCTTAGTCTGTTTGGGCTGCTATAACAAAATACCATAGGCGGGGTAATTACTTATGAACAACAGAAAATGTATTGCTCACAGTTCTGGAGGCTGAGAGGTCCAAGACTGTGGCACCAGCAGACTCAGTTTCTGGTGAGGGCTCTCCACGTCAAAGACGGCATCTTGTTGCTGCGTCCTCACATGGTGGAACAGGCGAGGCAGCTCCCTTCAGCCTCTTTTATAAGGCCTCTAACCCCACTCGTGAGGGCTCTGACCTCATGACCTAATCACTTTCCAAAAGGCCCACCTGTTACACGATCGCATTGGAGCGTGGCTGCCGACACGTGACTTTTAGAGGCACATCAAATTCAGGTCATAGCGTATGCAAAAGACCACCTGGCTGTCACCTCACTTTCCATTTTTCTCCAGATACTTCTTTTTTATTTTTGAAATAGGGTCTCTCATTCTGTCACCTAGGCTGGAGTGCAGTGGTGCAATCACAGCTCATTTGCAACACTGACCTCCCAGGCTCAGGTGGTCCTCCTACCTCAGCCTCCCAAGTAGCTGAAACTACAGGCGCACGGCACCATGCCCAGCTAATTTTTTGCATTTTTAGTAGAAATGGGGTTTCACCATGTTGCCCAGGCTGAACTCCTGGGCTCAAGCAATCCACCCGCCTCGACTTCCTAAAGTGCTGGATTACAGGCATGAATCACCGTGCCTGGCCTTCTCCAGATATTCCTGATTTTCCTCCTTATAACAGCTAAACTTACCACACCTGCCCTTTGCCCCTTCACTCTCAGGTGGAGATCTGCCTCCTCTGTCAGTGAAAAGATGATCACCCAAGAGGAGATCAGCTGGTGCCCTTCCCTGTGCCAAGTCCTTGTTTCATCACTCACTATCCTTTCCTTCTCATCTGCTATAAAAACATGCCTCCTCCTTCACAAAGCTGAGTCTTCCATGTCTTGTGTTGATCCTGAGGCCTTGGACCTCTGGGATTCTTCATCCATCGCCCACTCTCCCTCTTTTGCATCTTCAATCTCTCTGTCTCTGACAGGGCCTTCCTCTCTGCCTGCAAATGTACTCCAGGGTCTCCAATCCTAAATCCCTTTCCTCAATCCCAGTGTTCACTCTGGCTACTTCCTGGCTTCCCTCATTCTCTTCATAGTCCAACTTTTTGGAGGAGTCGTCTAACACTTTCTCAAGCCTCACTCATCTCTCAATTCACTATGCCCATCAAATTGGGAATATTTTGAGAATTGCTCTTGGACACAGAGCTCTCAATTGCAAAAGTGGATGTCCTGGTTCCAATTCCTTCTCTTACAACATCTAGCATTGTCGACCATGTCCTCTCTATTGGTCATTGCCAAACAGAACACAGATGGCACACACAAGCTGGTTGCTTTGCCCAAACAAGCCCATACCTCCAAAAACAGTCCCCTCACTAACAAGGAATGGTGCAGTATACCAGGGCCAGTAACAGAGAAAAGCTACCAGCACCAGAGAGAGTGAGCTATGTTGAGAAGAACCCCCACCCCAACAAGCTGGGGCCTGCATTGGAGAGTAAGGGTCAGGGAAACACACACCCCAATCTACTCATCTCCTTCCAGCACCCTCCTGCAGGGCTCCCCATTGGCTTGAACCCAACCACAGTCCAGAAGGTGAGAGAGCCATTGCTGACAGTCCTAAAGGTACTCCTCCTGGCACAGTGAGAAGAGCTGGGGGTGGCGGACCTCGAGGCAAACAGGAGGAAGCAGCACGCCCCACTCTTCCCACTGACTCTTCTCGCTTAGTTTTTGTCATACTGACTCTTCTGGAAAAATCGGAGTGCCTCAAATGCAACACATCCAAAATAAAACTCATCTCCTCCCATCAGACTCTCGCCCACATTCCCACTCTCCACTAACGGCAGGCACCTGTGACTTCTTCACGTCATTGACAGCCTTGCAGTAGAGACGTCTCCTGGGAGCTTGTTAGAAATGGGGACTCTCAGGCCCTACCCAGACCTACTGGATCAGAATCTGCATTCTAATACCACACCCAGGGGGCTTGTGCACATGTTAAAATCCAGAAGTGCTAGTTTACAGTACATTTCACAACCACTCCTCCTTTCCTTTTCACATTGTGTTAGCACATGCCAAAGTTAGAGGCTTAATATTAAAACAGAAAGAAGTGCTGGGCGCAGTGGCTCACGCCTGTAATCCCAACACTTTGGTACGCAGAGGCGGGCGGATCACCTGAGGTCAGGGGTTTGAGACTAGCCTGACCAACATGAAGAAACCCCATCTCTACTAAAAATACAAAATTAGCCGGGCGTGGTGGTGCATGCCTGTTAATCCCAGCTACTCGGGAGGCTGAGGCAGGAGAATTGCTTGAAACCAGCAGGCAGAGGTTGTGGTGAGCCGAGATCACACCATTGCACTCCAGCCTGGGCAACAAGAGCAAAACTCCATCTCAAAAAAAAGAAAGAAAGAAAGAATTACATGAATCGGGGCCTTGTGGAATCCTCCATAACCCCAATTTATTGCTTTGGACTTTGTCACAGGATGCTGCTTTAAGGATGCTGTGCTTGTAGACTTGACTTTGTGCCTTCTTATTGTTTTATGAAATCTATACCTATCCCCTCATTCCTTCTTTCCTTTATCCTTGGAGGATCATGAAAGGCACCTAGATTGCCCTTTTTGTGTAAAAAAGTAAAAGACTATGTTGAATATTCAAAATGAGAAGCCCATCATTTGAAAATGTTTCAGATGACATTTGCCATGTAGAAACACATCACCCTGTTCAATCGTGTCAGGATTTGTATCTGTCCAAGTGTCAGTTTCCTCATCTACAAAATGGGGAGATGATAGTAACTCCTTTATAAGTGTAAGGATTAAATGTGGCAAAATATGTAAAATATGCCCTCCAAATGGACAATGCTCAAATATTCATTGAATAAAAAAAGGAAGGTATTTAACATATCTGAGGTCAGGTGCGGTGGCTCACGCCTGTAATCCCAGCACTTTAGGAGGCCAAGGCAAGTGGATCACCTGAGGTCAGGCATTCAAGACCAGCCTGGCCAACATGGTGAAACCCTGTCTCTACTAAAAATACAAAAATTAGCCAGGAGGTGGAGGTTACAATGAGCAGAGGCTGTGCCACTGCACTCTAGCCTGAGCAACAGAGTAAGACTCCATCTCAAAAAAATAAAATATCTGAGCTTCAGTTTATGTAATGTAAATGTAAAATGAAGACTACAATACCAAGTTCAGTAAATGTTCATTCTTATACTCTCCCACAACCCACACACACGCTCACACACATGCACACACCTACACTCATGTGTGGACACACACACATGCATGCACACAGGCACACACATGAGCACAAACACACACATACACATGCATGCACACAATCAAAACCACATGCACATGCACTACACACAAAACAGCAGGAACTCTAGCTGCTTTCCCCTGGTGTCTCCTGCCGGGCTGCCTGCCCTCTGGAATTACTCTCCTGGATGGCCGCAGAGCCTCCACCCAGCACAGCCACCACTCTCCTGGTACCCCCCCAACCCTCTTTCCACACCAGCCACAGTGATCTTTCTAAAATACAACCCTGACTGTTTCATGCCTGCTTGAAACTCTCACACTGCAGCCAGGCCAAACCCATTCTGCACCCCCATACACATTACATCTCCGGCCTGGTACCCCCTCCTCTGAGCACCCACAGCAGGGGACACAAACCTCCGATGTCACCCTGTCTTTCTCCCTTTAGACTGCAAGGGTTGCTCCAGGGCAGGGACCTGCCACATCTGATTTTGTGGTGTCAGCGTCCACTACCCCGAAGGCCAGAGCACCGCCAGGGCTCCAGAAACGCTGTTGCTAAATGCTGGTTGCAGCAGAGCATGAGAGGTGCTGCCCTCGCACCCACCCAACCAAGGCAGCCCCAGGATCCCCAGCGCGCACAAGATACACGAGTTCCACCAGAAGGACCTCATCGCCTCCTGTTCCCAATGGCAAACCGAGCACCCAGACATTTTAGGCCTTGTCCTGGGAGTGTGGAACTGCGGCGCCAAGCACAGAACACATGGTGTGGTCCTCTCCAGATGCCGGCTCCTCTGTCTGCAGCAGCCCTTGAATGCCCCACCCAGAACTCCCTTGTTCAGCGCTCCGGCCGTGCCTGTGTCAGGAGGCTCCTGAGCAATGCCCAACCCCTCCCTGCTGATCCCACACACATTTTCCTTCTCCTTCCTTCAAAGCAAAAAAACAAATGCCCTTTCCAAAAGGCAGTAATGTAGCGTGAGGGTGGGGGTTGCTGGCCTAGAAATAAAGATCTAGACTCCCTTTCCCCAGACTGAGCACGGCCCCACAGGCAGCACCTCCTGGGCACCCCACAGAGGGTAGGTCTGACCGAGATGCCCTGTAGATGCCAGCATCACAGTGCCCCGTGAGTGAATGGGCAAAGAGGGTGAAATGAGCAGAGGTGGACGTGAGTCAAAGCAGGCTCTGTCATCACAGCTGCCTGAAGGAAGAGGCCACAGCCTCTCCTCTCCATCTGCCTTCTCTATAACAGGTCCCATCAATGCAAATGCTGTAACACCAACATCAAATTTACATTTACCTAGAGAAAGCCTGTTGCGGCCTGACACTGTGCAAGGGGATTGGGAGAGGGATAGAGGGAGGCTTCAAATACAAGACCTGACCAGGCTTCTGCCCTCAAATATCTGTGAGCTCTACCCAGGACTGGGCAGCAAAGTGGAGCTGAAAGAATTAGACAACAAGGCTTTCCCTGGTGAGGCTTCTGTCTCACTGCAGGCAGAGCATAAGGCCCACACGAGGGCAATGAAGATCCCTATGAGGCAAGATGGAACCAGGAACCAGATTGCGTGCCACAGACATTGCCTGCTCGCGAACTTCAGAAGAGAAAGGGAAGAGCCAGGAAGGTTCACGAAGGGGCACCTGCAAGGATGGATGGGCTGGTAGGATGGGGTTTTCAGATGGGGAACAGCACATGCAAAGACACAGAAGTGTGATTTGTCATGTGCGTCTGCAGGAAAGACACTGTCCCCACGGACATGGACGTTTGCTCATGGCATTGGTTAGGACTTATTTTGACTGATGATTCACTTTGAAATCAGCCCTGCCAGGGCTCCATGTGGCTTAGGAGCCTGGATAGGGTAAGTCATCTTCCTTGCCCAGCCATGTAAACAAACCACAGAGCAAGGCCAAACCACCAGGGCGAGTCAGAGCAAGGAGAGGGAAGGCAGCCCTAAGAACCACTGCGCTTTTCTTCTTCAGAGGCCAAGGAGAAACCCTGGCCCTTCACACACATGCGCAACCTCACCATCTGTGTCTGAAAATGCTGAAATCAACACAAGTGGGAAAGACAGCTACCGGGAAAGGCAGGGGGAACTGCATGGACCTGTGTCTGCTTATTTCTCCACCTCCTAACCTCTGATTGACCAAAGTTCCCTGCAAGACAAAATATCCAAAGCCAAAAGAGAACTCAGTGGCTATTTAGCAAGTATGGTGAGATGCTTTTAAAATGACTCCCAATAACCCCCAGCTCCTGGTATTTGTGCCCTGGTTAGTCTCCTCCCCTTGCATGGGGGCTAGACCTACGGAGCTGCTTCTAATTAAGAGAATACAGCAAAATCATGCTTGGGGTATAAAAGACTGACCACCCTCCTGCTCACACTCTCTCTGGCCCCTCCAGTGTGCTCACTCTGGCTGCTACTGTGAGCTACCCTACAGAGAGGCCCCCATGGCAAGGAACTGAGGTGGCCTCTGGCCAACAGCCAGCGATGAGCTGATTCTCACCAACACTCAGCGAGTGCACTTGGAGGAGGATCCTACCCTGGAGAGCCTTGAGATGACTGCAGCCCCAGCTGAGGCTTTAATCGCAGATTGTGAGACCCTGAGCCAGAGAACCCTGTCAAGCCATTCTGTATTCCTAACCCACAGAAACTATGAGATAATAAATGTTATTTTGAACCACTAAGTTTCAGGGGAATCTGTTATGCAGCAGGAGATAACAAATACCTTTCAATCAGGCTTTCGGGTCTAATAAACAAGATCGTGTGTGTGCCTGAGCTAATGGCTTATGGCTGATAGGATCAGAAATGTCCCCAAATCTCAGTCTCTTCCCCGTCTTCATTGTTAATTAGCATGTCTCCTGGTGAGTTATCTTTTTATTTTTATTTTTATTTGAGACAGAGTCTTGCTCTGTCTCCCAGGCTGAAGTGCAGTAGTGCAATCAGGGCTCACTGCAGCCTTGACTCCCTGAGCTCAAGTGATCCTCTCGCTTCAGCCTCCCGAGTAGCTGGGACCACAAGCGCACATTACCATGCCTGGTTCATGTTTATATTTTTTGTAGAGAGAGGGTCTCACTATATTGCCCAGCATGGTCTTGAATTCCTGGCCTCAAGTGATGCTCCAGCCTTGGCCTTTTGAAATGCTTGAATTACAGGCATGAGCCACCTTGCCTGGCCAAGAATTGCTTTACATTTTGTTTGTAGAAGTGCCAGGTGAAGCAGAAATTTCTACAGGACACCAGACTTTTTCATATGTAGGCAGACACTACAAGTCCCTTTGGAGTATATCTTTCTCCTCACAGGAGCCAGCAGACCAGCTGTTTGCAAATGTGCAGAGGGTAGGCACTCACAGTCCCAGGCTGGGGTCATAGTCAACAACAGCTGACCAGGAAGGATGCTGGCTCATACATCCTCCCCCAGGGAAGCTCCTGGTCCTGAGGAAGGGTGTGACAGAACCCTGCGTGCTTGACAAGGCTTTCCCCACCCTGAGACTCCTTGACAGGCATTGTTCTGGAAAAGGGTAGAGCAGCTTGCCCTTGTCCCAAGGGCAGAGCCCAACCTCTTGTCCAAAATCTGGCAACATGGACAGGATGGTCTTCCCCCAAGATCAAAGCAGGAAAAGACACCAAGGGCTCTGAAAAGGAATTTGGGAGGGAAAGAGAAAGGAGGTGTTTTGTTTGTTTTTGGAAGGGCGGGGGATGATGATCTGGACTTGATAAGGAAGCCTGGGCCCCCTGGACCTGGGGCTGAGACCAGAACCTTCCAAGACCCTCCTATTCCAGAGGGAGGTGGAGCTCTGGGCACTCCCGTCTTGGCAAGGTATAAAGCTTTGCAGGCCAGTGACAAAGCTTGTGAATGTGACCTCAGAGAGGTAACACATAGAGCCCAGCGTGGGACTTCATGAGTTCAGTTCTGGGTATAGAGTTTAAGGTGACATCCAAGCCAAATGTCCAGTGCTTGAATAGACAAGCCTTGAAAGTATGAGGGTTCAAAACTGAAGATAGGGAGTTTTTTTAAATTATGGTAACATACATATAACATAAAATTTACCATTTTAAGTCAGACAGGGTGGCAGGTAGTTCCAACTACTCAGGAGGCTGAGGTGGGAGGATTGCTTAAGCCCAGGAGTTTGAGACCAGCCTGGGCAATATAGTGAGATTCCAGAGACCCTGTCTCAAAAAAAATACCATTTTAACCATTTTAAGTATATAGTTCAGTAGTGTTAAGTACATGCACATTATTGTGCAACCATCACTACCATCCACCTCCAGAACTCTTCATCTTGCAAAACCGAAACTCTGTCTGTACTCATTAAGCAATAACTCCCCATTCCCCCCTCTCTCCAGCCCCGGTAACCTCTGTTCTACCTTCTACTTTATTCTCTATGAACTTGCCTATTCCAGGTACCTCGTGTAAGTGGAATCATACAATATTTGTCCTTTTGTGTCTGACTTGTTTCAGTTAGTATAATGTCTTCAAGGGTCATCCATGTTGTACCATGTGTCAGAACTTCATTGCTTTTTCAGGCGGGGTGCAATGGCTCACACCTGTAATCCCAGCACTTTGGGAGGCCGAGGCAGGAGGATCACCTGAGGTCAAGAGTTAGATACCATCCTGGCCAACAGGGTGAAACCCTGTCTCTACTAAAAATACAAAAATTAGCCAGGCATGTTGGTGGGCACCTGTAGTCCCAGCTGAGCCAGGTGAATTGCTTGAACCCAGAAGGCGGAGGTTGCAGTGAGCCAAGATGGTGCCATTGCACTCCAGCCTGGGCAACAGAGCAAAAACTCCATCTCAAAAAATAAGTAAATAAATCAATAAATCAATAACCTTTATTGCTTTTTAAGGCTAAATAATATTCCATTGCATGCACACACACCTTTTGTTTATCCATTCATCTGTTAATGGACATTTGGGTTGTTTCCACCTTCTGGCTATTATGAATAATGCTTCTATGAACATGGGTGCACAAATGTTTATTCAAGTCCCTGCCATCAATTACTTGGGATATATACCTAGAAGTGGAATTGCCAGATCCTATGGTAATTCTATGTTTAATTTTGGGTGAATTGCCAGACTGTTTTTCGGACACGCTACACCGTTTTACATTCCCACCAGCAATGCACAAGAATTCCAAATTCTCCACATCTGTACACTTGTTTTGAGTTTACTTAAAACAATGGCTATCTTAAGGATTGTGAAGTGGTATCTCATCATGGTTTTTATTTACATTTCCCTAGTGATTAGTGATGTTTTGTATTGTTTCATGTGCTTACTGGCCATTTGTATAAAAGATATGAATTTTTTTGAGTTATCAGCAGATAGATGCCAATTAAAGTCATGGGTGGCACCCATGGCTGCTTTCCCACCCACTTATTATCTTCTCTTTCTTTCTTATTAACACCACGACCCCTGGTTTTGTTTTGGTCTGCACTGTGCCCAGCTAAATAACTCATTTCCTATGACACTGTAGTACCTAGGGCAGGCCACAGGACCTGGTTGTGAAATGGGGGTGGAAGGCACTGGGAGGCCTCCTGAGATAGCCTTTATAAAATGTAACAGACTCAGTCAGCACCCTCCCTTTGCCTCCTGCCCTTTTCCCTTTTCCTTCTTCATGCCTGGAATGTAGACGTGATGCCTGAGGATGTGGCAGCCATCTTGCACCATGGGAAAATAGCCACACATTAAAGATGGCAAAGCAGAATACAGAAGGGGCCTAATGAGCCCTGGTCTTGGCCAGCCCCCAGACTCCCTGCTTCATTAGAAATTAACCCCCTGCTTGTGCTGGCCACTATTTGCTGGGTTTCTGTTACATGCAGCTAAACACAATCCTAACTGGTTTATCCTAGAAGTGGATCTGCTCAGAATAAGTGTATGGAGTGGAAGGAGAAAATAAGATGAAAGTGCCCTGGGAAATGCTGAGAGATAATAGAAGGCAGAAAAGGGCCAGGCGCAGTGGCTCACACCTGTAATCCCAGCACTTTGGGAGGCTGAGGTGGGTGGATCACCTGAGGTCAGGAGTTCAAGGCCAGCCTGGCCAATATGGTGAAACCCTGTCTGTACTAAACATACAAAAAAAAAAAAATTAGCTGGGCATGGTGGTGGATGCCTGTAATCCCAGCTACTCAGGAGGCTGAGGCAGGAGAATTGCTTGAACCCAGGAGGCAGAGGTTGTGGTGAGCTGAGATCGTGCCATTGCACTCCAGCCTGGATAACAAGAGCAAAACTCCATCTCCAAAAAAAAAAAAAAAAAAAAAAAAAAGGAAGAAGAAAGCAGAAAAGGAGTCATTCATAGCAGGGGCTGTCTATGAGTGACTACAATTAATGTAGAAAACATGAGGCTATAAAAGCAAATAAGTGAAGGACACAGAGTATTCCAGGAGAGAGTATCAACGTGCTGGAAGCTACAGAGACAGCCAGTAAGGGAGGCTCTGAAAAGAATGAATTCAACAAAAAAAGACCACTGGTCTCAGAGGAGTGTCAGGGAATAGCTGTACTGCCTAGGGTTGAGGAGTGAATGGAAGTGAGGAAAAAGGGAAAAGAGTTTAAGGAAGAGGAAGGGCAGGTGCTAACAAGGAGCGTGCGGCGTGTGCAGTCAAAGGAGGTGCTTTTTTAAATGAGAAGCCCATGACATGCTGATGGATAGAATCCAGAAGAGAGGCAGAGGCTGACAATTTAGAAGACAACACAGAACTGTCTCCTTCCATAATAATAGAATCCCCTGGCTTTTAAGTGGGCATTTAATTAACCAACTAGAGTCTACATTTCCCAGCCTGCCATACAGCTGGGTTGCTTGTGTGACTTATTTTGAGCCAATGATATCTCAGCAAAAGTTAGGTGTGAAATTTCAAAGCTATTTGCTTGAAGACATCTGCTATGGACACATCCTCTCCCTTCCTGTTGGCTGGGAAATTGCAGCAACTACTTTTGACCTTCAGATTTTAAACAGACAAATTGTACTGTATGAAAATAATACCTTTTTCATTGAGATGAGGTTTCACTATGTTGCACAGGCTGGTCTCCAACTCCTAGCCTCAAATGATCCTCCTACTTTGGCCTCCCAAAGTGAAAATAATACCTACATAAAAAATAATTAAAATGAAATGTTGATCCTTCATTTATAACAACAATAAGGAAAGAAAAGAGTGGTTATCATTTTTCAAGACATATTTTGTAAAATAAAAAGCTGGGAAATTTATATGAATCCCCAATTTTTTCCAAAATTTTCAGGGCTGAGAAATTAACAAGTCTGAGAACCATTGTATTCATTATCTATAGCTGTGTAACAAATTATTCCCAAATTTTGCAGTTGAAAATAATAAACATTTATTTTCTCACAATTCCTGTGAGTCAAGAATCTGAACTGGTGTAGCTGGGTCCTTGGGCTCAGGGTCTGTGATGAGGCTGCAGTCAGCTGGGATGTGGTCTCATCTGAAGGCTCATCTGAGGGAGGAGGGCTCACTTCCAAGCCCTTCATGTGGTTATTGGCAGAATTCAGTTATTTACAGGCTATTGAACCAAAGAACTCAGCTCCTTGCCTCACAAGTTTCTCCGCAGGGCAGCTCACAACACAGTACCCAGCTTTCAGCAGAGTGAGCAAGTCAAAGAGCAGGACAGGGCAAGCAAGATGGAAGCCAGGGTCTTTTTAGAGGCTGCCTACAGAGCCTCCTGCTGCCTGCCTCCTCCTCCCAGATGCAGGAGGGCCAGGTTTGGCAGGGTGGTGAGCCTTCTCCAGTGTGACAGGAGAAAAGGAGAGGCTAGGAGCCACCATGCCTCTTTGTGCAGGTGAGTCGATGGGAAGCTGAGGGATGGTGGATTGCTGGCTTCTATTTTCACCCCAAATTAGGGCAGCCACCCAGAATTGAGGGCAGGCAGTTGGGGAAGGGGGTGGTAGGAGAATTGAGAGGAATGGGGAGCTTTCAAATAGCTAGGGTGGAGAATAGGAGACAGATGAGAGGAGAGAAAGCCATGGAAAGTGATGCTGTAGCTTGGACCCAAACCTGGAGAATTTTTAAACTCTGCATAAGCTGTACTTCAAGGATCCAGCAGTTTACTTCCATATGAGTTGATGCCTAAATTCACCCCAGAGTCAGATTTGCCCTTTTCTAGGAAAACCATCTTGAGTGAAGCAAATGCCCACATTATCCCTGAAGGTAACTGCGAAGCCTCCAGGAATCTGAACGCAGATGTTCCAGGCAGACATGAGTGCTGCCTGATCTGAGGGTGGGTGGAGGGAAAGGAATGCACTGAGCTCCCGACATCCCCCCGTGCGCGGCTGATACCCGAGTGCGCTGATAGCAGCTGTGGCTCTGTGGAGCGCAGCCTGCAGGGCCCAGGGTGGGGCTGTCGCTGAGGGTGGGGCTGCTGTCGCTGAGGATGGGGCTACTGTCCCTCTCTCTCTCCGCAACTGGATGAACCCCACTGTCAAGTGTCCTAGGCACAGACAGACCAAGGCACAGAAATGAGAGGATCTGAGTCCCGGGCTGCAGGAAAAAGGAATTTCCTCTTCTCTTTGGGCCCGGGGACAAAGTAAAGGCTGTCCCAAAGGTGAATGGAAGTCCTCATCCTCTCTCCTGAATATAGAGAGCAGGTAGAACCCTCTCTCTGGGGGAGAGATGATGGCAGCTACAACTCTGCGGGGGGTCCCCATCTCCCCAAGGATGCTCCTATGGCCCTAGTAGCCACCACCCTGGGAGGTGGACTGCACCTCACTGCCCTGTGCTTGTCCAAGCCTCCAGGACGGTCCTGCTAAAAATTTCAGCCTGATCTCAGCTGCGTTACAGGGCCTTGGAGAAAAGCCTCCTCATCCCCTTGCCCAGAATACCAGAAGGGACAGCAGCGTCCCTCTTCCAGCCCAGGGCAGCCACGTGCTGACACGATGCAGAGGCCAGAGCCCAGAGCCCTGGACCACACACGACCAGTTCTTCTAAGACAGCAGGCTGAGCAAGGCCTGGGGAGTTGAGGCATGCTGCAGCAAGGGGTGGGGGGGGGGGGGGCGTTGGAGGTGAGGGTCCTGAATGGGCAGGTGGCATGTGAAGTGGATTGAAATGGGAGCTTATATTAGCAGGTGGCTGCTGAGGGTCACATGTACTGGTCAAGTCATTGCAAGCTGGTCAGGCACTGGGGTGGGCAATGGGTGGGGCAGTCAAGACTGAGGCATGGTCAACCCATTTCTGCCTGCAGTTTTGTGTGGCTGGGACATCCCACTGGCATCTCCTAGCCCAGCTCCTTTCGGACAGCTCTGCAGTCAGACCTCAGACAAGCTGCCAGTGGGGGTTAGCGGGAGACCTGGCCACCTGAGAGGCTGCGCGACTTCCCTTTCTCTACCAGGGCCGTCGCTCCTGGAGCAAGAAGCCGGCATAAGTGGGACCTCGAGGTCCAAAGCGACCTCAACATCAAAGAATTCAGCACTGTTTTGAATAGCCTGAACCAGCTTCCAAATCAATGCAAAATCCACTCACCTAGGGGCCTCGTCTTAGCTTAGCCCTTGTCACCCCCAGCCCGGGACCCTGAGGCGACAGCAGCTCACCTTAGAGACACCAACATTCTTTTCTGGTCCCTAATGCGCTGTGGACAGGGAAACAACCCAGCCTCGCTGACCTCAGCCATCTTCCTGTGCCAAAAAAAAGGAAAGGAGCCAAAAGGAAGAGAGGCGGGAGAGACCACATTTTAAGGAGAAAGATATTTACAGATAGGCTCCCTCTCCTGCCTTCAACCCCTGAGCTATAAAGCCTTGAAACGTTGCAATTTGCAATCAAATGTCAGACACAAAACCTTCTGGCTGGAGATGCAGCCGTGCCAGCTTCCTGAATTCTCTCCTCAATGTCGGCTGCGTGGGGATTTAAACTCATTTAAACTGGTGGGCCTGGGACCGGCTGTATCCATCAAAAACCAGGAAGGGGAGCCGGCGCGGGGCGTGCACAGCTGTAGGAGGGCTCTCTGTGTGCGAATCCAGGCCCTGAGTTCGCACGCCCACCTGGGGCGGTGGTCCAGCCGCCAGGAACCCGCTTCCCAGCCGCTCCCCCTCACGCAGGAAGCCGGGACTCTGGGCGCAGCTCTCCCGGACCACGGCCACGTCCTGGCTCCAGCTACGGAGGCAGAAAGAAGCCACAGAAACCTAAAGGACAGGAGGGGAAACTGAGCTTTCCGCGTGGGTGCGGCTGCCCTTGACACCCGCTTGGGGGCTCCGGAGGGGGAGGCAGGGCGGCCCCGCGCTGAGGGTGGAAGCGTGAACATCCGAGCAGAGAGAGCGGGGAGGGGCCGTCCGGAGAGATGCCCCGCTGGCCCGACTGTGGCCCCCGGGAAAGACGCCGGTCCCGTGAGCACCGCCCCTTCTGTTGTCTCCAGACGCCCCGCTGGGATCACTGCGCGCCGCCGCAGCTTCCCCACTACCCGTTCCAGAGCCACACCCTGGGGTGCGGCCGACACAAGATACCGCAAGGCCGGAGCCCCTCTGCGACCCCTACTTCCGAAGGCCGGGCCCCGGGCGCCTGCAGCCTCTTCCGCACCCGGCTCGGCCGGCGGGTCTGGGGCTCCCGGCACAGGTGGAGGTGGTGGCAGGTAGGAGGCGCTGCGGGGACACTACTGTCCCTGCCCTCCAGACGGCGCCCCGGGACGGCTGTGCCCCCAGGGCCTAGAAAAGTGCCTGAAGCTCAAGGGCCGCTCTCTGAGGGAGAGGGGACCGATCTGAGTGAGATCAGGGAGCGGGCAGAGGGGCTTGGAGGGGACCAGCCCAGAGCACCCCCACAGGGTGTCCCTTGGGTCCTGCCCTAGACTGCGCTGGATGGATTCTGCACACCCCACATTCCAGCCTCCCAAGACCATTGATGCCCTGTGTTTGCAGGCATGGCGCGCCCCGCAGAGCGAGAAATGTAAGGAAGGGCACAGGGCCGAGACGCGTGGCCGCCCCTTAACTGCGCTTCCTCTCGACTCTCGGGGGCTTCGCGGCGTCTGTGCTCATTCAGGCTGGGAAGGCGCTGCCCCCGTGTGGCCGCTGCCCGTCTCCGCAAGGCTGTCGTGTGGGGCGCTCCTCTGCTGTGACCAGCGCGGTTTGTGTGATTCCGCTCCCCCGCTCACACCCACCTGTTTCAGCACTGTTTTAAATAGCCAGAACCAACTTCCTAATCAATGCACCTGGGGTGGATACGGCGCGGGGGTGGGGGTCACAGTAACACCACAAAGTAGCATTTTTCTGGTTCGGCTCCACCTGGAGAACTGTGGGTTCTGCGGACCCCCGAAAATTCCAACCAATTACCAAGTAGTTCAGAAGTTCCAGGAGTCTGGGCCACTGTGGCGGTCGCCATCTTCTCCTGCTGAGGGGCTGAGGTGCCCATTGCTGTCCCTCTCTTCCCGGTGCTCTCAGTGCTGAGCTCCAGCATGCCCCTGTGGAAGGCCCTGCCACAAAGCCTGGCTGCTCCACGCTCCCTGACTCGGCTGTCCTCAAATCCCCCTTCCCCTCTGACAGCCAGTGGTTTCTTTACATCAACTAGGTGCCCCCAAGGTTAGACTTTCCAAGGAAGACCCCGCTCCATTTACACGGTGGTTTCGTTTTACATTTTTAAGCAACAGTTCTCTCAGATATTATTAACAGAGAAAGCATCGTTTGGGTATAAAAGAAGAAGGCCGAGAATGAGGACATCTAGACCCCAGCTGTGGTGTTCTCCAACCAGCGCTGTGCTCCTGGGGGTCTCTCTGGTGGCTCTGTTTAACAGGGGGTCACCTGCTGAAATAGATGGCTGTGGTGTTCATGGCAGGGGATATGAGGATCTTTTAGTGCAGAAGAAAGTTTAGTGGAAAGGAGATGGTGGAGCAGTGAATGAGAGAGTGACCCTGTGGTATGTGGTCCCAGCCCCACTCAGTGCAAGAACTGAGCCTGGTAATACCTCAGGAGCAGCCGCTGTGGGGTGACCAGCTTGCGGGGCAAGGCATGGGCCCTGAGGAGAGGGCACAACAGGTGCAGACGATTGCTAACCCAGACCCGCAGAAGACGTAATGGGCTTCTTCCTAAACACACACGCAAACTCCTGGGGACTTTGATAAATGCCTGTGGCATTTGGAGTGGTGGAGGAGGACACCAATGTCCTGTCGTTATGAAGGACCCCAAAGCTGGGGGAATTAAGCCAAAATATGGACCCACAGATTGGCTGCTGCTGGCGATATTCACAGGAGGTCATGCAGATTCTGTCTGGGATCATTGGAGTCCCGATGCCATGTCTACCTACATCATGCACGTGTGACACCCTTGGAGTAGAACCAGTTTATTCACAGGGTAACCCTGGCAGTGGCATCTGTAGAGAATTCTGGAGCTTGCAGCTGGGAGGGACCCTCAGTACTCCCTGCTGGCTCTGGAGACCCCAGAGGACAGTGAGGGGGCAACAACTGAGAGGACCTCCTAGGCTGCTCTGAGCTCCTGGGCAGGTCTAGAGAGGTGGCTGGATGTTCCAGAGGGAGGAAAAGGCAAGTGGCTTTGCCCAAGCTGGCTGGCATTTCTGGTCACTCTGTGTCCCTAGAGAAATGCCTGAGAACACTCAAAGTCCTTAGGTCAGACCCAACATGTCTAAAAAGACGGAGTCTTCCTGGAGACTATGGGGAAACTATGGAGAGGAGGGTCACAGGGATTATGTCAGATGTGCCAGAATCTGGGATACAGGCACACAAGCTGGGTCGGTGATTCCTGAAGCCAGGTTACCCTGGCATTTCCAGTGACACGATCCAGTTCTAAGTCCCCTTTTGTGCTTCAGTTCCATAGAGTAGGGTTTCTGTTACCCATAACCAGAGGAGTCCTCTCACAATACAGGATTTGTTAAGTCTCCACACATAATTAGATATGGGCTAACAGGAAGTGGACATCTCAGGCAGTGGTAATCTGAAGGCTGCGGTGCCACTCAGAGAGGTGTGGTAGGTGCTGTGCAAGTTGTATTGGGAGTGTGAACTGAATTACTGTGGCAGTGTCTACTTCTGAATGCTGGGTGTGGCTGGCCCAGGAGACTCTGGACCCAGGAAAAGCCTGTTTTGCATTTTCTCATGCAGGTTCATCTCTCTTACAATCACGGACTACCTCTCACCCTGCACTTCAAGATACCAGCACTTAACACTTAATTCTGAAGTGTATTGGGTGCCTGAAAACAACCACATGCAATAATAAAACTCTCCCCAGTTCCAAATGGCTTGAACTAGCGACACACAAAGAGAGGGAAGAGGCCCCTGTGGATTGAAGATTATTAAATATGAAGTATGTTTGTCAGGAAAAAAACCTTTGTTTATATAAACAGTAGAAGCGCCGCCATGGTAACCCTGCTGGGTTTGCTCTGCAGCCCGTAAAGGCCTCAGAGCCAAATTACCACCTCCTTTTTCATTGCTAGCCTACATTTTTAAAAAAACATCTCCAGCCAAAATTCCATGATCTGCCTGCTTGGTTTCCAGGCTCAGAAAATATCATTTTAAAAGGACTTGGGAACCAGTTAGAACCGCTGCCGATGCTTCTAAATGAAAGCTCATTTCTCTCACACACACTCTCACACACAAAGACGCATTTTGTTTGCCAAACTACAGTATGCTTTTCCCTTTTTATGTAACCCAAGTTTCCTTGGGCCTCCCAAGCCTGCAGGGCCGATGAAATGACACTAACATGTGACCCACAGGAACCCAGATCCCATTGGCTCCAGGTGTTTCTCCCACTTGCTTGCAAGGGCCTTGCCTCCTAGGAGGTCTCTGAGTCCTCTGGGTCGTGTGCCTGGATGTGGCCCTGAACAAATCCACTGCCAGACGTAGGGCGGCTTGTCTCCGCAACAGGGCCCGATAGGACCTGCATCACCTCTGTGCTGTCCCTGGAAGTCAAAGCACTTGGTGGTGGGTGAGGAGGCTGCTCCGAGGAGAGCCCCTCGCCTCCCTTTGTGCTACACTCAAGAAACACGCCCCAAACCAGGCCGCTGTGCCCACTGCCTCACAGGCATTGTCAGCAGATGACCTTAGAGTTTACTCACATGCCCCGGCCAACCAAAGATCCCGGCCACAGATCCCAGGGCCAGTCCAAGTGGTGGCAGGTGGCCCTTCTCCGCATTAAGCTTCCTCCTGTGGCTGAGGGCAAACTCATCATTTCTGCCCTGCAGGAAGCTCCTCAGGCCCTCCCCACAAGAAGTCTTTTGGGTGGCCAGGCCGCCCCATTCCGACATGTCCAAGCACATCTGTATCCACTTAGCCCCAAGTGGGGTCCCTTCTCCAACCTCTCCATCCGAGAGAGCCCATTCAAGAAGGCAGGTGGGAGAGCCACCCTCTCCGTGTGGCCGCCTGAGGCTGCCGAGAAGCCAAGCTGGGCCTGAGCTCTGGGGGAAAGGATTGCTCCACTCCAAGGGAAAAGAAAATTGACATCAGATTATTTTCCTACATCTTTTCCCACTTTTTAATATTTGCCACATTGCATTCCACATTCCAATCTCCAAAAGGATGGGAGCATTAATAATATAAAAGAAAGAAGTGAAATTAACTCGACTCTAGAACTTTTATTATTTTCAAGCATATAAAGCATGAGATTTATGGCTGAGCATAAAGTATGTCTTTGACTTGAAATGTTCTCCTAGAGATACATTAGGGAAACAGCCTGATATGGAACCAGACCTGCAGAGATACTGTGATGTTGCAATAAGCCAAGTTAAAGTTATTTATTGAGTTTGGTCAGTTTTGGTATTTCTCTGCTTCTCTTACTTGGCTGGCCATAGTTTTGCTTACTTTTCAACGTTTTTAAAGTTCTTCATTTAATAGAGAATAAATAATGCTGTCTCTGTCTCTTGATTTTCTACTTCCCATTCACATTTCTGATGAGTTTTACCTTCCACATGTTACAGGTATTACACATGTTACCTATATTGCAGCATTAAAAGCCCTTTTATAGACATTCTTTCAATGAATATGTGTGTAAGATCTTCATTTGCTTTTTCACACCTCAACTCAGGATTCATTTCACACATTTCTAACTCAACCCAGGGTAGACGGGAATCAAAATGACTTTCAGATAAGGGCAAACTGGCTTATCCTGGTGTTTCAATCCAAACATAACACTGAGAAAATGATGTCTCTCTCTTTAGCTCTAGCACCAATCCTCAGAGCAGGGAAAGAGAAGCTAAACAAAATATTAGCATAAATCTGGACTTTTACATCATTACTTTCTTCAAAGTGTTATAAATATATAAGCAACTATATGCAAGGTCCTTTTGCCCCTATTATTTCACTGAGATCCAGGTCTGCGTGAGCACACAGTGCTCCCTCCCATACCAAGGTTCAAACAATAGATTTCAGTGGCTCTGTCCACATATATAAAGAGAAAATGGTTCCTGAACAAATTTCAATGAACATTTCCCCCTCCAGGAAGACAGAGTCGTGGCTCCCGCACACTCTTGCCTGAGGTTGTACAATGGACACAATAAAACTATGAGATCTAAAGATGATGTTTCGGCCAGGCGTGGTGGCTCACACCTGTAATCCTAGCACTCTGGGAGGCCGAGGCGGGTAGACTGCCTGAGCTCAGGAGTTCAAAACCAGCCTGGCCAACATGGTGAAACCCTGTCTCTACTAAAAATACAAAAAAATTAGCCAGGCGTGGTGGCAGGCACCTGAAATCACAGGTACTTGGGAGGCTGAGGCATGAGAATCGCTTGAACCAGGGAGGTGGAGGTTGCAGTGAGCCAGGATCACGCCACTGCACTCCAGCCTGAGTGACAGAGCAAGACCCTGCTCAAAAACAAAAGCAAAAAAGCAACACACAAAAAACCCCCTACCTCTTAGAAACCAAGAAGAAGAAGAAAAAAGTTCTTAACCTGATAGAGAGTATCTACAAAAGTCTACAGTAAATATAATGATAAAATGTTGAAACCTTTCCTTTGAGATCAGGGACAAAACAAAGATGTTTCCATTACCATTTCAGTTCAAACTGTAATGGATGCCCTAGGCAGCACTGTAGAGCAATTTTTTAAAAATACGTAAAGATTAGAAGAAAAGAAACAAACGTGCTGTTATTCACAGGTAATATGAGTATATACCTAGAAAAATCCATTAGAATTAACAAGTAAGTTTAGCAAAGTTGCAGCAAACAAAAATCAACACAGCAAATTTCACTGGATTTTCCATAACAGCAACAAACAGCTTTTAAAAATATATCATTTTAAGAACAACAGAAAATATCAAATACCTAGGAATAAATATAACGAAAGATGTGCAAAGCCTCTGAATTGTTTCCTGTGGCTGCTGAAACAAGTTACCACTAACTTGGTGACCTAAAAACAACAGAGATTTATCCTTTCACAGTTGTTCTGGAGACCAGAAGTCCGAAGTCAGTATGACTGAGTGGATGCTGGTATGGCAGCTCTATGGGAAAAATCTTTCTTGTCCCTTCCAGCTTCTGGTGGCTGCTGGCATTCCTTGGCTTGTGGCTGCATCCCTCCAGTTTCTACCTCTGTGGTTAAGTGCCTTCTCCTCTTTGTGTCAAATCTCCTTCTGCCTCCCTCTTACAATGATACCTACAGGCCCCACCCAAATAATCCAGGAAAACCTCTGCATCCCAAGATCCTTAACTCAATCACATCTGCAAATACTCTTTTCCATATAAGGTAACATTTACAAGGTCCCAGGGTTAGGACCTGATATCTTTGGAAGTCATTATTCAGTCTACAACAGACTCTATGGATAAAAATTATAGAAATGTAGAGTCATTAATGAGACACAAATAAGCAGAGATGTGCTCAAACCACATGCATAGCCTGGAAGGCTCAACATTGTAAAACTGCCAATTCTCCCCATATTCATCTATAATATTAAGGCAATTCCAATAAAAACCTCAGCAGTTGTGTAACTTGACAAGCTGCTTCTAAAATCCTTATATAAATTGAAAAGAAAAAGAATAGCCAAGATATTCTTGAAGAAAAACAGTGAGAAAAGGAGGGTTGCCCTACCAGATATCAAGACTTCTTATAAAGCTACATAATGCAGACAGTGTTGAATTGGTACAGAGACAAATAGCCCATGGAAACAAACCCACTTATATGAACACTTGATATGAGAGGTGACGTTGCAGAGAAATTGGGAAAGGATGGGATTTTTGATAAACATGCTGGGAAATAGGATATCTTCATTAAAAAAAAAAGTGTTTTTTTTGTTGTTGTTTTTGTTTTTTTTCTTTTTGAGACTGACTGGCTCTATCACCCAGGTTGGAGTGCAATGGCGTGACCTTGGCTCACTGCAACCTCTGCCTCCCAGGTTCAAGCGATTCTCATGCCTAAGCCTCCCGAGTAGCCAGGATTACAGGCGCCCGCCACTATGCCTGGCTAATTTTTGTATTTTTAATGCAGACGGGATTTTGTAATGTTGGCCAGGCTGGTCTCGAACTCCTGACGTCAAGAGATCTATCCACCTCGGCCTCCTAAAGTGCTGGGATTACAGGCATGAGCCACCATGCCCGGCCAAAAAAAAAAAAAAAAAAAGTTAAAATGAATTCCTACATCATATCAAACTTAAAATCCATTTCAGGTGAACTAAAAATCCAAGGATGAAAGGAAAAGCTTTAAGGGTTTTAGAAAACAATACAGGAGGATATGTTTAAGACCTAGGAAGGATTCCTTGAACAAGTTACATAAAAGCACAAATCAGGGAAAATAAGTAATCAATTTGACTACATTAAAGTTAAGAATTTCTATACAATACGAAAAAGAGAATGAAAAGACAGGTCACAAAGGGGAGAACATATTTGCAATACACAACAAAGAACTAGAATTCAGAATATGTAAAAAACCCCTCCAAGTTAAAAAGTAAACAATAAATCATCCAATTTTTAAAAACTGATTTTAAAAAGATTTGATCAGATTCATCACCAAAAAAAGCAGTCAATACACATATGAAAAGATGCTCAAATCATTAATAATCAAGGAAATATAGGCCAGGCACAGTGGCTCACGCCTGTAATCCCAGCACTTTGGGAGGCTGAGGTGGGCGGATCATGAGGTCAGGAGATCGAGACCATCCTTGCTAAAATGGTGAAACCCCGTCTCTACTAAAAATACAAACTATCAGCTGGGCGTGGTGGCGCTCACCTGTAGTCTCAGCTACTCGGGAGGCTGAGGCAAGAGAATCGCTTGAACCCGGGAGGCAGAGGTTGCAGTGAGCCGAGATGGCGCCACTGCACTCCAGCCTGGGTGACAGAGCAAGACTCCATCTCCAAAAAAAGAAAAAAAGGAAATATAAATTAAAACCATAATGAGAGACAAAGATTTATTCACCATTTGGCAAAAGTGTTAAATGCAATACCTGTTGAATTGAAACTTTTATCATTTGATGGTAACAATTTTTGTCTCTAGTAATGCTTTTTTAAACTTTTTTTGGGACAGGGTCTTGCTCTGTTACCCAGGCTGGAGTGCAGTGGTACAATCATAGCTCACTGTAGACTCAAGCTCCTGGCACAAGTGATCCTTCTACCTCAGCCTCCTGAGTAGCTGGGACCACAGATGCACCACCACACCCAGTTAAGGGTTTTGGTTTTTTGTTTGTTTTGTAGACACAGGAACTCACTATGTGGCCCAGGCTGGTATAAACTCCTGAGCTCAAGTGATCCTCCAGCCTCAGCATCCCAAAGTGCTTGGATTACAGGCACGAGCCACTACATCCAGTCTTAAACTGTTTTTATTGTGGTAAAATACATATAACATAAAATTTGCCATTTTAACCATTCTTCAGTGTACAATCCAGTGGCACTAATTACATTCACAATGTTGTGCAATGATCACCACTATCCATCTTCAAAAGTTTTCATCACCCAAAATGGAAACTCTGTATCTATTAAGCAATAACTCCCCATTTTTTCCTCTTTCAAGCCTCTGGTAATCTCTAATTTACTTTCTGTCTCTATGAATTTGCCTATTGTAGATATTTTATATAAATGGAATCATATAATATTTGTTCGTTAATGTCTGGCTTATTTTGCTTATGTTTTCAAGGTTCAGCTATGATTTGGAGTGTATCAGGACTTCATTCCTCTTTATGACTCAGTAGTATTCCATTGTGTGTATATATCACATTTCCTTTATTCATTCGTTGATGGACACTTGGGTTGTTTCCGCCTTTTGGCTGTTATAAGTAATCCTGATATAAACATTGGTGTACAAGTACCTGAGTTTCTGTTTTCAGTTCTATTGGGTATATACCTAGGAGTGGAACTGCTGGTTCGTATGGTAATTCCATGTTTAACTTTTTGAGAAGCTACCAAACTTTTCCATGGAAGACGCACTATTTTCAAATAAGTCATTTTCACTTACAGTCTATCTTGTCATATTCATGTAGCTTGCCATCTTTCCTTGGGTTGGGATTTGCCTGGTGTACCTTTTTCCAGCCTTTCACATTCAACTTTTCTGTGTCCCTGTGTTTTAGATGTCTTCTATACTTGTTGTGATTATTACCAATGTACTTGGATTTCCTAAATTCCATTTTTTTTCTTCTGTTACTTTGGGAACTATATTCTCTAATCTTAGTTTTCATAAAAGTTTAAATATCCATATTTAACTTCACAAAGTCAGAAGTTATCTTTACCCTCTTGCCACATCATAAAAAGAGCCTTATGTTTTAACCCTGCTCATCTACTCCTAAGTTACAATATTATTGTCTAGCATTTTAGTTCATTATGGATTGTTTTATAGCTCCTAAAATATTACTGTTTTAGACCGTTAGTGCTTTAGATTTACCCTCACTTAAAAGTGTTTTGTTTTGTTTCGCTCACCATTCTTTTTTATTTTTTAAAGAGATGGGATCTTGCTATGTTGCTCAGGCTGGAGTGCAGTGGCTATTCACAGGCATGATCATAGTCCACTACAGCCTTGAACTCCTTGGCTTAAGTGATCCTGCTGCCTCAGCCTCCTGAGTAACTGGGACTACAGGTATGTGCCACCACACCCAGCCACCATTCATTATGTTGTATCTTAAGCCTTTGTGGGATCATTTTCCATCACCTTAGCATTTATCTTTGGAAGATTTTAGTGAGAGTCCCAGTTTTTATTCATCAGATAGCACATTTTTCCCATCAGTCTTCAAATTCAGTTTCATGAATTATTTTTTCAGCACTTTGAAATAGTTCCATTGTCCTTGTTTCCACTGGTGCAGTTGGGAAATAAGCTGTCAGTCTAATTATTGACTTTTTGTGGGTAGTCTTATCTCTCTGGCTTTTTAGATCTCTTCATCTTTTGTGTTCAGTTTCAAAACAATGTGTTTAAGAATGCAATTTCCTTTTATCAGCTTAAGATGTGTGAAGCACTCTAAATTCTAGGATTTGCCTTTAATCTGGTCTAGAAAATTCTCTAAAAAGTCAAGAAGCTTTGACTTTTCTCATTTTCTATCACTCTCTATAGTAAATGCTGCATTCTGGATTATTTCTTCAGACCTATCTTTTTGTTCACTAATTCTCTCTTCAGCTGGGCCTAATCTGTTTATCCATTCTAATTTCAATTGTTATATTTCATTTTCAGTCCTTCCTGAAATCTGCCTTGTCCTTCTTTATTGTCTTATTCCTTTGTCATACATTTGATTCCTCTTACTGCTTCTGATACAGTCAGCCCTTTGTACCCATGGGTTCTACATCCATGGACTCAACCAACCATGGATCCAAAATATTTGTTTAAAAAGATATATAAAATTACAACAATAAAAAATACCAATTTTAAAATACAATACAACTATTTACACAGCATTTACATTATATTGGGTGGTCTGTTTTGTTTAGAGACATGGTCTTGTTCTGTCGTCCAGGCTGGAGTGCAATGACACAATCATAGCTCACTGCAACCTTGAACTCCTAGGCTCAAGTAATTCTCCTATCTCAGCCTCCTGAGTAGGTAGGACTACAGGCACAAGCCACCATGCCTGGCTAATTTTTTTATTTTTATTTTTCTAGAGATGGTGTCTCATTACATTGCCTAGGCTAGTCTCAAGCTCCTGGACTCCAACAATCCTCCTACCTCAGCCTCCCAAAGCACTGGGGTTGCAGGTGTGAGCCACTATGCCTGGCTGTATTAGGTATTATAAGTAATCTACAGATTGCAGAGATGGAAGTAAAGCTTTCCTTCTTTCCTCTCTGAAGGTTTGCTGAAATGAGCTATGACAGATTAACAGGAGAAAAGGCACACAAATTTCATATGCACATGGACATGGGAATCCCACAAATATGAGACTCAAAGCAAGGACACATGGCTGAAATTCAAACACCCTCTTTATAAGGAAGAGGAAAATGGGGTGGGGAGCTGTTTTGGAAGGGTAGTAAATAATTTCTAGGGAAAATGAATCAACCTGGGAGGCAGACATTATCTTATAATTGATTATCTTAGAAAACTGAATATGATCAGCAAATTACAGGAAGGTGAGGGGTAGAACTACATTGTGAACAAAGGTTGCCTTATGCAAATAGTCTTTCAAGTAAACTCTCAAAGCTGTTCTCAGAAGAACAGATGAAAAGTCTATCTGGGCATGATGACAACTTTTAATCTCTTTGTCTTCTCCAGTGGTTTATCTTTCCTGGTTATAAGATTCCTAGAAAAGGGGGTCTTAAGACAATTGCATTTTTTTGGAAAGTAGTTTCCTTAGTCAGATAAAGAGATTCTAGAGAGTCTCTCTTCTTTTGAATGGGGGAGAATTGCATGAGGCCAGGAGTTTGAAACCAGCCTAGGCAAACATAGCAAGACCCCATCTCTACATAAAGGAAAAAAATCAGGTGTGGTGGCATGCACCTGTAGTCCCAGCTATTCAGGAGGCTGAGGCGGGAGGACTGCCTAAAATGTTTGCAGTGTTGGCAAATTTGATTCTATCATTTGTAGTATCTTATCTCCCATGTGTATCATTTTGGATTTTGAGCTTTTATGTCTTGGAATACTTATGGGAGTGTAATTCTCCTGCCTTGGCCTCCCAAAGTCCTAGGGGATTACAAGCATGGCTTCAATTAATAAGTTTTAAATTGCATGCCATCTGAGTAGCATGATGAAACCTTGAGCTGTCCCACCCAGGACATGAAACACCCCTATGTCTGGTGTCTCTACCCTTATACACTACCTGTCCATTAATCACTTAGTAGCTATGCCGGTTATCAGATCAAAAAAAAAAACAAAAAAAACCAGTATAAATATAAATAGGGATTGGTACTATCTGTGGTTTCAGGTATCCACTGGGGGTCTTGGAATATATCCCTTGTAGACAAGAGGGGATGACTGTGTATAAGACTTTTATATCAAGGGAGGTTGTGATTAAGCAAGAGGAATAATACCACACAGAAATGGACCAAGTAATTTGTGTAACTTCTTATCTCCTCTTCTTGGGAAGAGGGTGAGCGTGTCTTCATTTCAAAAGGGATAGCTGATCCATGGCAGGCAGAATCATGATAGTCTTTTTTTTGAGTCGGAGTCTCACTGTCGCCCAGGCTGGAGTGCAGTGGCGCGATCTCCACTCACTGCAAGCTCCGCCTCCCGGATTCATGCCATTCTCCTGCCTCAGCCTCCCGAGTAGCTGGGGCTACAGGGGCCTGCCACCACGCCCGGCTAATTTTTTGTATTTTTAGTAGAGATGGGGTTTCACCATGTTTTTCTTTGGAACTTTAAACATGAGTTCAAGGGTGAGTCTAGATGTGTGTTGCAAAGGGTGAACTGTGCTGGACAATGTCTGCTGAATATTCTGTACTAATAAAAAATTAGCTGCATGTACTAGAGCATACCTGTGGTCCCAACAACTTGGAAGGCTGAGTTGGAAGGACACCTTGAGCCTAGGAGGTCAAGGCTGCATTGAGCTATGATCATGCCACTGCCTTCCAGCCTAGGCAACTGGGAGAGACCCTTTCTCAAAATAATAATAATAATAATCAGCCCTATCTTCTAATAGAACTAGGAATGCACAAACTAATTTATACAAATTTGTCCCTGCTGGGAAGACAGAAATCATTTAAATTCCCAGTGTCATGTCAGCAAAGTCAATTCTGTATTCAGAGGCCAGCTTATTTTTACCACTTCAAGCACCAAAAAAAGACTACATATATGAAAAAGTTTCTAAATTAGTTTTTTTCAAACAAAGAAATGCTCTAAACTTTAGTAATGCCACATGGGTCCAAGCTAACAACCAAGAACAAAAGACAGAAATCCTACAAAGATTCCCAACACTTCCTAGGTTTCTACGTAGCAGCAATGAAAGTAAATTAATAATAAATATTGGATTTACATTTTATTCAAAGGATAAATACAAAATTAAGAAAGAGTTCAAATTCAAAGTAAATATGCTTGATATTTCAAAACAATTCTACATACAAAGTACAATAGGAAAAAACCAAAAGCCCCCATAAATTAGAGTGGCTAGACACATTCAAGTCTAGCAGAAAGAAACTTGAAATTTAATGCAACGTTATTTCTCTTGCCTAGAAGCTAAAGCCTTAATTGTCTCAGATATCTTCCATCTCCTTATGGGCATTACTTGAAGATAACAATGGAGCAAGCTTTTTAATGAACTTGCCATAGTGAAAAACCAATGACAGATGCGACACTGGAAAGAGGACAACAATGTAACCTAAAAGGGAGCTACTGGCAGAAATAAAAACTAGTGATACTGATAACATCTAGACCTTTGCAGACGTTTAGAGTACTGTACAATCTTAAATTATTGTTTATCAACCTTTGGGTCTCACAGATTAAGAATGTACTAGTTAAGAACCAAGGAGTTATACCCAGTTCACAATACTGTTTCCTTCACTTGCCCTTTAGATATAATGGATCTGGAATTCTCAATGAGTGTTACATGGTTTGGGAATTCTGGCAATTTTCCTTCCAAGACCTCCCTATACTTATCTCCATTTCAAAATATACAAAGCTGAGTGACAGAGGCAAAAATTAATTCCTAAAGATCCAAAGGGTATACAATACCTGTCAAATTTGATATGTCTGGGCAGGACACGGTGACTCATGCCTGTAATCCCAGCACTTTGGGAGGCCAAGGCGGGCAGATCACTTAAGGTCAGGAGTTTGAGACTAGCCTGGCCAACATGGTGAAACCCCGTCTCTACTAAAAACACAAAAATTAGCTAGGCATGGTGGCACGTGCCTGTAATCCCAGCTAATCCAGAGGCTGAGGCAAAAGACTCGTGTGAACACGGGAGGTGGAAGTTGCAGTCAGCCAAGATTGCAGCACTGCATGCCAGCCTGGGCAACAGAGCAAAACTCCATCTCAAAAAAAAAAAAAAGAAGCCTCTGGAAAAAATGACGCATCTTGGTGGCGCAGCCTTAGGCTCTGGTGCAGAAGAAGAGAGAGGGAGAGGTGGAGGAGGGAGAGAGAGAGAGAGACCAAAGACTGGGCTGAATTCTACAAGCAGGCAAAACAGCACATCTATCCATTCAAATCACCCTGGCCTAACTGTCTCCTGAAAAACGCAGCAGGTGCTATAACCACTAGGGATAGACTCTAGCTTGCTGTTCATAAAAGGATTCTGTAAGGGAAACTTTGCTCTATAATTAACAGAGAGCCAGATATTACAGAAACTTTAGATTGTCTTGCTACTCACTGACCTTAAATATTATCCTTTCTTTTGCAACTATCAATTCACTTAAAAGTTTTAATCATTGCATACCCCGTAAACTTCCTATAAACAATATGTTATTGCAAAATGTTTTAAAAGATGTGAGAAAGTATCTGTGGAGTTTGGTATCAGAAAGGGCAGAGCCTTTGTTTTATCTAACGATTCTTTCCCAAACTGGGAAGTTCGGGTAGAGACAGTGGCTTTTGGTAATATTTAGGCAGTGATTTCTTATTCTTAAAATCAACAGTAATGAATAAAGTTTTGACATCAGAAATGTTTACAACTAAAGTAGACATTGATTACATTCTTAGTACAATACAATTTCTAACATAACTACAAATGTGTATACACTTCAAATATTAGCAAATTGCTTCAAAATGAAATTCTAAGCAAGTTTTTGGTAATTTATTCACAGTTCAGGCTTACTCACTGGACTTAACGACATGAGGAAGAAATGACCAACTGGCTCAGTAAACTAAACATTCATTTCAAAAATCACAAAACTGAAACAAAGCAAAGATGATCCTAAAATTTCCACTTCTCAAGAAGTGTAATTTAAACAAATACCAAAAGCTTTATTTAAGCAAAAACACATTCAACCACAGAACATTCAGAAAGCTAACAGGATCATTTCTACATTCATTCTGCAAACAGTGTAGTAAGAAAGGTAATTTGAGAATTTCCAAAGATGTTCTCGCTAGCCATTATTTATGGTAATTACATAACATTTTGATGTCAAGTTATTACAGACTTAAAAGTTAATATAGCATAATTTTACAATCGTACTTTCACTATGATTTTTATTTTAACCCTGGATATTATTGGTTTGAAGCTAATATTATCAGTCCTATTGGCTGTCACTGTCACAGATCTGAAGATATGTTTAAATTCATCAAGCTAGGAAGATATCAAAATATTAACAATCTTCAAGTATAGTGAGAAAAAAACTGATTTAAGTGTTAGCATTTCTAAACTTGAGACTCTAACAGTAAAAATAAAGTAATCTGAAACCTGTTTCCATGGGTAAAACACTCTGCCTGGTATTCTTGTACACAAAATTTACTAAATATGTGAATATCATAAAATGAAAATATCACTCCCTTCAATTTCTTTGGCCTTCACAAATTCAATGTGACTATGATCCTTTTCAATAATACTTTCAATGACATTGTGCTTCTTTAGAAAAATCACTTAAGTTGTAGCATACAATAGTTAACATTAGTTCTTTTATTGCTATGGTATATGCTAATTTTTTTAAAAGGGGAAAAAAAAACCCAGAGAACTTATTAAAATGTTTGTTAAAGCAAACATTTCAGTTGGTTTCCTTTCTTTGAAGAATAATAGAAATAAATGTCAGAGGAGTATTACTAAGGAGCCAAAACAAACAAACAAACAAAAAAACAAAAAACTCCTTTATTACTCCCATCCTCAGAACTAACTCAAGACAAGAGATCTGTATTCAAAAAGATAAAACAATCTCATCTCAGTAACTACCTCCTATGAAACCTAAGAGAGAAAACCTGTAATAGCTCTCTTAACCAACAGCCCCATCTGCACATCACCAAGCACCAGTTCCCTTTGGGTAGCAGTAATGCTTGTTTTTCATCTTTGCATATTAAGGACTGTTGTTAACAGATTTATGGGTCATTTGTAGCTTACTTTGCAAATACCTTTCACTTCTTATGAAACACAATATGCCCCCAAACATGGACCATTATTCAAGTAGACAAAATCACTCACTGACAGCACTTTAACAACCCGCCTCCACTTCATCTTCCCATTCTCTCACCCTATGCCTTCCAATGAACCTAGTCTTTGCTAGTGATGAGTCCATCTGGGGACAAATACTGCTTTAAAGATGATGTAATTTTCAATGCCAACCACAGTGACTTTCCCATAATAGGTATTAATAAACACTTGTTGACATAGTTATAATAAGCTAAAAATAGTTAACATTAATTTTTCTCTTTATCTTTTATTCTTATGGCACAGAATTTATTTTAAAAGACTGAAAAACTGATTCCAATGTAATAATCACTTACTGGGCCACACGCTAGATGACAGACATGCCTCCCTGCCTAAAAAGGGCTCAAAGGAACTCTCAGTTATACATGAGTGAATTAAAACTTTAAATGTACTACAAGAAAGAACTTTTTATATGAAGGATTCTTTATGTAGAGTATCTTTTTTGAAAAATCAGATTTTCTTATCCTATATTACACTGGTTTTAATTGGGCATGCTCACTTTAGTGGTGTGCCTCATTACAATGTCTCTTTTGTGTTAAGAATTAACTTACAAAAGCATTTAAAAATCACTACATCAAATGGGATAGAGAGTAAGAAGACAGGAGAGAGAGGAGAAACCATGTTTTTTGTTTTGAGTCAGGAGGGTCTCACTCTGTCACTCAAGCTGAAGCACAGTGGCACAATCACAGCTCACTGCAGCCTCAACCTCCCAGGCTCAAGCGATCCTACTACTTAAGCCTCCCAAGTTGCTGAGACTACAGGCACAAGCCACCATGCCCAGCCCATTTAAAAAAAAAATTTTTTTTTTTTTTTTTTGAGAGAGTCTTGCTCTGTCGCCAGGCTGGAGTGTAGTGGCGTGATCTCGCCTCACTGCAACCTCCGCCTCCTGGGTTCAAGCGATTCTCCTGCCTCAGCCTCCCAAGTAGTTGGGACTACAGGCGCACGCCACCACTCCCAGCTAATTTTTGTATTTTTAGTAAAGACGGGGTTTCACCATGTTGGCCAGGATGGTCTCGATCTCTTGACCTCATGATCAACCTGCCTCGGCCTCCCAAAGTGCTGGGATTACAGGTGTGAGCCACTGCGTCCGGCCAAAAAAATTTTTGTAAAGACCAGGTCTCACCATGTTGCCCAGGCTGTTCTCCAACTCTTGAGCTCAAGCAATACTCCCACCTCAGACTCCCAAAGTGGAGGCTGGTATTACAGGCTGAGCCACTGCACCCGGCAGAGAATCCATGTTTGTTTGGAAAATATCACTTCTTTGTTCTTGATTTTGGTTTTTGATATTCAGTTTAGAACTTACCCTAGCTTTCAGTATATTTGTGTGTGTGTGTGTACACATGTGCTTTATAGAAAGACACACACAGAGGGAGACAGAGATTATGCAGACTAATGACTGACTTCACATATTAGTTTTAACTTAGAATGCTGAATCATACTTTAAACTATAAGAAATGCTACAAACCCACACAAATTGTGTTTGTAAAACGTTAATATACAAAACATAAGAAATGACACTATACACACGCTAGCTGACTTACACAAAATAATCTTAGAAACAATTAAAGTAGATTAATATAGCTATAATAGCCATATATTATATATAATGTAAATAGTGACCCTATTTTATTCTTAAAAAGATCAGGTTTCTAGTCACCATGTATGAAAGTCCTTCCAAATTACCTCAAAATATAACAAATCTTTCTCTAACCCTAAGACACAAGCAGAATTCTATGCTTCTCTGGCAACAACAATAACTATTAGAAAATCTTAACCTCACCCAGAAGTTAAAACAAGAAAAGAAAGAAAAGAAAGGAAAAAACAGCTTACTTAAATAATTGTGCTAAATAGCTTATCTTCACAATTTAAAAGTAAAAACCTTTGAAAAAGAAGGACTTCACCAAAAACAAACACACTCTCCTATAGCCCTGAAGATCTGGCCAGAAAAGCTCCATTAAGAAATTATTACTCACAATTTTGGGGGTATCAAATAATAACATTCTACTTTAAATATTTTAATCCAAATTGTCAACTTCCATTTCTGACACTTACAAGCTGAACATACCCCAATATCACTTTATTTATATCTTCTTTATTCCTAAATATATTTCAGGGGTAGAGCACAGAAAATACAGAAGAGGAAAAATACTTAGGATACAATACTAAATTTGGTGCCTATCAGTGTAAAGCATACATACCTTTTTCTGAGCTTAGCCTACCACATATACTTAGAGTGAAATGATGAGGTCAGCGACCTGCAAATCTTCCAAACAATTGCAAGTAACTTCCAAACTGGCACTAAGGGACTAGTTTTATGCAACAATGTAATGAAGGAAAGTTAAAATTAACTACAGGAAATTCTTCCTCGTGACAAAGTTGAAGAGAATACTGAATATATCAATATTAATTTAATAGCAGCTCTGTGTTGTGATTTTAAAGAACAAGATAAAATATGTCATTCAGCAGTCATTTAAAAAATAAAAGACTACAGATACAAGGAAATAAAAACCACTTTTAGGAGATGAAAACACAAAGTAGTAGGATACCCAACATGTACACATCCCATCTTCAAATTTAAAATCATATTGTCAGTTGTCCAAAGCAGCTTGAATTTAAAGTTTGTGCTATAAAATTGTGCAAATATGTTAAGGATTGAGACCCACCAATGCACTACTGTAATATTTCGCTTCCTAAATTTCTTCCACCTACAGATAATAGACAACAAGTCTGAGAAACTAAGGCTAACCAAACTTAGATATAAATCCTACCAATAAAATTTTTCAGTTTTAAGTTTTACAGTTTGATTTAAAAACAAAACAGAAACAAATTTCAAAATAAATCACATCTTCTCTTAAAACTTGGCAAACCCTTCCCTAACTGTCCAAGTATGAGCATACACTGCCACTGGCTTTAGATACTCCAATTAAATGCACTACTCTTTCACTGGTCTGAATGAAGTATGGTGAAACAAGTACCAATTTTTAGAAACATATTGTCTTCTCAGATTGAAGTGGAGGGTCCAGAAATGCAACACCCAGCATTCTTTAAAGAAAATAATAGCTAGAATCTTTCTGATACAGATTCCAATATAGATTCCATTATTCAAAGTCCTCCACAAATTACTGGGAAAATGTAAGAGGTAACTTCACAAAAATCACATATTGAGTGGAATAATTATAACTGATATATAAATAAGGATTTACTAAAAAAAGGCTTCAAGGGGTGATATTTTAAATCAAGGTTTTAAATACAAAAGGTGTCTTGTGTTGCTTAATCATACAGTTTCGTACATTTTGTATAGATATTCCTCACTCTACAGTCACAGATTTGGCAAGATTCCGTGGGAAATCAACCTGCAAAAAGAAAAAAAAAAAAAGCAAGATTTGAGAGATTATATAGACTGGGGAAGGGGGTGGTTACTATAAGCAAATTATTTTTGTTTATAAAAACAGAAAACAATACATTCATTAACCATCTTTATTACAGACTACAAAGAATTAGATTAGAAAATATAATCACATAATGTGTCCTGAAAAAAACTGAAATTGGTTAGGAAAAAGCATTCTAAAGGTGCCAGTTCACACAGAAAGAGCTACTGTGGTCCTCTACAGAAGTAGTAGCCCTCATAGGGGACACTAAAAACAAAAGCACTATGTTTTGGTTGCCACAATGGCTGAGAAACCAGGAATGCTACAAAGTCTTCAATGTGTGGGACAGTTCCAAACAAAAAAGAATTGTCCTGCCAAATGCCAATAGCTGCCCTGTTAAGAGATAGAGGTTATATTAAGAAAACAGGTGGAGACTACCCAAGGTGAGTCACAATCTTGGAGGTGAACCCCAAGGTTCCTTCAAGTTCTATGGGTAAGAAGATGTTGTGATGTAACCTACAAATTGGGCCATGAAAATATAACAGGTGACAGATATATATTTGATAGATTTCTCAAACACTATTGTTAAAAATTTAGGAGAAAAAAATCAGAATGTATCCAGGTAAAAAACCATCCCAAGATTTCTGCAGTGGTAGATGACTTACATCATAGCCTCTCAGCACAGCAAGGTGGAAAGCCAGCAACTGTAAAGGGATCACGCTGAGAATGCCCTGCAAGCAGTCCACTGAGTGGGGCACCTTGATCGTTCTTTTTGTGTTCTTAATGGTCTCAGTATCCTCCTTATCACAAATTACCACAGGCCGCCCCTAGGAAAGAAAATCACACACATACACAACATCACTGGTGGGCAAAGGCAGGGCTATAGCTTACGAATGTGCAAAAATTGCACTGCATAATCCATATGAAGCCTCACGGACAGACTTCTTTAAATTCCTGTGTAGTAAATCTGATTGTTATTACTTATAGTCGAGGAAACAGAAGCGTTATGGGATCCAGTAATTTGTTTAAACTCATGCAACTAAGAAATACCAGGCTTAGTACTTGACTGCAGGTTTGCCTAACTTCAAAGCTCAAGTTCATTACCACCACATTGTGCTTAGGGAATAATATCTTTTGGAATTTATATATAAAGCCAACTGATCTGAAGAAAACTCAATTATATAATATTAAAATAAAACCTAGATGTTAGATTTCCCCTGAAATATATCGCGTGTGTGTAATTTTTTTTAATTTATTTTATTTACTGTTTTAGAGACAGGGTCTCACTATGCTACCCAGGCTGTATTCAAACTCCTGGACTCAAGTGATCCTCCTGCCTCAGTCCCCAGAGTAGCTGGGACTACAGTCATGTGCCACTGCAACCAGCTGAAATATATATTTAAAAATATTTTAAAATACATTTTTAAATGTTTTAGAAGTATTAAATTAAAAAGGAACAGCATATGTTAACTAAAAGAAGACAGGATGTGGAGACCAAGACCTCAGTTCTGGTCTTGGTTCTGCCCAATATGAGATCTATGACCTTGGTCTTCTTAAAGCTCTAAGTATCTGGGCCAGGCGGGGTGGCTCATGCCTGTAATCCCAGAACTTTGGGGGGTTGAGGCAGGTGGATCACTTCAGGTCAGGAGTTCGACACCAGCCTGGCCAACATGAAACCCCATCTCTACCAAAAATACAAAATTAGCCAGGCGTGGTGGAGTGTGCCTGTAATCCCAGCTACTTGGGAGGCTGAGGCAGGAAAATTGCCTGAACCCAGGAGGCAGAGGTTGCAGTGAGCCAAGATTGTGCCACTGCACTCCAGGGTGGGTGACAGAGACTCCATCTCAAAAAAAAAAAAAAAAAAAAACTCTTAAGTATCTGATTCCTCACATGTAAACCTCAAAGGCTGTATTCCAAAGTAAATGAGTTAACACGTGTAAACATGTTTTGTAAGTCATTCAAATAAGCTAGCGTAACTCCCCTCTTTGATCCCCAAGGTGTTCTCACAGTCCCCCGACTTACCTGCCGAGCAACCACTTGCTGAAGAGCATTCTGACACTTGGCATAAGTGTGATCTCTCATGATGATCATGATCACAGGCATCAATTTATCCACCAAAGCCAGAGGGCCATGTTTCAATTCACCAGCAAGGATGCCTTCAGAGTGCATATAAGTAATTTCTTTGATTTTCTAATAGGAAAGAACCAGATTTGTCTTCAATCCACTTTTCAAAAATCCATGTTTAAGTAAATATTATAAAAAGCATCTGATATGTCAAGCCACTGTCTATCTATCCAAAAGTATTAAAGGACCACTGATCTATAAATATATCTAACAAGTTAATAGATCACTATTTCTATATTATCAACATGTAATTGGAAGTTTTAAAGCTCCACAAGGACTTTTTAAAGATTTTAGATTATCACAAACATATTCATATTTCTGGTTAACCCTTTTTTTTTTTTTTTTTAAGACAGAGTCTTCTTCGATCGCCCAGGCTGGAGTACAGTGGTGTGATCTCGGCTCACTGCCACCTCCACCTCCTAGGTTCAAGTGATCTTCCCGCCTTAGCCTCCCAAGTAGCTGGGATTATAGTCATGCATTACCACATCCAGCTAATGTTTTTGTATTATTAGTAGAGATGGGGTTTCACCACGTTGGCCAGGCTGGTCTCGAACTTCTGACTTCAAGTTTGATCTACCTGCCATGTCCTCCCAAAGTGCTGGGATTATAGACGTGAGCCACTGTGCCCAGCTTGACCTCAATTAAATTTCTTATCTAGAGAACTTAATCTTTATTCATATTTGAACAAATTAACCCAAGTTACTTGCTAAATCCAAGTTTATCATGTTAAAATGTACTCTTTTTGATTTTCACTTCTGAACAGAGTTCTCTGTTGCACTTTCTCAAAGTAAACAAACCACAATGCATAAATACAGAAGCACTTTCAAAAGTTCTACCTATTTCATTCATTTAATGTAAAAGTATGACTATGTGTCAGGTCTGCAGGTCAATGGACTGATACTAATTAGAACTGAGAAAACTTACCAGTGCCCCTTCAAGACAAGTAGCATAATGATAGCCTCGTCCCATTATCAGAACTGACTTCTGATGATAAAGTTCTGTTGCTAGTTTCTGAATTTCGTCATCCATGCTCAGTACTTCCTTAATCAAATCTAAGAAGTAATATTAGCAAAAAAGGACAATAAACCAAACAAATAAAATAACAATATATTGGCAGCAAATAACAAAAGACCAGTGTTTCTATTCCTCTGTGCTATCAATCAGTATGGGTATTTTTTTAATACATCGGAGCAAACGTAGAAAGATCTTATTGACTAAATAGCTACAAGCCACAGCTTCAAGGATAAGAGAATTTTACCTATTACCCACTCCCTTAGACAACAAAAGTGTAATATATGAGTGTCTTTGTACCAGGCAGCCGTTTCAATCCAAGCATGATCTCTTTGCGTCTTTCTTGCATGGAGATCCGATCATCACACATCATAAGGGCAAACATCACAAGGGATACAAACTGGCTGGTATAAGCCTGAAACATCACAAAAAAGCAGGACAATTAGTTGCAGCTGCATCTGAAGAATTTAGAACTTTTAATTTTAAAAAGCTGAAAATAAAATTCCCATTGGTTTTACAGTATATATTCTCTATCTCTTAAAACTACGTTAGGGCCAAGCATGGTGGCTCATGCCTGTAATCTCAGCACTTTGGAAGGCCAGGGCAGGGGGATCGCTTGAGCTTAGGAGTTCGAGACCAGCCTGGGCAACATAGCGAAACCCTGTCTCTAAAAAAAATACAAAAATTAGCTGGGTGTGGTGGTGTGCACCTGTGGTCCCAGCTACTCAGGAGGATCACTTGAGCCCGGGAGGCAGAGGTTGCAGTGAACCAGGATCGCACCACAGCACTGCAGCCTGGGACAGAGTGAGACCCTGTCTCCAAAAAACAAAAATAAACTATCTTAGTAACAGTGAACTGAACCAGTACTTGGGAAATCTATCACTATTCTCCTTTTCTGAATCTTGAACAAATGACTCAACCTTTATTTCTTAGATACAAAAGCCAAACACCTTATAACCCATTGAATGCTTATAAAATTCCTAATATCCCTAAGAAAGGAAGGAAAAGATGAGCAAATCAGCATGTGCCTAACCACATTTAGTTTTTGGTGTAAGTCAAAAGGCAAGTGCTTGATAAACTCTCCTTGGGGTACTTGCACTGGTATTGCTGGATTTTTTTTTTTAATTGCTCTTTGATTTCCACCTTTGCCTATTGCCTGTTCCTCAATCCCAGTTTTATGTTTTAAGTTTGCATTAAAAAAAAAAAAAAGGAAAACTACAGTTGTAGAAAAGTAAACAGAAATAATATTTAATCTCATCTGTTATTAGAAATAATTACATTAATAATATGCTATTAATAACACTTGTGAATATTGCCTTAAAGTTTTTACTGTTTTTCTTTTCTTTACACAGTTAAGAAAATTAATTAGCAGGTACAATTTTATAACTTGCTTTCACTCCTAAATAATAGTACAAGTGTAATCCTAAAACTGAACTCTGTCAAGTTACATTATAACCTTGAGCAGTTTTCATCTCTTTAGGCCTCAGATACCCCATCTGTTAAATGCACATGACACTTACAAGATTATAATGACAATTAAATGAGACAAATGTAACGCATTCAGTTCTGTATAATCCCTGACACACAGGCTCAAAACGTACTATAAATTTTATTGATGACAGCTTGAACTAAAAGACAATTAGTTTCTTAGGATACAGAATTGTATGTATTTCAAAACTCACAATCCTACTGCCAAGACTATTTTCATTCTTACTAACTTTATGTGACTGTGAGATGTGCCTGTTTTGTCAAGTTCTGTGAAATACTGAGAATTATCTCTTTAGCAAACTTTTACCATTTTGACTGCGGGACAATGAACCTTCACTACTATTTTAGCATACATATCTTGAATCCTAAAGCTAAGCTTTTTTTTCATGTTTGTTGACCATTTATATTTTCTCTTTTGACAACTGACTTTGTTGTTCCTCACCTGTTTTTCAACTTGAGTTTCTTTATTCAAATTGGTTTTAAGAAGGTAGTTATTGTTCAAAACAAAAAAATTAGACAAATGCTACATTAATGTTTGGGTGGTCAGATTCTACTTTGAAGTCTGAAGTTTGCAGATATGCCTACAGATTTTCAGAGTTTACCACTTCTTTCTTATTCTGTACCATTAATGTAATACCTTAAATTACTATATATGTTACCATTTTTCTGGATTTAGTAAGAAATTTGCATTTTTGGTGTGATGTAACAAGGGTTTTAATATAATTTATGTTAGATTTTGCATTTTTTTCATTACTGTTATATTTTAACCTGACTGAATGACTGATCTAATTGTATTAGTATTGTGAATAATCATGTGAAATGTTTTGAGACAGAGTAATATATTTCTGAATATAATTTTATGGTTTTTTTCACTTAGTAAGAACCTTTCTATGTGGAAAACTAAGAAAACTGCTTTCTGCTGTATAATCTGGCATTCATTGTAGATTAAAGTTTATTTTTCTGTGAATAAAACGTATTCAATACAATACTATTCTCTAAAATTAAAAAAAAGAAGGTAGTTATTGTTATGTCTCAAATATTTTTTCTCATCGTGGACTGACCTTTTATATTGGTGCTGACATAATTTTTTAACTTTTACGTAGTACTTTTAGACTCAGATAACTCTTCCACATCCTACATAAACTAAGTATTATTAAATTTTCTTACTTCTTTTGTTTTCACTGTTCCTTTTTATTTTTTTAACATTTTCCTTTTTAGCCTGTTTGAAATTAATTTTAGTGCAAGTTGAAGGAACACTAATTCTAACCCAAGATATGTCATTTCTTTACAAAACAATCTTTCCATTTAAAAATATGGCATTTTCATCAATTTGTGCTAGGAATTTAATGCTATTTCCCTCTATTTATCACTTTGGCCACACACTCTAAATTTTTACCCCTATTATTTATTGTTTACTTTTTTCTAGTCTTTCTTTTCTTTTCTTTTTTTTTTTTTTTTGAGACACAGTTTTGCTCTTGTTGCCCAGGCTGGATTGCAATGGCATGATCTTGGCTCACTGCAACCTCAGCCTCCTGGGTTCGCGTGATTCTCCTGCTTCAGCCACCCCAAGTAGCTGGGATTACAGGCGCCCGCCACCATGCCCGGCTAATTTTCTCGTGTTTTTTTAGTAGAGACGGGGTTTCACTATGTTGGCCAGGCTGGTCTTGAACTCCTGTCCTCAAGTGATCTGCCCAAAGTGCTGGGATTACAAGCATGAGCCACCACGCCCGGCCTCTAGTAAGTCTTTCTTAATGGTAGTTCTGATTTTTTTTAATCCAATAGTTATTTTGAAAAACATTTTTATGTTTCAGATATTTGAGGCTTTTATTTACATCTCTTTCAGTAGGTTATTGTGCTGTTGTCAGTTACAGTGTTAGATATAATTTTAGCTTTAGGAAATTTATGCTGAGGGGTGTGTGTGTGCGCGCGCGGATTATATGCTGAATTTCTATTACTCTTCTCTTGATAAGGGATTACTCCATTAGTGATTTCCTGGCATGATGTGGATGAGACTCCCTCTATAATAAAATCACAGTCTGGTAACTCCTTAACATCCCAATAGTTAAATGAGACTCCCTGTTTCCTCCTGCTGGACTTCCCAGCCTCCAGCTGCTCACATGGTCCTCCACAACTGCCTCCCTGTACACCTATTATATTCCACCAGCAGACTGGAATCTTTTCCCATAACACTAAAGTGAATTTGGAGTCCTCTGCCTCCGAGACTAATGAGCACATCTATATTCTAAATTCCAGACTCTTCCAGTCTACTTCTTCCTACTGTGGTTTACTTTTCAATTAATCAATTAATCACAAAACATACTACCAGGCCAGAGGTATCTTGGACCCCTGGAATACTTAAACTGTTTCCAATCCAAACTGATCAGATAATGAGTATTCCAGTTCCTGTAGCCCATAACTAAAAATGTTATTCTACAAACTAGTGTTTATTTGTTTGAACTGAAACCATCTGAACACTAGTTTTTAAGTACAAATATTAAACGGAGCAACTTTAATCCATGTTTTTCCATTGCATTGCTATTACAGTTTAATTTCTAATTTGAATTTCATATTTTTAATTTCATCAATACATACCAGGAAACCAATTATGAGGAAAAATAAGCTATACCCTACATTCAGAATCTACCGAGGTTTGAAAGAGTTTACCAGGAAAATGCTGACTCTGAAATTTTAAACTTGGTTTTTCTTTTTGTTCAGCCAAAAACAAAGTTACATTTTTATTTTTTTAAATCAACAAAAGTCAGCACTGTGGTGAAATTCTAAACACCTGCAATAACATATAAAAATTGCTGAACCTACCATTTATACCCATCAATTCCTCCAGTAGTATCAACTTGTCTATGGTCTGATACTATGAGAAACTCAGTAAGATCCCTCTAATCCTGACAGTTTTTCAGGCAAAGTTGAGAATTTACAGGCAAGATCACAGAATTCTTCTATGTGCTCCATCACTGGGCCCAGGGATTAGGATCAATAATCAACTTTTGGCTGGGCGCGGTGGCTTACGCCTGTAATCCCAGCACTTTGGGAGGCCAAGACGGGTGGATCACGTGGTCAGGAGTTCGAGACCAGACTGGCCAACAAGGTGACACCCAGTCTCTACTAAAAATACAAAAATTGGCCAGGCGTGGTGGCAGTTACCTGTAATCCCAGCTACTTGAGAGGCTGAGGCAGGAGAATCACTTGAAACCGGAGGGCGGAAGTTACAGTGAGCAGAGATCACACCACTGCACTCCAGCCTGGGCAACAAGAGCAAAACTCCATCTCAAAATAATAATAATAATAGTAATAATAATCGACTTCTTTCAATACCCATTAACATAAAAACTCTTATTTGCCACCTGGAATGGTCTGTGACTAAATAACCCAAAACTTATTGTAAGTAACTAAGCCCAAAATGTCTAAGACATTTGAATAAAATTACTTTAGAATCCAAGAAAAATGAAATACTAAATTGCCATACTTACTCAATTTTTTTAAGAGTTATTTTTGAAAAAAATTAAAGTCTGTACTAAAAAGATGCTAATTTTTCTTATATAGGTGGTAACCACTGGGGTAATGGGTAAAAAGTATGTAAGACTTCTCTGTACTATCTTTGCAACTTCCTATATAGTTATTTCAAAATAAAAATATTTAAAAAAAAGATTTGCAGAAAGAAAGAACTAATGATACAAATAACAACATGAACAAATCTCAAAAACTTCAGGCTAGGGTAGTCCAATAGTGGGTCACTAGAACTCATTAACATTAGCGTTACTAAAGTTGGTATACAATACCTCACTGCTAAATTTAACTGGCTTTATTTAAAAAACAAACTTCAGGCTAAATGAAAGAAGCTAGACACACAAGACGTGTTATACAATTCCATTTACAAAAATTTTCTGGAAAATGCCATAATACAGCAAGAGAAAACAGTAGTTCCTGAGTATGAGGCTGGAGGGTAGGAGTAAGGATTGACTACAAAGAAACACAAAGGAATATTTCAGGTGATCATCTTCTAAAACTGGATTGTGATAACAGTTGTACAGCCAAATGAATTTACTAAAACTGTACACTTAAAATTGGTGAATATGCTATGGTAGAAGCTAGATGGTGGGTATACCAATGCTAATGTAAAATTTTTATTTTTTTTTTTAAGACAGGGTCTCACTCTATCATCCAAGCTAGAGTGTAGTGGTGTGATCATGGCTCACTGCAGCCTCAAACTCTCAGGCTCAAGGGATCCTCGTGCCTCAGCCTCCTGAGTAGCTGGGACTACACGCACGCACCACCATGCCCCGCTAATTTTTGTATTTTTTATAGAGATAAGGTCTCACTCTGATGCCTCGGCTGGTCTTGAACTCTTAGCCTCAAGTGATCCTCCCAATTCAGCCTCCCAAAGTGCCAGGATAACAGTTGTGAGCCACTGCACCCAGCCTGTATGTAAAATTTTTAAAACTCTGCTGTATATTTGAAAATCATCATCATAAAATGTTGAGGCAAATTAAAGTTCTCATAAACAAAGGAATGAGAAATGTAAAATATATATTTCCCTTGGCAGCTCACAATTCCAGAAACATTTTATGAAAAGATTAAGTCAATGGCATCCATCCAAACAATCCCATATCCCACATACACCACGTTGTAGCCCTTGTTTCACAATCTGTTATAAATAAAGAGCCTCTGGGATTCCAATCCCCCAATCAAATCCTTAAGTGCTACTAAAGGTGGCTGGTCATTTATTCAGCCACAGGATGGAAACCCAAGCACAAACATGTAACACGTTTTAATTACCATATGGAGAAAATTCAAGTTTCAGCACTCTGTAAATTATAGTGTTAGCAATATCGAAATACCCAAGAAATAAAAATCTCACTCAAGAGTTTTTATGCCTGTAACCCCAGCACTTTGGGAGGCCAAAGCAGGCAGATCGTTTGAGCCCAAGAGTTCGAGACTGGCCTAGGCAACATGGTAAAACTCCGTCTCTACAAAAAAATACAAAAATTAGCCAGGCATGGGTAGTGGCCTGTACCTGTAGTCCCAGCTACTCAGGAGGCTAAGGTGGGAGGATCACCTGAGCCTGGGAAGGTCCAGGCTGCAGTAAGCCATGAGCACCACTGCACTCTATGTACTCTGGATGATAAAGAGGAGAGACCCTGTCTCCAAAAAAAAAAAAAAAGGTGGGGGGCCAGGTACAGTGTGGCTCATGCCTGTAATTCCAGCACTTTGGGAGGTTGAGGCAGGCAGATCACTTGAGGTCAGGAGTTCAAGACAAGCCTGGCCAACATGGTGAAACCCCATTGCTATCAAAAATACAAAAATTAGCCAGGCGTGGTGGCAGGTGCCTGTAATCCCAGCTACCTGGGAGGCTGAGGCAGGAGAATCGCTTGAACCCAGGAGGCGGGGGTTGCAGTGAGCTGAGATCACGCCACTGCACTCCAGCCTGGCCAACAGAGTGAGAGTCTGTCTCCAAAAAAAAAAAAAAAAAGAAAAAGAAAAAGAAAAGAAGAATTTTTATATAAGAATCACAAACTTTCTACAAAAAATTCTCTATGAGAATCTTTGAGGGAAAAGAATTCAAATGCAGTTATGTACACATTAACATTGTCTTTCACAATCCTTTAATTAAACTCAAATCCACCAATATCCCAACATCTTATTAGATAATCAGCAAGAAATATCAAACTTAAGTAGAAAAATATTGAGAAAACAAAAATGTGAAATCATAAAAAGTAACACATTGGACAACATAGTGAGACCCCATCTTAAAAAAAAAAAAAAAACTAGCCTGGTGCATCTGCAGTCCCAGCCACTCAGGAAGCTGAGGCAGAGATCACTTGAGCCCATGAGTCTGAGGCTGCAGGGAGCTATGATTCCTGTCACTGCACTCCAGCCCCAGCCTGGGTGACAAAACAAGACCCTGTCTCTAAATAACAACCAAACAAACCTAAAACCCCAAAAAAACACTTGTGGAGGGATAACATCTCTTGTATTTATACAACTTTCTAAGATTTCCTATTTTTATTAGCCACCTAAATTTATGCATATTCCAATTCCAAAGAGCAAAGTAGTCTTACCAGGCCTTCAAAACACAAGACAGTACCTTTAAACCTCCCCAGAGCAATATCTAAAGAGAAAGATATTGTCATACAATACTCATTAAAAAATTTTTTTTAATTGCCAAATTTTAAATTTTTTTTTTTTTTTTTTTTTTTAGATGGACTCTTGCTCTGTCACCCAGACTGGAGTGCAGTGGCACAATCTCGCTTCACTGCAACCTCCACCTCCCAGGTTCAAGTGATTCTCTTGCCTCAGCCTCCCGGGTATGCTGGGATTACAGGCACGTGCTACCACACCTGGCTAATTTTTGTATTTTTAGTAGAGACGGGATTCACCATGTTGGCCAGGCTGGTCTTGAACTCCTGAGCTCAAATGATCCGCCCGCCTCAGCCTCCCAAAGTGCTGGGATTACAGGCGTGAGCCACCATGCCTGGCAGTTGCCAAATTTTATACCAAAGGTGTATTCCTCCTTACAAACTTTCAGAGGTAGTATGTATATTTTTACATTATTTATTAGAAACCATAAATAGGTAAATAAAAATTCCAAAAATGGTTAAAGTGGATGTTTCTAATTTGTTACTTTTCAAATTCCAGACTATACTTCATAAAAGAAGGGGATGTTATATACTTGTTATGTATCCTACTGTGCCTAGCAGGAGGGCAGTAAGCGATAGACAAGGATAGCCAGCAGAGACCTTTTCAAAATGGACTTACATTATATACATAAGTCCCTTTTAAACTCTATCAGGAAGAGGGAGAGAATGACAAGTCTTTTATCTATCTGACCCTAAAGTCCTACAATAATTACAATGATTAGTAAAATGTGTGAGTTCTATAACTGCTAACAAAAATAAAATGTGTGAGTTCTATAACTGCTAACAAAAATAAGATACAGACTAGTCTACAGACTAGTCTGCTTCACTGACACTATGATTAAATAATCATCAGAGAAATGAGTCAAGAATTTACCTTTGTACTGGCCACACCAATCTCAGGACCAGCATTAATATGAACTCCACAATCTGTCTCCCGTGATATGGAACTGCCAACTGTGTTTGTGATCCCCACAGTTAAAGCTCCTCTCTCCTTACAGTAACGAAGACCCATCAAAGTATCTGCTGTCTCACCTGTGTAAAAAGTAGGCCAACCATAACACACAGAACAGTTTTAACATATGCTGTTTCTTAGGAGCAAAAACAAATTGACCACACTTTCAACAATATTACTTGTTTTAAATAAAATACAAAACATCCACTTAATAAATTTATAAAACTTTAAGTAATATGGCTTGTCAGGATCTCTCTTCCTTCTCTGTCATTGAAAATCCAGCTCTTTGAACACAAAAGGTGTTCATTTTTACTAATTCATAAAGAATTATGTAACATTAAAATAAATCTGTATTCGTCAAGTCATCTGCAATGCCAGTTTATCTTTAAATATCAGCTTTTGCCAAGATATGCTAGAATTATTAGAAAGAATAACTTTCCTTCCTTTTAAGTCTTTAAAATTAACACACCTGATTGACTAAGGAAAAAGCAAACATCATCTCGAAAGACTGGTGTGTTTCTGTCCAGGAAGTCACTTGCTAGTTCCACCATCACAGGCAACTCAGTCAGCTCCTCAAGAACTTGACGTGTCTGCAGAGAAAATATGACTTGGTCACAGAACTTTCCTTCAAATACTCTTTCATCGGACTTCTTTGGATTCAATGTATAGTTTTTGCTTTTTCTGATTACAAAAATGACACGTTAGAAAATAAAAACAACCCAGATTAAAATATTTAAAAAAAAAAAATCAAAATCCTACCACTTGAGATAAGCATGGCTAACATTTTACTATCAGTCTCTTTAGACAACTATCTATGTATACATTCCTTTTTTTTTTTTTTTTGAGACGGAGTCTCGCTCTGTCGCCAGGCTGGAGTGCAGTGGTGCCATCTCGGCTCACCGTAACCTCCGCCTCCCGGGTTCAAGCAATTCTCCTGCCTCAGCCTCCTGAGTAGCTGGGACTATAGGCGTGCGCCACCATGCCCAGCTTAGTAGAGATGGGGTTTCACCATGTTGGCCAGGATGGTCTCAATCTCCTGACCTCATGATCTGCTCGCCTCAGCCTCCCAAAGTGCTGGGATTACAGGCATGAGCCACTGCGCCTGGACACATACATTCTTATAAGGAAACATACCCACACATATAAAACGTTTTGAGAAGTGGAAAGAGCATGGTTCTGAGTCAGCTTGTGTGTTATCTCTAACCTCCCAATTCCTAATCTTTAAAATGAAAATTCATGTAATACCCATGTTAGGGAGGGGTTTCAAATCAGGTAACAGATGTACAAATATATAGAGAAAAATTAAACACTTTAAAAGTACAACGTATTCATAAATATGACCATTTCCCAAAAGAAGTCAATATATTTTAGAAATCTTGTTTAACAGGGCTCACTATTTTCAACTTTTGTGGCATGGGGCAGGGGGAATGAAGTAGGGAGCAGTATGCCTCTGTGCAAAACGTAGTTTAACCTTCATTTCAGTAAATTTCCATTCTAATTATTTTTACACTAAACATCGGAAAATCAAAAACAGAAAAATTATCTTTTAGGCAGCAAAAACTTTAAGCTCAACCAATGTATACATTTAGTGTTGCTTTAATTCTAACTGTGGAGCTCACCTAACCTGACAGCCTTTCACCAGCCTCTTCAGGCAAGTGGCCCTCCCCATCTCTCACCCATCTCAGCTTTCCTCCTTCTCAGCAATAAAGAACTTAAAGGTGCCCTTATTTCATAGCCCTTAACTTTTGCTTGCCCACAAATTTGAACAGAATCGTTTTACTTGGTTCCCCCAAAAATATTAAATAACTTTGATTTGGCATTTTTTAACAATATTACAACATCATGTAAAGAAAATCATTGAAGATAAAATGCTCCTATTTTTTATTATTCTTTTCCATTAATATATTTTATTATACATAATTAAGTTACCGACACTAAAATGCTAAATGTTTTCCCACAAATAAATGTAAACCAAACCTTTTCACCCAGTTTATAATATAAATGTTACATTGGAATCATATTCTTCAAAATAAAAAGATGGGGAAAGAAGAGAGAAAGATAGAAATCTGGAGGCTTACCAGATATTTAAAAGTAATAAACCCCAAAAAAGTAATCTCAAGATTTATCTGTGCTAATTAATAGTTTATTATTTTAGTTGGGGCAACTTTTTTTTTTTTTTTTTTTTTTTTGGTTAAAGATGGGGTCTTGGTTTGTTGCCCAGGCTGGAGTGTAGCAGCTATTCAGAGGCATGATTCTAGGGCACTGTGGCCTCAAATTCCTGGTCTCAAGTGATCCTCCTGCCCCAGCTTCCGAGGAGCTGGAACTATAGGCACACACCACTGCACCCAGCTGCGAACAACTTTTTATAAATACACAAAATGACATATTTCCATCACAATAGAGTAACTTAATGCTATAAATTCCACTGAATGCCACTACAAAACCTAGAGAAAATTAAAATTTTGAAAAGCATATTAAGTAGGCTATACTTAAATCATTTATGCCTAGTGTTCCATCACTGGAACGTTAAGCATGTGGGAGTTATTTATATCCTACTGCTCAAGGTCAGCACCAAGGTCTGATGATTTTTCACAAAAAAATTTTGCAACCTCTGGCATAAATGAGTTAAGAATGATTAGAGTGTAGTCAGTTATTCAGGATATAGATACTAAAAAAAAAACATGTAAATGTGTCATGAAACAACAACAAAAATGTAAAACAGGATAAAATAAATGGTACTATTTTGTCTGATAAACCACAGGGGGATTTCTAATGTTTGTTTACTACAGTAGTCTTGGCATCCACAAAACAACAAAAAATCTTACATTAGAGAATTCTAACAGAGTATATAATTTCTGCCCCCAAATTGTCTTAGCGTTAGATGAAGCGTTTAATCAAATTTTCTATTTCTGAATACAGGGCTCATTCAGTAATAGATCTAAGCCACCACTAACGTGTTTACATCTTTCTTCTTCCCGTGTTCAAAATTTTTTTTTTTTTTTGAGACAGGGCCTGGTTTTGTCGCCCAGGTTGGAGTTCAGCGGTGCAATCTAGGCTCACTGCAGCCTCACCTTCTGGACTCAAGCGATCCTCCTGCCTCAGCCTCCCAAGTAGCTAGGACTACAGGGAGTTGCCACCACACCCCGATAATTTTTTTTTTTTGGTAGAGACGGGGTCTCGCTATGTTGCCCAGGCTCAAACTCCTAGGGTCAACTGATCCTCCCACTTTGCCCTCCCAAAGTGCTGGGATTACAGGTGTGAGCCACAACACCCAGACAAAACAATCACTTTTTTAGACCTCTACCCTTCAACATTACATAGACTTTCTGTTTAGGACCATATAATTTTGGGGGAGGAGGGGAGGAGGTATTTGGTGTAGTCTTAGAAAAGAGCAAAGCTTGTTGAGATGCAAGGGCAGGTGACCAGATAGTTTCACTCACTGCTTAAATAAATGGCTCCTAATAAATATTTATGCCTCAGCAAATAAATAAGTTATGTCAGGAACTTTGGAAGTCAATCCTAAAAGCAGAAATTGAATGTAAAGGTCTTCTGTTCATAACAGTTGACATCAGCAACACATAAACTGTCTCTTTCTAAGGAAACTACGTGGGCAAATATTGGTCTTTTATTGGAATAAAAGACCCTCATACACCTATGCTTCTGCACTGACAATACACATTTTTGATACTGAATTTCAGCTTCTAAAAGAACAATTTAAAGAATAAAATCTGATTTAAAAAAAAAAGCAGACTACCTTTCTTTGCAGTAATGTGCCCACAAAGTAAAATTGCACTGAGGTTCACACATGATGCAGGCCATCTGTCTAGGGCAAGTGAACAATGCTAAGCAAAACCCAACGATGGCTCTTACACATGTAGGCAAGCTCCCTAGGCTACAAGTCTAGGACAGTACACAAACTCTCCCCCTCTTGGCCTTTCATGAAGTCCGTTGCAGGAGGTCTATCTGTATATCTAGGGACCTTTTCTACAGATCTTCCATGGATAAATAATTCCAAGCAGCTGGTAAATTTCTCCCCTTACCTTCTTTTTTTATCACAAAAGGGAAAAGATAACACATTAACAAAACATAGTTTTACACAGTATGTTATTAGACTACTACTTGGTCTACAGATATTCTCTAATATTCAACATAATTAAAATTTTAAAAAGCACTTACTGCTACACCAGCATGGTAACTTGTTCCACAAGCAATAAGAATCAAACGCCGGCATCTCTGGATCTCCTTTATGTGATCCTTCAAACCACCCAAATTCACTGAAATAAAAGTTTGTGTACATAATTATTTAGCAAAGAACCATGTGAACTAGGCAATCGCATTTTGTGAGTATCCACTGCCAATATGAGGAAGAATACTGCTGTTTTAAAGAATTAATATTCCTCTTGGAAAGCACAGTTCTCTGTAATTTTGAAAAGTAAATTAAATAAGTCACAACTTCACTGGCGCCCCCAAACTTGTAACTGACCTTACTCACCTCTCTACATCCCCACACAATTACAGTATTTATTACATTCTACCTTAGTTAGTTATTTTTACATTCTTCTCTTTGAAAGTTATCTTAAAGGCAAAAGTAGAGGGACACAGAAAACAGATCATTAGATGTAGAGGGCTGGAGCTGGAGGAGGGGTTGACAACAATAGGGTGCAAGGAAATTTTGGGAGTGATGGAACTGTTCTACATCTTGACTTTGTAGAGGTTATGATTATGACTATGTTGTAGAGGTTTGTCAAACTTAGAGTTATACACTAGGAATGGTGAATTTTATTATATCTAATTATGTCTCAATAAACCTGTCTGGGAAAAACATTATCTCAGTTACGTTTATTTCCCCTCTGGTGCCCAGAAAGGTGCTCTGTAGAGTAACATAAACCCACTCTCCTCTCAGTCTTTGCCGTCCCCATTCCCCTAATGCTTCAGTCAAAATGCTTGATTGTTCTGATCCCTCCACATTTATCTTCAAACCCAGCATCTCTCCCTGGACGACAGCAACATTCTCCAGTTCTCTCTTCTGTTCTCCACCTCCTGGAGTCTGCTCTCCATATGCTACCAGAAGGATCTCTTACAGTGATCCTTTAAAAACATAAAGACCCTCCAATGAAGTCTGTCCTCTTTTTCATTTTCAGTTTCTATAGCTATTTACATGTTGTTCTCCATGTGTCTTGTCCAGAAATCCTTCCACACAGGCTAGTTTTCTATCTGTGAGAAATTCTCATTCAACATTCATTCAACTGGTCAACTAAAATTCCCTAATCACCCACCAAGTAAATATAGTGGTCAAGGCACTGAGAGCTTCTGGACTCAAACAATTCCAAATCTGGCTGAGGAGAATGACAGGTACCTCCTCGTGGGCCTCATCCTGCTGCTCTCTCTGAACCATTTTCAGTCTGTCTACTCTGCCCCTGCTCTCTTCATCTCCTCACCTTTTTTTTTTTTTTGAGACAGAGTCTTGCTCTGTAGCCCAAGCTGGAGTGCAGTGGTGCAATCTCGGCTCACTGCAACCTCCACCTCCCAGGTTCAAGCGATTCTCCAGCCTTGGCCTCCTTAGTAGCTGGGATTACAGGCCGCGAGCCACCACGCCCAGCTAATTTTTTTCTATTTTTAGTAGAGAGGGTTTCACCATGTTGGCTAGGCTCGTCTCGGACTCCTGACCTCAAGTAATCCACCCACCTTGGCCTCCCAAAGTGCTGGGATTACAGGTGTCAGCCACCACGCCCAGCCAGTCCACCTTCTTTTTTATCTTAGTTAGTTATACTATAAAACCAAGGTATGTGTTTTACTTTTTATCTTTTGAATAATTATATGTTCTCCGTTTTGAATTTCAATAATGAAAGAAGGTATGTTTCTCTATTTTAAAAAATTAGCAAGTAGAAAACAAAACCAAACAAAATAAAAAGTGTCACTAGCTTCCCAAATAATTTATAATCAAATCCGAACTACTTACTTTGGCCTTCAAGTCCCATAAGACCTGTCTCCTGCTTACTCTGACCTAGCACATCCCTTCTCACTCAGGCCACACCAGCCAGACTGGCCTTCTTGCTGTTACTGCACTAGACCAAGCCTGTTTGTGTACCTCTGCCTACAGTGTTTTCCACAGACCTTGGCATTAATTACAAATGTTTGAGAAGAAAGGAAACAGCAGTAAAAGGCTGGATCAGGGTCATGCAAAGGCAAAGACTCAATATAAAAGCAAAGCAAAAAAAAAAAAAAAAAAAAAAAGGCAGACCAACTACCAGAAAGACCTGTATTGCAGATGATGACAAAGAATGACATGGATGTAAGACAGTGAGATTAGCTGGCCACGGTTGTTTCCTTAAAATTAGTCCTAGAAATTTCTGGTGGCTGAGGATAGTTGGGATAGTTCTGAAAGAAGCTGCCCAAAGCTCTAAATTTGATGCTTTTGAGAAAAGCCTGATCCCTTTTGAGATGAGGTAAGCCATCACTACAGGCAAAAGAAAGAATGCCTGATGGACAGGGGAGGGGATGGAGAGCACTTAGAACAATGAATACATGGGGAGTAGTTTGGTTCAATAAATGACTAACAATGTGACCTTTGACAAACTGAAAGCCTCAATCTCCTCATCCTAACAACAAAAAAGATGACAGCTATCCTGTTTTATTACAGAACTTTTATGTACATAATACAGATATAAGTACTCTTTTTTATTTTTTTTTTTTGAGACAGGTCTTTCAACCAGGCTGCAGTGCAGTGGTGGAGTCAGAGCTCACTGCAGCCTCGATCTACAGGGCTCAAGCAATCCTCCCACCTCAGGCTCTTCAGTAGCCAGGGCTACAGGCACCCACCACCACACCCAGCTAATTTTTTAAAAATTTTTAGTAAAAAGGAGGTCAGACTGGTCTAGAATTCCTGAGCTCAAGCGATCCTCCCGCTTTGGGTTCCCAAAGCGCTGGGATTACAGGCATGAGCCACTGCACCCAGCCAAAAGTACTTTTTAAAACCGTGAACTTCCCAAAGTTTGTCTCATTTTCTTCCCTTATAAAACAAATCTTTTTCCTGACCTCATTTCCATAAATACCATAAAAGAATTTACTGCTACTCTCCCAGTTCTTCCAGCTCAACCATCTTCAACAACCACCTCTGTCTACAGAGGCAGATACAATTCCTCTGGTGGTACATGCCTGTAATCCCAGCTACTTGGGAGGCTGAGGCAGGAGAATCACTTGAACCCGGGAGGCAGCAGTTGCGGTGAGCCGAGATGGCACCACTGCACCCCAGCCTGGGCAACAATAGCAAAACTCCATCCTAAAAAAAAGAGTAGTGTTGTACTCTCACCTCTACCTTAAAAATGCAGGAGGGTACAGGTTATCCAAAGGCATCAGGCAAATAACTGAAAGACCTCTGGGGAAGTTCACACTTTTACTTATTTATACACTCAGAAAGGAAACCTAGGCCAGGCAGATACACATAAGCTGCCCAGCAACGGGACCAGGTCTTATTCTTCTTAGAATTCACAGTACCTAGGACAGTCCCTGGTACACAGTGGGTGACCTACACATAAAATTTACCATTTTAACTATGTTTAAATGTACAATTCAGTGGCATTAAGCACATTCACATTATTGTGCAACCATCACTACAATCCATTTCTGTAATTTCATCATCCCACAACTGAAACTCTGTACCCTTTAAACAGTGACTCCCCATTTCCCCTCCCCACAGCCCTTGGTAACCATTAATCTACTTTCTCTTTCTGTGAATCTGACTATTCTAGATATCTTATATAGGTAGAATCACACACTAAAGAACTTTTTCCAAGATGGCTGGGCTCCACTGATGGCTGGCAGCTGTAGTTGTTCTACAAGGCTATTAAGGGCAATGAACTTTCAGGTTGTTAATGGCACCTCCTACTGTCAGAGACACTGAAATAATAAAATAATTCATATGTAATTACCAGTATAGTCATCAAAGTTGACTCTTCCTCTCATTGTGTTCACGACAGACTCTGGCTGCTCAAATATTTCCTTCTGCATAAATGAACTGAAGTTGCCTATAGTAATAGAAATCACATAATTAAAACAAAAACAAATCAAATAAAAGAATTTGTACACAACTAAAAGTTTCCTTTAATATAATCTTGGTAAATAAAATATAACAAAAGTTCATGCAATAGACATGACTGCCTAAAAGATTGGGTGAACATATTTTACTCTGTGGAAAAAAATAACAGTAAAAGTCACTTTTAATTAACTTCATACTTGAAATGTGCAGTTACAACAAGTGAATGAGACAAGCTTTTTTTTTTTTGAGACGGAGTCTTGCTCTGTCACCCAGGCTGGAGTGGAGTGGCATGATGTAGGCTCACTGCAATCTTGGCCTCCTGGATTCAAGGGATTCCCCTGCCTCAGCCTCCTGAGTAGCTGTGACTACAGGCGTGTGCTACCACGCCCGGCTAATTTTTTGTATTTTTAGTAGAGACAAGGTTTCACCATACTGACCAGGCTGGTCTCGAACTCCTGACCTCATGATCCAACCACCTCGGCCTCCCAAAGTGCTGGGATTACAGGCGTGAGCCACCGCACTCAGTCAACTGGGACAAGCTTTAAGTTTTGGAGTGCAACCCACCCAAACTGTAGTTCTATCCTTTACTATCTAAACTGGGGAAATTATTAATCTATAAAATAAGAGACCAATTACTTCACAGTATGGATTGTAGTATGGATTAATAAAGCAAAAAATCTGACATATATATATATAGAGTTATGCAATAAATGTTATTTCTTATTTTTACTTTTTTTTTTGAGACAGGGTCTTTGTCACCCAGACTGAAGTGATCACCGCAAGATCACCGCTCACTGCAGCCTCAATCTCCTGGGCTCAAGCAATTCTCACACCTCAGCCACCTGAGTAGCTGAGACTACAGGCACACACTACCATGCCCGGCTCATAGTTTTGTTTTGTTTTGTTTTGTTTTGTTTGAGACAGAGTCTCACTCTGTCGCCCAGGCTGGAGTGCAGCGGCACGATCTCACCTCACTGCAACCTCTGCCTCCTGGGTTCAAGTGATTCTCCCACCTCAGCCTCCCCAGTCACTGAGACTACAGGTACATGCCACCATGCCCATAATTTTCTTTGTATTTTTAGTAGAAACAGGGTTTTGCTATGTTGCTGAGGCTGGTCTTGAACTCCTGAGCTCTGGCAATCTGCCTGCTTCAGCCTCCCAAAGTGCTAGGATTACAGGTGTGAGCCAGTGCACCTGGACTTTTTTTTTTTTTAGTTTGTAGTAGAGATAAGGTCTCACTATGTTGCCCAGGCTGGTCTCAAACTCCTGAGCTCAAGTGATCCTCCTACCTTGGCCTCCCTAAGTGTTGAGATTACAGGCATGAGCCACCGTGCCTGGCCAATGTTAGTTTTTATTCCTACCACAATCCCATCAGAAAGGAATAAAATAATCCAAATCATAATAATTATAATAGTTAACAGAAGCAAATATTACATACGACTAAGTGTGTCAGACACTGTTTTAAGCTTCTTTTTTTTTTTTTTGAGACAGAGTTTTGCTCTTGTTGCCAAGGCTGGAGTGCAATGGCGCAATCTCGGCTCACTGAAACCTCTGCCTCCCGGGTTCAAGCCATTCTCCTGCCTCAGCCTCCCGAGTAGCTGGGATTACAGGCATGCGCCACCACACCCAGCTAATTTTGTATTTTTTAGTACAGTCGGGGTTTCTCCACGTTGGCAAGGCCAGACTGGTCTCAAACTCCCCACCTTAGGTGATCTGCCCACCTCGGCCTCCCAAAGTGCTAAGATTACAGGTGTGAGCCACCGCACCCAGCCATATAGTAGCTTCTTAATCCTCAAAACAACCTTAATGAGGCAGGCTATATTATCCTCATGTTATATATAAGAAAACTAAAGCACAAAGAGAATAAAAAGGAACAGAACATTAACTATTTTTATGTTTATAAAGTATCTTTAAAGTATCAAGTGTTAATAACCTTTTTATAATGTTACAAATAACAAATCATTAATTAGTTTGAAGACGATTGTAAAAACAGCAGATAATTTCTCTAAAGAATCATCCCTTTTCCTAGCGTTGTCCCTTCACTAATCATGTGGAAGATTCCACTCATCATTCATTACTAGATTTAATATGCTAGGAAAGGAAGTAGAATATATTCTTTCCAGTAAGGACAGCAAGCTATAACATGACAAAAACTTTCACCCTTCATGATCTGCTGGAGTTCCATCTGGAGTGTTTGCACAGCTCGTCCGGGGTGATCTCCTGCAGTTCGTTTAATTCGATGGATAGAAAGACGTCCATCCACTACTGCTGCAACATCATCATCTTCCAGAAAGATGACGCGATTGGTGTGTTCTATGACAGCACTATAAAGTTTTCAAGGAGATATTACAATCGATAACCAAGGATCATTATTACAAATGAAACTATCATTTGGATACAAGAACCAAATTTCAATATAAACTCTATCACTCTGCAGTATCTCAGAGAATTTTCTGGTTACTAATGCCAACCCCTACAGGAAAGTATGGGGAAGGTGGTCATTGTGGACAAAAAATAAAAGGAACTCTGCATAGCAATCTAAACCAAACAGATTAGATCAGAAAGCATGGTTGTTTCCTCCTCATTCTATCCATTACCAAGTCCTGAAATTTTAACTTCCAAATATTCTTAGTTTCTATGTCCACCACCAGACAAATTCAAGCTCCCATCAGCTCCTCGGGTGGACTACTGCAGCGATCTCCCAATTAGTCCACCCACTTTCTCTCTGATCTCTCTCCGTCCATCCTCCATTTCTGCCAAAATTGATATCAAAAGGCAACAACTCTAATAAAGATTTCTCCTTCACTCAACAAACCATTTGACAGTTTCCCTTTGGCTCTCAGAGAGACAACAAAGTGCCTTACCGTAATCCCTATACCTCCTTCTCCAGCTTCATCTCCCCCCAAGCTTCCTCTCACTCTCTCTATTCTGGCCACACTCAAAGCCATCCTAAACTCTCACAGGCTGAGCCATTTGCAAAGAATGAATGTTCCTCCCTCTACCTGTTAACCTAATTAACTCCTAATCTCTCCTTAACTCTCAGTTCAAACATCATTCCCTTAAAGAAATTTACCCACCAAGGGTAAATCACTCTGTTACTAGCATTCTGCAGCTCTTGTCACAGCTGGAATTCTACACTTCTGTGATCATTGTTTAAAATTTGCCTCCTCACTATGGAAGAGCTCCTAAGGAAAAGTAATATTTTTATTTTTACTCACCATTATCTCCTGACGCTAGCATATGACTTCACCCAGTGTTCAATATGAATGTATAAATGAATGAGAAAAGGCTGATATGTTTCTGTAATTCCAGTGTATTTAAGCCATAACTGTCAACTGTGTAATCTTACACATCTTAGCCCTGACTACACACCTTACACACCTGTAAAAACATTAAAGAGTAAAGCTTGTTTTCCCACTGAGATAATATATTCCCTGATGTCCTAAATGGCATTATTTTCTTATTTTTATTATTTTCTCTTATTTTCAGGTACAGTGGATGACTCAAATACTTGTTTGCAATTTCGGTGATTTTATTTTATCCTCATTACTATTTCATTTACAAATGCATGTAAACATCCCCCTGCATTTTCTCTCAAAATATCTTAGTCTACTACTATCCCTTTATAAAAATGATTATGCTGCAAATTAATTCTAAATGTAAAAGATGAGTATCTACATTAGACTAAAACTACAATAGTTTAGCAACTATGCTATAACTATTGGGATACTAACTAAGCCATTTTACTCTTCAATCTAGAATCTCCTCCCTTCAAAACCTGGATAAGGCTCCTGAAATAAGAAGGAAAAAAATGTAAGAGCTCTAAAATAAATACACTGGAACAAGTCTCAAGCAGTATATGTGTTCTTAGTAAACTGACCCACATACTTTGAAATGACAGAAAAAGTGTCCTTACAGCCCCATCTCCAAAATGGTCACCTGTATTTCTTTAATTTAAAAAGTTATCTCACAGAGCACAACTAGACTGATACACAATGACTTCTTGGGTTTCCTGCAGAATGAGAAGTTTTACTAAAAATCTCTTTGAATCAACTAAGGAAGCTCACCTTGCATCAGAAGCAAAGTAATACTCCACTGCTTTTTCTTCCACCGGGAAAAGGCAGGTTGTGCTGTCCACACGAGAGAGATTGCAGCTTCCTTTCTTGTCTTTGCCTAAAGCATATAGTTAACATGAATTGGCAAACATGTAGAAAATCATGTCCAATGTAGAAATATGCATAATATTCTATAAAATCAAGAAAAAATCATAGCAACACAAAACAATTTTAGCAAATTTAAAAAGCCAAGTAGATCACCTTATTTCCATGCAATAAGCCAATAAGAACAGACAAAAAGTGTACAGTGAAGTAGCAACTATCAAAGAGTGCGTGGCAGGTAAAAGTGCTACATTATATGTTTTTTTAATATAATATTTATTTTCCAGGTAAAAGACAAGTAATTCCTTAATATTAACCGGTTTTTTAAATCAAAAGTATGTATAAATTAATTTTAACTTTATACAAAACAATGATCTTAACACATAAAAGTTTGTGTACCTATAATTATAACAAAATTACATTTAAAATATCAAAATTGTGCAACGAAAAATAAAATGAACACAGGGGCTCACGCCTGTAATCCTAGCACTTTGGAAGGCCGAGGCAGGTGAATCACTTGAGGTCAGGAGTTCAAGACCAGCCTGGTCAACATGGCGAAACCCCATCTCTACTGAAAATACAAAAATTGGCCAGACGTGGTGGCAGACGCCTATAATCCCAGCTACTTGGGAGGCTTAGGCAGGAGAATCACTTGAACCCAGGAAGTGGAGGCTGCAGTGAGCCGAAATCACACGCCATTGTACTCCAGCCTGGGCAACAGAGCAAAAACTCTGTCTCAAAAAAAAAAAAAAAAGAAAAAGAAAATGAAGGCTAGTGGCAAATTAATTTTTATTGTATCATAACAAAACCTCACTAGATTTTAGCAGCAAGTCAGCATAACAAATCAAGTTGTAGTCTACACTAATTCTGATTTGAAAACAAAACAGATGCATATCACTCTCTAATCACGGTATATCATATGTGGCACCCACTGTTAGAGACAAAATTTATAAACCAAGAAACTCTCCTTTCTTCAACTTGGGTTTTCTTACTCTTCCTTTAAGTCAGGATAAAGTAGGGTCTTTTTGCAAAGCTAATATCCTTTTAATTCTTGTATTTCAGAATTATGACACCTCTACTTAATTTGTCAAGACATTAATATTAACTTTTTCATCAAAACTGGAATGCTAAGGTTTTATAAATTGGCCTTATATAGGAAAAAAATCTATTAGTTGAAGACTACATAAATGTCCTAGAGACAAAAATGCACCTTTCTTCAAGGCCAGGACATAACAGAACTTAGAACTATGGACACAATAGCCAGAGAACATCACAAGTATACTTATAAAAACTGCTATTTCATCTATCCTCTTAAAATGCACATATAAAGGCAGACTTGATAATTATCAGAAATGTGCATTCAAATGTGCTATTTATCCTGAGCTGATCATTATACATTGTACACATGTATTGAAATATACACCACATAAACATATAATTATATATCTATTAAAAATAAAAGCCAAAAAAAGTATATTCGAAGTTTTCCACCATCTGTGATTATTTGATGTTTTAGTGATGAAAACAAAGTAACTTTTCCCATTCATATTTAACAGCAAAGATGCCAAACTGAAAAATAAATGTAAGATGACATCCAAGAAAAAGTAACATTATAGAAAAATAACATATTAGTGTTTGCCAGGGGCTGGGAATGAGACAAGGGTTGATGACAGAGGGCAGGTTGAGGGACCTTATTGAGTGATGAAATTGTTCTGTATCTTGATTATGGTGGTACTTATGCAATTTCGCATCTGACAAAATTGGTGAAACTACATGAAAAAGAGTAAATATTACTGTATGTTAAAAAACAGAGACCAGGCACAGTGGCTCATGCTTTTAATCCCAGCACTTTGGGAGGCCGAGGTGGGCAGATCACTTGAGGTCAGGAGTTCAAGACCAGCCTGGCCAACATGGTGAAACCTCGTCTCTACTAAAAACACAAAAAATTAGCTGAGAGTGGTAGAGTACACCTGTAGTCTCAGCTATTCCGGAGGCTGAGGTGGGAGAATCGCTTGAACCTGGGAGGTGGAGGTTGCAGTGAGGTGAGATTGTGCCATTGCACTCCAGCCTGGGTGACAGAGCATGACTTTGTCTCAAAAACAAAACAAAAAAGTGAATTTAAAAACACATAAAAAGAGAGCTCAGCATTTTAAAAAAATAAATGCAACCAGGTGTGGTGGCTCAGGCCTGTAATCCCAGCACTTTGGGAGGCCGAGGTGGGCGGATCATGAGGTCAGGAGTTTGAGACCAGCCTGAGCAACAGCCTGAAACCCCGTCTCTACTAAAAATAGAAAAATTTGCTGGGTGTGGTGGCACGTGCCTGTAATCCCAGCTACTCAGGAGGCTGAGGCAAGACACTCGCTTGAACCCGGGAGGCCGAGGTTGCAGTGAGCCGAGATCACGCCACTGCACTACAGCCTGAGCAACAGAGCGAGACTTCGTCTCAAAAAAAAAAAAAAAAAAAAAAAAACAACTACTTTTGCTTATAAAATGTCCTAATAGGCTTGAGTTTCACTGTGTTTTTTCTCCAAATATTGATAATTTCATTCTTCAAATAACAAAGTATATTTAGTTAAAATATGTAAAAAAAATTTGAGGCTGGGTGCAGCGGCTCACACCTGTAATCCCAGCACTTTGGGAGGCCGAGGTGGGCGGATCACCTGAGGTCAGGAGTTCGAGATTAGCCCGGCCAAAATGGCGAAACCCCGTCTCTACTAAAAATACAAAAGTTAGCCGGGTGTGGTGGTGTGCACTGGTAGTCCCAGCTACTCTGGAGGCTGAGGCATGAGACTCGCTTGAACCCGGGAGGCAGAGGTTGCAGTGAGCCAAGATCATGTCACTGCACTCCAGCCTGGGCAACAGAACAAGACTGTTTCAAAAAATAAATAAATAAGGTAAAAAAAATTTGAGATATCAATGTCTGTTTAAATGAAAAGAACACTTCTGGGCTGGGCACAGTGGCTCACACCTGTGATCTCAGCACTTTGGGAGGCTGAGGCAGGTGGATCACTTGACTCCAGGAGTTCAAGAACAGCCTGGGCAATATAGCAAGACTCCATTTGTACAAAAAATTTAAAGTTAGCTGGGAGCCAGGCACAGTGGCTCATTCCTGTAATCCCTGTAATTTAGGAGGTTGAGGTGGGAGGATCCCTTAAGCCCAAGAGTTTGAGACCAGCCTGGCCAACATAGCAAGACTTCCTTTTTACAAATAAAAAAATTGGCTGGGGGTGGTGGCACATGCCTGTGGTCCCAGCTACTCAAGAGGCTGAGGTGGGAGAATCACTTGAGCCTAGGCAGCCAAGGCTGAAGTGAGCCATGACGAAACCACTGCACTCCAGCCTGGCTGAGAGAGCAAAACCCTGGCTAAAAATAAGAATTAGCTGGGTATGATGGCACACGCTTGTAGTACTAGCTATTTGAGAGGCTGAGGCAAGAGGATCCACCTGAGCCCAAGAGTTCGAAATTGCAGTGAGGTATGACCATACCACTGCACTGCACTCCAGCCTGGGCAACAGAGCAAGACCCTGTCTCCCCCTGCCGCTCTATAAAAAAGTTACATCGAAGTAAATAAATAAGAAAAACAAAAAATAAACTTTACACATAAACAATATAAAAGAACAATCACTACAAATTCAAATAAAGCCAATCAAGATAGCAAATGTAAATCCAACAATATGTCATGTATAAAAAATAAAGACCACTTAAACATATTTCAGTTAAAAGTTAGCCTAAATGATTCAAATAACTACCACTTAGTCAATCTATAATAACCTAGCACACAATGCTCTTTTCCTAATCTAAGCATACATCCTACATGATTTTAAAACAAAGGAAAAAATAATTTACAATTTCAACTATTTTCTCAAATTTCAGAAATTTTAATGAAATTATTAAAAGCACTTTCTAAATGCCAAAAGCAGACACGCAAAATATACTCCGCAAATTAGAAAAATGTCAAAATATGCTTCCCCACAAAATAAGCACATTTTTAGAGGCCCAGCACATTCATTCACTCCAAGAACAAAAGAATTAGTAAAGAATAAACAAAAGAGGATAAGATCCTCCCCATCCATGCAGAGTGCATTTCCCACCTCTTTCTCCCTGTGATCCCCACCGTGTGAATTTTGATCCAATCTGAGTCCTAGCTAAGGATACACAACAGAAAAAAATTCTAATCATCAGAGAACTCACAAAAACAAATCTTTTTCATGTCTAGACAGAACTATATATACATGTGCATCTGACCAAAGAGCCATCTATTCCAACTTAAGGAAAATAATTCTTCATATCTACTGCACTGCATTTGTAGAGGTAATTTTACCTGTTCTGTAGAGTATAGGAATGTGATCAGTAGAAAGTTTATGTTCACTCCGTACACCAATCAACAGAGGGCTACCTCGCCTGTAAATTGCAAAAGCAGTTAGAATTAAACCATTTTTATAAATAATGGACTAATGACATAAAATTTAATGGGCCAATACTCTTCAAATGTTTAAATCATCCTCCCCAAGCTCAACTTCAGATATAAGAACTAGATAAAAAGAATTTTTTAAAAAAATCAGTATTGGGCCAGGTGCAATGGCTCACACCCGTAATCCCAGCACTTCAGGAGGCCTAGGCAGGCAGATCACTTGAGCCCACGAGTTCAAGACCACTCTGGGAAACATGGCAAAACCCCGTCTCCTAATTAGCCAGGTGTGATGGCACGTGCCTACAGTCTCAGCTACTCGGAAGGCTGAGTTAGGAGGATTGCCTGAGTCTGGGAGGTGAAGGTTGGAGTGAGCCAAGATCGCGCCACTGCACTCCAGCCTGGATGACAGAACAAGATCCTATATCCAAAATATTCTCTATCAGGGGTCAGCAAACTGACCTGCAGCCCCAGGGTTTATTTTTATAAATAAACGGTTTTTGTTTATTTGTTTGTTTTTTGACAACAGCCTTGCTCTGTCTCCCAGGCTAGAGTGCAGTGGCGCAATCACAGCTCACTGCAGCCTTGACCTCCTGGCCTCAAGTGATCCCCTTGCCTCAGCCTCCTGAGTAGCTGGGACTACAGGCATGCACCACCACACCCAGCTAAATTTTTTATTTTTTATAGAGATGGGATTTTGTCATGTTGCCTAGGCTGATCTGGAACTCCTGGGGTCAAGCAATCCACCCATCTCAGCCTCCCAAAGTGCTGGGATTACAGGCATGAGTCACCACGCCCAGCCTAATACAGGTTTTTGGTTTTTTTTTAATTATTTTTCTTAATTGACAAATAAAAATTGTATTAAATACAGTTATTTTGGAACATACCCATGCCCATTCTTTTACTTATTTTCTGCAGCTGCTTTCACACTACAACTGCAAAGTTGAGTAGTTGCTACAGAGGCTACATGGTCCAGAAAGCCTAAAATAGTTACTATCCGGCCCACTCCAGAAAACTTGCCAACACCTGTTCTGTAACAATGTATTTTAATTTTTTTCCTTTGTAATGTTAAAGGGAACCTTCCTTTCAATTGTGCACAGAATGCCAATATATGAAAGTGTAGCACCTTCTCCTTAGTCACCCTGTTTTCAGATTAAAAATATCTCTCTTACCATAATATCTTAGGGCGCCTCACTTAGGACTTCATGATCAGGCCTAAATATCCTAGCAAGAAGTAGTGATGGTACAATTATCTAGGAATCTGTCTAGAATATATGTTTCAAAAAATACAGAAAAAGCTAATATTTTAACTTTATTAGATAATATTCAATATCCAAATTCACAAAGTAACCTTGGTGCGCCCAACAAAGACAAAAGGCCAATTAAATGCCAAAATATATTTGCTTTCTTTTTTTTTTTTTTTTTTTTTTTTTTCAGACAGAGTCTCGCTCTGTAGGCCAGGCTGGAGTGCAGTGGCACGATCTCGGCTCACTGAAACCTCTTGCCTCCTGGGTTCAAGCGGTTCTCCTTGCCTCAGCCTCCCGAGTAGCTGGGATTACAGGCATGTGCTACCACACCCGGCTAATTTTTCTATATTTAGTAGAGACGGGGTTTCGCCATGTTGGCCTGGCTGGTCTCAAACTCCTGACCTCAGATGATCCGCCTGCCTCGACCTCCCAAAATGCTAGGATTACAGGTGTGAGCCACAGCGCCCGGCCTGTATTTGCTTTCTTCAGGGATTCTGTTAAATGGAAGAGTGGTAAGCAACAGACAAGAAGGAAGATGTGAAAATATGCTCACATGAATATATCTAATAAAGGGCAGAGCCTTTATAATAAAGGGTCATGTATAGTCTACGAAGAATAAACATGTAACTCAAATATGTTGAAATACATTAGTCATTGTTAGAGTTATATGTACCTTGTGCCAACTGCTTGCCCGGGAAAATGAACACTTTTAAACACAAGTGCAAAAGCACCTTCCTAGGGAGGGAAAAAAATCCATTAGCACTATTTAATCAATTATCAAGTCAGAAATGCCTAGAACATACTGGCTTCAGCGCAGAAATTTTTTGTTCACACAAATGCTCTTTTGTACCAGTTTATAAACAAGTCTAAAGTTTAAGTAAACACTTACTCCTAAGCTTTGGTGTATCCAAGACCCACATTTTTTTTTTTTTTTGAGATGGAGTCTCACTCTGTGACCAGGCTGGGGTGCAGTGGCACGATCTCGGCTCACTGCAACCCCCAACTCCCTGGTTCAAGTGATTCTCCTGCCTCAGCCTCCCGAGTAGCTGGGATTACAGGCACGCACCCCCACGCTAATTTTTGTATTTTTAATAGAGACAGGGTTTCACCATGTTGGCCAGGATGGTCTCCATCTCTTGACCTCGTGATCTGCCCACCTCGGCCTCCCAAAGTGCTGGGATTACAGGCGTGAGCCACCACGCGCAGCCAAGACCCACTTTTTTAACCAAGCCTACACCCAAAATATGCTCAATAGATAACAACTACAAAAATAGATCATTTAAAAAGTCATCCTTTCTACAGGCTATGAACACTTCTGAACCTATATATCCTATCTCCATCATCTACCTATCTATATCGTCATAATACTATGAATTATCAGAGGAACGACAGAATTAGAAAAGATCCTAAGATCAAAATCCAAAACCTATTCTCTGCCCTAGTAATTGTACACCACTGTTAACTTCCACTCTTTCTGACCTTGATATTAGAGATATAAATATATACAATTATTAACATGCACACCATACAACTCCATCAACCCGAATCCTCAGGGACAGAGCTTACAGGAATCAAGAACAGATAAAAGAGGAACATGAAGTAGGAGAGGGAAGAACCACCTTGGAACACAAACTGGATTATACAATGAATAAAAGGCAAAGCCTGTTAGAAACGAGAAAAGGCTGGGAAGGCACACTACTCCACTCTGCCTTGGGGAAAGGGAAGGAATAGGCCTCTACATTCTCCATCTTCCTGCTTCCTCTTTTTGCTACAGATATAAGATTTGGGTGCAGGTGGGAGAGAAGTGAGGGCTGGACCGTATTTGGGAAGTAAAGGACTTTTAAGTGGGAAAGCTAGAGTTATGAGTGGGGAAGGGAAATGTAGGTATCACTATGGATTTGGACATTTGTAGATCTTTGATGTCTTTAATCTTTAATTAGGAATGTTGGATGGAATCAAAAAGAATACTGATTTTCTCATGGGCTTGGAAATGCTTTTCTATAGAAGTTCAGAGCCAAGGGAAAGTCCCCAAAAGGAAAAATAAGTAGTTGACTTTGTTGGCTCAGAGACAAGCAGGCATTATCCCAGAAAATAAACTGTGGTAGCTGTGAAGCTACTATTGTGCTAAGTTATTGGTTGAGAAGAACACTCGGATGAGCAAGAAGCAAGGGAATAACTAATCCTCCATCGTGTGTACTGTGTACATGTCCACGTGTGGTGCATATGGATGTGTGCATATATGCATAGTTTTTAGACACACTGATTTTGGATTAATTTTCATTTTCATGACATTAAACCTGAATGAAGTAAGTAGAATTTTAAATGGAGGGTGGGGGGGAATCAATAAATCAATCAGTTTCTCAAAATTATTCAACTTGAATAGTTATATGAGAAATAAAAGCCAAAAATAAAAAAATAGCACAGTTCCTGCTTATCAAACTTAATTTCCAGAAAGTTTCTCAGCATTAATGTTGGCATAATTATCTTTAAAAATGTGGCTTAATACCAATTGTTGGATAACTCTCTCCACCAAGGTAGTAAAGCTGGTATCTTGACTTTCCCGATTGTCATACATATACTTAACGAGCTTGGCAATTGTCTCTGTGTCTGTTTCAGATTCGAAGTCATAGCCTTTGCTTTCCTGTAAGTAGAAAGAAAAAAAAGATACAATTAAAGAAATATTAATGATAAAAAAACCTTTTCTACAGAATTGTTCCGTCAAAATGCCACTAATTTCTAATATTCTTTGAACACCATATCCCATTATTCAAAATTAAAGTCACCAGCTGATCAGTGACTCTAAAACAGTGTGGGACTCTGTTTAACTGAACATACACTTAACTTACTGTCTAATAAATAGCCATTAGCTGTATGTGGCTATTTCAATTTAATTAAAATTAAATAAAATTTAAAATTCAGTTCCTCAGTCATACTAGCTCAACAACCACATGTGGACAGTGGCTACTATACTGAATAGCCCAGATACACTGTCTTCCAACACTGGAGAAAGTTCAATTGAACAGCCCTAAGAAAGCACTCATGCAGGTCAGCACTATGACCACTACTATACAGTATATAGCTATTTACGACATAAAACTTTCATTTAATTTGTCCTGATTCTTCTTGTATTAATATATCCTAGGAACTTTAAAGCATGACAATCTCTCAGAATGCAAAAAATGTCTCCACAAAATTCCAATTTTATTTGAGCCTTTTGTCATGTATATTACAGTCAAATGCTAATCATTTCCTTTTCATATTAAAAAACACAATTGTTCCACTGTTAGCAAAGAAAAATCCAATAAACCACCGTGCCCTTGGAATTGTCCAAGAAATTAATTGATGACACACATATGGTGTTTGTTGCACATCCCAACAACCGACCCCAGTGCTCTCGTTAGAAGTATTCTCAAAGACTGGGGTCTTTTGAGGTCACCTTACTTACCAAAAACTTTTTCAAGTCTTTGTAGTTGGTGATGATTCCATTGTGAATAACGATAAATTCTAAAAGAGGTAAAAGTGTTGAAGACAAAAAAGTTAGAAGTATGATAAATCTAAAATAGCTATTACTCTAACTGGATTTTTCTCAAGTCAAAAATTTTTAACATGCTATATACTATTTATGTTATTTATAACATAATTACATCTACTTCTCATTTACCAGATTATCATCAGGTAGATCAGCAGCATTGTTTATGTGGCATAGCTGAAGCAAACAGTGCAGGGGAGGTGGGTACAGTAGGGAAATAAACAGGAAGTCTAGAGATAACAATTTCAGTTGTGGCTAAACTAGTAATCAAATGTTACCCATGTGAAAGGAGCAAGTTTATTGGGTCTGTTGCCTCATTTGCAAAATGAGAGAGCTGAACTAAATATTCTTCTTATTTCTCTGTTCATTCATTCTTGAGTAAAAGTTTAAAGAGAAGTCCTTTCAAACTAAAACAATAATCTGATTTACACTAAATGAATTTAAGAACTAGAACTAAGGAATTTGCTAAGAAAAACCAATCAGTTCCATAGTTAAATTTACTTGTTTGAGATCCAAATAAGTCATAGAATGTCAGAAACATAAATGTTAAAATATCATTCCAAGAGAAAATAGACATGATCTCGGGATAATTTTCATCTTTTTTAACTAATTTTGAAAACTGTAAGAACAGATAATCAAGAGTTGACAATATCATTATTTGTAGCGACTGCTGGTACATAAAAACTACCAATCCGGCTGAGCACGGTGGCTCATGCCTGTAATCCCAGCACTTTAAGAGGTCGAGATGGGCAGACCACCTGAGGTCAGGAGTTTGAGACCATCCTGTTCAACATGGCGAAACCCTGTCTCTACTAAAAATACAAAACATTAGCCAGGCGTGGTGGCACGTGCCTGTAAACCCAGCTACTTGGGAGGCTGAGGCAGGAGAATCGCTTGAATCTGGGAGGCAGAGGTTGCAGTGAGCCGAGATCCCACCACTGCATTCCAGCCTGGGCAACAGAGTGAGATTCTGTCTCAAAAAAAAAAAAAAAAAAAAAAATCCTACCAATCCTGGATTTATTATTCAGAGTTCATTTCAGTTAGGAGAAAAATTACTGCTAAATTAAATTTTATATGAAATTATCAAAATATTTTTTTTTTTTTTGGAGACACGATGTTGCTCTGTCACCAAGCTGGAGTACAGTGGCTCAATCATGACTCACTGCAGCCTTAAACTCCTGGGCTCAGGTGATTCTTCCACATCAGCCTTCCAAGCAGCTGGGATTACAGCTGCTTACACCACACTCAACTAATTTTTTTATTTTTCTGTAGAGAGAGTCTCGCTATGTTGCCCAGGCTAGTCTCCTGAGCTGAAGCAATCCTCCCACTTCATCCTTCCAGTGTCTTGAGATTACAGACATGAGCCACTATGCCAGGCCAAAATGTTCTTTTTCCTTTTCTGAGACAAAGTCTTGCTCTGTCACCCAGACTGGAGTGAAGTGGCACGATCTCGGCTCACTGCAACCTCCACCTCTTGGGTTCCAGCGATTCTCCTGGCTCAGCCTCTCAAGTAGCTGGGATTACAGGTGCATGCCACCATACCCAGCTAATTTTTGTATTTTTAATAGAGACGGGGTTTTGCCATATTGGTCAGGCTGGTCTCCAACTCCTAATTTCAGGTGATCCACCTGCCTTGGCCTCCCAAAGTGCTAGGATTACAGGCATGAGTCACCACACCCGGCCCCCAACAATGTTCTTAATATACATAAAGATCTGATATTTTGGCTGACAGTAATTAGAAACCAAATAATAAACATTTTCACTAGATTTTTTAGAGATGATAGCAACCACAAAAATAAATTTATAAAAAAACTTGCCGGGTGCGGTGGCTCATGCCTGTAATCCCAGCATTCTGGGGGGCTGAGATAGATGGATCACCTGAGCTCAGGAGTTCGAGACCAGCCTAGCCAACATGGTGAAACCTTGTCTCTACTAAAAATACAAAAAATTGCCAGGCGTGGTGTCAGGCGCCTGTAATTCCAGCTACTTGGGAGGCTTGAGGCAGAAGAATCGCTGAATCCAGGAGGCAGAGGTTGCAGTGAGCGGAAAGCATGCCATTGCACTCCAGCCTTGGAGAAAGAGCGAGATTCCTTCTCAAAAAAAAAAAAAAAAAAAAACTTCATGCTAGAACAAAGAGATTAATAAACAGCTAATTTAAAGGTCTTAACTTAAAGCCAAATTCTCAAAACATAATCTAGATGTAAGTTTTCGGGAATCTTTCATAAAGGCCTTGTCAGTGTCAAAAGTCTAAATTATTGCTAGCATTATGATCAAATTCAACAGTAAGTATTGAAGCACAAGAAGCCTAAATAGGCAGCTTCTGAATTAAACTAAAAATCAGCAAGGGCTGGGTGCAGTGGTTCATGCCTGTAATCTCAGCACTTTGGGAGGCTGAGGTGGGAAGATTACTTGAGTCCAGAAATTTGTAACCAGCCTGAGCAACAAAGCAAGACCCCTATCTCTACAAAAATAAAATAAATTAGCTGGGTGTGGTGGTGCAAGCCTGTGATCCTAGCTACTCAGGAGGCTGAGGCAGGAAGATCACTTGTGCCCAAGAATTTGAGGTTACAGTGAGCTATGATCCCACCACTGTACCCAGCCTGGGTGGAGGAGTGAGACCCTGTCTCTAAAATAAAAGGAAAAAAAATGGGGAGGGATAAATACACACATACACACTTTTGTATGTATTCTGTATGTATTTGCTTATTTTTTTTAAATGAAAGAACAGACTCAATAATTGGTGAATGTTACCTACGAGGGGAATAAGAGGAAACAGAAGAGTCTAGACTTGTTTTGTTGAGACAGTCTCACTCTGTCACCCAGGCTGAAGTGCAATGGGGCAATCATGGCTCACTGCAGCCTCAACCCCCAGGTTCAGGTGATCCTCCTGCCTTAGCCTCCTGAGTAGCTGGGACTATGGGCGCATGCCACCATCAAGCTAATTTTTGTATTTTCTGTAGGCACAGGATTTTGCCATGTTGCTCAGGCTGGTCTCAAACTCCTGGGCTCAGGCAATCCCTCCATCTCAGCCTTCCAAAGTGCTGGGTAGACTTCTTTTAGTGTGTCTTATTTTAAAGATGTGACTTCGGAATTATGTAAATATTTTAAATAATTATAAATAACATTTATTTTTAAAGAATATCAATCCTTAAAAATAAAAAATAGGACAGGTACAGTGGCTCACTCCTGTAATCCCAGCACTTTAGGAGGCTGAGGTGGGCGGATCACAAGGTCAGGAGATCGAGACCATCCTGGCTAATACAGTGAAATGCCGTCTCTACTAAAAATACAAAAAATTACCCGGGTGTAGTGGCACACACCTGTAGTCCCAGCTACTTGGGAGGCTGAGGCAGGAGAATTGCTTGAACCTGGAAGGTGGAGGTTGCAGTGAGCCGATATCGCACCACTGCACTCCAGCCTGGGCGACACAGCGAGACTTGGTCTCAAAAAATAATAATAAAAATAAAAAAAATGTTTCTAAAACATATTAAAGTAACACGTAGCACAACTGCATGGAGAAAGACTATTCCAAGTAACTCTAAAACACAGTAATTTGATTATACATTTCTAGAGAGATATGCCCTAAGGACAAAACCAATAACAAAAGTTCTCAGCCAGGAGCAGTGGTTCATGCCTATAATCCCAGCACTTTGGGAGGCCGAGACGGGAGGATCACTTGAGGTCAGGAGTTCAAGACCAGCCTGGTCAACACAGTGAAACCCCGTCTCTACTAAAAATACAAAAATTAGCCAGGCATGGTGGACAGACAGGGTCTCATTCTGTTGTCCAGGTTGGAGGGCAATGGCATGAGGTGTGACCACGGCTCACTGCAGCCTCTACCTCCTGGGCTTAAACGATCCTCCCACCTCAGTCTCCCGAGTAGCTGAGACTACAAGCATGCACCACAATGCCTAACTTATTTTTTTATTTTTTGTAGAGACAGGGTCTCACTATGTTGCCACGGCTGATCGTGAACTCCTGGACTCAAGCAATCCTCCCAACTCAGGCTCCCAAAGTGCTGGGATTACAGGCATGAGCCAGCACTCTCAGCTCCATATGCTCTCTACTACTTCTGAATGTTTGAAATTTTCCAGATGAAAAATTATTAAAATAATGAAAATCTAAAAGCCTTCATTCTGCCCCCATTATTAGGTTTCCACAATCATTCCAAAGCACAAAAAATCTTTCCATACCATTATTTTTATCAGAGCGCTGGGGGTGGCTATTGACAGGACTGGGTTCTCCATGTGTTGCCCAACGGGTATGAGCTATTCCAAGGTGTACATCAAATTCTATATCCAAATCCATATCTTGTTGCTCTGAAGAATATGAAAAGAAAAATTTCAATATTAAATCATGCTGCAGAGATAATGCTATAAGCTATATTTAAATACAATTATTACAATGCTGCTCTCTTGGAATATACAATCACTGAAACTAAAGATCAGGCATATTCAAAATAGTGATTAAAAGACTTAGGAGGCAGGGTGCAGTGGCTCACGCCCGTAATCCCAGCACTGTGGGAGGCCGAGGCAGGTGGATCACCTGAGGTCAGGAGTTCAAGACCAGTCTGGCCAACATGGGGAAACCCCATCTCTACTAAAAATACAAAAATTGGCCAGGCATGGTGGCACGCGCCTGTAGTCCTGGCTACTCCGGAGGCAGAGGCAGGATATTCGCCTGAACCCAGGAGGCAGAGGTTGCAGTGAGCTGAGATCATGCCACTGCACTCCAGCCTGGGCAACAGAGCGAGACTCCATCTCAAAAAAAAAAAAAAAAGACTTAGGAACACATTGTACGTCTGTATCAAGACATCTCATGTACCCAGTAAGTTTACACACCTACTATATACCCACAAAAATTAAAAATAAAGATAAATAAAGATTTAGGAGTTTATGCAACTGAAATATTGAAGGCAAATGGTTTCAATAACAACCAAAAAACTAATACAGAGTTAAAGCAAACATGACAAAATTTTAATAACAGATAAAGTTAGGTGAAGTATATATAGGTAATAATGTACTATTCTTTCAAGTTTCCTGGAGATACAAATACTCAAGAGTTAAGGACAAAAACAATTAATGTAATCTTTTAAATCTATATTTAATTCTTGCCTTAAAAAGTCATTATCAATTTAATTAAACATGTAAAAATAAATTCATTTTCCCAATGACACACAACCTTATGACTGCAATTTCTTTGGTCTCTGGTGAGTGTACACACGTCTCACAATAGAAACTGCAACTATGGAGTGCCTCCAAAATCAAATAGGTATTTAAGAACCGAGCAATGCTATGAAAGTATGGGGCTACTGGGAAATCGGCATAGGCCAATGTTCCTTTATCTTGAAAAGTAGCTGATTTGTCCAGATGTGGTGGCTCATGCCTGTAATCCCAGCACTTCGGGAGGCAGAGGCGGGTGGGACACAAGGTCAGGAGTCCAAGACCAGCCTTACCAACATGGTGAAACCCTGTCTCTACTAAAACTACAAAAATTAGCCGGGTGTGGTGGTGCGCGCCTGTAATCCCAGCTACTCGGGAGGTTGAGGCAGGAGAATCGCTTGAACCCAGGAGGTAGAGGTTACAGTGAGCTGAGATCACATCACTGCACTCCAGCCTGGGTGACAGAGCGAGACTCCCTCTCAAAAAAAAAAAAAAAAAAAAAAAAAAGAAGTAGCTGATTCTTATTTTTCATATAAGCTATCTTTTCTTGGGGTTTCTTAAAAAAATGGACAGCTCCAGTTATTAACTAGTAATGCTCTTAATTTCCTAAATATAAAATTAATTTGGCTAAGAACCCAGATAACAAAGTTTATCAGAGTTAGGTCTAAATTAAGAGCAAACTGGCCGAGCACCACGGCTCATGCCTGTAATCCCAGCACTTTGGGAGGCTGAGGCAGGTGGATCACCAGAGGTCAGGAGTTTAAGACCAGCCTGGCCAACATGGTGAAACCCTGTCTCTACTGAAAAAATTAGCTGGGCGTGGTAGCACACGCCTGTAATCCCAGCTACTCAGGAGGCTGAGGTAGGAGAATCAATTGAACCCAGGAAGGGGAAGCTGCAGTGAGCTGAGATCATGCCACTGCCCTCCAGCCTGGGCGAAAGAGCAAGACTCCGTCTCAAAAATAAGTAAATAAATAAATAAATAAAACCACAATGGTATATTCTATTGTACTATAACATTTATATGTTGTCAACCTAGCTTCCACCAGAATTTGAGTTCTACAAAAACAGCAGCCTACCTTATTATTTTTGAATCCTAAGCACTAAAAGGTATACATGGCAGATACCTTTTTGTTGGATGGCTCAATCTATCAATGAATAAACTCAGGCATCTATTCTTTCCTGGCTTAACTGTGTTCTAAGTAATTAAGGCAACCTGATAAATGACCTCAAGAAAAATACCATTTACCATTATTCAACAGGCCAATGCAAGAAATGAAAACATCTTTGACTACTTTTTTTATTTTTTTTTTGAAACGGAGTTTTGCTCTTGTGCCCAAGCTGGAGTAAGTACAATGGCGCAATCTTGGCTCACTGCAACCTCTCCCTCCCGGGTTCAAGCGATTCTCCTATCTCAGCCTCCTGAGTAGCTGGGATTACAGGCACGCACCACCACGCCTGGCTAATTTTTTGTATTTTTAGTACAGACAGGGTTTCACCATGTTGGCCAGGCTGGTCTCGAACTCCTGACCTCAGGTGATCCGCCCACCTCAACCTCCCAAAGTGCTGGGATTACAGGCGTGAGCCACCACGCCTGGCCTCTTTGACAACTTTTTTAAGCTAACTATAATTAAAGCAGTATCTCCTTGCACATGCTGGCAGGCAATACTGGAGAAAGTCACAAGATTCTATATATTGAATCCATTTCAAATTCATGATAATTACCACACCTTTATTTCACTGTTGCTGTAGGAACATTACCGAATGTCTAGTAAGAAAAAATTATTGCTATGACAATAAGCACATTTCTCATAATAAATATTTCCTGTCATATAAATTAATCATGACTTTGAATCCTTGACGCTTCCTTATTGTCTGTTACCCATTTTAAAGCCCTTTGCTGAATCTTAAGTCTAGATTAACCCCCACACTCGGTTTCTCTTCTCCCATCTACTGCCAAGCAATACTGAAGAAAGTCAGAAAATTCTGTAAATTAAGACCCTTTCAAATTCACATATCTATTTCACTGTTGCTACCTAAGAAACATGTATCCAAGTTCCTTATTCATTAAACTGATAGCTCAATCCAGTTCCCTGACAGTTCATCATATCTTTTCTATTCTCCATAAAGCTCAATCCTACCTGCAATCCCTCAATTTCCACTTTACTCAGCTTTTGTCCTCTCACCTGGTAATTATCTGCTTTAAGTTTGTCTTTCATCTTTGATTCCTAAAGTACACTTTTTCCTTTAAAGGCTAACTCCTTGCCTGTGCCTTGATCTTCTTGGGCCGTAGTGCTTCAATAATTTCCTCATTTGCATCTTCTATCTTACCCTACCTCTACTCCCATGGCTCCTTGCCCTCTGCCTGCCTTTTCTCAGATGTCATCTTCCCTTTTCAAAAAAAATACTTCAAACATATTTAAATTTGCTGGGAATAATGAACACCCAACTACCCATACTCAGAGTTAACAAAACATCTAGTCATCTGTGCTTTACATATTTTTTAAGATCTAAAATGTAAAAAATCAGTGTGGTATATGGAAACTTGAAATAAATAAATGTAAAAAATGCAGTTGATAACCTCCTTTATATCCCCATCCCATTCACTTACTCCTCAGAAGATTTTCAAGTTGACACAGTCTTACTATTCATGCCTTTTAAACTATGATTATGTTAACATGAGACCATAAATGATAGTACCGTTTTGTGTTTTTAAATGTCCTATACTTTACATACCAGGAATTATCCATGTTCCCATATGCAGAACCAGATTCAGTACACTTCTTTCAAAAGCTACATATGCTCATTCACTATCATATACAACTTATTTTTTGTTGTTGTTGTTGTTGTTGTTGTTGTTTTGTGGAGACGGAGTCTCACTCTGTCACCCAGGCTGGAGTGCAGTGGCACGATCTCAGCTCACTGCAACCTCCGCCTCCTGGATTCAAGTGATTCTCCTGCCTCAGCCTCCCGAATAGCTGGAACTACAGGTGCACGCCGCCACACCCGGCTAATTTTTTGTATTTTAGTAGAGATGGGGTTTCACCATGTTGCCCAGGCTGGTCTCAAACACCAGAGCTCAGGCAATCCGCCCACCTCGGCCTCCCAAAGTGCCAGGATTACAAGCGTGAGCCACCACGCCCGGCACACACAACTTATTATATCATCCCATTCCCTTACTTATAGACATTTAGGCTGTTTCTAAATTTTGCAACAGTGAATCTTGTTGTCATGTCACCTTGTTCACTGTGTTTCCTTCAAGTATATATCCAAGAGTGGAAGTGCTTAGTCTCAGGTTATAGGCATTTCCCATGTAGATATGGCCAGATTGCTCTTTAAAGTGATTTACCAGTTACAAATTCACCAGCAATATCTACAAGTTTCCATTTGTAGATAATAAATTCAATCAATACTTATTTTGCATGTATTGCAGGGTAAGATTAGCTAGGGGTTGGCCAGGTGCAGTGGTTCAAGCCTGTAATTCTAGCACTTTGGGAGGTCAAAGAGGGTGGATCGCCTGAGGTCAGGAGTTCAAGACCAGCCTGGCCAACATGGCAAAACCCCGTCTCTACTAAAAATACAAAAATTAGCAAGGTGTGGTGGCTCACGCCTGCAATCCCAGCACTTGGGAGGCCAAGGCGGGCAGATCACGAGGTCAGGAGATCGAGACTATCCTGGCTAACATGGTGAAACCCCATCTCTACTAAAAATACGAAATAATTAGCCAGGCGTTGTGGCGGGCGCCTGTGGTCCCAGCTACTCAGGAGGCTGAGGCAGGAGAATGGCGTGAACCAGGAAGCAGAGGTTGCAGTGAACCGAGATTGTGTCACTACACTCCAGCCTGTGCAACAGACCAAGAGTCCATCTTAAAAAAAAATTAGCTGTGAGTAAAGTAGACACTCAGATAACTACACTTCAAAAACAAACCAGTTGGCCAGGCTCAGTGGCTAATGCCTGTAATCCCACTACTTTGAGAGGCCGAGGCAGGCGAATCACTTGAGGTCAGGAGTTCAAGACCAGCCTGGCCAATATGGTGAAACCCCATCTCTACCAAAAATACAAAAATTAGCCGGGCATGATGGCACACGCCTGGTAATCCCAGCCACTCGGGAGTCTGAAACAGGAGAATCGCTTGAATCTGGGAGGCAGAAGTTGCAGTGAACCAAGATTGCACCATTGCACTCCAGCCTGGGCGTTACAGCGAGACTCCATCTGGGAAGGGAAGAAAAAAAAAAAAAAGTTGACCACGAAGAGGCATGTTTCAATATGCTGACATTGAAAAATGGTGATTCTGTTCACAATCTGCCTTTCTAGCCTCCCTTATTTGTCTACCAATACTGTAAATAAAAAGGACTACTATCATTCCATCAACACGCCTGCCATTACTCTTCTTATCTTGCTATGCTATCTACTCAGAAGGTCCTCCCTTCACATCTTCACTGACCAAATATAATCAGCACCCATTCCCTATGTATTCCCAGTCTCGTCAACTTGTGGGAACTCTCCCCTGAATCTCACAGCAATGTCTGTTCTCTCCTACAGAACCTGCTACAATCAGCCTGGTATACAGGATGCAGAACACATAGTAGATATTTATACTACTGTTTTTGAAGTATAGTTATTTGGGTGTCTGCTTTACCCCTAGCTAATCTTACACTACAATACAGGCAAAATAAGTATTGATTTAATTCGTTAAACAAGTACTACAGAGCTAAACGTATGGCTTATGTGGGAAAAAAAAAAGACAAAATCCATCATTTTCCTCTACCTGTACTCTTTTACAATGATTATGATGGCATTCATATGAGTAGGTACATAAAATACTTGCGGTTTCCTGGGTTTTGTGGAGAATTTTAAAAATATTTTTTCAATCAATCTACTTCAAAGTTTGCTTTGTTTTCAAGTTTCTTGTGAAAAAAATAAAATGTGTAAGAATAATGTTATGATCTAAATACTGAGAAGTAAATCCTCTTTGATGGGGCATACATCTCTGACAACTCCTTGTGCCAGAGAAGAAAACTGTGAGGGAAAACATGATACTTACCAGATTATATCAGACCTATTCAAAGGTGCAATGTCAAAATTGACTACATCCAAGCTAGGCATTTAATCCAAAGTGAAGACAATTAGCAAGTGAAGACATGTGTAAAAGGGCATCACTAAAAATACCTTTTGTCTTATGAAAAGCTCTTCCTCAGGAATGGTGGCTCTGAAGATACTTCATTTAATATTCAGAGCTTACACTGAAGGTAATATACCTAACTAATTTCCTTCCCTAGTTGCAATGATTATTTTTCAGGCTCAGGTACATTTTAAAACTAGTCCAGACAGTAACAAAACTACTTTTCTTTCCTCCCTTCAATGTTACAGACCATTATCATTAAAATTGGTCCCAAAATATGGGGGGAGGGAGTAACTTAGAGGAGAATGGGGAGGGGAAAAGGAAGAGAAGGGGAAAGGGGACAAAAATCAAATTAAGTACGTTACTGTGAACTTCTTCATCCAGTGCCTTAACTTTTCCTTTCTTCTTAATAAGCTGGATTTTGCAGGCATTGGCTTCCCAATCTTTATCATTGCCTCCATCAAATCCCACACCTAAACCATCATGAGGTAAAAAAGCAAAATTTAGAAACTGGCTACTGATAAAATTATTAATGTGAGGCAAAATTTTTAATTAAAAAATACATTCTCATCTAATTAATTCACTAATGTATTAATTCAATTACCTACTGAAAACCTATTGTGTGTCAAGAACCAGGATAGCTGCTAGACACAAAAACAAAAATAACTCCATTCCTGTCCTCAAATTTCTAAGTCTATCGAGAAGACAGACAAGGAAAAAATAATTCAGCGTGATTATGAATTATAATAAAAATACTACAGGTTACAATTGGGATACAATGGAGAAATGCAAAAGATGGGCACCCACCTCAGAAGGTAGCTAAGGAAAGAAGGTCACAGAATACATCTCTTAAGAGTCTCCTTAAGTTGCTAAGGAATTTGAAAAAGCTACCCTGAAGATACTGGGAAAACACTGTCCTTTAAGCAGAGAAGTGATTCGGCAAAAATGTTTAGCAAAGCCCTTCTAGAAACAAGTGTAGGGAAAGAACTGGAGGGAGAGAAACGGAAGGAAGAAACCAGCTGTCAAAAGCTACAGCTACAGCAAAGCAAAAATGAAGAGGACCTGAACTAAACAGTGGTAATGCAGACAGAAATAAATGATATTGAAAAGTGGAACTGACTGAATGTAAGTGAGAAAGCAGGAGAAGTGTGGAATACCTCAAAGGACTTGTTGAATGGCTTGAAGGACTTGTTGAATGATTCTCAATAAAAGGGACATAGAAAAACAGAGTGGGCATGCCTGTAATCCCAGCTACTTGGGAGGCTGAGGCAGGAGAATGGCTTGAACCCGAGAGGTGGAGGTTGCAGTGAGCTGAGATCACACCACTGCATTCCAGCCTGGGCGACAGAGTGAGATTCATCTCAAAAACAAACAAACAAAAAACAGGGTGGGGAGCAGGGTGAGGACTGCAATGTATTCAGCTTATTTTTCTTTTCTTTTCTTTTTTTTTTTTTTTTTTGAGACAGGTTCTTGCTCTGTCGCCCAGGATGGAGGGCAGTGGCGCAATCTCAGCTCCCTGCAACCTCTGCCTCCCAGGTTCAGCAATTCTCCTGCCTCAGCCTCCCAAATAGCTGGGATCACAGGTGCACACCACAATGCGTGGCTAATTTTTTTTTTTTTTTAAGTAGAGATGGGGTTTCACCATGTTGGTTAGGCTGGTCTTGAACTCCTTACCTCAAGTGATCCATCCACCTCAGCCTCCCAAAGTGCTGGGATTACAGGCGTGAGTCACCACGCCCGGCCTCAGTTCAATTTTTGAACATGCAAAGTTTAAAATATCATGGTCTATCTAGGAAGAAACTTGTAGGAGGCCTAGAATACAGCTTGGGAGATAAATCTGGATTAAAAGAAATACATCTGGATTAGAAGTCACCAACATACTCTCACACAAAAAAATTAAAATTAAAAATAAAAAATACTGGCCGGGCGCGGTGGCTCATGTCTGTAATCCCAGCATTTTGGGAGGGTGAGGCGGGCAGATCACGAGGTCAGGAGATCGAGACCATCCTGGCTAACATGGTGAAACCCCGTCTCTACTAAAAATACAAAAAATTAGCCGGGCGTGGTGGCGGGTGCCTGTTGTCCCAGCTACTCGGGAGGCTGAGGCAGGAGAATGGCGTGAACCCGGGAGGTGGAGCTTGCAGTGAGCTGAGATCATGCCACTGCACTCCAGGCTGGGCGACAGAGCAAGACTCCATCTCAAAAAAATAAAAATTAAAAATAAATAAAAAATAAAAAGAATAAAACAAAGAAGTTACCAACATATATTAACAGAAGGCTGATGGGCCAGGCACGGCGGCTCACGCCTGTAATCCCAGCACTTTGGGAGGCCGAGGCGGGCAGATCACGAGGTCAGGAGATCGAGACCATCCTGGCCAACATGGTGAAACCCCGTCTCTACTAAAAATACAAAAATTAGCTGGGTGTGGTGGCAGGCACCTGTAATCCCAGCTACTCAGGAGGGTGAGGCAGGAGAATTGCTTGAACTCGGGAGGTGGAGGCTGCAGTGAGCCAAGATCACGCCACTGCACTCCAGCCTTGTGACAGAGTGAGACTCCATCTCAAAAAAAAAAAAAAAAAAAAGAAGATTGATGAGTCAGAGCTCACCCATGAAGACACCAAATAAGAGAAGTGGATCTAGAAAAGAATATTGGCTGGGTGCAGTGGCTCACGCCTATAATCCCAGCACTTTGGGAGGCCAGGGCGGGTGGATCTCCTGAGGTCAGGAGTTCAAGACCAGCCTAGGCAACATGGTGAAACCCCATCTCTACTAAAAATACAAAAATTAGCCAGGCGTGGTGGTGCATGCCTGTTATCCCAGCTACTGGAGAGGCTAAGGCAGAAGAATCAGCTGAATCCGGAAGACAGAGGTTGCAACAGTCAGCCGAGATCGCACCATTGCACTCCAGCCTGGGTGACAGAGCAAGACTCACCTCAAAAAAAAAAAGAATCTTGAAGAACATTAATATTTGAGCTGTAAGTAGAAGAAAGGAGCCTCCAAAGCAAACAGAAAAGAAGTAATCTTAGCATCTTAGGAAGAGAATAAGATGTGCTGTCAAGGAAGCTAAGGAAGGAGAGAATTTTAAAAACAAAGGAGTTGAGGAACTGACTTTCCATTACTAAGGAAAGTCAAGGAAGACAAATGTCCATTCCATGTGGCAATGTTAAGTGTACAAAAAAGAGTTAACACAGCAGGTGTGAAACTGCTATCCTCAGAAAGGCCTGTTTTCAAGGTTGGCCCTTCACTGGTGTCTAGAAACTTGGTTTTTGGAAGGATTCCTACCACCCTAACCAAAAGTGTCTCACTACACAAACTGTGCAAACAAAGTGGTTTATGCTGAACATCTGCTCTTATTTTGGGAGTCTAGAATTTTGGTACATGCTGGGCAGAGGGTGCCTATGTGACCAACCCCCAATGAAAACCTTAGGCACTGATCCACTGGTGAGCAGCTTGTGCCTAGCTTTCTCAAGACTTCAATTCCTGCACCTTCTCCCTTTGCTGATTGTGCTTTGTATTCTTTTGTTATAATGAAACATAGCCATGAGTACAACCAAATGCTGAGTTCTGTGAGTCCTCCTAGGGAATCGTCAAATCTGAGGATGGTCTTAGGAACCTCTGACATAGTTGAGGGAAGGAGCTAGGGTAGAACATAAAGTTGCCAGAAAGTTATGTTTATGTGTAATTTATTTAAGATAGATGAGGCTGGAATCAGTGGCTTGCCTGTAATCCCAGCACTTTGAAAGGCCAAGGCAGGAGGATCACTTGAGGCCAGGAGTTTGAGACCAGCCCAGGCAACATAGTGAGACTCTCGTGTCTACAAAAACTTTTTAAAAATTAGCTGGGCATGGTGGCACACAGCTATAGTCCTAGCTACTGAGGAGGCTACGGAGGGAGGATTGCCTGAGCCCAGAGTTCGAGACTGTAGTGAGCTATGACCGCACCACTACACTCCAGCTGGGGTGACAGAGTGAGACCCTATCTCAAAAATAAATAATAAAAATAAGAAAAAAGAATCTGAGGCAAGTTTATGTGTCAAAGCATGAAATCAATGGATAAAAATTAAAGTTATAGGAAAGAAAAAAGAATTTAGAGTAAGACCTTCACGAATTTTGTTTTACCACAATAATCCCCCATATGATGTTTTTACAATAATATTCTTAAGAGATCATCATAAGCAATACTCCACATAAATGGTAACACTGTTGAGATTACATAAATAAATCCTTTAAATATGATAAAAGACAAAAATTCTTCCAATTTACACTTACTCAAAACAAAACAGACTTTAATAGTCTAGTCTCCTAATAACAATAAAAATAGTATCTATTTAAAGAATCATGCAAAATCCATAGTATTTTTTTTAAAGTACCAGCAGAATCATATCCTCTGTACTCCAGTCTCTGAAGGCCTTTGATTAGGGTCTCCAGGATTTCTCGTCTCGTTCGAGGAACATGGTAGTTTAAGTAAGCAAATATACCTGCAAATAAACAAATATTTAATGAAAAATTCTGATTTAAAAAATCAAAATTAGCATAATTATGTCAAGTATGTGAAAAAACGTGAAGTTAGATTCTGTCTTTCAAACATTTCAAACCGTTTAAAGGCAATGGAACTTTTTCAAGGGGGAGTTTCTCATAAGTATAAAAAACTAAACATGTCAAAATACACATTTATAATTTTTTCTTTTTTTTTTTTGAGACAGAGTCTCACTCTGTCACGCAGGATGGAGTCCAGCAGCACGATCTCGGCTCACGGCAAGCTCCGCCTCCCGGGTTCACACCATTCTCCTGCCTCAGCCTCCCGAGTAGCTGGGACTACAGGTGCCTGCCACCACGCCCAGCTAATTTTTTGTATATTTAGTAGAAACGGGGTTTTACTATGTTAGCCAGGATGGTCTCAATCTCCTGACCTCGTGATCTGCCCGCCTCGGCCTCCCAAAGTGCTAGGATTACAGGTGTGAGCCACTGCACCTGGCAAAGAAGCTTATAAAGCTGGCTACTTATTTTCCATGACTGCCATTTTTGTCAAGTGAAATTTAATTTTTTTAAAAACCAATTAACAAATTCATGGTTTATGTCCTATATACAGAGCATTTCGTTTCAAGAAAAAAATTTCTAAAGTAATTTAAGCAACATATATAGGCCCTAAAATCTGTACCAATGAGATTAATTTTGCTTATTTCCAATAACCATGCTATCAGTGACATTTAGGAATAAATGATATGAAAAATACTCACCCCTTAAATAATTACGTAAAATAGTAAAAACTGACCAAATATATAACTATCTTAAAAGATAATTGCTTGAATTACTTGTTCATCACATTAGCAAATGACAACCACATAACAACCCTTGAAAATTCACAGAAAAAGAGCAATCATTTGGAAAAACAAAACTAGAAATCAAAGCAGTAATACAATGTGAACTGAACGGGATAAGCAAAGAAGTAACAAAACACAGGTAAAGGAAATCCACACTTTTAGGAATGGCAGCATGGGCATTATCTGAGGTTTTCCATGGCTGTGCTTTGGCCAGAGTGGACACAGCTTTAATGTATCAAAACTGAAGACTAAATTATATAAAATATACAAAAATACAAGTTCAAGCTGCTTATTTTAAAACTTCCTTTTTTCTTAACTACATTTCACTGTAATTCTGATTCATAAGAAGTTTAAATTAATTCTGTGAGATAGAACTCCCAAAAAACTAGTCTTCATTTCCATCTGAAAAGAGACATTTACTTCTATAGAGTGTGATCCTACTGAAATATTTCAGTATACAAAAATGGCACATTGTTGATACCCAACAGGAAAGCCATAACATACATGCTGATCACCATGATCAATACATTGCAATTTTCTCAAATAAATTATTATGCCCTAAAAAAGAGAAACTCACACATTAAAATCCAAAATAACCTGAAACAACGGTTTCAACTCTCCCCAAAGAAGCAGTTCCAGGCCAAAGACTTACAGAAATCCCATATTTCATTCAGATTAAAAAAAGATACACACACACCTTACATTTTTATTTTTTTAAGCTTTCCTGTAATGTACAGTCATCTTACTTTCACAGCACCACCACCCTGTAAGGGAGGGTAGAACATCTATCTTACATAATTCAAAAATAGAAATTGAGTTAACTGATATCCCAGAGATACCCACAAATAGCATTCCCAACCTCAAAGCACAGCAATTAAGATAAGGATAAACAACATGCTGCTTAAGGATATTGCTAAGGTAAGAGTGGTAGCGGCACAGCAATGTGCAGCTTCCAACTTTCAATGGCTACTCATGATATAAACACTAGAGGGCAGCAGAAGAGTCTCCAGACCAATCTGCACCCATTTAATTCAGAAGAATGAGTCCGGGGTTTTTGTTGCTACTGCTGTTCCTTCATGAAGTATCTGTAATATGAATAAACGAATAACCCAATTGTAAATCAAACTTTGCACTCTTCACCTATGGGTCACTGATCTTTGAGAAAGATTAAACACGTACAGATAACTATCAATTAAGTATTTTAACCAGGTCATTAAAAGACAATACACAGCACACAAATCTTTTCTAAAACAATACTTTAATACAAATGTGGGCCAGGTGCAGTGGCTCACGCCTGTAATCCCAACTTTGGGAAGCTAAGGCAGGCGCATCACCTGAAGCCAGGAAATCAAGACCAGCCTGGCCAACATGGCGAAACCCATAGTTACTACTAAAAATACAAAAATTGGCCGGGCATGGTGGCGTGCACCTGTACTCCAGCTACTTGGTAGGCTGAGACGGGGAGAATCACTTGAACCCTTGAACCCAGGAGGCGGAGGTTGCAGTGAGCCGAGATCGCACTGCTGCACTCCAGCCTGGGAGACAGAGCGAGACTCCATCTCAAAAGAAAAAAAAAAAAGTGTGAAAAAAACTGAATCTGAACTAGTTCCCACCACTGTGACTGCATCAGCTAGAGTCCACTAAAGGAGGATACAATCTAGCTTATTTGAAAACAGAAGCCTGTCGAGGATTGTTTGCAGATTGTCCAGAGCTGCCAAATTCTAAGCACATCCAGAAAAACTCACTCCTAAACTCTCTCTTTTTTAAGAAATCTAAGTCTGATAGTAAAAGTAAAAATGTAAGCCAGATGATAAAAATGAAAGTTGGTAAAAACATAAAAATGTAAGCCGGATGGTAAATGATTTAAAGATTAAAGATGTATATGAATGTGTTAAAACTATTTAAATGCTAATGATATAAAATTGTTTTTAAGACAATTTATAGACTCTACTTTTTTTTAAAGATTAATGCGGCAGGGCTGGGTGGCTCACGCCTGTAATCCCAGCAACTTGGAGGCCAAGGCGAGTGGATCACATGAGGTAAGGAGTTCAAGACCAGCCTGGGCAACACGCTGAAACTCCGTCTCCACAAAAATACCAAAATTAGCCAGGCATGATGGCAGGTGCCTGCAATCGCAGCTACTCAGGCGGCTGAAGCAGGAGAATTGCTTGAACCTGGGAGGCAGAGGTTGCAGTGAGCTGAGATCGTGCCACTGCACTCTAGCCTGGGCAACAGAGCAAGACTCCGTCTCAAAAAAAAAAAAAAAAAAAAGATTAAGTAATGCAATATTAAATTCACTGTTTTTAATAATGTAACTCAACAACAGCATTCAACTTTAATAATACTTCTAACTCCAATCTCCTTGGTTTATAATGGCTCACTATATGAATCTTGAGAGCTTAAGAACATTTTGGCTGGGCACAGTGGCTCACACCTGTAATCCCGACACTTTGGGAGGCCGAGGCGGGCGGATCACGAGGTCAGGAGTTCAAGACCAGCCTAACCAACATGGTGAAACCCCGTCTCTACTAAAAATAAAAATAAAAAAAAAAAAATAGCCAGCTGTGGTGGCACGTGCCTGTAGTCTCAGCTACTCGGGAGGCTGAGGCACGAGAATAGCTTGAACCTGGGAGGCAGAGGTTGCAGTGAACCTAGACTGCACCACTGCACTCCAGCCTGGGCAACAGAGCAAGACTCCGTCTCAAAAAAACAAACAAAGAAACAAACAAAAAAGTAACAGAGCTAGAAGAAGGAAGGGGATTAGCCTCAGACATACCTGATGAGGAAAATGGGAGCTAAGAAGTTGAACCTGTCAGTTTCATAGCCCTGTCCCTTGATAGCACTACTAGCCCAAGACATTCCACCTGCGGGGATACCGGGTTAACTGTAATCTTGGGGTGCCCGAGACAATACTGGCAGCAATTCATCAGGTACACAGGGCATGTTCACAAGGGAGGCATTCACAACTCACAATGATGCTTGTTAGAGCAGAAATCGTTAGTCTGACCTCTATTTTCAGGTCTTTGACTTGTCTTATCAAAACTCCCAATAAACAGTTTTTTGTTTTTTGTTTTTTTGAAACAGAGTCTCGCTTTGTCGCCAAGGCTGGCGCCATCTCAGCTCACTGCAACCTCCACCTCCCAGGTTCCAGCAATTCTCCTGCCTCAGCCTCCCAAGTAGCTGGAATTACAGTGGCCGCCGCCATGCCCGGCTAATTTTTTGTATTTTTAGTAGAGATGGGGTTTCGCCATGTTGGCTAGGCTGGTCTCGAACTCCTGACCTCAGGTGATCCACTCGCCTCAGCCTCCCAAAGTGCTAGGATTACAGGCATAAGCCACTGCACCCGGCCTAAACTCCCAATAAACAGTTCTTAAGTAAGGTAATGACAAAAGCCTAATATCAACTTTCCGCCACTCTTCAGTAATTGCTCTAAGAGCACACACAGTAGCTGTATAAGCATAGATTCTCTACCCCCAAATCAGCATGCACTTCACAAGTGTAAGCTTTCTTACTAATGGAATATACTTGGAATAAAATAACTCCATAACTGAAGCAGATGCTTGAACCTACAGGCATCATTCTCAATAAATGGCAACTTAAATTCAATGACAAAAAAGCAATTATGAGCACCTTGCTAACAAAATTTCAGAAGCAATCTGGATCACAGACTAGACACACCTGGTTGAAAGCAATGTAGCTGCAAATACAGACTGTTAAACCTTACTGAAAAGAAAACTGACTCGTCAAATTATTAAAATTCCTATGTCTGGTTGCATTTATGTCCTTATGAATACTAAATTTTATTTTTATATATTTTATCATTTGACAGCTGCAATATTTTGGGACCCTAAACATTGTAACTTATCAGTGATAAGTGTTCAAATTCATTCTCTAAACTTAAAACTTCTGAATCAAAATCTACCTACAATGTCACTTAAACTCTAAATTTTATTTTTCTTATAATGCTAGTCACAAATTAATTCATCACCATCATTAAAAATTCAAAGTAGGCCAGGAGCAGTGGCTCACATCTGTAATCCCAGCACTGTGGGAAGAGAGGCAGAGGTTACTTGAGCTCAGGAGTTCGAAACCAGCCAGGGCAACATACCAAGACCCTGTCTCTATTAAAATTTGAAATAAATAAATAAATATTAAAACTATACAGATGCTACAGAATTGTGAAAATCTCTCCTTTCTGTCTCCACACAGGTTCCAACCCCTTTCTCAGAGATAACTACTGTTATTCCCATACACACACTCCCAGTCCTTCAGCTATAAATTTTTCTACAGGCCAGGCACAGTAGCAGATACCTGTAATCCCAGCACTTTCGTAGGCCAAGGCGGGAGGATCATGGGCAGGAGTTTGAGATCAGCCTGGGCAATACAGGGAGACCCTGCCTCTACCAAAAATAAAAAATTAGGCATGGTGGTGCATGCCTGTAGTCCCAGATACTTGGAAGGCTGAGGTGAGAGAATCACTTGAGCCCAGGGGTTCAAGGTTGCAGTGAACTAGTCAATATTATAATTATGGAATCACATTCTACATTTAAGATTTCTTTAAAATTAAGTATTATTTGAGATACATTTTCTTTTTTCTTTTCACCAGGGGTCTGCTCTGTCGCCCAGGCTGGAGTACAGTGGCACAATCCCAGCTCATTAAAACCACCACCTCCTGGACTCAAGTGATCCCCTCATCTCAGCCTCCCAAGTAGCTGGGACCACAGGCACATGCTAATGTGCCTGTAATTTATTTATTTATTTACTTATTTATTTTTAATTTTTGAGATGGAGTTTTGCTCTTGTCGCCAAGGCTGGAGTATAGTGATGCGATCTTGGCTCACTGCAACCTGTCTCCCAGGTTCAAGCAATTCTCCTGCCTCAGCCTCTGGAGTAGCTGGGATTACAGACGTAAGCTACCACGCCCAGTTATTTTTTTATTTCTTGTAGAAATGAGGTCTTACTACATTGCCCAGGCTGGTCTCGAACTCCTGGACTCAAGCGATCCTCTTGTTTCGGCCTCCCAAAGTGCTGGGATTACAGGCATGAGCCAATGCATCCAGCCAAGGTACATCTTCTACAATCCTAAAAGCACATATAAAGGCCAGATGCCGTGGCTCACGCCTGTAATCCCAGCAATTTGGGAGGCTGAGGAGGGTGGATCACTTGAGGTCAGGAGTTCGAGATCAGCCTGGCCAACATGGTGAAACCCCGTCTCCATTAAAAATACAAAATTCCTAGCCAGGCATGGTGACGCGTGCCTGTCCCAGCTACTCAGGAGGCTGAGGCAGAAGAATCACTTGAGCCCAGGAGGTGGGGCAGAGGGTGAAGTGGGCCGAGATTGCGCCACTGCACTCCAGGCTGGGCGACACAGTGAGACTCTGTCTCAAAAAAATAAAAAATGTAAAAGTAAAATAAAATAAATCACACATACAAAAATAACATATGGAGTGAAACAATTAAGACTTTCAATTATTTGTGTGTTTAATTGGTTCATGTCTCCCCTACTTTACTGTAACTATTGCCACTAGAAGGGGCTCCATGACACGTCTCTTGCACATTTAACATTCTGGAGCTCAAATCACTAGTTAAGTCATGACATCTCTATACATTCCCTCACAGTCAACCTATGTCATCATCTTTCTTGAGAAAAAAAAGCATGTACTTCCTGCTCACAATCTTCAAATATTCCATCTCTCTCTCTTCTGACCATTCACATCAGACTACAATTTTTCATCATACTGCCAAGTCAAACCCTCTGGGTCCACTGTGCTCTGACTCCTAGTCTCTGAGCATCTCTACACTGAACTATGACAGCCAAGGAGAACTCATCTATCCTATCCATTTCGGTCCACTTTCGGATGGGCCCTCCGAACTGCTGACCAATCCTATTAATTCATCACTTGCTTAACTTTCAAACTTCTCCCAGATATTATTTTAGAGTCTAAGCTACATACTACTCTCAAATCCTCATTTTCTCTTCCCAGCTTCTTTTTCATTTTTGGTAGATTCTTACTTTATAGAATTAAAGTCTTTTTTTTTTTTAGACAGAGTCTCGTTCTGTCACCCAGGCTGGAGGGCAGTGGCGCTATCTCAGCTCACTGCAACCTCCACCTCCTGAGTTCAAGCGATTCTCCCGCCTCAGCCTCTTGAGCAGCAGCTGGGATTACAGGCGTGTGTTACCACGCCTGGCTAATTTTTGTATTTTTAGCAGTGACAGGGTTTCACCACGCTGGCCAGGCTGGTCTCGAACTCCTGACCTCAGGTGATCTGCCCGCCTCGGCCTCCCAAAGTGCTGGGATTATAGGCGTGAGCCACTGCGCCTGGCCAGAATTAAAGTCTTCATTTTCTTTTTTTGTTTTTAAAATATAGAGACAAGGTCTCAATATGCTGTCCGGGCTGGTATCAAACTCCAAGCCTCAAGTGATCCTCCCACCTCAGCCTCCCAAAATGCTGAGTTCACAAGCATGAGTCACTGCCCCTCACCCATCTTCTTTTCAACAGTTTAACAATATATAAATACTTCTCATCCTTCCTTGTAATCTCAAGAGAGACATATTACACATACTACTCTCTGAAGCTAGCCTCTCCCCTACTTGTAACTTTTTTTTTTTTTTTTAACAGTCCTGCTCTGTCACCCAGTACCCAGGCTGGAGTGCAGCAGCACAATCATAGCTCACTGCAGCCTCAAACTCCTGGACTCAATCCTCCCACCTCAGTCTTCTAAGTAGACTGGACTACAGGTATGCACCACCATGCCTGGCTAATTTTTTTTTTTTTAATAGAGATGGGATCTCACTATGTTGCCCGGGCTGATCTTGAACTCCTAGCGTCAAGCAATCCTCCTGCCTCAGCTTCCTGAGTGGCTGGGATTACAGGTGTAAGCCAAAACACTGGCTACTTATAACTCTTTTTTTTTTTTTTAATTGAGACAGAGTGTCACTCAGTCACCCAGGCTGGGGTACAGTGGCGTGTTCTCAGCTCACTGCAACCTTCACCTCCCAGGTCCAAGCACTTCTCCTCCCTTAGCCTCCCAAGTAGCTGGGATTACAGGTGCGTACCACAACAGCTGGCTAATTTTTGTATTTTTAGTAGAGATGGGGCTTCGCTATGTTGGCCAGGCTGGTCTCAAACTCCTGACCTCAAGTGATTCGCCCACCTCAGCCTCCCAAAATGCTGGTATTACCAGAGGGAACCCCACACTGGGCCTTACTCCTAACTCTTGATGAGTGTTTCTCCAACTTTGTAAATACAGAACTCTTTTGTTAACATCAAAATATTCTGAGGCTCCTTCACAACAATGGGTTAAATTTTTATTATTCAATGATCTAGAACAATCTTTATTCAACTTACAGACAAAGTTATAAGCATATGAATAAGCAATGAACACCCTGTAACAACTTCAGGGCTTGTAGGTCAGGAACCACAGCTCTAGAATTCAACTTCTCAACACTCCCAGGGGACCTCAATCCCAAAATCCTCTTCTTTTTCATATTACTTGCAGCCCTCCTCCTAAACACAAACTGAGACCCTTCTGCCTTGACATATGCAATTTCTCTAATAATTTCTTCATAACCATATCCAATTAACTTCTCTGCAGTATTACATATGAATGACCTTTTTCTACTTTTATAGACTCTGTTCAAGGCAATATACTACTTTGGAACTCTTCTGCCTTTAACCACTGTTCCTTGGTCTGTTTTCCTGGCACTTCTATTTCCTCCTTCATCTGGTAGTAGTTCTCAAACTATTTCCGCCTCCATTCACTGACGGTTAACATATGCCATTAATGATTACCTCTCACAGTATACTAATACTCTACAAGTTGAGTAAAAGTCCTGCCCCATCACCCAGAACATTCCTGAACCTAACACAGAAACCCAAACCCCAGAGCTCTCCAGTCTCTAAATTTCTACTCATTCTACTTGTGGTCTATGACATGGCAATGAACAAGGACTGTGTATTTTCACCTGAAGCTGTTGCATGTGCATTCATTTTCTTTCCTCTGATCAGGCAGCAATTTCTTGAAGGCAACTCTCTTATTTTAGTCATCTCTGCAAAGGGCAGAGTGCCAAGTATAAAGCCATCATTTCAAATACCTGCAAGTATCTTCTAACACTTTCTAGGCACCTGAAATATACGGTCAAAAAATTCTCAAACCACAGAAACAGAACACTATTTCACCGGATGCTAAAAAGGAATGAAGTAAAGAAAGGTTTCATAATTAAAGGTTTAAGAACTACCTGGTTAAAGTTAGGTATATATTTAGAACTTTCTGGAACCTTTAATCTTGCTAATTGTGAATCTCCAAGAGCAGAATTTCCCAAACTTGTGTTACAAAACCCTTTCCCGCCTTCTACTGCTCATTACCAGAACCTATTAACCTCCATTTCCAGGGGACAATTGAAGAAATGCTTATTAAGCAATTATTTTCTCTCACAACTTCTTCATATCCAGTATATGTAAGGATATGTTAATAGTACTGGTTTTATGACCAATCCTAGCAGCCAATCTCAGCATCCCTCAATTATCTCCAAAGCCATTAGACAGTATAATTACAAAAAACTTTTGAAAAATTCATTTTAGGATACTTTAAAATTGCAAGTTCCTTTACTGCTTTTAAAAAGGATCTCATTTGCAAACATTCCATTTATTTATTTATTTATTTACTTATTTATTTATTTATTTTGAGACAGTCTCTCACTCTTGTCGCCCAGGCTGGAGTAGAATGGCACTATCTCAGCTCACTGCAACCTCCACCTCCTGGGTTCAAGAGATTCTCCTGCCTCGGGCTTCCGAGTAACTAGGATTACAGGCATGCGCCACTACGCCCGGCTAATTTTTTTGGATTTTTAGTAGAGACAGGGTTTCACCATGTTGGTCAGGCTGGTCTCAAACTCCTGACCTCAGGTGATCCACCCACCTCAGCCTCCCAAAGTGCTGGGATTGCAGGCGTGAGCCACCGCGCCCATCCCCAAAATTCCATTTTATATACACCGTCGAATCAGAAGGGTATAACTTCACATTTATAAAAACAATAGCAAAATCTGTTAAAAGCTAGGGATAGCTTAAGTGACTTGACACTCAGCAAAACCAAAAATAATGCAAATAAAAAGGACAAAGTATATTCCAAACTACCAAGAAAAAGGAAGATAAAATAAATTTGGAAAATAGACACACTATTCTTCTCTGGGAGATTCTCAATGCTTATTATTAATACATTAAAGATTCCAAGAAATCCTCCAATCAAAAAACAAAACAAAACATTACCACGCGATTTAATATGTTGCTTCCCAAATTTACTGGACCAGAGGATCTTTTTTCCTAACACTTATTAACATCCCAATACAAGCTGGTAAACATATCAATTTTATCAGTATATCTGATTGAAAAAAAGCACATCAGAATCTTCAATCCTCATTCTTCTGCTTCAACAATGCACAACGTTGAAATAAAATAATCTTTTAGGCAAATTTAACTAGGGCCGGGTAAGGTGGCTCACTCCTGTAATCCCAGCACTTTGGGAGGCTGTGGTAGGTGGATTACCTGAGGTCAGCAGACCAGTCTGGTCAACATGGTGAAACCCCACCTCTACCAAAAATGCAAAAATTAGCCAGGTGTGGTGGTACACCCCTGTAATCCCAGCTACTCGGGAGGTTGAACCCCGGAGACAGAGGCTGCAGTGAGCCAAGATCATGCCGCTGCACTCCAGCCTGGGCGACAGAGAGAGGCCCCGTCACAAAAAAAAAAAAAAAAAAAGAAAAAAGAAAGAAAGAAAAGAAAGAAGAGAAAGAAAGAAAGAGAGAGAAAGAAGAAAGAAAGAAAAAGAAAGAAAGAAAGAAAAGAAAAGAAAGAAGGAAAGAAAGAGAAAAACTTAACTAGATAGCAAGTAATCAGAAAGTAAGCTTCCAGATTTTCCCATCTAGTCTAATTTTCACTCCATTTCTCTGCTCAGGAATTTTAGTTCAATGACTAAGATGTGGGAGGAAAATAATGACACTCATCTTCTTATCTTTCAGAATTTACATTAGAGAGAAAATAAATTCTGAACCCTATCCCTAGAATCAGGCAAAACCGTGGTATGACTTAAAAGCAGGACCTCAGAAATGCCTCAAATATTCACTTTTTATTTCTTCAATACCTGTTTCCTCAGCCGTAAAACTCTATGGAATGGAGACACAAACTATGTGAAAACTCCCAACATTTAGTCTCCACCCTAAAGGTATCTCCCTTATCTGAACCTGATTTCCATATCTGATTTATTTATTTATATTTATTTATCATTTTTGAGATGGAGTTTTGCTCTTTTTTACCCAGGCTGGATTACAATGGCGCGATCCCGGCTCACTGCAACCTCCACCTCCTGGGTTCAAGCAATTCTCCTGCCTCAGCCTCCCGAGTAGCTGGGATTACAGGCGCGTACCACCACGCCCAGCTAATTTTGTATTTTTAGTAGACATGGAGTTTCACCACGTTGGCCAGGCTAGTCTTGAACTCCTGAGCTCAGGTGATCCACCTGCCTCGGCCTCCCAAAGTGCTGAGATTATAGGCGGGAGCCACCACGCCCAGCGCTGATTTATTTATTTATTTATTTTTTTTTCAGTAAGTACTTTGACTACGTTTTTTTCTTGGAACATGATGAAATGACCTGCAACCAGAATGTTGAGTACTTGATGAGGCACACCCCTCATCATTCAGGAACAGTTAACTACCAAATGAAGCACACTGGAGATTGACCAGTTTGCAAATTCACTACTTCACAGCTCCAAACTAAATGCAAAACCATTCTACTAAGTAGACACTGCAAAAGTCTGATTCTGAAGTCAGCTCTACTCTAATAATTTCAGTAAGCTATTTATAGGTGTTTCTGTTTTTATGTGGGTTTTTTTTTAATCTACTCTAAATTTAAACCTGCTCCTCATTTTCAGAAGCTGAAATGAGCATAAAGTTAAATACAGGAAATATATACACTAACGAGTACAATCCACCTCCTGTTCAGTTCCTTCGTGTAAAAGGCTGCAAATAAGAAGTCTCCCAGAGAGTTTTCAATTCTCTTACAATGGTACTTCCCTTTAAAAAAAAAAAAAAAAAGTGTACTTTCTTCCAGGGATAAAGTCGGTTGTAAATTTCAATAAGAAAGGTAAGAATACAATTATTTTTACTGGCAATAGCCAAATTAACACCAATTTTAGAAGATATCAGTCATGTCAGACACGATTCTCAAAGTCTCTTTCACTAACACTTAGGTCATAATAAACGACTCTCAAAACATGGAATAAAAGGGCCTAACCTTAATTTTTTAAGGCTCTAGGAAAGATATTTGCTCAACTTTCCATAGCTAGTATTTTTAATGGATGCACATGCAAGGGATAAATGATATTTTTCATAGTTGGTATTCTAAAGGGGTATACATCCAAGGTATAACTGATATTTTTCAGAGCTGGCATTTTTAATGGGTGCACACGCAAATGATAAATTATGTATAACCTATCGCCACAGACATTTGAAGGCCTCTTCCACCAGAGGATCAGGTCTAAGCCCATGAACCAAGTTATTGATTAGCAATGGTTTCTGTTGAGACAAGGGATGGCAGGAAGTATCACGTTTAATGGCACTACCGTGGCTCTAGCTAGGGTCTGTTTTCTATTGGGCCTCCCCAGAAACAAGTAAAATATTTTTTTAAAGATTTTTAGAAAAATGCAAGGTAAGTTCAAGAGACCTCGCCCGAGGTTCCACAGGTTTCCTCACTCACCTGGTGGGCCCTTTTGAAGGCAACCCCCTCCACACCTCAATTCCCTCAGCTCTCTCCTCCTTTTTCAATAAAGGCGTTTCTCTCCCCTTTCGGTTCCTTCTCCGCGCCAAGGCGCCCGCTAGCCCCCGGCAAAGGGGGCCCGCCTTCCTCTCAGGTGCCTTTCTCCCGGCCGCCACCCCCTCTCCCGCCCGTGGATGCCGGCCCCCGCCCCCGCAGCCACCACTGGGCGCCCCTTGCCCATCACCCAGACTTCGCACCCTCCACACTCCCGCTTCCGCCCGTCGCCTTGGGCCTTAGCGGCACCCGCACCGCACCCCAGCGCCACCCGGCAACACGCCCCCCGCTCCCGGCCCCCTTACCACACATGATGCCGGAGACACGGCCCGCGAGGCCAGGGGCGAGTGGCTGGCGGGATCGGGGGTGCACACACGAGCTTCGGTGGGCAATCTGCGGGCTCGGGGGCCGGGGTGGCGCCGACACGACTCCCTCGGGGATGCGACGGCCAAGGCAACGACAGCCTTCTCCGCCTCCCGGGCTCCGCCAGCAACCGCCGCCGGGCCCCGCCCCTCGGCGCGCAGCGCGCCGCCGCCCGTAGGCTCCATTGAACCGCTCACGCGCCGCTCACGCGCAAGTCCCGCCTCCCAGCGCTGCCCCGCCCCCCGAGCCCACGCAGGCGCTGGACTGCTGGCGGCGGCGACGTGGCAGTGGCTCGTGGCCGCGTCCGCCTGGAGTTCCTGGAGACGCCCGCCCCGGGGCGAGCCGCGGGAGGGACCGAGCCGAGAGGGAGGGAGAAACTCAGCACCTGGCAGGGAATGACGGAAAGAGAAGGATGGAATTGTTAGCAAAGCAATAGCCCGGGTGCGTGCCCCGTGCAGCCCCAGGCCCCAGGCGCCAGCACTGCACGAAGCGAGGAAAGAGGAGGAAAAAAGCAGGAAGTATGAAAAGGGAATCCTGGGGAACATAAGGCTGAAAAAAATTGCAAAGAATTAGGTTGAGGTGGGAGGAGAGAGATAACAAAATTCTTGACTGTAAAGCCCCAAAGGTCAGCCTCTCTGGTAATAAGCAATTCAATTCCTTGTGTAATATGCTTGGCCCCTAAAAGCCCTCCGCATCCGTTGCCTCCATAACCCTCAGTTTATTGTGGAGGGGTAGAGGAGGAATGTAAGGCTCAACTATCCGACTATGAGCCTGGACGTAAGAAACTGCTGGCCCACCTCCTCCCATGACCCACCTGAGACGGCTAGGAATTCCCTAGCTTTAACAGCCGCGCGTTTGACTTACGAACGATTCATTCTATGAATTAATGCGCCATGTCTGACAAGAGAGACTTGATTAGAGAGGGATGATGTTTCTGAGAATTTATTACCTGGGCATTTGCTTTAAACAGCCTTAAATGGTATCTTTAGTCAAATGTGGAGTAATCAGAACTCTATAATGGCTCTAGAGTAGAGTAGTATCAAAAACGTACATGGCACACAGAATTCCTGGAGTGCTGACTGCTGTTCATGTGTCTGGTCTTAGCCTGCTGACTGCTGTTCATGTGTCTGGTCTTAGCCGTCCTTCCAGCCCTATACACTCCCAACAGGCTCAACAGGTAGTTCCTCAACTGGGCCAAGATTCTCAAATCTTTTGCACACTTTGGTTACTCTGCATAGAATCCCCACCACGTCTCTGTTTAGATGCTACCTCTTCAGGAAAGCCTTTTTTATCCCCCCTAGACAGACTTGGAGACATGCATTAACCTCTTACTCTTTGAGCTACTCACTGTAAAGAAATATTCTTTGATATTTTATGATTTTCTGTATTTTCCCACTGGGCTGTAAGTTTCTTGAAGCTAGAACTAGATTTTACATACCCAACACTTTTAGACCACAGCACAAAGTAAAAGATCAAATTTATTTTGGAATGAGTGAAAAAAAGTCCTATTTTCTTAGCGGAATTAACCTTCTATGGCTGGTTATATGATTAAGTGAGCATAAGGCTTTCAGTTCTTCTTACGGGGAAAAGTGCCTTTTTTCACTTGCCTCAGAGAAGCTGAAAAATGTCACATTTAACTAAGCAGAGTATTTCTCACCTAAAAGCCCTTTTGATATTTCAATCCCTTAAACAGGTCCCTGGATCACCCAGAGCAAAGTTTAAAAAAAAAAAAAACAGTGAGCTTTTTGGTAATAATACATTTCTTAATTCAAGAAACAAAAGACTGTGGATATACATCTAGCCTCAGAACCCTCATCTAAGGCTCTGGTTAGAACTCCGTTGTATTACCTAAAAGCCAAGGTATGGTTCCAATGCTTAAGCAACATCTTTGTGCACTGGCAGCAAACCTGTCAATGCCACAAAGAAAATGTCAGCAGTACTACCAGAGTTCTCATGCTCCAACTATAGTAATCTATTTAACCCTTTGCTTTCTTCTTCTGCCTGCTACTCCACCACAATGACTATCAATTTGTCTTATCCATCTCCACTCAACAAACTATTTTGGAAGATATTTATGAATCAGTTGAGAAGAAGAAACTAGTGTTACAGGTCTTTTAGAATTTGTCTAAATACAAATTTTTAAAAGTTTTCAGTAAAGACTGGAAAGTCCCCAACTCAGAAAAAAAAAAAAAAGTTAAAAAAAAAGTAAATAAAAAAATAATTTGACAAAAAAGAGAAGAAACTTTGAAGGACAGTATTTTCCCAAATCAGCCTTGAAGAACCTCACTAACCCAACACAACAAAGAACTCTTTGTAACCATGCGCCAGTTAAGATACACACTTTGGGTGCCTGACCTCCCTTTATACAGAGCTCCGCCTTAACTGGACCTTTGGGAATAAGGCCTGAAGGAGAAGAAAATAAATGATCTATGAAGGGAAGGGGACATCTGGGTCTAATTCAAACAAATGAGGGAATGGATTTTCTCTCCTGATCAAAACATTCTGAACGACAACAAAAAAAGTAATGATGGCAAGGGGGTGTCATTCACCATCTCTTTATGTAAGTCCATTTCCCTGTTCGTAGATTCAGTCCCATTGGATCTGATGGCTGAAGGCCATCAGAGCTTCCAGTTGCCATTACTAACGCAACGAAGAACCTTAATTGAAATAGCTGTAGTCATTTTTATTAACCCTTATGTGAATTCCAGTAATAGCAATAAAATTATTAAAATAAAAATTCCTTTGCATAAGAATATGGGGAGCTGGGGTACATATGTCCTACTTTTTAGGGAGCTTTGTGGAGAAATGTACCCCAGTGGACAGAGAAGATGGTAGCAAGTATCAAAGGAAAAAGAAATAGGTTGAGCCCCTGAGGCCTGTGAAAAGAAATGAGGACAAGAACAAAAGGCACCAATCAAGGCCTCAGAAAGACCCTTTGAGTGAACCCCTTTAGCCTCCCGCAGTTCATCCCACACACTTTGGCTCCAGAGGGACCTGTCAAAAATACAAATGTGATCCAGTTTTTCCTTGCTTCCAATATCGTGGTTACTCTTCACCCACAGGATGAGTACTAGATTTCCCAATTCAGTGGCAGCACTCCCACAGAAAGAGCTTTCACAGAGCTCTTCAAGGATGCAGCTCTCACAAATTTATTTCTCACAGTCATGGTGAAAGATGTGCCTAGAGGGCAGAGCTTTCACTGACAAATAATAAATAGAAGACCACTCAAACTAAAGAAGGGGATTTACTAGCTCACGTAATTGGAAAGAACAGGAATACAAACAGCTTTCAGCACATTTATACCCAGGGACAGAATGTTGTCAGAACTCTTGAACTACCTCTCTGACCTCATGGACAGGGAAATAATCCTCAAATAGCTCTGTAATCACAACTTTATAGCTTGCAGCCCAAAATGAGAGAGGCTATTCCTCCATCCTTACTTTTTATATTCTAGACAAGGATTCTGGCCAGTCCAGCGTGAGTCACATGCCCCACTCCTGTGGCAAAGAAGGCAAGACATTGTGATAGGACAGCTCCACCAAAGCCCTATAGAGTCATATAGCCACATACGGCAAGAGGAAGCAGTTCTTCAAAGGAAAGGGGAAGGTGTTGCTAAAAGAAGAACACCAAGAAGGCACACAAAAAAATATGTCCACCGCATCAAGCAAATATGACCTGATTGCCCCCCAGAAAACCTGAGGCTTGAGGACAAAGGATGCTAACTCCAACTAGAAGCTATGCCCTCCCCAATACTCCTCTCCAACGTGGCTCCAAATTTTTCCAGTAGGCAGAAGCTGGGGCAGAGTTTTCTAGCTCTGCGAGAAAGAAACTCTTTCTACTGCCAAGAAAGTCAACAAATTGAAAACCATGAGATAAACTGGTCCTACCTTTAACCTACTATTTCTGTCCTGTTGGATGTGAACAGAGCCACAATAAGGGGTGGACCATTCAGGGAGCTGCCTAGAACTGAAAGATCACTTGAAACGTAAGGACACAGAAAAAGTACTATTTTTCTAGGGTTTCTTTCAAGGGATACTTGAAAAGTTGCTTCTGTGTATCTTGTAAGCTCCTAGGGAATAATCACAGATAACACTGATATGGCAAAATGGAGTATATGGCTGGGATTTCCCAAGAGGGGTGTAGATTCCCTCTGGACTGGAAAGCAACTAGTTTCATATTCCTGCATAAAAAAATGGACACACATGTACATACCACTGCTTTTGTCTACTGTGGTTCTAGACTCTTGCCCACTCGTAAGTAGCTATGAAAGCAAGGAAAGCTTCTCTCCTCCCTCAAGTAGGAATACTCAAGAGGGGTATGAGCCCAACTTCCTTAAGGCAGAATAGTATAGCTATAATGTGCATAGGCCCTGCAGCCAGAATGCCAGAGTTCATGTTCCTAGCTTTTCCACTCAAGTTGCATGGCAATGGACAATGTACTTTTCCTTGTGCCTCCATCTTCCAGTTTATAAAAATGGGGACAATAGGCCGGGCACAGTGGCTCAAGCCTGTAATCCCAGCACTTTGGGAGGCCAAGGCGGGTGGATCACTTGAGGTCAGGGACCAGCCTGGCCAATATGGTGAAACCCTGTCTCTACCAAAAATACAAAAATAGTCAGGTGTGGTGGCGCATGCCTGTAATTCCAGAAGAATTGCTTGAACTTGGGAGGAGGAGGTTGCAGTGAGCTGAGATGGTGCCACTGCACTCCAGCCTGGACGACAGAGCAAGACTTCGTCTCAAAATAAAAAGGCAGGGGCGGTGGGGGGGGCGGAGGAGGGACAATAGTTAACTATCACGTAGGATTAAATGACTTCATAAATATAAGGTGCTTAGAACAGTCTTTGTGAAAACCTCAGGCTTGAGGATGAAGGATGTTCAATGAATAAATGAACACTGAATGTTCAATGAACGTTTGCTATTTTTATATATGTTGCTCTCATGTGACTGTATGTCATCCTGCATAGGGCTTCATCCTAATTTTGGTTAGTGAAAAATCCTCAGGCCAGGCGTGGTGGCTCACGCCTGTAATCTCAGCACTTTGGGATGCTGAGGCAGGTGGATCACTTAAGCCCACGAGTTGCAGATCCACCTGAGCAACATGGTAAAATCCCGTCTCTACAAAAAAAAAAAAAAAAAAAAAAAAAAAAAAACGAAAATTAGCTGGGTGTGGTAGTGCGCACCTATAGTCCCAACTACTTGAGAGGTGGAGGTGGGGAATCACTTGAGTCTGGGAAGTCAAGGCTGCAGTGACCCATAATCACGCCACTGCACTCCAGCCTGGGCAGTAGAGTGACACCCTGTCTCAAAAAGAAAAACCCTCCAAGTGCCTGGCTTACTCTTGACCAATAATCTTAGTTTCAAATACTTACTGAAGCATCCCATATTTACAAAGTGTTTTCAGGATATTTCATGTAAAATATTTTATAAAAGCTGGACATGGTTGTGCATGCCTGTAGTCCTAGCTACTTGGGAGGCTGAGGCAGGAAGATGGCTTGAGCCCAGGAGTTTGAGGCTGCACTGAGCTATGATTGCACCACTGCAACTCCAGCCTGGGCAACAGAGTAAGACCCCATCTCTATTTTAAAAAGAAAAAAATAAAATAGATACAAAATATTTTATACATTTTGGGGGTTTCTTGTATTTTTGGTTTTTGTTTAATTTTTGTTCTGGCTAAACACAACTAATAGTGATTATTAGTCTTTCTTTGGGATTAGATAGGGAGAAATTCAGTATAAATATTCCAGAATAAAAACCATTACCTGATTAAACTTAACCTTTGAATAGTGGTTCAATTAATTAAAAAATACATGTTAATTTGTTGTTGTTGTTTTTGTTGTTTGACATGGCGTCTTGCTCTGTCACCGAGGCTGGAGTGCAGTTGCGTGATCTCGGCTCACTGCCACCTCTGCCTCCTGGGTTCCAGCGGTTCTCCTGCCTCTGCCTCCCGAGTATCTGGGATTACAGGCGCCCACCACCATGCCCAGCTAATTTTTGTATTTTTTTAGTAGAGACAGGGTTTTACCATGTTGGCCAGACTGGTCTCGAACTCCTGACCTCAGGTGATCCACCCGCCTCAGCCTCCCAAAGTGCTGGAATTACAGGTGTGAGCCACCGCGGCCGGCCTGTTTTCATTTTAAGGTTGACATTTGGCAGTTTACCACAAATGAAAAATCGGTAAAAGTATTTACCAAGTCCTCCATCATTTACCAGTCTCTCAGAATGCAATCAGCTTCAAGTTACAGAATACCTGATAACAATAGCTAAAACAAGAAAAACATTTATCTCACATCATATAAACTCTGAAAGTGAGTAATTCTTAGTCTGGCCAAAAGGCCAACAATGCCTCAAGGATCCAGACCCTTTTTTTTTTTTTCCTGAGACAGAGTCTTGCTGTCGCCCATGGTGGAGTGCAGTGATGTGATCTCGGCTCACTGCAACCTCCACCTTCCAGGCTCAAGTGATTCTCAAGCCTCAGACTCCCTAGTAGCTGGGACTACTAGGTGGCATGTGCCACTGCACCAGGCTAATTTTTGTGTTTTTAAGTAGAGATGGGGTTTCACCATGGTGGCCACACTGGTCTCAAACCCTTGGCCTCAAGTGATCTACCCGCCTGGGTGTCCCAAAGTGGTGGGATTACAGGTGTGAGCCACCGTGCAAGGCCAAGGATCCAGACCCTTTCTTTGCTCTTTGCTATTCTCAGTGGACCACCTTTTAGTCATGATTACAAGTTGACTGTCATTGCTTTGAACATCACACTCTACAGTGTACCAAGCAGGAAGAAAAGGAATGGATGGAGGAAAAAAAAAAGAGCCTTCTTTCCAGAGATTAACTCACATACACACTCTCTTAACTAGGAAAGACAATCTTTCCAGAATTCTCCAATAGACTTTCTCTTCCAGTTTACTGGCCAGAGCTAGGTCATATGGCTACCCACAGACTAATGACTGGAAAAGAAAAATGGAGTTAAAGTGACTGGTTTAATCATAACTATCCCCTGGGACTGAGGTGAGACCTACTGAGAGTGCCTTCCTTAACAAGAAGTGAGGGTGTATGTTGGGTAGGCAACCAAGAGTTTCTGTGGCACTCTCTATACTACCACTGCCTACTCATGCACCATTTTCACTTTATACTCAAGCCATACTTAGTTTCTTGAGGTTCCCAAATACATTTCACACTTACAATTCTGATTATACTGTTCTTATGCCTAGAATGTTCTTCCCACACCTTTCCTCCTTGTTCTTCATGGCTGTTGCTTTTGTAGAAAATCTTTCCTCTCTTCCTCTTTGGCCTCTCAATTGAATAATTTCCTGTTTTTTTGTTTGTTTGTTTGAGACAGACTCTCGCTCTGTCACCCAGGTTGGAGTGCAATGGCACGATCCCAGCTCACTGCAACCTCCGCCTCCCAGGTTCAAGGGATTTTCGTGCCTCATCCTCCTGAGTAGCTGGGATTACAGGCACATGCCACCTTGCCTGGCTAATTGTTGTATTTTTAGTAGAGACAAGGTTTCACCATTGGCCAGGCTGGTCTCGAATTCCTTACCTCAAGTGATCCACCCACCTCAGCCTCCCAAAGTGTTGGGATTACAGGCATGAGCCACTGCGCCAGGCCAATTTCCTCTCTTCTAATAAACTAATCCTCCATCCAATTCAGCCACTTATTTCATGGCCACATACAAGATCTGCCATTACTGGCATCTCATCCACGATGTCAATTTCCTGTAGCTTCAACTAAAGGGCAGGTTAAGTTGCCTTGCTTATGAAGCAATTCCCAGTGTCTAAATTAAATTCATACATGATATCTCAAGGAATGAATTCTCCAACCCTACTATTTGGTTCAGTGAACCAAAGGATAAAAGTAAAAACTTCAATTCCCAGCACTCACAACTGCTAGAGTTCTTCCTGTTTCCATCACTATCTTAATCTCCTTAATTTGAGGGACTAGAATTCCAGAGATGCAATGCATCACAACTATTTTTCCCATCTTTCCTTTCCCTGTATTTTCTGTTAACTGCAGTCTCTGAATTACTGTAGAAAAATGAGAGAGGAGGCTAAATCACTCTTTTGGCTACCTGAAAAAGCAGTACCCCTAGAGTACAAAAATAATGATGCACACTTCTGGCATGGTACAGATTTTGGATCTCTGAGTCAGAAGCCAGTGGGAGGACCAAAGCAGCTTCTTCTCTTTTCTTCAGCAATTCTGATTGATAAGGTAAAGGCTGGGCATGCTGAGGCAGTTTTTCTAATTTGGCCATCTCCATCTTAACCAATAGAAACTGTGTCCAGATTCTGGGAGTTAGTTTTCAAGTTTTTCACCTTTTTTTTTTTTTTTTTTTTTTTTTTTTTTGAGATGGAGTCTCGCTCCGTCCCCCAGGCTGGAGTGCAGTGGCGTGATCTCAGCTCACTGCCACCTCCGCCTCCCGGGTTCAAGCAGTTCTCCTGCCTCAGCCTCCTAAGTAGCTGGGATTACAGGCGCGTGCCTCCGCGCCCGGCTAATTTTTGTATTTTTAGTGGAGACGGGGTTTCACCATGTTGTTCAGGCTGGTCTCAAACTCCTGACCTCGTGATCTGCCCACCTCGGCCTCCCAAAGTGCTGGGATTATAGGCGTTAGCCACCATACCCGGACATTTTTGATTTCTTTTTTTTGGTCTTAAGCAGTTCTTTGCTACTTAATTGGGGGCTAGTAGCCAGATACCATTTTTAAAACAGACTTGTTTAGCTGTTTCTTAAGCTAAAAACTTCAGTAAAAATAGTTTTAGATATTTCACAAAAAGCTATTTTAGAATATTCTAAAAAGCATTCTGTTTCTTCCTGTATGGAAAAAAGTAAATAAATTAGATGGGGGGAAATGTATTTTAAACTCCTTCACACATATGCAAAGAAAGAGCCATGGGAAATGAGGGACAAAAATAAAAATATCCTTGGATAAAATCCACGTGTACAGAAGATGATTCAAGAGGTTATAAATAACTCATATGAGGTAAAGCAAACATGCAATATTTATATATCATTCTCTGAAGAGCATATTTTATTAATCTTCAAGTTCCTCAGCATATTAATAATAAAAACTTGATATATATTATCAACAAGTCTGACTGTTATGCCCAAAGAAAATCCAGATTATTTTAAGGTGAGTTTGCTTCTTTTTCATCTGATTCATCATCCATAACCTAAAACCAAAAAACAAAGACAATTTAAGAATTAAGAAAATGATTAGATTTTGCTGTTTTCCTGATTTTAATATTACTTCTTTACCTGATACACTCTATAATGAGGCATGACAAGCCAGTAAGAATAAATCTATCAACAGCCCCAAAGAACAAGGTTTGAATCATAACCCGGTATCCTAAAAACATAAAAGCAACCCCATCTCTACTGAAAATACAAAAAATTAGCCAGGCGGGCGCCTGTAGTCCCAGCTACTCGGGAGGCTGAGGCAGGAGGATGGCGTGAACCTGGGAAGCAGAGCTTGCAGTGAGCCGAGATCGCGCCACTGCACTCCAGCGTGGGCAACACAGCGAGACTCTGTCTCAAAAAAAAAATAAAATAAAATAAAAGCAAATTAAATATTTGGAAATTAATTAAAGCATTGATCACTTCTCCTTGTCTCAAAGAGGCTACCCATAGCAGAGTCTCAGCTGGGCAGAAAAGACTATAAATAATTAACTGGGGCCAGGCGCGGTGGCTCACGCCTGTAATCCCAGCACTTTGGGAGGCTGAGGCAGGCAGATCATGAGGGCAGAAGATCAAGACCATCCTGGCTAACACAGTGAAACCCCGTCTCTACTAAAAATACAAAAAATTAGCCGGTCGTGGTGGTGGGCGCCTGTAGTCCCAGGTACCCGGGAGACTAAGGCAGGAGAATGGCATGAACTGGGGAGGTGGAGGTTGCAGTGAGCCTAGTGCCTGGTGATAGAGCACTCCAGCTTGGTGATAGAGCAAGACTCCGTCTCAAAAAAAAAAAAACAATTTAACTGGTATTCTCTAGCCATAAGACTAATGTAAATGACTTTTTCTTTTTTTCAAAACCATCTTATTTACTTAAATATATTCTGTGAAGCTATACCAAATTGTTATTTTAAAAACATTTATTTTTATTAAAATGAATCCCCAAGGAAAGTGAAAAACAAAACAAAACAAAAAAACCCCACCATATTAGGAACTAATTATTTTAGTCTTACTGAGATAAAAGATCATTTTAAGCCTCAGGAAAATGTTACAACAGCTATTATCTTTCCATGAGTTAATGTATTACTAAGATAACAGACTAACTCCATTGGAGAAGGAAAAAGTTACATAAACCTAAGAATGTTTTTTTCTCCTCACCACACCTACTACAATTAGATGCCAATTCAAGTTTCTAATCTGAAGGCCAATTCATCACCCTACCCTGGACAATTGAATAAAAATGTTCCTCAGTCAATCCACCAAAGTATCAACTAACATAATTTTTTAAGGCATATAGATGATAATGGAACAAAGTAAGGTTTTTTTTTTTAAAAAAAATCTAGGCCAGGCACAGTGGCTCATGCCTGTAATCCCAGCACTTTGGGAGGCTGAGGCAGGTGGATCACCTGAGGTCAAGAGTTCAAGACCAGCCCGGTCAACATGGCGAAACCCCCATCTCTACTAAAAATATAAAAATTAGCCAGGCGTGGTGGCGCGCGCCTGTAATCCCAGCTACCTGGGAAGCTAAGGCAGGAGAATCATTTGAACTCGGGAGGTGGAGGCTGCAGTGAGCCAAGATCAAGCCATTGTACTCCAGCCTGGGCAACAAGAGTGAAACTACGTCTCAAAAAAAAAAAAAAAAAAAATCCAGATTCTGGCTCTGATCTGAGACAATCAATAGAAAAAGAATTCTTTCATAGGCTGTCTTTTTGGTTGAGTAAAAATTGGTATTTATTCCCAAGAAATTAATATTTTACATCCAATTTCAACAATACCCAATCCAAAAAATTTTGTCAACCAACTCATATTTTAGGCAGAATTATTCCTTAATTTGGAATAATATTCCCAAATACTTAATACAAAGCATGTATAGGACATTTGTAAGGCACACAGCTAGTTGTTGCAGAGGAACACAAAGACTTGGATATGATTTCAAGTCTCTTAGGGAGCTTCCACGTAAACATAAAGCTAAAACAGATACAGAAAGCTACATAAACATAAAGCAAAAACAGAAGCTTTGGACCTGTCAAAGAAGAACTTAATTCCAAGTGGGGGATGGATAAAAACTTCAAAGAGAAGATGTCATGTACTGGACCAAAACGATGGTGTGGAGGCTAAAGCAACTCCATCTTGGATGCTAATCTGCCACATTGACTACCCTCAGTTCTAGGAATGCCTCTAAGTTTTCTACTTAATTCTGCCTTTAGGTCAAAATAATCTTGATGTTATCCTAAACAAACACATACTTAGCATAAATCTTGCCCTTAAGCAAATTATAGGCTATTAGGCAAATAGCATTCTTGCCTTTTCCAGAGGGGCTGACTTCAATTGTCCTACACATATCTTCTGAAGCATGTATACCCATTCCTCCTGGTATATAAGCCCTGAGTCTAGCGGGTAACAATGCAGGAATCCATCATCTTGCAGCTGCCCGATAAATGGCTTCTGTTCCTCAGTCCCTATTAAATGTTTCTTTCTGACCAACTGGATTTGCCAGCCTCTGTCTTCAGCCTCTCAGCTCCCTAAGACTTTGGGGATAGGTCTATATAGACCTGCTCACTGTGGAACAGATGAATTTTAATACTACCCAAGGATGAGTGATTCCCAATGGAGCCCTTAAGGGCACAGAATTACCTGAGGTGGTCAGGCACGGTGGCTCATGCCTGTAATCCTAGCACTCTGGGAGGCCGAGGCGGGCAAATTGCCTGAGCTCAGGAGTTTGAAATCAGCCTGGGCAACATGATGAAACCCCGTCTCTACTAAAATACAAAATACAAAAAATGGTGGCATGTGCCTGTAATCCCAGCTACTCATGAGGCTGAGGGATGGGAACTGCTTCAACCTGGGAGGTGGAGGTTGCAGTGAGCCGAGATAGCGTGTCACTGCACTCCAGCCTGGGCAACAGAACAAGATTCTGTCTCCAAAAAAAAAAAAAAAAAGAATGAATTACCTGAAATTCTGTGGGTTGGAAATTTCTAATTTCCACACATCCCTTCACTCCTTGATAATCTCTCTCCATAAGGCCATGCTTTTTGGTTGAGAATCACTGCAGTGAGACTCATTATTACTGATGACAAGGTGCTGTGTTATACTCCTTAGGTATGTTGGCAAAAAAAAAAATGTTGATATTGTGCTACACGTAAAGCTCTAGAATTCTACTCAGTATAACAACAAACTATGATTTCTTAATGGGCTTCTTGCTTGCATATTTAAGAATACATAGATTAGGCCAGTTGTGTTAATCCTTAATCCCAGCATTTTGGGAGGATCACCTGAGGCCAGGAATTCAAGACCAACTTGGGCAACATAGCAAGACCCCGTCTCTACAAAAAAAAAAAAAAAAAAATTGGTAAATATGATGTAGTAGAGTTCTTCCACTAAAGATTTCTAAATCTCATCTATAAAACACTGTGTTACATTTTAAACCTTTTTCATAATTTTTGTGCAATCAGGGCAGCAATATGCCCTCTGAGTCTCTGTAGCCTTATGTGCAAAATGGGAATGACTTAATGCACTGTGTCATTAGAAGATGAAATGAGCAAAAATGCCTGGCACATAGTAGGTTCTCATAACACTAAAGTTACTTCATTTTTTTTTTTTTTTGACGGAGTTTCGCTTTTGTTGCCCAGGCTGGAGTGCAATGGCGCGATCTCGGCTCACCGCAACCTCCGCCTCCCAGGTTCAAGCAATTCTCCTGCCTCAGCCTCCCAAGTAGCTGGGATTACAGGCGTCTGCCACCATGCCCAGCTAATTTTGTATTTTTAGTAGAGACGGGGTTTTCTCCATGTTGGTCAGGCTGGTCTGGAACTCCCAACCTCAGGTGATCCACCCACCTCAGCCTCCCAAAGTGCTGGGATTATAGGTTTGAGCCACTGCGCCCAGCCCAAAGTTACTTCTAAAATAAGAGACTTCAAGTCTGATAAAAATTGCAACACAAAAATCCAGCCCTTGAAGAAAAAGCTAGGTCATGAACTTCTTTTCAAATACTTGCCTTAACATCTATTTCCAGCCTTTGTATCTACAAAGAAAAAGAAAAAATGAAAAAAATCTAGACTGTCATATAATATTGGCATACCTGTTCTACGCCTTCTACCTCCGGAATATAAAACTGCAGCATGTTCTGAATTCCATTTTTCAGAGTAATGATTGAACTAGGGCAGCTGGTACAAGAACCCTGGAGTTTCAGCTGTACAATGCCATCTTCAAAGCCTTTGTAGATTACATCCCCTCCATCTTCCTGCACAGTTGGCCTGTGAGGTCAAAGAATATTTATGACATATTCTTTAAAATACAAGTTTTCATTGAAAAAATTTAATACAGCTCAGAGCTTAAATTTTATATTAGTAAAATTCACAAAGTTAGAGCTACTTTTATAATACAGAATAATAACTGTGGCTAAGTTTTATTTAGAATTAAATTTTTTTTTTTTACTCTCAGGTAAAATACCAAAATTCACTCATACAAATATTTCCTCCGCTTACCGCATTTGATCTTGCTTGCTAATATCTTTTTAAGGCTGGGCATGGTGGCTCACACCTATATTCCCAGCAATTTGAGAGGCCAAGGTAGGAGGACTGCTTGAGCCCAGGAGTTGGAAGCTGCAGTGAGCTATTATCACACCAGTGCACTCCAGCTTGGGTGACACAGCGAGACCCTGTCTCTAAAGAAATTTTTTTTAAATAAAACAATATTTTACAGCACTTAAGATTTCAAATTTCCTAATAATTATTGTGATTACCTAAAATATACTCAGTCACTTCTTTTGAGTGAAGGAAAAGGGAGACTGTCACATGCTGGCTTCATTTTCAGGTAAACTTTTCATTGAAATACAACATTAATACAGAAAAATGCTTAAATCATGTATGCACAGTTCACTAAGTTTTCACAAAGTGAACACACATTTATAACCACCCAAACCAAGAAACAACACCAAACCTCCAGAAGTCCCCTTTGGGCTTCCTTCCAATCACTCCCCACAACAAAAATGCTGCCATTATCCTAATTCATATCACCACTGATGAGTTTTGCCAGTCTCTGAACTTTATAATTTACAAATATAAATTCTATTTATAAATCACGTAGAATTACTCTTTTGTATCTGGCTTCCTATGCTCTTTGTGAGATTCACCTATGTTGCTGAGTATAGTACTAGGTCATTTACTCTCACTGCTGCATAGTATTCCATTAAGCAAATATACCAGAATTTATTTATCCATTCTACTGTTGATAGACATTTAGGTTAACATTAGGTTTTGGCTTTTACAAATAGTGCAGTTATAAAGATTCTTAGAAATGTCTTTTGGTATGCATATATATTACTACTGGGAATATACCTGAAAGTGAAATTGCTGAATAAAGAGTATGAATATGTTGAGATTTAATAAATACTGCCATATAGTTTTCCAGTTATATAAACTTACATTCCCACCAGCAGTGTATGAGAGTTTCTGTTGCTCCACATCCTCACCAACAATTGGTGTTGTCAGTCTTAATAGTTTTAACTATTCTACTGGATTTGTACAAATATTTAATTATGGTTTGAATATTCACAATAACTAATGAGGTTAAGCATTTTTTCATGTTTAGTGGCTACTTGATTATCTTTTTTCCTTTTTTTTTTTTGGAGACAGAGTCTCACTCTGTTGCCCAGGCTGGAGTGCAATGGCACGATCTCAGCTCACTGCAACTTCCGCCTCCCGGGTACAGGTGATTCTCCTGCCTCAGACTCCCAGATAGCTGGGATCACAGGCATGCACCAATACCCCCAGCTAATTTTTTGTATTTTTAGTAGAGACCATGTTTCACCATGTTGGCCAAGCTGATCTTGAACTCCTGACCTCAGGTGATCCGCTCACCTCAGCCTCCCAAAGTGCCGGGATTATGGGTGTCAGCCACTGCGCCCAGCCACTATTTGATCATCTTTTGCGAAGTACCTGCTCCAGTGTCTGATTGTCTTTTTCTTACCAATTTGTACAAGTTATTTATGTATTGTCATATAAACACTGTAAATATCTTCTAATCTGTACCCTGCCTTTTGACTGTAAATGGCACTTTTCAACAGTCTCGCTTTGTCACATAGGCTGGAATACAGTGGCATGATCACAGCTCACTCACTGCTACCTAAAACTCCTAAGCTCAAGGGAGCCTCCCCTGCCTCAGCCTTTTAAGTAGCTGGAATTACAGGCACAAGCCACTGTGCCCAGCCAATGGCATCTTCTGATGAAGAGACAGTCACAATTTTACTGTAGTCCAATTTATATGTATTTTCCTTGATTTTTATCTGATATATATATACATATATTTATTTTTTAAGACGGAGTTTCGCTCTTGTTGCCCAGGCTGGAGTGCAATGGCTCGATCTCGGCTCACTGTAACCTCCGCCTCCCGGGTTCAAGGGATTCTCCTGCCTCAGCCTCCCGAGTAGCTGGGATTACAGGTGCCCGCCACCATGCGTGGCTAATTTTTTATTTTTTTAGTAGACACAAGGTTTCTCCATGTTGGTCAGGGTGGTCTCGAACTCCCAACCTCAGATGATCCATTCACCTCGGCCTCTCAAAGTGCTGGGATTACAGGTGTAAGCCACCGCGCCCGGTCTTTATCTGATTTCTTGTGTCCCGTTGGGGAAAAAAAAAAAAATTGCCTACCCGAAGGTCATACAAATATTCTATTTCTTTCCTTTTCTCTTCTCTTTTCTTTTCCCCTCCCTCCCTCCTTCCTTCCTTCACTTCCTTCCTCCCTCCCTCTCTCTTTCTTTCTCTTTCTCTCTTTCTTTCATTGTAGAGACGGGGTCTCACTATGTTGCCCAGGCTGGTCTCAAACTCCTGGGCTCAAGCAATCTGCCACCTTGGCCTCCCAAAATGCTAGGATTACAGGCATTAGCCGCCATGCCTGGCCCCTATATCTCTTCTAAGCAGTCTATAGTTGATTTTGTTTTTTTGTTTTTTCACATCCAATTTGACAATCTTATTTTTGTTCATCAAACTACTGTCATTTAAATGCCAACACTTTTGAGTTTATATTACCATTTACTGTTTCCTATTTTGCATTGTTTCAGATTGATGAATTATTTTTTATTCTATTTCTCCCCTCCGGAGGTTTGATTCATTTTTTTTTTTCTGGTGAGACAGGGTCTTGTTCTATCTCCTTGACCAGAGTGCAATGGTGTGATCACAGCCCACTGCAGCCTCAATCTCCCGGGCTCAAGCAATCTTCCCGCCTCAGGAACAGCTGAGACTACAGGTGCACACCACCACACCCAGCTAATTTTTTAATTTTTTGTAGAGACAAGGTCTCACTATGTTGCCAGGGTGGTCTCTAACTTCTGAGCTCAAGCAATCCTCCTACCTCAGCCTCCCAAAGTGCTGGAATTATAGGTGTGAGCACCGTGCCCACCATCTCATGCTTCTTTCCCATATCTTCTATTCTCTTCTCTCCCTGTGCTTCAGGCTGAATATTTTCTACTGACTTAAATTCCAGTATACTAATCTTCTCTTCAACTATGTCCAATCTAATGAGTTCTTAAGTTCAGTTATTATAATTTTAGTTCCAGGGTTACTTTTTTTTTTTTTGAGATAGAGTCTCACTCTGTCGCCCAGGCTGGAGTGCAGTGGTGCAATCTTGGGTCACTGCAAGCTCCGCCTCCCAGGTTCACGCCATTCTCCTGCCTCAGCCTCCCGAGTAGCTGGGACTACAGGCCCCCGCCACCATGCCCGGCTAATTTTTTGTATTTTTAATAGAGACAGGGTTTCACTGTGTTAGCCAGGATGGTCTCAATCTCCTGACCTCATGATCCACCCACCTCGGCCTCCCAAAGTGCTGGGATTACAGGCGTGAGGCACCGCACCCGGCCTCCAATTAATTATTCTTAATTCACAAAAATTATAGATATTTCCATGTACAACATGATGTTTTGAAATATGTAGGCCGGGAGCGGTGACCCACGCCTGTAATCCCGGCACTTTGGGAGGCCGAGGAGGGTAGATCACCTGAGGTCAGGAGGTCGTGACCAACCTGGCCAACACGGTGAAACCCTGTCTCTACTAAAACTACAAAAATTAGCTGGGTGTGGTGGTACATGCCTGTAATCCCAGCTACTCAGGAGGCTGAGGCAGGAGAATCACTTGAACCTGGGAGGCAGAGGTTGCAGTGAGCTGATATCGTGCAGCACTCCAGCCTGGGTGACAGAGCAAGACTCTGTCTCAAAAAAAAAATATCTGTATACACCATGGAATGGCTAAATCAAGCTAATTAACATATACTAACATATACATTACCTCGCATACTTATTTTTTGTGTCAAGAACACTTAATAACTACTATCTTAGCAAATTTTTTTTTTTTTTTTTTTTTTTGAGAAAGAGTTTTGCTCGTCGCCCAGGCTGGAGTGCAATGGCATAATCTTGGCTGACTGCAACCTCCGCCTCCAGGGTTCAAGTGATTCTCCTACCTCGGTCTCCCTAGTAGCTGGGATTACAGATGCCCACCACCACGCCTGGCTAATTTTTGTATTCTTAGTAGAGATGGGGTTTCAACATGTTGGCCAGGCTGGTCTTGAACTCCTGATCTTAGGTGATCCACCTACCTCCGCCTCCCAAACAGCTGGGATTACAAGCGTGAGCCACCACACCCAGCCACAATTTTCAAGAATACAATACATTGTTACTAACTATAGGCTTACTTGGCTGGGCGCAGTGGCTCATGTCTGTAATCCCAGCACTTTGAGAAGTTGAGGTGGGCGGATCACAAGGTCAGGAGTTCAAGACCAGCCTGGCCAACATGGTGAAACCCTGTCTCTTCCAAAAATACAAAAATTAGCTGGGTGTGGTGGCCTGTGCCTGTAATCCCAGCTACTCAGGAGGCTGAATCTGGAGAACCGCTTGAACCCGGGAGGCGAGGCTGTAGTGAGCTGAGATTGCATGCCAGCCTGGGTGACAGAGCAAGACTCCGTCTTAAAAAAAAACCAAAAACTATAGGCTTACTTTTCTTAACTTCCCTGCTCTCTAGGATCTTGGTCCTTGAAATCAAGATTTCATTGGTAACCCAGAATTTTAATTTTTGTCTTCCCATCTAAACAAATTTTCTGAAAGCCCAGTGGTTTCTCTGATTCTTGGCAGCTGCCCTCTGCCCAGCTTCTTCTACCCTAGCTATGTAGCAAGGAACAGCAAATGCCTGAAGGGAAAACTCAGTGAGCTTCCCTTCTCTCCAGGATCTTGGCACCTCACATTTTGCTTGCTCTGGCAGCTATCTAATGCTTTCAAACAAATTCTTTTTATTGTACTTTATCCAGCTTTTCTGGGAGTTCTCAGCATGACTATTGGTCTGCTACAAGCAAAAGTAGAAGCCTGCTGTTCTCCACTCACTTAACATTTATTCTGTATGGGCAATATACTGAAAATAGGTACTCATTCTCTCTTCACAACCTTGCCAAACATTAAGTCTTTTTTTTTTCTTTTTAAGAAATTTGGTATTATAACAATATCAAATCTAAATTGAGACTGTGAAGAATACATTTCTTCATTGAATATGTTTAAATAAATTGGATGTTTTAAAATTTTGAGTAAATGTAGAGAAGATACAGGCTTTAAATTCAATTGTCACGGCTACCTGTTGTGGTTTACATTAACTTGCACTTATTTTGAAAATCTACTATAATCTCATGGCCAACTAAAACTATATTGCTATAATGAAAAATGCCTCCAAAGCACTTGAATTCAGGTAGAGAGAGGAGCACGTACCGTATTCTAGTATCTAACAATTCCTTAATCATTGCCACAACTTCATCATCTTCTTCAGATCCTAGAAATAATTACATATAAAAACATCAAGAGTAGAAATTTTATAGCCATGCAAGTACGAGTATTAAAACAGAATGATTTTAACTACATGGTTCATTAAAAACATAAAACTATAGAAAGAACATGTAACTTGGTATGGAGATATATTTTGGGAAATTGATGACAGAAACATTCATTTGATTATCTGAAGAAAAATTAGGGAATACCAATCAACTCAACATCTGGTGATAAAGATGAGTACACTAAAACATCTTGATATGCTAATGATGTTAGGGTATGAAATTTTAAGCCAGTAAATATGCAGACATTCTCTGTTCTCAAGGATTGAAAGTATCAGAGAAAAGAAACTGATTTTGATGGAAACTTTGAGACAAAAAGGCACACCTACTTTGTAAGTTAAGTTACATCTTCAGTTTCTCAATTTACTGGTTTTCAAAATGCCAGCCATACTAAATATAGATGTAAGCCTTCTGGAAATTTCTGAAATGTTCTTTTATTTTTCTTCTTGAGACAGCGTTTCACTCTGTTGCCCAGTGCGGAGTGCAGTGGGGTGATCACAGCTCACTGCAGCCTCAACCTCCTGGGCTCAAGCAGTCCTCCTGCCTCAGCCTCCCAAGTAGTTTGGGACCACAGGTGTGAGCCACCACACCCAGGCAATTTTTTTATTTTCTGTAGAGATGGGGCCTCGCCATGTTGCTGATATGGTTTGGCTGTGTCCCCAACCAAATCTCATCTTGAACTTCAGTTCCCATAATCCCTATGTGTTGTGGGAGGGAGCTGGTGGGAGGTAACTGAATCATGGGGGTAGTTACCCTCATGCTGTTCTCGTGATAGTGAGTGAGTTCTCACGAGATCTGATCGTTTTATAAGGAACTTTTCTCCCTTTTGCTTGGCACTTCTTCTTGTTGCCGTCATGTGAAGACTCGCGTGTTTGCTTCCCCTTCCGCCATGATTGTAACTTTCCTAAGGCCTCCCCAGCTATGCTGAACTGTGAGTCAATTAAACCTCTTTCCTTTATAAATTGCCCAGTCTCAGGTATGTCTTTATCAGCAGCGTGAGAACAGACTAATCCGGTTGCCCAAGATGATCTTCAACTCCTGGGCTCAAGTGATCCTTCTACCTTGGCCCCTCAAAGTACTGAGATTACAGGCATGAGCCATGCCTGGCCTCTGAAATGTTCTACAAATCTTCTGAGCACAAAGTTAGCCTTTGAGAAAACCAAAAATATGGAGATTTCATATTACGTTATAACAAACACTAGATTCTGGCAACCCCTAAAATTAAATTATATTAACATTGAGTTTTTTAAGAAAATAAATAAAACATGGCTCATGCCTGTAATCCCAGCACTTTGGGAGGCTGAGGTAGGCACATCACTTGAGGTCAGGAGTTCCAGACCAGCCTGGCCAATAGGGCAAAACCCTGTCTTTACTAAAAATACAAAAATTAGCCGGGTGTGGTGGTAGGTGCCTGTAATCCCAGCTACTCGGTAGGCTGACACGAGAATCACTTGAACCCAGATGGCGGAGGTTGAAGTGAGCTAAGATCGCACCACTGTATTCCAGCCTGGCTAACAGAGCAAGACTCTATCTCAAAAAAAAAAAAAAAAAGAAAAGAAAAAGAAAAAAAGGAAAAGAAAACACACAAAAGGGCTGGGCGCAGTGGTTCCCCCTATAACCCTAGCACTTTGGGAGGCTGAGGCAGACGCGTCACCTGAGGTCAGGAGTTTGAGACCAGCCTGGCCAACATGGTAAAACCCTGTCTCTACTAAAAATACAAAAATTAGCTGGATGTGGTGGCACACGCCTGTAATCTCAGTTACTTGGGAGGCTGAGGCAGGAGAATTGCTTGAACCCAGGAGGTGGAGGTGGCAGTGAGCCGAGATCGCACCACCGCACTCCAGCCTGGGCAACAGAGTGAGACCCCACCTCAAAAAAAAAAAAAAAATAGATAATTAAAAATAAATAAATTTGTTGGGGGAAAAGAAGCACAAAAGCTAAAACTGTCTTAGATCAATAAACCTAAATTCTACTTCCCCACCATCCCTTCCATAGACAATAACTATCATTTTAGTTTATATCTTCCCAGCACGTGTTTACATTTACATGTATAAATTAACACAAATGAGATCATACCATACATACTATTCTATATCTTGCTCTTTTCTGTGTAATATATCTTGAAGGTCTTTCCCCATTAGCATATACAAATATGCCTCAATATTTAAAACTGGTACACAGTAACTTTTATATAGATTTGTCTTTGCCAGTTTCTTCATTATTTCAGTTGTTTATACAGTTTGCTGCTATTTCTAACAATCCCGCAACATATTTGCTTATATAAATATATATCAAAAGGCTGGGCTCAGTGGCTCACACCTGTAATCCCAGCACTTTGGGAGGCCAAGGTGGGCAGATCACTTGAGGTCAGGAGTTTTAGACCAGCCTGGCCAACATGGTGAAATCCCGTCTCTACTAAAAATACAGAAATTAGCCGGGAGTGGTGGTGGGTGTCTGTAATCCCAGCTACTCCAGAGGCTGAGGCAGGAGAATCACTTGAACCCGGGAGGCGGAGGTTGCAGTGAGCTGAGATCACGCCACTGCACTCCAGCCTGGGTGACAGTGAAACACCGTCTCAAAAAAATATAAAATTTTATATATATATATATATATATATATATATATATATACACACACACATACATACATCAATGTACTATTGCAATTATATTTATGAGATAAATTCCTACTGGTGGGATATTTGTGTAAACAGGCTTGTGCTTTTTTTTTTTTTTTTTTTTTTTGACAGAGTTTCACTCTTTTACCTCAGCTCACTGCAACCTCCATCTCTTGGGTTCAAGCAATTCTCCTGCCTCAGCCTCCTAAGTAGTTGGAATTACAGGTGCCTGCCACCACACCTGGCTAATTTTTTTGTATTTTTAGTAGAGACGGGGTTACACCATGTTGGCCAGGCCGTTCTTGAACTCCTGACCTCAGGTGATCCACCTGCCTCGGCCTCCCAAAGTGCTGGGATTACAGGCGTTAGCCACCGCACCCAACCTAGCTTGTGCATTTTTAATGTTAGTAGATACAAATTACTCTAAAAAGTTATAAGGTTTACATATGGATCCATAAAGAATACATGTAACTGTTTCATGTAGTACTAAAAATTTTCATAAATGATACATTTATAAATGTACATACATTTGAATTTTCCTTTTTTACTTAATATTTTCTTTTTTATGTTTCTATGTTGGTATCTCCCAATCTAGTTCATTCCTTTTAACTGCTGGTATAGTTAAAAAATATTTCAGTGAACATGTTTCTACATGTTGCCTTGTGCATATCTCTAAGACTCAAGACATATATCTAAAAATATACCTGTATCACCTAAAGATAATTATACAAATGTTTCTGCATGTCATAGTCTATTTAGTGTTGCTATAAAGGAATACCTGAGACTGTGCAATTTACAAAGAAAAAAATGTTTATTTGGTTGATTCTGATGTCTAGAAAAGTTGAAGACTTGGCATCTGGTGAGGACCTCAAGCTGCTTACCCCCATGGAAGAAGAAGGGGAGCTGGCCCATGCAGAGATCACATGGTGAGACAGGAAGGAGATGTTGTTACTGGGACTCTTCTTAGCACTCAGCTCTCAAAAGAACTAATAGAGTAAGAACTCACTCCCCTCCCCTCATACCTCCGGCTCTTCGAGAGGGCATTCATCTACTATTGAGGGATCCATCCCCATGACCCACTCACCTCCCATTAGACTCCACCTCCAACACTGGGGATCAAATTTCAGCATGATATTTGGAGGGGACAAGTGTCCAAACTATAGCAGTGTATATATGTGTATATGCACATATAAACGTTCGGTTTTTGTAGTCAATGCTTATTAACATTGATGAACTACTAGAACTAATGAGTGCTAACCTTGACGGATATAAGATCAATATACAAAAATCAACAGTATTCCAATACCCAACACCCCAAATTAGAAAACATTATTTTAAAACAGATACAGGGTCGAGTGAGGTGGTTCACGCCCATAATCCCACCACTTTGACAGGCCAAGGTGGGCGGATCACCTGAGGTCAGGAGTTCTAGAGCAGCCTGGCCAACATGGTGAAACCCTATCTCTACTAAAAATACAAAAATCAGTCGGGCATGGTGTTTGGCGCCTGTAATCCCAGCTGCTCAGGTGGCTGAGGCAGGAGAATCGCTTGAACCTGGGAGGTGGAGGTTGCAGTGAGCCGAGATCGCACCATTGCTCTCCAGCCTGGGCAACAAAGCAAGACCCTGTCTCAAAAAAAACCCAAAAAACAGATACAGGCAGCACAGTGTAGTGGTTAAGAGCATGAACGCTGGAGGCAGATTGCCCAAAGTTCTTATCTATCTCTGCCACTTACTACCTGTGTGACCTTGAGCAAATTACTCAACCATTCAGTGCCTCAGTTTTCTCATGTGTGAAATGTGGTAACAGTTCCTATCTGATAAGGTTATTTTAAGAATTAAGTGAGTTTATACTTGTAAAGTGCTTAGAATTGTGCCTGAAATACAGTAATCAGTATGTCTAAGTGCTTACTAAACAAAAGAAGAACGCTTTATGATAACAAAACCTATATAGTACCTAGAACTAACATGAGCTCATACCAAGAAAAGAACATAAGAGAAGTCTCACATAAATGGGAAAATTTGGGGATGAAAAAATATCAATGTTGAAGAAATGTTAATTCTCCCAAATTTAATCTGTAAATTTAATGCAACTTCAACCAAACTCTTGACATGGTTTTTTAGAGACTTTACAAGATGGTCATTAAATTTACAAGGAAGAATAAAGTGAGCAGACTACCAGAAAGTTTTTTTTAATTGAGGAACTTTTTCTTCCAGATATTATCATATACTATACTAATTGTTACAGAGATATTATAATTAAAACTCCATATGTTATTAAAACAGGAAGGGGGGCAAAAAGACCACAGGGACAAAAAACATCTTAGAAAAAGACCCATGTATAATATTATAAATTCATGAGGAAAGACTGGGATAATTGATTACCTATGTAGAAAAAGATAAAATTATTATAAACTATATAGAAAAACAAATCCCACAGTGATTAAATATGTAAGTGTAAAAAATAAAACTTTAAAAAACAAAAATACATATACACATACACATATGACAGTATCTTTGTGATACTGGAGAAAGGAAAAACTTCATCAACAACAAATACAACAGTATCAGCAAATACTTATGGAGCTTCATGTACAATCACTCTTCCAAGTGCTTTACACTAAATAACTTACTAAAACAAGGTACAAAAGGCATAAACCACAAAGGAAAAAGATGAACTAATGTAACCACATTAAAATGAAAATTTTCTGTATGACAAAAGACATCATAAACAAAATGAAAAGTTAAGTCACAGTTAGGGAGATATCATTTGCTAAGAAAATACCTAACAAAGAATTAATATTCAGAATATTTATATATATACAGAGAGAATGAGACTTTTTATTTTTTTTTAAGAGATGTGGTCTAGTTCTATCACCCAAGATGGAGTGTGGTGGCGTGAACATGGCTCACTACAGCCTCAGCCTCCTGGGCTCAAGCGATCCTCCCACCTCAGCTTGTCAAGTAGGTGGGACTACATGCACGCATCACCATGCCCAGCTAATTTTTGTATTTTTTCGTAAACACAGGGTTTTGCCATATTGCCCAGGCTAGTCTCAAGTTTCTGAGCTCACACAATCTGCTGCCTTCACCTCCCCAAGTGCTGGGATCACAGGTGTGGGGCGTGGTGTCCAGCCCAGAATATTTTTTAAAAACCTGTTTAAATAAATATAAAAAAGACATATGGGCCAGGTGGCGGTGGTTCATGCTTATAATCTCAGTACTTTGCGATGCTGAGGCAGGAGGATCACTTGAAGACCAGCCTGGGCAACCTAACAAGATCTCATCTCCACAAAAAAAAATTTTTTGGCGGGGGGACGGAGTCTCGCTCTGTCACTAGGCTGGAGTGCAATGGCATGATGTCAGCTCACTGCAACCTCTGCCTCCCAAGTTCAAGCAATTCTCCTGCCTCAGCCTCCCAAGTAGCTGGGACTACAGGCACGTGCCACCATGCCCAGCTGATTTCTGTATTTTTAGCAGAGATGGGGTTTTACCATGTTGGCTAGGATGGTCTCGATCTCTTAACCTCGTGATCTGCCCACCTCAGCCTCCCAAAATGCTGGGATTACAGGTGTGAGCCACTGTGCCAGGCCTCTACAAAAAAATTTTATTTATTTATTTTTTAAAATTTTCATTTATTTATTTTTTTGAGATGGAGTCTCGCCCTGTCTCCCAGGCTGGAGTGCAGTGGCATGATCTCAGCTCACTGCAACCTCCGCCTCCCAGATTCAAGCAATTCTTCTGCCCCAGCCTCCCGAGTAGCTGGGATTACAGGCACGCGCCACCACACCCAGCTAATTTTTGTATTTTTAGTAGAGATGGGGTTTCACCATGTTGGTCAGGCTGGTCTCGAACTCCTGACCTCGTGATCCACCCGCCTCGGCCTCCCAAATTCCTGGGATTACAGGCGTGAGCCACCACGCCCAGCCAAAAAAATTTTAAAAATAAAAACATTAACCAGGCATGGTGGCAGGAGCCTATAATCCCAGCTACTTGGGAGACAGAGGCAGGAGGATTGCTTAAGCCTGGGAAGCTGAGGATGTAGTGAGCCATGATCATGCCACTGCACTCCAGTTTGGGTGACAGAGCAGGTCACTGTCTCAAAAAAAAAAAAAAAAAGACACATGACTCAATTTGTTTTTAAGTAGAAAAGATATAAATAGAAAATTCACTGACAAGAAAAGTAAATGGCCAATAAACATATGAAACTCTTAACACTCAGTATTAATCAAGGAAATGCAATTAAAACAAGATACCGGCCAGGCTCAGTGGCTCATGCCTGTAATCCCAGCACTTTGGGAGGCTGAGGCAGATGGATCAGGAGTTCAAGACCAGACCAGCCAACATGGTGAAACCCCGTCTCTACTAAAAATAGAAAAATTAGTTGGGCATGGTGGCAGGCACCTGTAATCCCAGCTATTCAGGAGGCTGAGGCAGGAGAATCGCTTGAACCCAGGAGGTGGAGGTTGTGGTGAGCTGAGATCGCGCCATTGCACTCCAGCCTGGGCAACAAGAGCGAAACTCCGTTTCAAAAAAAAAAAAGAAAAAAAAACAAGGTACCATTGTATACCCAACATACGGGTAAAAAAAAAAAAAAGACACTAAATGATGACAAAGATATAAGAACATTGAAATTCTTAAAATATACGGCTAATGTGGGCTTAATTAGATCAACTTATGATATAGCAATTCCACTTTTAGGAACATAATCTAAAGAAGCTCTCGGCCAGGCAGGGTGGCTCACGCCTGTAATCCCAACTTTGGAAGGCCAAGGCAGGTGAATCCACTTGAGGTCAGGAGTTCGGGATCAGCCCGGCCAACATGGCAAAACCCCCTCTACTAAAAATACAAAAACTAGCTGGGCGTGGTGGTGCATGCCTGTAATCCCAGCCACTCGGGAGGCTGAGGTAGAAGGATCGCTTGAACCTGGGAAGCAGAGGCTGCAGTGAACTGAGATCATGCCACTGCACTCCAGCCTGGATGACAGAGCAAGACTCTGTCTCAAAAATAAGGCCGGGCACGATGGCTCATGCCTGTAATCCCAGCACTTTGGGAGGCCGAGGCAGGCGAATCATGAGGTCTGGAGTTCAAGACCAGCCTGGCCAACATGGTTAAACTCTGTCTCTACTAAAAATACAAAAATTACCCAGGCATGGTGGTGGGCGCCTGTAATACCAGCTACTTGGAAGGCTGAGGCAGGAGAATCACTGGAACCCAGGAGGCAGAGGCTGCAGTGAGCCGAGATCACGCCACTGCACTCCAGCCTGGGCAACAGAGCAAGACTCTGTCTCCAAAAATAAATAAATAAAAATAAATAAACAAATAAATAAAGAAGCTCTCCACATATTCATAAACAGACTTGTATAAGGATGCTCACTACAGCAATGTTTTCAATAAAAATTAGTACAAAAACTTTACTTGAACATAAAGGAACAAATTAACTATATCTTATTCCTATAATGAAATGCTATCCAGCACATAAAATGAGTAAACTAGAACTATGTTTTTTGAAATGGATATGTTTCAAAAATATTACACTTAGTAAAAAAGACAATTTGCAGTATAATACAAGATATTTAAGGTTAGGCACGGTGGTTCATGCCTGTAATCCCAGCATTTTGAGAGGTTGAAGCCAGGTGATCACTTGAGGTCAGGAATTCAAGACCAGCCTGACAAACATGATGAAACCCCATCTCTACTAAAAATACAAAAATTAGCTGGGTGTGGTGGTGCACACCTGTAATCCCAGCTACTTGGGAGGCTGAGGCATGAGAAACACTTGAACCTGGGAGGTGGGGGTTGCAGTGAGCCAACATTGCGTCACTGCACTCCAACTGGGGTGACAGAGTGAGAGTCTGTCTCTAAAAAAAAAAAAAAAAAAAAAAAACAGAGATTTAAAACTTAAAAACAAAAACTAGTCTTATATATTCCCTGCAGAGACTTACATGTATAGTATAAAACAAAACAAGTTTTCACACATCTCTGGAACTAGGAAGGGAAAAGGGATGGGGGTACAGTGGTTTTAGCGGTTTCTTTTTTTTACTTTATGCTCTATATTCTGACACTGTATGTTTAATATTTTATTTAAAATGAGTCTAAAGCAACTGTGGCAAAAGATAACATTTGTTTTGTTTTTCCCAAAAGCCCATTCTGTAACTTAATTAACATTTGTTAGATATGAGTGGAGGGCAAATTGGTGAGCATGATATTTTCTGCATGTTTGAAAATTTTTATAATTGAAAATTTTTGTTTTATAGAGTAATGCCAATTTATACACAAGCTTTCAAAATGATATATAAATTTGCAGAGCTAAATATATTAAATGATAGAAATCTAGATTCCTATGACTTCTGAAATCAAGGTAAATGTGAAGAAAATAGAAAAGTCTAAAAAAAGGACAAATTTTAATTACTCAATACAACATGTTACCTGCTTCTCCTGAAGGTGTTTCCTCAGTAACCAGGGGTAAGCCAGATGCAAAGAAGTCCATGATTGTTGCATAAATATCTGGTTTCAGTAAATTCCAGTCTAATTCTTCATTTTCCTATAAACATTTAAAGGAAAATGCTGTATTTCCAGGCAACGGCAAAGACCCATACAGAACACTACCTTATACCTCTTTTTTCTTTTTTTTTTTTGAGATGGAGTCTCACTCTGTTGCCCAGGCTGGATGGAGTACAGTGGTGTGATCTTGGCTCACTGCAACCTCCGCCTCCTGGGTTCAAGCGATTCTCCTGCCTCAGCCTCCCAAGTAGCTGGGACTACAGGTGTGTGCCTTGAACATAAAGGAACAAATTAACTATATCTTATTCCTATAATGAAATACTCTCCAGCACGTAAAATGAGTAAACTAGAACTATGTTTTTTGAAATGGATATATTTCAAAATTATTATACTTAGTAAAAAAGGCAATTTGCAGTATAACACAAGATATTTAAGGTTGGGCACGGTGGTTCATGCCTGTAATCCCAGCATTTTGAGAGGTCGAAGCCTGACCTCGTGATCCACCCACCCCGGCCTCCCAAAGTGCAGGGATTACAGGCGTGAGCCACAGCGCCTGGCCCCCTTACACCTCTTAAGAAGCTTTTCCTGGTCAGGTGTGGTAGTTCATGCCTAATCCCAACATTTTGGGAAGCTGAGGCAAGAGGATTGCTTGAGTCCAGGAGTTTAAGACTAGCCTGGGCAACATAGCGAGACTTCGTCTCTTTTTATATTTTTAAAAATAATAAAGGGAAAGGAAGAAAGAAAAAAGAGAAAAAAGCAGCAGAAAAAAGGAAAGGAGGAAGGAAGGCAAGCAGGCAGGCGAAGAGAGGAAGGTAAAAGGGAAAGGAAAAGAAAAGAGATAAAAAGAAAAGAAAAGAGGAAAGGAAAGGAAAAGAAAAAATATCTTTTCCTATATACACACTATACCTATGCAATGGCAACCACTTCTGGAGAATATATATTAGCTCCACATCTTAAAGGGTCCTGTTTAAACGAATTTCAGAAGATAAAATCTTAAAGATCCCCCATTCATTAATTCATTCACTTATTATTATTAATAATATAATTATAATTTATAATTAATAAAAATTAATATTTAATTAATTTAAATATAATTATTAATATATTAGTAATAATATTATTATTAATTCATTCACTTTCATTGTTTTAATTTGATTTAAATGATTAAAAGATGTTTTTCATGATGTGAAGACAAAATATTAAATGGATTTTCTGTCTTTAAAGAAGATGATAAAGAGATTCCCATTCTCTTAAAAAAAACATAGGATGTAATTGCTTGATCAAGTATACGGAACAGCCTACAACTATTCAAAAAATTTACTTATATATATTACTTAAAGGGTATGAAAGAAATTTGGCTGGGCATGGTGGCTCATGCCTGTAATCCCAGCACTTTGGGGAGGCCGAGGCGGGTGGATCACCTGAGGTCAGGAGTTTGAGACCAGCCTGGCCAACATGGTGAAAACCTTTCTCTACTAATAATACAAAAATTAGCCGGCGTGGTTGCAGAGGCCTGTAATCCCAGCTACTAGGGAGGCCAAGGAAGGAGAATCGCTTGAACCCGGGAGGCGGAGGTTGCAGTGAGCCGAGATCGTGCCACTGCCCTCCAGCCTGGGCGACGGAGTGAGACTCCATCTCAAAAAACAAAAAAAGGAAACAATATAGAGATAGTACATAAAAGGTGAGATAAATGGGGACTGCTAAGGTTATAAAAGTAAAACTAGTGAAATATCTTAGTGATTGGGAATGGAAACTAGTTGTAGGTAATAAATTATTTGGAAAACAAATCAGAGTGTTACCTCAGATCTTCAGTAAATAGCAGGCTCTACTAAATAGGAAAATATTGGTAATAAAAAGAAAAAATATTCTAAAGTTGTCTGAATGAGAAAAAAAGGGCAGCATATAAGCTGCAAATATACATATATATTTAGAAAAAAATAACACAAATGATGCATAAAGAAGTCTAATTATCAACTGGAAATCAGAAATAGAAACAGGCGATTGCTGAAGACATTCAGTAAAATGTGATAGTCCATGATGAGAAACATTACTGGAAGAAAACAAAATAAATCCAGTATTCCGTCTATTAAATACCAACGTGGGCCAGGCGTGGTGGCTCACACCTGTAATCCCAACATTTTGGGAGGCCGAGACAGAAGGATTGCATGAGCCCAGGAGTTTGAGACCAGCCTGGGCAACATAGAAGGACACTGTCTCTACAATAAAAAAAAATAAAAAAAAAATTAGCTGGGCATAGTGGCATGCACCTGTAGTCCCAGCTACTCGGGAAGCTGAGACAGCAGGATCGCTTGAGCCTGGGAGTTAGTGGTTGCAGTGACCCATGATCGCACTACTGTATTCCAGCCTGGGGAAACAGAGCAAGATCCCATCTATATGTATGTGTAGATAGATAGATATACACACACACATACATATATGTGTATCAACATATACCCTAACTTGGGATATTATCTATTGGTTATGTCATTTCACTTAAGAAAAAATTGTAGAGCTAGGGCAATTTCAAATAGGGTAACTAAATAATGAAAGTAAGAGAGCTAAAAGATGACTTACTAAATCTAATCAAGAAAAATAGGAAAAAAAAAAAAACCAAAACCCTTTAAGATATAATCACATTTTTACCTATAAAAATTTTTATATAGCATAGGCTATACGTAAAAGAACTAAATAACTTTAAAAAATAAATATATAATTTCCCACTTATAAAATAACTAGTTGTAAGAATTAGATAACATATGTAAAGCACTAGGGCCATATCCGACATTGAATATATTAAATAAATGTTCATCCCTTCTTCTCCTTAAAAAATATGGAAGAAAGAAAACTGAAGAATGGGGGGCTGGACGTGGTGGTTCACACCGGTAATCCCAGCACTTTGGGAGGCCGAGGTGAGCAGATTGTTTGAGCTCAGAAATTTGAGACCAGCCTGGAAAACATGGCGAAACCCTATCTCTACAAAAAATACAAAAATTAGTTGGACATGGTGGTATGCACGTATAGTCCCAGCTACTAGGGAGGCTGAGGTGAGATGACTGCTTAAGCTCAAGAGGCTTAGGCTGCAGTGAGCTGAGATCATGCCACTGCACTCTGACCTGGGTGTGGAGTGAGACTTTGTCTCTAAATAAATAGCCGCAAGAGAATACTGGACTAGATGACTAGATTTAACATGTCACTAACCCAGTATGTCCCCTTTTTTTCTTTTTTGAGATGCAGTCTCGCTCTGTCGCCCAGGCTGGAGTGCAGTGGCCCGATCTCCGCTCACTGCAAGCTCCGCCTCCCGGGTTCACGCCATTCTCCTGCTTCAGCCTCCTGAGTAGCTGGGGCTACAGGCGCCCGCCACCATGCCCGGCTACTTTTTTTTTGTATTTTTAGTAGAGACGGGGTTTCACCATGTTAGCCAGAATGGTTTTGATCTCCTGACCTCATGATCTGCCCACCTCGGCCTCCCAAAGTGCTGGGATTACAGGCGTGAGCCACCACACCCGGCCCCCAGTATGTCCACTTTTAAGGACATAAAGAGCTCAGACTAATCCTTTCAATTTGCTTAAGGGGAGTTTAATAAATATTTTTGATTTTCACACACTATCAGGCAAGTGATTTAAGTTCCGTGGATATATGTCAATTAACAGATTTAAAAGGATACATAGTTCAAATTTAAATAGTTCATGTCCCATTAATCTAGTAGACATCAAAAATGGAACAGCCCTTTCTAGCAGATACTGCCTTGACTGTTGAAAAACATAGCATATTTTTTATAGGCGTGGTGGCTCACGCCTGTAATCCCAGCAATTTGGAGGCCGAGGCGGGTGGATCACCTGAGGTCGGGAGTTCTAGACCAGCCTGGCCAACATGGCGAAACCCTGTCTCTACTAAAAATATAAAAATTAGCTGGGCATGGTGGCAGGCGCCTGCAATCCCAGCTACTCAGGGTGGCGGGGGGGGGCGCCGAGGCAGGAGAATCACTTGGACCTGGGAGGCAGAGGTGGCAGTGAGCCAAGATCGCACCATCACACTCCAGCCTGGGGGACAAGAGCAAGACTTCATCTCAAAAAAAAGAAAAAGAAAAGAAAAAGAAAAACATAGCATATTTCGCTTGATTCTTGTGACATTTAGAGGACAAGAGAGTAAGACCCTGTCTCAAAAATAAAATATAAAAATTAAAGAACAGAAAGAATGGAAATGTTGGAGAGAGAGGCATTGGACTCAGAAAAAAATGAAGAGTATTTCAAGTCTTATTTTATATAATCCTATGTTTACCTTTGTGACAGTGATGAAATCTGGTCCAAAGAAGACACTTTTTACTCCTTCAATCCTAAATAACTGCCTGCAAAAAAAGAAAAAATAAGAGATATTAAAATGCTTGATTATGGAAAAGTTTAAACATACACAAAAGTAGAGAAAAGTAAAAAATTCTCCACATATCCTTTGCAGCTTTAACAATGATCAACTCATGGCCAATTTTGTTTTATATTCCTACTCTACGATTTAGCAATCCCACTCCTAGTTATTTACCCAAAAGAAATAAAAACTCGTGCTCCACAAAGACTTGTACATAAATCTTCATAGCAGCTTCATTTAAAATAGCCACACATACAGAAAAATATGGAAATGTCCATCACCTGGTGAATGAATAGACTGCTATATCTATACTATCAATCATTCATTCAACCAATATTTGACACCTACTAAGTGCCAGGCACTGTACTGAGCACTAAACAGACTATTTTTTTTTTTTTCTCTTTTGAGACGGAGTCACCCTCTGTCCCCCAGGCTGGAGTGCAGTGGTGAGATCTTGGCTCATTGCAACCTCCGCCTCCTGGGTTCAAGCAATTTTCCTGCCTCAGCCTCCCAAGTAGCTGGGATTACAGGCGCCCACCACCACGCCCAGCTAATTTTTGTATTTTAGTAGAGATGGGGTTTCACCATGTTGCCCAGGCTGGTCTCAACTCCTGACCTCAGGTGATCCACCCACCTCCCAAAGTGCTGGGATTACAGGCATGAGCCACCACACCCAGCCTAAACAGACTATTTTCAAAAGACTAACTTGAAAAGAGATTTTGCCAACTGAACATCTGACAGAAATAATCTCTAACTAATCTATAACTGAATTAATTGGGGCTTTTTTACTTTTACTTTTTTAATACAAAATATGAACTCATTCTTGATGTAAATGTTTCAAACAATAAAATTTAAATGCCCCTTGACTACCCCTACCAAATCCTGTTATCAGTTTCGTGTGTATTCTTCCAGATCTTTTTGTCAGTGCATTTGTTGTTCTGTGGTTTTTGCTTTTATATACATAGTATCATATTGGACTCACTGTTCTGCAAGTTGCTTTCTTCACTTGTATGTCTCAGATGTCTATGACAGTAAATACATCCCTGCACGTATCTTGGGCACATGTGCAAGTAACTTCTAGGGTAGGGTTTTTAAAACCCAGTAGTGAGTTGTGGAATCATGTATGTAGTGACAGGGTTTTATGTAATAAAATAAAACAGAACAACAAAAAGAGATGAAGAAAGGAAATTTAAGAATCTATTATCTATTGTAAGGGTGAAAAAATAGTGAAAACTATCCCATCAAACATTTGTATCTCACGCATACACACACATAATGTAAAACACTTTTTACTGTGACTTATATCAAAAAAGTACGAAAAACAGCCTGTAATCCCAGTACTTTGGAAGCCGAGAAGGACAGAACACTTGAGCTCAGGAGTCTGAGACCAGCCTGGGCAACATGATGAGACCTAGTCTCTACAAAAAATACCGAATTTAGCCAGGTGAGGTGGCATGTGCCTATAGTCCCAATTACTAGGGAGGCTAAGGCAGGAGAATAGCTTGAACCCAGGAGGTGGAGGTTGCAGTGAGCCAAGATCACGCCATCACACTCCAGACACTCCAGCCTGGGCAACAAAAGTGAAACCTTATCTCAAAAAATAAATAAAAAGTTAAAAATAAAATATGAAAAACAAACACTCTAAGGTATATTCTGAGAAGTGATATGTTTAAGAAAAAAAAAGTACCTATTAATTATAAATTTTAAAAACGATTCCAGAGCTTAGCAAATCCCTAGGTTCCTTAAACGAGACATATAAAATGGCTGTACGTATAGAAATAGTTACCTGAGCTCTGTTTTCCGAGTATCCCTGGCAATCAGATTGAGGCTTCGGTTCCCCAAAATTTCAACTGATGCTGACTGACTCTACTGACTAATATTCTTTATTATTAACTTCTCTATCAGTTAAAAAGAGGTTCATCCCAACAATTTTATCATTTGTGCTTTTTTTTTTTTTTTTTTTTTTTTTGAGACAGTCTCGCTCTGTCGCCCAGGCTGGAATGCAGTGGCGCTATCTCGGCTCACTGCAAGCTCTGCCTCCCGGGTTCATGCCATTCTCCTGCCTCAGCCTCCCGAGTGGCTAGGACTACAGGCGCCCGCCACCACATCCGGCTAATTTTTTGTATTTTTAGTAGAGATGGGGTTTCACTGTTAGCCAGGATGCTCTCGATCTCCTGACATGATCCGCCCGCCTCGGCCTCCCAAAGTGCTGGGATTACAGGGATGAGCCACCGCACCTGGCCCTGTTCTTTATCATCTCTAACATACAGTAGTCCCCCCTTATCCTCAGGGGATCCATTCCAATGCCCCCAGTGGATCCCTGAAACTACACATAGTATTGAACCCTGCAAGTATTATGTTTTTTTCCTATACATATATACCTATGATAAAGTTTAATTTATAAATTAGGCACAGTAAGAGATTAACAACTGATAATAAAATAGAACAATTATAACAATATGCCAGCAATATGCCAGCATCACTACTTTAAGAGATGGCTTCTAAGTGATCAATGATGCAGCGAGGGTGGTGGGGGGTTCAGCAGAGGGGAGGGCACAGGCAGACAGGGTATATGACATGGATACACTAGAAAAGGGATAATTTATGCCCTGGGGAGGACAGAGCAAGATTTCACCATGCTACTCAGAAAAGCAGCACAATTTAAAACTGATGAATTGTTTATTTCTGGAATTTTCCATTTAATATTTTTAGACTATGGCTGATCTTGGGTAACTGAAACCAGGGAAAGTGAAACCACAGATAAGGGGGGACTACTGGTTTAAACATGCCTTTATCTGGTGAATTTTAAAACTGTCCCCACTGACTAGTTTTCATTTATAGTTCTGAATAGAGTATTTTAGAAATTATTCCATCTTGAAAGAACTACAGATTCAACTACCCTTATGAATAAAATAAGCAAGTTCTCATTATTCTTAAAAATCAGATTTTTTAAGATCTGAAATGGAAATTTACCATATTTATCAATTTGATGAATATTTTTTCTTAAGTAAAAATATAAGTTTTTATTTATTCATGCTATAGATCTCTCAAATATATCACAGGAGAAAATTTTTTTAATATCAACTCTCATTTTTCTTTTCTTTTTTGAGGCAGGGTCTCACTCGCTCGCCTAGGCTGGAATGCAATGGCACAATCATGGCATCACAGCTCATAGTTTCCTTAACCTCCTGGGTTTAAGTGATCCTCCCACCTCAGCCTCCCTAGTAGCTGGGAATACAGACACATACCACCACACTTGGCTAATTTTTGTATTTTTTGTAGACAGGGTTTCACCATGTTGCCCAGGCTGGTCTCCAACTCCTGAGCTCAAGTGATCCCCACCTCCTCAGCCTCCTCAACATTTTTGGGTTTTTTTGAGACAGGGTCTCACTCTGTTGCCCAGGCTGGAGTGCAGTGGCACCATCATGGCTCACTGCAGCCTCAACCTCCCAGGCTCAAGCGATCTTCCCATCTCAGCCTTCTGAGTAGCTGAGACCAGAGGTACACACCATCACACTCAGCTAAATTTGTGTGTGTGTGTGTGTGTGTATGTGTGTGTGTGTGTGGTGAGATGGGCTGTGTGTGTGTGTGGGGGGGGGCGGGTAGAGATGGGCTCTCTGTGTGAGTGTGTGTGTGTGTGTGTGTGTGTGTGTGTGTGTGTGTGTGTGTGTATGTGTGTGTGGTAGAGATGGAGTCTCTCTATGTTGCCCAGGCTGGTCTCAAACTCCTGGACTCAAGCAATCCTCCCACTTCAGCCTTCCAAAGTGTTAGGATTACAGGTGTGAGGCACTGCAACAGGCCTTATTTTTTTTTTAATCTCTCATCTGAAAAGAAATTATTTTCTACACTTAAAAAAAAATGCAGTGCACATAGAAATGCAATAGTTAAACAGAGTTGTCTTAACCCCAAAGTCAGTTAGTTATTTATGTTTCTTGGTAAAAGCAAATGAAAACAGTAATATACCTAGCCAGAGGGGAGCGAAATGCTGCAGCTGGGGTGGGAAAATCCATGGTCCTTGTCTCAAGAACTGGTTTTCCTGGTATAAACTTTAAGCTGTTTGGATTTGGGGTATCTTGTGTTTGAATAAACATGTATCTCACTAAAAAAGAAAAAGAAGAAAATGTTATTCTAGAAAAAACAGTTAACAAGTTTATGGACTATGAAGTGCTCATTTGCAGAGAATCAGAAGAAGTAAGAAAAACTGGGGAAAAACCCAAGGCTTTATTGCCCTGACAAAGCATTTATAAGGATAAGAAAGAAATATATCACCATAGAGCCGGGCGCAGTGGCTCACACCTGTAATCCCAGCACTTAGGGAGGCCGAGGCGGGTGGATTACGAGGTCAGGAGTTCAAGACCAGCCTGGCCAAGATGGTGAAGCCTCGTCTCTACTAAAAATACAAAAATTAGCCAGGCGTGGTGGCGGGTGCCTGTAATCCCAGCTACTTGGGTGACTGAGGCAGAGAATTGCTTGAACCTGCGAGGCGGAGGTTGCAGTGAGCCGAGATTGCACCACTGCACTCCAGCCTGGTGACAAAGTGAGACTCTGTCTCAAAAAAAAAAAAAAAAAAAAAAAAAAAAATATATATATATATATATATATCTCAATATATTTAAGTGCATATAGTTTTCTACTAACACTCTGGTTTATTGGTTTTTGGGTTTTTTGTTTTTGTTTTTGTTTTTTTTGAGACAAGGTCTTGCTCTGTTGCCCAGGCTGGAGTGCAGTGGCACAATCACGGTTCACTACGACCTCAAATTCCAGGGCTCAGGCAATCCTCCTATTTAAGCCTCAAAAGTATCTGGGACTACAGGCGTGCACCATCAGACCTAGTTAATATTTGTATTTTTTTGCAGAGACAGGGTCTCACGCTATTGCCCAGACTGGTCCCAAATTCCTGGACTCAAATGATCCTCCCACCTCAGCCTTCCAAACTGTTGGGATTAGAGTGTGAGCACTGTGCCCAGCCAATACACTGATTATTTAAATAGTTGTGTTATGAAACAGATTCCAGAAATAGTAAACACTTAAGTCTTATACATATTCATAATTCAGGAGTCCTATATATAGTCTATTTGGTGACTTTGTACCAATGGCTATCATAATCACAGATCACTTATTGCTGACATTAATACACTAAAATGCTACATTCTCTTCTTTCTAAAGTGCCACCATTATTTTAAAGACAAAGTTAGCAATTTATAATAGTAATAATAAAGTTATTGTGTGCTTATTATATGCCAAATACAGGGTCAAACGCTTTTTTTTTTTTTTTTGAGGCGGAGTCTCCCTCTGTCGCCCAGGCTGGAGTGCAGTGGCGCCATCTCTGCTCACTACAAGCTCCACCTCCCAGGTTCATGCCATTCTCCTGCCTCAGCCTCCCGAGTAGCTAGGACTACAGGCACCCGCTGCCATGCCCGGCTAATTTTTTCTGTATTTTTAGTAGAGACGGGGTTTCACTGTGTTACCCAGGATGGTTTTGATCTCCTGACCTCATGATCTGCCCGCCTCGGCCTCACAAAGTGCTGGGATTACAGGTGTGAGCCACCGCGCCCAGCCAAAGGCTTTTTTTAAAAAAAATCTGTGGAGGTGGAATCTCCCAATGTTGCTCAAGCTGGTCTCAAACACCTGGCCTCAAGTGAGCCTTCCACCTTGGCCTCCCAAAGTAAAGTGCTGGGATTACAGGTGTAAGCCATCATGTCCAGCTCCGGGGCCAAGTGCTTTATTTATTTATTTTTAATTTTTTTTTTTTTTGAGATGGAGTTTCGCTCTTTCCCCCAGGCTAGAGTGAAGTGGCACAATCGTGGCTCACTGCAACCTCTGCCCCCTAAGTTCAAGTGATTCTCCTGCCTCAGCCTCCTGAGTAGCTGGGATTATAGGCATGCACCACCATGCCCGGCTAATTTTTGTATTTTTAGTAGAGACAGGGTTTCACCATGTTGGCCCAGCTGGTCTCAAACTCCTGACCTCACGTGATCCACCCACCTCAGCCTCCCAAAGTGGTGGGATTACAGGTGTAAGCCACTGTGCCCGGCCTAATTTTTTTTTTTTTAAACTGGGTTTCACCATGTTGGCCAGGCTGATCTCAAACTCCTTGCCTCGAGTGATCCACCTACCTCAGCCTCCCAAAGTGTTGGGATTACAGGCATGAGCCACCATGCCTGGCCCAGGTGCTTTACATGTATTTATGCCTTTAACAACCCTGTAAAGAAGGAACTCTTACTCCCATTTTACAAATGAAGACACGGAGGCTTAGAGATATTAATTAAGTTGCCTAATGGTACAGTAAATAACATAACAAAATACAACATAAGCAAGAATCTATGCAAATTACTTCCTGGAATATTTAAAAGATATCTATTTTGTTTGTTTCAAGACAAGGACTCACACTGTACCCAAGCTAGAGTGCAGTGGCACAATCTTGGCTCACTACAACCTCTGCTTTCTGGATTCAAGCGATTCTCATGCCTCAGCTTCCCAAGTGGCTGGAACTACAGGTGTGCACCACCACACCCAGCTAATTTTTGATTTTTTGTAGAGAAGGGGTTTCATCATGTTGGCCAGGCTGGTCTTGAACTCCTGGCCTCAGGCGATCCATCCGCCTCGGCCTCCCAAAGTGCTAGGATTAAAGGCGTGAGCCACTGTGCCTAGCCTAAAAGACATCTTTACAGACTCTTCTTTTTTTGAGATTGAGTCTCGCTCTGTCGCCCAAGCTGGAGTGCAGTGGCATGATCTCGGCTCACTGCAAACTCTGCCTTCCAGGTTCAAGCAATTCTCCTGCCTCAGCCTCCTGAGTAGCTGAGATTACCAGCATATACCACCAAGCCCAGCTAATTTTTGTATTTTTAGTAGAGATGAGGTTTCACCATGTTGGCCAGGCTAATCTCGAACTCCTGACCTCAGGTGATCCGCCTGCCTTGGCCTCCCAAAATGCTGGGATTACAGGCATGAGCCACTGTGCCCGCCAACTCTTTTCTTATAATATCTTTTTTCTAGGACCATGATTAGATTGAGAATGGATTCACTAAAGCAATAAAGAGATAACACAATCTTTAATTTCCTACCTTGCTATTATGACAACAGCTTGCAGGACGAAAGGACGGCACTGGCATTTTAATAGTTTTAAAACTATTAAACAGATCTGATTATTCATTATGAATAATCATAATGAAGGGGGCAGTGGCTCACGCCTGGAATCCCAGCACTTTGGGAGGCCGAGGCGGGCGGATCACGAGGTCAGGAGTTTGAGACCAGCCTGGCCAACATGGTGAAACCCCGTCTCTACTAAAAAAATACAAAAATTAGCCAGACGTGGTGGTATCTGCCTGTAATCCCAGCTACTCAGGAAGCTGAGGCAGGAGAATCGATTGAACCCGGGTTGCAGTGAGCTGAGATCCTGCCATTGCACTCCAGCCTGGGCAATAGAGAGAGACTAGGTCTCAAAAAAAAAAAAGAAAGAAAGAAAGAAAAGAAAATGAATTTTCTGGCCAGGCGTGGTGGCTCACGCCTATAATCCTAGCACTTTGGGAGGCCAAAGCGGGTGGATCACCTGAGGTCAGGAGTTCCTGACCAGCCTGGCCAACATGGTGAAACCCCGTCTCTACTAAAAATACAAAATTAACCGGGCGTGGTGGCAGGCGCCTGTAATCCCAGCTACTCAGGAGGCTGAGGCAGGAGAATCACTTGAACCTGGGAGGCAGAGGTTGCAGTTAACTGGGATCGCACCATTGCACTCCAGCCTGGGCAAAAAGAGCAAAACTCCATCTCAAAAAAAAATAGAAGGCCAGGCATGGTGGCTCACGCCTGTAATCTCAGCACTTTGGGAGGTAAAGGCAGGTGGATCACAAGGTCAGGAGTTTGAAACCAGCCTAGCCAACATGGTGAAAACCCATCTCTACTATAAACACAAACGTCAGCCAGGCGTGGTAGTGTGCGTCCGTAGTCCCAGCTACTTGGGAGGCTGAGGCAGGAGAATCACTTGAACATGGGAGGCGGAGCTTGCAGTGAGCCAAGAATGTGCCACTGCACTCCAGCCTGGGTGACAGAGTGACACTCAGTCTCAAAAAAAAAAAAAAAAAAAAGGCCAGGTGTGGTGGCTCACACCTGTAATCCCAGCACTTTGGAAGGCCGAGGTGGGCAGATCACCTGAGGTCAGGAGTTCAGGACCAGCCTGGCCAACATGGTGAAACCCCGTCTCTACAGGGGTTTTGTAGAGGTAGGGTTATTTTGTAGAGGTATTTGTAAAAATACAAAAATTAGCCAGGCGTGGTAGTGCGCTCCTGTAATCCCAGCTACTTAGGAGGCTGAGGCAGGACAATCACTTGAACCTGGGAGGTGGAGGCTGCAGTGAACCAAGATTGCGCCATTACAGTCCAGCCTGGGCAACAGAGCAAGACTCTGTCTCAAAAAGAAAAAAGAAAAAAGAAAATGAACCTTCTGAGTAAAAAGAAATCCTCCATCTTACAGCAGTATATTTAAATAGACTGACAATACTATATAACAATTAAAATTTATTCAGTGCCTGGCCGGGCGCAGTGGGTTATGCCTATAATCCCCAGCACTTTGGGAGGCCAAGGCAGGCGGATCACCTGAGGTCAGGAGTTCGAGAACAGCCTGGTCAACATGGTAAAACCCTGTGTCTACTAAAAATACAAAAATTAGCCAGGTGTGGTGATGTGCGCCTGTAATCCCAGCTACCTAGAAGGCTGATGCAGGAGAATTGCTTGAACCCAGGAGAGGGAGGTTGCAGTGAGCCAAGATCCAGCCACCACGCACTCCAGCCTGCGAGACATAGTGAGACTCTGTCTCAAAAAAAAAAAAATTATTCAGTGCCTATCATGCACTGGGCAGGGTGCTAAGCACTTTACATGTATTATATCATTTAATCCTTACATACTTTCAATGAGTACTTTCAATACTTACTATTTTTATCTTATTTTATAATAAGGAGACTAAAGGTCACTCAGCTACTAAGTGACAGAGCCAGGATTCAAAGCTGGACAATTTTCTAGGTGCTGACTTTCTTAGCCACCGTACATATTGCTAATCCTTATCTAACATTGCCAGGCATAATAGGAAAATACATTTAAGATCAATCTTCCTGTCCTAATTTTCACATCACCTATTTTAGGAGAGAGAATAGAATATCAAAAAGCAACAGTTTTATTTTAAATTTGAAAGAGTTTAAATTTGGCAAAACATATGGTTGGTACAAAAATGCTTTTCTTAGTCATTACAGAAAAAGTTCTAATTTGACAACTGAGAGCCATTTTTGTACTTTGCCATGCAGTTCCAGCTAGCTGAAGTTAAACCATTTCATGGATAAAGAAAAAAATTGAAAGTGAACTCCCATACATTTTGTTTAAATCCTTTTTCTAATTAGACAACCAGACAATTCCTAAAAAATGAAAAAATAGCCGCAATGTCCAAGTACTTCATTTAAAATATGTATATTTCTAGTAAGACATTCTTCTGAAAATCTGTGTTATAAGGGAATGATTTTTCAATGACACATTAAAGAAAGGGCTGCCAACACTTTCTGTAAATAATCTTCTAACTCTGGCTCTGAACCAATCATTTCTTGCAGCTTGTATTAATAATTTATTGCTAACCAAAATCTGCACACAGTACTCTACCAATATTTGAAAAATTAAATCTGGCTTCAACTGGGTGCATCAGCTCACACCTATAATCCCAGCACTTTGGGAGGCCAAGGCAGGAGGATCACTTGAGGGCAGAAGTTCGAGACCAGCCTGGGCAACAGAGATCCTGTCTCTACAAAAAAATACAAAAATTGGTCAGCTGTGGTGGCATGTGCCTATAATTCCAGCTACATAGGAGGCTAAGGCAAGAGGACTGCTTGAGCCCAGGCAGTAGAAAATGCAGTGAGCCAAGACAAAAAAAAAAAATCTGGCTTTATTCTACTCAATCAATTTGAGAAAAACTACACCTGCAGAAAGCAAAATTTTTAGAAATCCTTGAGGGTAAAAACTACAAATGCAAAATAAAAAGTCACTTAAGAGCATATACTCTATACTATCTAAAGTAGAAAGTATGAAAATGAATGACATCATCACAGAACTTTTTACTGTTGACAATAAATAAAGCTATTACTAAAAAACTAATTCAGGCTGGGCACGGTGGCTCACGCCTATAATCCCAGCACTTTGGGAGGCTGAGCCAGGCAGGTTACTTGAGCTCTGGAGTTCAAGACCAGCCTAGGTAATGTAGTGAAACCTCGTCTCTACAAAAAATACGAAAATTAGCTGGGTGTGTTGGTACGCACCTGTAGTACCAGCTACTTGGGAGACTGAGGTGGGAGGATGGCTGGAGCCCAGGAGGCGGAGGTTACAGTGAGCCAAGATCACATCACTGCACTTTAGCCTGGGCAACATAGTGAGACCCTGCCTCAAAAACAAACAAAAAAAAACACCTAATTTGAATAGGTACTTAACAAAATCATTACAATTATAATCTCAATTGGGTTTAATTTTGTATTTCAAAAATGACTCCCAGGTCCATCATCCAGAAAGATGCTCATGAAAATGTCATGAGACTTACAACAGGAAACAGGACAGAATGATAAAAAATATTTCTTCCTTTTTTTTTTTTTGAGACAGTGTCTCACTCTGCTGCCCAGGCTGAAGTGCAGTGGCATGATTACAGCTCACTGCAGCCTCAACCTCCTAGGCTCAAGTGATTCTCCCACCTCAGCCTCCTGAGTAGCTGGGACTACAGGCATGCACCACCAAGCCCAGATAATTTTTGTATTTTTTTGTAAAGACAGGGTTTGACCATGTTGCTGAGGCTGGTCTTGAACTTCTTGGGCTCAAGGGATCTGCCCGCCTCAGCCTCTCAAAGTGTTGGGATTATAGGCATGAGCCACCATGCCAGCCTATTTTTTCCTATTATGCTTGGTACTAATAGGTACCTAAGGAGGTAGATGTAAACTCCCCCAAAATACAGATTAGTGGTGCTTAAAGTCAATATCAATGACTAAAATTAATGGGTTTCCTATTTGAAAAGCCTATATGACCACATATTTCAGTCCTACAAAGTTTAAAAGTCCAATTAAAGTGGTTTAATCAGCTGAGTTACTCAGTATTTACAATATTTATATCTAAGCTATTCTGTGATCCAAGCAGTCAGGCAAGCCTGCAGGAAAGTGTTCCTCTTCTGGCCCCTGGCTACAGAAGGGGTAAGGTCTACCCTGATTTAACTCACGCCCTTAGCCAGAATCAGCCAGAGTATGGCCACAGGAATGTGTTCAAGCTAGCAATGGAAAGGAGAGGCTGAATTTATATGCTTACAGCTCCATAACACATATAGGTATACATTTACATACATACACACATGCAGACACACATACCCTCTCCCCTTAAACTTCCCTAACTCTACATTACAGTCATCACACTTCAAATTATTTTAAATCATATCTATTTCCCAAATTAAAGAAAATTAAAGTATATATCTCGTTAACAATCAAGATTATTAACAAAACCATAGTAATTAATTTTGACAAAAAAGCTTTTCTTTCTTTTTTTTGAATGTAGTTTTTTACTACATTCAAAATCCTGTGTTCTAAGGTCTGGATGAAAGCCAGAAATTTACTAATTTTAAGGGTATTCTTATCCAAAAAAAGGACAGCAGTAGCTTTAAATACATAGAATTCTTTGAAACACAATCCCCATTTGAAACTTCTTTTTGAGACAGGGTCCCACTTTGTCACCCAGGCTGGAGCACAGTGGTGTGATCACGGCTCACTGCAAGCTTGAACTCCTGGGCTAAAGGGATTCTCCCACCTCAGCCTCCCAAGCAGCTGGGACTACACGTGTGCGCCACCATGCCCAGCTAATTTTTTGTATTTTTTGTAGAGACAGGGTTTTGCTGTGTTGCCCAGGCTGGTCTCAAACTCCTGGGCTCAAGCGATCAACCTGCCTCAGCCTCTCAAAGTACTGGGATTACAGGCATGAGCCACCACACCCAGTCAGATTTTAACTTCTACAGTATTTTCATTTTGGAAATCATTTATTGAGCAACTCTTGTGTTGCAGGGGATATGTTATACAACATACTGAGATTTCATAGATCTATTGGACAATATCCTTGCAAATACATTTTCTACTTAGAAGCCTATAAGAAAAATATAGCTTTTTTTCCTATATTCTATCTATAGGCTTCTAAATAGAAAATATACAAATTCTCATCTTTTATGATCCACAAAATCCTAGCACAGTTCCATCAGTTTCTGAAACACAACTGCTATAAAAGAGGTGAAATTTTACCTGGGTGATAAAAGGCTGCAGGTAGTGGGAAAAGTGGTCTTTGTACAAACTGATGCAGAGGCTGTTTCTTAATGGTGTATGGATTCTTCAACATATGACAGAACCTGCATTTAAAAGCACATAATGAATGACATTTTAAGAGCTCTAATCTTTTAAAGTTGGTTTCTACTTCTCATGTATAAAAAAGACCTATGTAAAATTTAAACATAACCCGCAATAGAAATAATTAGAGAACTGACTTTTCATCTTCCATCTACATTATTTCCACTTACTTAGGCAAGCAATATCTACAAACAATTCAAAATCAGGTAGAGCTCAAATGGAAATTCCTACCCTTGATAACCGGGTGTGCACAGGATAATATAACATTGAGGTATAAGAAACAGAATTGGGCTGGGTGAGGTGGCTCACGCCTGTAATCCCAGCATTTTGGGAGGCCGAGGCAGGTGGATCACGTGAGGTTGGGAGTTCAAGACCAGCCTGACCAACATGGAGAAACCCCATCTCTACTAAAAATACAAAATTAGCCGGGCATGGTGGCACATGCCTGTAATCCCAGCTACTCAGGAGGCTGAGGCAGGAGAATTGCTTGAACCCAGGAGGCAGAGGTTGCAGTGAGCCAACATCATGCCATTGCACTCCAGCCTGGGCAACAAGAGTGAAACTCTACCTCAAAAAAAAAAAGAAACAGAATTGTATCTACATTAGTAATTTATAACCCATAGTCCCAGACTCTTGGTTATACAGGAAGGAAGCAAATAACTATAAGCTTTTTTATTTTTTTAAAAAATTTAGAATTAGGCAATAGAGTCACATGGTTCAAAACTGGTAAGGGAAAAAAGCATAAATAGTGAAAGCCTCCCTCCTTTCCTGTCCCTTACGTTTCCCTCTCTCAAGATAACCTATATTACCTGTTTTGAAAAGTATTTCAATACTTCAAAAAATCTAAAAGAAAGTATACTATTGGGCCAGGGGTGGTGGCTCACGCCTGTAATGCCAGCACTTTGGGAGGCCAAGGCAGGTGGATCACCTGAGGTCAGGAGTTCGAGACGAGCCTGCCCAACATGGTGCAACTCCATCTCTACTAAAAATACAAAAAATAGCTGGGAGTGGTGGTGGGCGCCTGTAATCCCAGCTACTCGGGAGGCTGAGGCAGAGGAATCGCTTGAACCCAGGAGGCGTAGGTTGCAGTGAGCCGAGATCGTGCCACTGCACTCCAGCCTGGCCCAAAGAGCAAGACTCCATCTCCAAAAAAAAAAAAAAAAAAAGTATACGACTGTCCTTTTTGTTTTTGAGATGGAGTCTCACTGTTGTTGGCCCAGGCTGGAGTGCAATGGCACAATCTCGGCTCACTGCAACCTCCATCTCCCAGGTGCCAGCAATTCTGCTGCCTCAGCCTCCCGAGTAGCTGAGATTACAGGTGCCCGCCACCATGCCTGGCTAATTTTTGTACTTTTTAGTAGAGACAGGGTTTCACCATGTTGGCCAGGATGGTCTCGAACTCTTGACCTCAGGTGATCCTCCCGTATCGGCCTCCCAAAGTGCTGAGATTACAGGCATGAGACACCACACCTGGCCCGTCTTTTTTTTTTGAGACTGAGTCTCACTTTGTCGCCCACGCTGGAGTGCAGTGATGCGATCCCAGCTTACTGCAACCTCCACCTCCTGGGTTCAAGTGATTCTCTTGCCTCAGCCTCCCTAGTAGCTGGGATTACAGGTGTACACCATCACACCCGGCTAATTTTTATATTTTTAGTAGAGACAGGGTTTCACCACGTTGGCCAGGCTGATCTCCAACTCCTGACCTAAAGTGATCCACCTGCCTTGGCCTCCCAAAATGCTGGGATTACACAGCCAACGATCTTGATCACGCTTTTCGTGTTTTGTTTTGAGACAGGGTCTTGTTCTGTCACCCATGCTGGAGTACAATGGTGTGATCAGGGCTCACTGCAGCCTCAACATCCTAGGCTCAAGTGATTCTCCCACCTCAGCCTCCCAAGTAGGTGACACTACAGCTGTATGCCACCATGCCCAGCTAGTTTTTTTTTTTTTTTTTACTTCTGGTAGAGATGGATTACCACTATGTTGCTCAGGCTGATCTCCAGCTCCTGGCTCAAGTAATCCTCCCACTTTGGCCTCCCAAAGTGCTGGGATTATAGGCGTGAGCCACCATGCCCTGCCTTTTATATGCTTTTTGGATGGAAACATATTAACCCAGTGTTGTAACTTCACTTCACTTTTTTTTTTCTTTTTTTTTTTGTGAGACGGAGTCTTGCTCTGTCGCCCAGGATGGAGTGCAGTGGTGCGATCTTGGCTCACTGCAACCTCCGCCTCCTGGGTTCAAGCAATTCTCCGCCTCAGCCTCCCAAGTAGCTGGGATTATAGATGCCCACCACCATGCCCGGCTAATTTTTGTATTTTTAGTAGAGACAGGGTTTCACCATCTTGGCCAGGCTGGTCTTGAACTCCTGACCTCATGATCCACTAGCCTCGGCCTCCCAAAGTGCTGGGATTACAGGCGTGAGCCACAGCGCCAGGCCTCTAACTTTACTTCACTCTTACAGAGAAAACTTAATTGGCTATTTTTTATGGCTTTGACAAACTGAAAACAAAGGAAGAAAATGAAAGCAAATATTACTGGAAAAGGAAGTAAAAGGAGACTTTAATAGTAAAAATTCTTAAAATCCCAATGCAATTTACTTTAAAATCCGGTTTACTTGAAAATATCATCGCTATCCATTACCACTGCCACTTCATAGGAGCCATAGAAAAATTTTAAGTACAGGAGTCATTTATAATTGCCAATGGGTTCACTTTGCCCACTGTCCAGATACTGCTAATTCATCAAGACAGGGGATTTGCAATAAAGAGTTTAATTCACATGGAGCCAGCTGAAAGGGAGAGTGGAGTTTTAGTACTCAGTCTCTCTGGATCTGAGGCTAGGGGTTTTCAAGGATAGACTGGCAGGCCAGGGAACGGGTGTTGCTGACTGGTTGGGGATGCAATCATAGGGGTGCGGAAAATGATCCTCCTGAGTGCTCAGCCCGTTTGTGGGCGGGGCCACAGGACCAGTCAGAAATGCAAAAACCTGAAAAGGCTAATCTTAGGTTCTACAAGAGAGATGTTTTCTGCAGGAGTAATTGGGGAAGTTGCAACTCTTAGGACCGCCAGAATAATGGCTGGTAATCATTTACATCTACACCTTAGCAGAATTCAGGCTCCTCTCATCCTCCAAACCTGGTGGTCTTTCATTAGCTTTATAAAGGTGGTTTAATTTTGGGAAAGGGCTATTATCATTTAAACTATAAACTAAATGTCTCCCAAAGTTAGCTTGGCCCAAGCCCGGGAATGGGCAGTCTAGAGGTTAAAGGCAAAATGATGGTCAGTTAGAACGGTCTTTCACTGTCATAATTTTCTGTTAAAATTTTTTCCAAAGGCCAAAATTGTTTGTGATCATACACAAGATCACATTTATCTAATTATCTTCTGCTTAAAATAGGCAAGAAGCAACAGCGGCTGCCACATTTTTTTCTCTCTCTCACAAAACTGGAATTCTTCTCGTGGAAAAGAAAGAGTGGGCACCAATTAAGTATTAACAAAATACAGATGAACTGTTTACTACCTTCAATAATCTTTATATGCCATTGATAAGCAAAAGACTACTGGGATACTGTGGGACTGTAACCCATAGAGTTTCTTAGATGCTATTGGAGAGATAAAAGGATTGGCACCGAGGATTCAAGAGAACAATGGAATCAACACTGAATGGGAATCAAATAATCTGTGAAGTCCTGACTGCCACTCCCCACACTAGCTCCAGTGTTGATCACAGTAAGAGCTGTCACCACTTTATTTTGAGATGGAAATAATCTCGCTTTTCTCACTCTGTCACCCAGGCTGAAGTGCAGTGGCGTGATCTTGGCTCACTGCAACCTCCACCTCCCTGGTTCAAGCAATTCCCCTGCCTCAGCCTCCCAACTCGCTGGGATTACAGGCACACACCACCACGCCCAGCTTTTTTTTTTTTTTTTTTAGTTTCACCATGTTGGCCAGACTGGTCTCGAACTCCTGACCTCAGCCAATCCGCCCAGCTTGACCTCTCAAAGTGCTGGGATTACAGGCGTGAGCCACCACGCCCGGCACACCACTTTAAATTACATGAATCTATTACAGCACTCATGACTGTCATTATTTGTTAATATATTTTTCTTGCTAGACTGCATACTCATTAAGGGGAGAAACTATCTTCATTTCTAGCTGCTAGCACAATGGCCTCAGTTCTTCATCTCTACAATGAGATTAGTTTCACAGCTACCTCATAAATAATCCAGAGAATCCATGTAAAGTGCTTAAACCAGTGCCAGGCCATGCAGTAAGTGCTCAATAAATGGCAGCTGCTACCATTATTTAATTGGTGCCCAATAATTACTAATTGAGTGCAGTTCAAGGTTTGGGGTAAAAATGCCTTTTTCTATAGCTCAGTATCTAAATCTGTGAATACTCTGGAATTTGGAAATGCACTAGAAGAATAATATTCTCGTCCCTTCAGCCCAGGGAAAAGGCAGCAGAATGAATAAAGAGGAAGCACATTCCAACATACAGGTTTAAAGTCTTGTTTTTTTAAAGTAAGAGTGGATTACATTATTCAAGGAAGACATCTACTCAAACACAGGAGGTAACTAACAAAAAATTCTACCAACTTAAATCTTTTTAGGATATACATTTAAACTTCAAGAGCACCATTAACACTACAATGTCTAATACTCTAGAGGGCAAACTCTCCGTAGGCCATTTTCTCCAGACGTAAAATTAAGGTACACCTACATAAATGTCCTCTTAGCAATGTTCACAGAAGTCTTTGAAAGGTGAAACTCAAAGGTAGGGCTCAGGGAGGCGGAAAAAACAAGGGAACAGAGTGGGCTTAATGGTGGTGGGTGCAGGGAATCTAGGGGTCCTGGTTCTCGTCGGAATTCCATCACTTAGAAACTGTGTAACCTTGGACATGTCACCTCCTCTTTCAGGGCCTTACTGGGAAAATGAGGAAACGAGACAAGGTATTTTCTTCCCTTCTGTGTGACATTCTGATTCTGCGTTTAGAAGAGGAGGGAATGCACCCGGTAGAGGGCCTGGGGGCGGGAGAGGCACACGATTTTAAAACAGCTCCTCCGTTCTGGCTCTACAGCCAGTCTCTACAAGCTTCCGTACCGCAGAGACTCAAGAACTGGGTCTCTGAGCCTGAGAGGAAGCTCCAGAGAGTCCGCCCGGATTAGGCCACAGAAGCGCCGAGCTCCCGCACAGACAGCCTCAGGGCTCACCCCCAACTACGGCGACAGGGCGGACCCGCCGGCTCCATCAGATGCACTACCCACCCGCCTCGAGAGAGGGTCTGCAAGGCGGCGACCGCTCCGCTGGCTAAGCCCAGCGGCACACCTATTCGGAGCTCCAGGCTCGTCACCTACCGCCTGCGCAGCCCGGCGGCAACAGCCGCAGCTCCCCAGCCCCGCCTGGCCGTCGCCGCCATCTTAGTCCGGAGTGCCTAAGGGTCTCCCTGACAGAACCACGAAAGATCTGCGCAGCCGCAGGCTGGCCGGTAGCTGGGCGGGCACTGGGAAGAGCCCACCCTACCGGCTGCGGGCGGTCCTGCTGCGGATAAGTGCGGTGGCCTACGCGCCGAGGTTTGCAGGCTACTGCGTCACCCTGACCAAGAGAGGCCGGGGAACCTTTCCCGTTTGCGCCAACGCTTGGTTAATTCACGCAGCACTGTGAACGCATGCGTGTTTCCGTACTTTGTTTTCCCTGTTGGCTAGGTTTTTAGCTGGTGCTGGTGCTGCCTTGCGAATGCTGTTTCCAGCCCCTAAACCTGACCCATTCCCTCCTCTAGGACCCTACTCAGCCTCCAGGCCCAGCTCAGTGACTGCCCCCAAAGACTCCCTGGAGCATTCCTTCTAAAAGGTTCTCGCATTTCTCCTGCCCTTTTCCCATGGGTCTGATGTGGAACTGTGTCTAACCCTTCCTCATAGCTGTGCTTGTCAGCTGCCACTTGGTCATCTTGGACCAACCCGCACAGAGGATGTATCTGGTACAGTGCTGCCCTTCTCCGATTAACATGAGACTTGACTAGTTTCCAGGGCAGAGTGCCAAAGCCCATTACCTATTCTTCCAGAACCTTCCTGGAGTATTCCGTTTTCTCTAGGACAACGGTTCTCAAAGTGCGGACTAGGGGCCAAAAAAAAGCAGGAGAACACGTTAGAAATGCACGTTAGAACATGTTAGAAATCCTGGGCCCCACTTTATACTTACTGAGGCACAATCTCTGTAGGTGGGGACTAGAAATCTTTGTTACTTGCTTTTTTTTTTTTTCTTTTTCCAGAGACAGGGTCTATCTCTGTTGCCCAGGCTGGAGAGCAGGAGTGCGATCATAGCTCACCAAAACCAACTCCTGGGCTCAAGTGATTCATCCTCCAGCCTCAGCCTCCCAAAGCACTGGGATTACAGGTGTGAGCCACGGTGCCTGGCTTTTATTAGCAGTAGTAGTAGTAGTATTTTTGTAGAGAAGAGGTCTCCCTGTGTTGCCTGGGCTGCTCTTGAACTCTGCTGGCCTCAAGTGATCCCTCTCACCTGGGCCTCCAAAAGCTCTTAGGTTACCTCACCCTGCCTAGTAGTGTTTTAACAAACCCTTCCCAGGATTCTGATGCCAGCTAAAATTTGAGAATCACTGTTCTGGAAGACAGAGGACTGGTTTCCAGAATGGAAACAGCACACCTGTTGTTGAACAGGTTGAGGCCACACCCAAGACAACCCTAGTAATTTCTATGGCCCACAGACACATCTAAGAGGGTGGGTGGGTTTCAGGCCTGCAGCTCGCCCGGGCCCGCACACTGAGTGGGCTGTGCCTCCTACGAGTTTGGTTCATTCCCAATGCTGCGTACTTGCTTTTAACTACTAGTGATCTTCCCCCATCCAACCCCCCACCCAGTGATCTTCCCCCATCCAACCCCCCACCCACCCCCCCACACACACCCATTCTAGACCGCAAGGCAGTCCAAGGCTCTGTTTTTGACCCTCAATCAAAAATAAAATGTGGCTCTTCCACCTTGGAACAATCGTTCTTCTCAGACTTCAATTTTTCCCTCTCTGATGGATTCCTTATCATAAGAAAAATCCTGCCTTGCCCCAAATCCTCTTCCACACTCTTTTCTTCCCTTCAGAACCAAGTGGCTTAAAAAAATGGTCTGCACTCTTAGTCTCTAGTTTTTCACTTCCCACTCCTCAAACCCCTGAAACGAGGCTTCTATGTCCCACCATTCTTAGGGCCTGCTCTAGTCAAACCACCCACAGCCTCTGTGCTACTGTGTCCGGAATTGGTGGGTTCTTGGTCTCGCTAACTTCAAGAATGAAGCCATGGACCCTTGTGGTGAGTGTTACAGTTCTTAAAGATGGTGTGTCCAGAGTCTGTTCCTTCAGATGGTCAGATGTGTCCGGAGTTTGTTTCTTCTGGTGGGTTCGTGGTCTCACTGACTTCAGGAGTGAAGCTGCAGACCTTTGCGATGGGTGTTACAGTTCATAAAGACAGCACGGGCCCAAAGAGTGAGCCACATCAAGATTTACTACAAAGAGCAAAAGAACAAAGCTTTCATAACATGGAAGGGGACCCAAGCAGGTTGCCACTGCTGCCTCAGGCACCCTGCTTTTATTCCCTTATCTGACCCCACCCACATCCTGCTGATTGGCCCATTTTACAGAGAGCTGATTGGTCCATTTTACAGAGTACTGATTGGTTTGTTTTACAGAGAGCTGATTGGTCCGTTTTGACAGGGTGCTGATTGGTGCGTTTACAATCCCTGAGCTAGACATAGAGTGCTGATTGGTGTATTTACAATCCTCTAGCTAGAGTAAAAGTTCTCCAAGTCCCCACTAGGTTAGCTAGACACAGAGCACTGATTGGTGCATTTACAAACCTTGAGCTAGACACAGGGTGCTGATTGGTGTATTTACAATCCTTTAGCCAGACATAAAAGTTCTCCAAGTTCCCACCAGATTAGCTAGATACAGAGTGCTGATTGGTGCATCCATAAACCCCAAGCTAGACACAGAGTGCTGATTGATACATATACAATCCTCTGGCTAGACATAAAAGTTCTCCAAGTCCCCACCTGACTCAGGAGCCCAGCTGGCTTCGCCTAGTGGATCCCATGCCAGGGCCATGAGCAGAGCTGCCTGCCAGTCCTGCACCACAAGCCTGCACTAGAAAAAGTATCAGGCCCAGAGAGGCATTTAAAATGTAGCAGCAGTAATATCTCATTCGCCCTTGAGCTAAGTAACAACTTCTTGAAGTCACTTGCTATGTATACACTAGACTAATGTCAAGAAGCCGTTAACATGCCATATACCCTATAGTTCAACAGTGCATGGCCAGTCACTAACAATGTTATTTCTGTAAACCAATGAGAATACCTGCTGAGCATGGTGGCTCACACCTGTAATCCCAACACTCTGGGAGGCCAAGGTGGGCAAATTGCTTGAGCCCAGGAGTTTGAGACCATGCTGGGAAACATGGAGGGTTTACAAGCATGAGCCACTAACCCTGGCAGAATAAAAACATGTTATCTGAGGAAGGTGAGCCCCTTTAAATTATGAGGCCCATTGACTAGCCTAAAAAAGAAAAGTATCAGGGCCGGGTGCTGTGGCTCACGCCTCTAATCCCAGCACTTGGGAGTCTCTACAAACAAACCATGTCTCCACAAAAAATTAGCCAGATGTCATGGCATATGCCTGTAGTGCCAGCTATTTGGGAGGCTGAGATGAGAGAATCACCTGAGCCTGGGAAGTTGAGGCTGCAATGAGCCGTGATTGCACCACTGCACTCCAGCCTGGGTGACAGCATGAGACCCTGTCTCAAGAAAAAAAAAAAGTCAAATGAGAATACCTGATGAGCAACTTTTGTAATTGTTCCTCTCCCCTGATTTGTCTCTTTTTCTTTAAAAAGTTGAGCCTCTCCTTTTTTCCCAGAGCACTCTCCAAGGCAACCTGCAATATGGCCAGGGCTACAGTCCTCAACCTTGGCCCAAATAAATTCTCTATATTAATTTTGCCTCAGCTTCTTTCTTTTAGGTCAATATTTGCCTACAGTACTGTTTAATTAGGTTTCCTGTTACTCACAGATGATCAAAATCCTGTGTGGAGTAATATTAAGATGAACAAAACAATTCCTGGTCTCAGGGAGCTCCTGGAGAAGATTTGTAAATCAACAAAGGCACTAAGGGAATAGAACGCTATGTGGGGGAGAGGAAGCATTGTCAAATGTGAAATGGTGTTTAACTTTCTTTGGGTTATATTTATATGAATGAGTTATTAATGTGTGTTTCAAAATTGTGTGAGATTCCTGTAATTCTGGTATGTCTTAGTATATGACATCAGTAATAATTATGATTATTATGTTACATCGTTGTGTGCCACAGAAATAACCAAATTTCCTTGTCAATTGTGTCTTTAACCATGGCTGTTCTTTTTTTTTTTTTTTTAATACTTTAAGTTTTAGGGTACATGTGCACAATGTGCAGGTTAGTTACATATGTATACATGTGCCATGCTGGTGTGCTGCACCCACTAACTCGTCATCTAGCATTAGGTTAACCATGGCTGTTCTAAGAGTTTTGTCATCCACAGACAATTGTTGTTTTATTTTGATTCTTCTCAAAAAGTAGTTTATAATCAGCTGCAGTCCAAAATTTTCTTCTTTAAGGAAATTCATGGAAAGGACTCTAACAAATACTCTTGAATACAAGTTTCCGATAACTTTGGAGATCATAGCATTGGACTATGAAAATGCTTTCCAGGACTCTAATTAAAAAGCTGATGTATTCATGAGGATTGCTAACCCAACATCAAAAAGAACAAGAGTTAATTAATGGGACTAAACCAATAGAATATTAAAGTAATTTTTGTATGTGTGTGAAGTAATTTTTAATGACTGTTTTTTGTTTGAAACATTGCTGATAATTTTTGTTTTGTTTTTACAGAGTCAAGAAAACTTTTTTCTGTTGAGCTATTTATAGCTTACAACAAGTTGGGTAAAATATACCTTTCTGATCAAAATTTGAAGCATATTCTTTCTCTCTAAATTTCCCCAGAATTTGGAAACTATTTGTGAGATTCTTTTTTTTTTTTTTTTTTTTTTTTTTTTTTTGAGACAAGGTCTCACTCTGTTGCCCAGGCAGGATTGCAGTGGTGCAATCTCAGCTCACTGCAGCCTCAACTTCCCAGGCTAAACTGATCCTTCCACCTCAGCCTCCCAAGCAAGTAACTGTGACTACAGGTGCCCAACACCACACTCAGCTAATTTTGTTTATTTTTTGCAGAGACAGGGTCTCACTATGTTGCCCAGGCTGCTCTCAAACTCCTGAGCTCAAGCAGTCCTCCTGCCTCAGTCTCCCAAAGTGTTGGGATTACAGGTGTGAGCCACCACACCCGGCCTATTTGTGAGTATTCTTAATATATAGCAGTATAGTTATTTGCATAAATTCAGTAAGAATCTGTTTTCTTTTGTAACAGGACAAAATTTGAGACACTGGTTATTTTATCAAGGCTTTGACTGGAATAGCATTTTTTTCAGATGTACTCCGACTGCTTTGAGGAATTGACATTGACTTTATAGAGCCAATAAAAAGCCCTTTGGAAAGACTGGCCTGGTACCATGTCTATCCAATTCTTTTACAAAGTTCCTGACCTGTAATAAGTAAAGATTGTCACTTTCTGACAGGCCCAGGAAACTCAAGTTACTTTGGAACCTCAAGAAAAGTGGAATTCACCCCCAATTCATACAGGTATCTACAGGCATACATAAATCCTTGGCTTGGATAACCTCAAGAGGCTTTTAAAAAGTCAAATCTGCTATTCCTTATGAAATGGTTCCCACAAAGCCAATTTAAAAGGAGCCTCTATGGTCAATCACTACGCTTACAGCATTGTATGCAAATAATCAGGCCAAGTACAATAAGACTAAAACTTATTTTGTAAATAAATTGGTCCTACTATGATTTATCCTTGATAAAAATGGGAAACTAGAAAAAGAAAAATTACGTTTCAGAAGAAAACTATAGTGTACCTGTTTCACTCGCATCCGTGTGAAGAGACCACCCAACAGGTTTTGTGTGAGCAACAGGGCTGTTTATTTCACCTGGGTGCAGATGGGCTGAGTCTGAAAAGAGAGTCAGCAAAGGGAGATAGGGGTGGGGCCATTTTATAGGATTTGGGTAGGTAAAGGAAAATTACAGTCAAAGGGGGTTGTTTTCTAGCTGGCAGGGGTAGGGGTCACAAGGTGCTCAGTGTGGGAGCTTTTGATCCAGGATGAGCCAGGAGAAGGAATTTCACAAGGTAATGTCATCAGTTAAGGCAGGAACAGGCCATTTTCACTTCTTTTATGATTCTTCAGTTACTTCAGGCCATCTGGATGTATGTGCAGGTCACAGGGGATATGATGGCTTAGCTTGGGCTCAGAGGTCTGACATTCCTGTCTTTTTATATTAATAAGAAAAATAAAACAAAATAGTGGTAAAGTGTTGGGGCGGTGAAAATTTTGGGGGGTGGTATGGAGAGAGAATGGGTGATGTTTCTCAGGGCTGCTTCAAGCGGGATTAGGGGCAGCGTGGGAATCTAGAGTGGGAGAGATTAAGCTGAAGGAAGATTTTGTGGTAAGGGGTGATATTGTGGGGTTGTTAGAAGAAACATTTGTTGTATAGAAGTATTGGTGATGGCCTGGATATGGTTTTGCATGAATTAAAAAACTAAAAGGAATAAGAGAAGGAGAAAAACAGGTATTAAAGGACTAAGAATTGGGAGGACCCAGTACATCTAATTAGAGAGTGCCCAAGGAGGTTCAGCATAGCCCTGCCAGCAAAGATTATTTATTTACTTTAAGAAGGAGTTAAGAGTGGCGGTTTGGAGATAGCACCAGGAGATATCAGCTGTGATGGCTTGGAGAAACAGTGTAAACCGGCACTGTAAACAAGAGCAGGGCATTTATGTGTAGTTGAGAATGGTGAATATGAGTATGACCAGACAGAAGATAGTAGGGATGACAAGTTTTTTGGGGTACAGTCCAAGTTGGTATGGTGTCTGGAATGAGACTGGGGCCTAATAAAAAGGAACGTCTATACAGGAGCTCAAATGGGCTGTACCCTGTAGCATTCCAAGGACAGGCCCAAATTCTGAGAAAGGCAAGTGATAAAAGTATTGTCCAGTCCTTTTTAAGTTGGTGGCTGAGCTTGGTGAGTTGTGTTTTTAAAAGACCATTAGTCCATTCTACCCTTCCTGAAGACTGAGGACGGTAAGGGATATAAAGATTTCACTGAATACCAAGAGCCTGAAAAACTGCTTGGGTGATTTGACTAATAAAGGCCAGTCCGTTATCGGACTGCATAGAGGTGAGAAGGCCAAACCGAGGAATTATGTCTGACAGAAGGGAAGAAATGACTGCGGTGGCCTTCTCAGACCCTGTGGGAAAGGCCTCTACCCACCCAGTGAAAGTGTCTACCCAGACCAAGAGGTATTTTAGTTTCCTCACTGAGGCATGTGAGTAAAGTCAATTTTCCAGTCCTGGGTGGCCCCGAGCTTGATATGTAGGCCTGAGTAATCCCTGAAGAGTAGTAGAATAGCAGATGGAACACTGAGAAGTGATTTCCTTGAGGATAGATTTCTACGATGGAAAGGAAATGAGAGGTTCTAAGAGATGGGCTAGCGGCTTGTAACCTACATGGAAGAGGTTATGAAATGACAACAGAATAGAATGGGCCTGTGAGGCTGGAAGGAGACCCTTGGTCCAAGAACCATTTGCCTTGTGTGGGAAAAGATTGATAGGTGGAAGTTTCAGTTGGGGAGTAGGTGGGAGTGGCCAGATGAAAAGGAGAAAAACTGCCATGAGGGATAGAAGTTGGAACTCTAGCTGCTTTTTTAGCTACCTTATCAGCATAAGCATCATCCTGAGCAATGGGATCTGATGCCTTTTGATGGCTGCTTTTTAAGCTACCTTATCAACATACGCATTGTCCTGAGCAATGGGATCTGATGCCTTTTGATGGCCCTTGCAGTGAATGACTCCAGCCTCCTTTGGAAGTAAAGCAGCTTTGAGAAGAGTTTTTGTTAAAGAGGCATTAATAATGGAGGACCCTTGCATAGTGAGGAAATCTCTTTCAGCTCATGTAACAGCATGGTGGTGCAGGATATGGAAGGCATATTTAGAGTCAGTATAAATATTGACACATAATTCCTTTGCAAGGGTGAGGACTTGAGTTAAGGCAATGAGTTTGGCTTGCTGAGAGGTAGTGTAGTGCAGCAGAAAGTATATGCATCAGGTGTGAGGAAGAAAATAGATTTTGGAAGTTATGAGAACTGTAGAGAGTGAGTTGAGCATAGTTTGTGATTTTGAGGGCCTCTAAAAGTATTAGGGCGGTGGCAGCCACTGCACAGAGACATGATGGCCAGCCTAAAACAGTAAGGTCAAGTTGTTTGGACAAAAAGGCTATAGGGCATGGTCCTGGTCCTTGTGTAAGAATTCCAACTGCACAGCCCTGCACTTTGGCTGTGTGTAATGAAAAGGGTTGGGATGAGTCAGGGAGAGCTAACGTGGGGGCAGTCTCTAAAGCTATCTTCAAGGAATGAAAAGAGGAGTGGGGAAAGGATTTAGGATTTATGGGGTCAGCTAGGTTTCCTTTTGTGAGTTTATATAATGGTTTTGTTAGGATGGCAAAACCAGGTATCCAAAGGTGAAAGTATCCAATCATGCCTAGGAAGGAAAGGAATTGTGGTTTTGTAGAAGGTGTTAGGGTTTGAGAGATCAGTCAGACACGATCAGCAGGGAGAGCATGTGTGTTTTTATGAAGAATTATGCCAAGGTAGGTAACGGATGGAGAAGAAATTTGAGCTTTGGAGAAGGATACCCGATATCCTTTGGAGAATAAATGTTGAAAGAGCAGGAGGATGTCTTGTTGAGAAGATTCAAAGGAGGGGCTACAAAGTAGAAGGTCATCAATATATTGAATAAGGTGAGCAGCGGAGGGATGGAAAGAAAGTAAATCATGAGAAAGAGCTTGGCTGAAGTAATGAGGGCTGTCCCTGGAGCCTTGTGGCAGTACAGCCCAGGTAAGCTGCTGAGACTGATAGGTGTCAGGATCAGTCTAGGTAAAAGCAAAGAGAGGCTGGGACAAGGGGTGCAGGGGAATAGTGAAAAAAGCATCTTTAAGATCAAGAATAGAATAGAGAGTTGTGGAGGAAGGTATTGAGGACAAAAGAGTGTAAGGGTTGGGCACTACAGGGTGGATAGGCAAAACAATTTGGTTGATAAAGTGTGCATCCTGAACTAACCTGTAAGGCTTGTCCGGTTTTTGGACAGGTAAAATGGGGGAATTGTAAGGAGAGTTTATAGGCTTTAAAAGGCCATGCTGTAACAGGCAAGTGATAACAGGCTTTAATCCTTTTAAAGTGTGCTATGGGATGGGATATTGGCGTTGAGCGGGGTAAGGGTGATTAGGTTTTAATGGGATGGTAAGGGCTTGAGATCGGTTGCCATGGAGGGAGTAGAGGTATCCTATAATTGTGGGTTAAGGTGGGGAGATACGAAAGGAAGACACGAAGGAGGCTTTGAACTGGGGGAAAAGGCAGCAATGAGGTGTGGCTGTAGCCTAGGAATAGTCAGGGAAGCAGATAATTTAGTTAAAATGTCTCAGCCTAATAAGGGAACTGGGCAGGTGGGGATAACTAAAAAAGAGTGCATAAAAGAATGTTGTCCAAGTTGGCACCAGAGTTGGGGAGTTTAAGAGGTTTAGAAGCCTGGCCATCAATACCCACAACAGTTATGGGGGCAAGGGAAATAGGCCCATGAAAAGAAGGTAATGTGGAGTGGGTAGCCTCCGTGTTGATTAAGAAGGGGACGGGCTTACCTTCCACTGTGAGAGTTACCCGAAGCTTGGCATCCATGATGGTCTAGGGGGCTTCCAAGGTGATTGGGCAGCATCAGTCTTCAGCCGCTAAGCCAAGAAGATCCGGGAAGGAGTCAGAGAGCCTTGGGCCAGAGTTCCAGGGGCTCTGGGAGTGGCTGCCAGGTGAGTTGAAGAGTCCGATTTTCAGTGGGGTCCCACACAGATGGGACATGGCTAAGGAGGAATAACGGGCTGTGGGCATTCCTTGGCCCAGTGGCCAGATTTCCAGCACTTGTAGCAAGCTCCTGGGGGAGGAGGTCCTGGAGGAACACGTGGCTGCTGCGGTTCAGGCGTTTTGAAGTTTTTGTGTGCTGGAGATGTGGCTGGGGTTTCCCTCACAGTGGAGGCAAGGAATTGCAACTCAGAAATACATTGCTACTTGGCTGCCTCTACTCTATTATTGTACACCTTGAAGGTGAGGTTAATTAAGTCCTGTTTTGGGGTTTGAGGGCCGGAATTTAATTCTTGGAGCTTTATTTCTAATGACAGGAGCTGACTGGGTGATAAAATGCATATTTAGAATGAAACAGCCTTCTGACCCTTCAGTGTCTAGGGCTGTAAAGAGTCTAAGGGTTGCTGCCAAACAGGCCATGAACTGGGCTGGGTTTTTATATTTGATGAAAAAGAGCCTAAACACTAACCGATTTGGGAAAGGTCAGATAAAGGAAAGGAGCATTAACCTTGACTATGCCTTTAGCTCCAGCCACCTTTCTAAGAGGAAATTTCTGGGCAGGTTGGGGAGGGCTAGTTGCAGAACAAAACTGTAAGCTGGACTGGGTGTGAGGAGAGGAGGTGATAAAAGGATTACAGGGTGGGGGAGTGGAGGCTGAGGAAGAATTGGGACCTAGCTCAGCCTGGCGAGGAGCAGCCTGGGGAGGAGGGGAGAGGTCAGATGGGTCTGTAGAAAAGGAAGATTGGAAAGACTCATTGACGCTTGGGGTTAGGACTGAGGGGACAGGCGGGAGGGAAAGAAGCAAGATTTGGGACGAGTTGCATTAGAAACAGAGACTAGGGAGGGACCGATGTGTAAAAGAATGCCTGGATATCAGGCACCTCAGACCGTTTGCCCATTTTATGACAAGAATTATTTAGATCTTGTAGGATGGAAAAATCGAAAGTGCTGTTTTCTGGTTATTTGGAACCACTGTCAAGTTTGTATTGGGGTCAAGCGGTGTTGCAGAAGAAAATAAGGCATTTAGGTTTTAGGTCAGGTGTGAGTTGAAGAGGTTTGAAGTTCTTGAGAACACAGGCTAAGGGAGAAGAAGGAGGAATGGAGTGTGGAAGGTTGCCTATAGTGAAGGAGGCAAGTCCAGAGAAAAGAGAGGATAGGGACATGGAGAGAAGGGGTGGGGGGCGCTTGCCCTTAGGAAAGCAGAAAAGGGGTGGGAGGTGCTTGCCCCCCAGGAAAGTGGAAAAGGGGTAGAGACAGAGAGAGAAGGAGTGGGGGGGTGCTTGCCCCCCAGAAAAGTGGAAAAGGGGTAAAGACACGGAGAGAAGAGGTGGGGGATGCTTGCCCTCCAGGAAAGTGGAAAAGGGATAGAGACATGGAGAGAAGGGGTGGGGGGGTGCTTGCCCCCCAGAAAAGCAGTGCTTGCCGCTAAGGCTGAAGGACCAAGGCAGGCATCCCTGTGTGGTCAGACACCTCTGAAATGTGGGTGAATAATCAAGCAGGCAACCCCACATGATTAAACACCAAGGGAAGACTGTCTTCCCGAGTCCGTGACCAGCGCCGGAGTTTTGGGTTCACGGATAAAACGCATCTCCTGTCTCTACCAGAAAAGGAGAGGAACTGAAATTAAGAGAAGGGAGAGACCAAAGTGTGATTGAAGGAACTGAAATTAAGAGAAGGGAAAGACTGAAGGAGAAAGAGGTTGAGGGATAGTGAGAGAGGTTGGAGAAGAGAGTAAAAAGAGGCCGCTTACCCGATTTAAAATTGGTGAGATGTTCTGTGGGCTGGTTGGTCTGAGGACCTGAGGTCATAAGTGGATCCTTCTCACAGAGCAAAGAGCAGGAGGACATGGGATTTATCTCCCAAGGGAGATCCCCCGATCCGAGTCACAGCACCAAATTTCATTCGCGTCCGTGTGAAGAGACCACCAAACGGGTTTTGTGTGAGCAACAAGGCTGTTTATTTCACCTGGGTGCAGGCGGGCTGAGTCTGAAAAGAGAGTCAGCAAAGGGAGATGGGGTGGGACCATTTTATAGGATTTGGGAAGGTAAAGGAAAATTACAGTCAAAGGGGGTTGTTCTCTGGCTGGCAGGGGTGGGGGACACAAGGTGCTCAGTGGGAAAGCTTTTGAGCCAGGATGAGCCAGGAGAAGGAATTTCACAAGGTAATGTCATCAGTTAAGGCAGGAACAGGCCATTTTCACTTCTTTTGTGATTCTTCAGTTACTTCAGGCCATCTGGATGTATACATGCAGGTCATAGGGGATATGATGGCTTAGCTTGGGCTCCGAGGCCTGACACCTGTTATTAGATTCTAGCCTTATTCATTGTTTTTGAGTTTTTATTATTTGCCTATAATTTGGACTGGATTCAGACTTATTTCCTGGCTGCAAGTCTCCAAACTAACATTTTCAACTTTTTCTTCCATTTTCTTGATTTGGAATTGTTACTGGAAAGGGGTCCCGATCCAGACCCTAAGACAGAGTTCTTGGATCTTGCGTACGAAAGAATCCAGGGTGAGTCCGTAAAGTGAAGCAAGTTTATTAAGAAAGTAGAGGAATAAGGGGGGAGGGATAGCATTAGGCAATATACCTAATGCTAAATGACGGGTTAATGGGTGCAGCACACCAACATGGCACATGTATACATATGTAACAAACCTGCACGTTGTGCACATGTACCCTAAAACTTAAAGTATGATAATAATAATATAATAAAATAAAAAAAAGAAGTAGAGGAATAAAAGAATGGCTACTTCATAGACAGAGCAGCCCCAAGGGCTGCTGGTTGTCAATTTTATAGTTATTTATTGATGATATGCTAAACAAGGGGTGGATTCTTCATGCCTCTCCTTTTTAGACTATATAGGGTAACTTCCTGACATTGCCATGGTATTTGTAAACTGTCATGGTGCTGGCGGAAGTGTAGCAGAGAGGATGACCAGAGGTCTCTCTTGTCGCCATCTCGGTTTTGGTGGGTTTTGGCCGGCTTCTTTACTGCAAGTTGTTTTATCAGCAAGGTCTTTATGACCTGTATCTTGTGCTGAGATCCTATCTCATCCTGTGACTTAGAATGCCTGGGAATGCAGCCCAGTAGGTCTCAGCCTTATTTTACCCAGCCCCTACTCACGATGGAGTTGCTCTGGTTCACATGCCTCTGATGAATCATGAGAAATTAAAACTATGCTTTTCTTAAAGCTCTACAAGCAGAAGCCAGAGAACTTAAACTTTGGGAGAAATAACAGCAATTTATATATAAACAATCTTTGTGCCTATTGAATATGAACTATGCAAAGGGTTCACTTAAACACCTGATTCAAGTCACAATCCAGGAAAATCCGTCAGATTGCCACTGCAATCTGAAGATGCTTCAGAGACTCTAGAAAAACTAGTCTATAGACTGCTTCAGACATTATAATGTGTCAATGTACAACTAAAAGAGTTAGGGAGATGATTGCCCAAAGAATTGCCTTAATTGAGGAGACAATTACGTAGCCTGAATCAGGTTCCAGGATTACTTTCCCTTTGTTGCTGTTATTTGGCATTGCTTCTTTAGTTTCTCCCCCATCTCCGTAGGACATGACCCCCTAGGAATGAGGCTTCCTAGCGACTTGGAATCAGATGAAACTTACAACCACAAACTCGTGTCTTCTACAGGGTTTTTTCTCTGAAAGATTTTGAAGAACGAGGACATGTGACAGAAAATTTAAAAAATTTCAGGACTTCCACTCCTTATTCCAAAGAGGCTGAGTTATGCAACCCCCTCTTGCAAATGAATAGCTGTCACTAGCATTATGCGTTAGCCAGACCCGCATGGAAAGGTAAAAGGCCTCAGGCATCTCCGAATAACTTCCCCATAGATCATGCATAAGTAAATTCTTTGCCAGCCTCCCATAAACAAGGACATGCCAGTTGTAACTTTAGGTTTCCAGTGTATCTCGCTCCTAAAACTAAAGTCTGTTCCATTCCACACTGATAATGTTGATTACAAGCTTATCTTCCCAGGTGTAGAACAAAGACAAATGAGATCAGTCATTCCTCCAGCTACCCAAAGATGTTTGCATAATTGATTCTTCCTTTAATCCCTTTTTTCTTCAGACATTCATCTTATCTTATGTAAAAATGTAGATTTACTGGGCACTAACTAAAGTCTCCTAAGAATGTAACCATTCACCTTTACACCTACCTGCCCATCTTCCTACGTGCCTTCCTCCCCTTTAAGGAAAAGTATACATACTAAACCTCCTGAAAACCTCTTTGGAAAAACAGCCACAGATACATCTGTGGCTCACGTTTTTTTCCCTGACACTCCCTGAAGCTGGCTTAATAAACCTCAATTGACTGAGATACTTGCCTCAGTCACTCATTCTGGTTATCTTTCCCAACATGGATGTCAGCAGTGACATTAACTACTAGTTCTGCCCCTTACTCTATGGCATCACTTGACTGTAAGCACCATATAGGCATGCCACCTTTATCTTCTTGATTTTATTCCTAGTGCCTGGCATTTAAGACATACTCAAGATATACTTGCTAAATTGAAACCTCTCTGAAGTTCTGTAGAACTAATCATCTTCTAATAAATATATTTTATTTCATTATTATGCTAATTATTTTTCCATCAGTTTCCCCTGTCTAGAATGTATGCCCCACAAAGGTAGAGATATTTGCTTATATTGATAACTGATGTATCTCATATGCCTAGAACAGCACCTGTCATTCAGTAAGTGCTCCATAAATACTTCTTGAGGCCCGGCGTGGTGGCTTACACCTGTAATCCCAGCACTTTGGGAGGCCGAGGAGGGTGGATCACGAGGTCAGGAGATCGAGACCATCCTGGCTAACATGGTGAAACCCTGTCTCTACTAAAAATACAAAAAATTAGCCAGGCGTGGTGGCACACACCTGTCGTCCCAGCTACTCAGGAGGCTGAAGCAGGAGAATGCTTGAACCCGGGAGGCAGAGGTTGCAGTGAGCAGAGATCGTGTTACTGCACTCCAGCCTGAGCGACAGAGCAAGACTCCGTCTCACAAAAACAAACAAAAAAAACTTGTTGAATGGATGAGCCTAACTTTCCTAATCTGTAAAATGCAGGGAACAATACCTACTGAAAATGGTTGAGTGATTAGAGAAAATGCATTCAAAGTGCCTTGAACTGAGCTTGTCACATAGGTAGTTACAACGATGCTGTTGCTTTATTCTCCTATAACACTTTTAGACCCGTTCCTGATGTTCTACAAGGAGTGACACCTGAGGTCAGCCGACTAATCTGTGTTATTCCTAGAAATGAGATGGATTTGAGTATTTCTGCTGGACTGATGTGGCAGATGAAACAAAGAAATATTTACCTGAGGTATGGTGAACGCTTCTGGGAAAGAATTCATCCTGGGGAAGAATTCCTGTCTTGAGGAAAGAGTCAATTCATATGTTTGATCCAAGGTCAAGCAGCCCAGATACTCAGACTGTCTTCTGGACCAGCCCCCATGAACTCTGCCTCAGGCTCAGGGAGAGTGTTTGAAATAAAGGAAAAGAAGGAAGTTGTTTCATTAAAACATCTAAGACTGTGTGAGCCCTGAGCCCAGGGTCCTGCTGCTTTCTAGCCAGTGAAAGGAGAGGGGCATGCTGTACCCCAGTGGAACCTGTGGAGCACAGTTAACTACTGATTGGATGTCAGGGTCTGAAGCAGGTTGCACCAGCCCGCATCTGGACAGGCGAAGTAGGAAGACATTACACCATAGGTGCCTTGGCCTTGTTAAATAAAATTATGGGAGGTCATTGTTTTGGACTGAGCTCCTGCACTAGGCCCCAACAGACCAGACCAAACTAAAATGGAGTCACTCACGCTAAATGCCATGTAATCAAACTGAAACTTGTAGGAGGCAGATAGACCTCAAAACAGACCTGTTTCTTTTTTTCTCCTGAAAACAGGAGATTCCAGCATGACAAGGAAGTCCTCCTATGCTGTAACTCTTACAAAAAAGTAACCTGATGTTACCCAATCAGCTTTCTTTCTATTGTTCTGTTTCTTTGTTCCCACCTTACAAAACCCACTGTTCTGCCAGGCACAGTGGCTCACGCCTGTAATCCCAACACTTTGGGAGGCTGAGGTGGGTGGATCACTAGGTCAGGAGATCAAGACTATCCTGGTTAACACGGTGAAACCCTGTCTCTACTAAAAATACAAAAAATTAGCCGGGCGTGGTGGCGGGCGCCTGTAGTCCCAGCTACTCAGGAGGCTGAGGCAGGAGAATGGCGTGAACCCGGGAGGCGGAGCTTGCAATGAGCCGAGATCTCGCCGCTGCACTCCATCCAGCCTGGGTGACAGAGCGAGACTCTATCTCAAAAAAACAAAACAAAACCCACTGTTCTATTATTTCTCAGTGAAATTTGAGACCAAATAACTCCATGTATGATGGTGACAGAATGATATCAATGCCTAAAGTTTTGGTTAATCTCTCAGATTGAGAGGTTGTTCAAAAGGGGGAAATTGTTATGTTTGGCCTAAAGCTGCCCCCTTGCATATTTTAAGTTAGGTTTCTCTAGACACAGTGAACTGTAACCCAACTTGATTTCTTAACAGACTCTTCTAACAAGCAGTCTCAGCCAGTCACAGGAGCCAAACTTCAGTCAACCACAGGCAGTCAAATGTTCAAACCAGGTCAAATAAGGTAAATCCCCAGCTGTCACCAATTGAGCTGTTTCTGTACCTCACTTTTATTTTCTATAGATTACTTTCCTTTTTCTGTCCATAAATCGTATCTAACCATGTGACAGTCCTGGAGTCGCTCTGAACCTACTCTGGTTCTGGGGGCTGCCTGATTTGTGAATCATTCGTTGCTCAATTAAGCTCTGTTAAATTTAATTTGTCTAAAATTGTTCTATTAACAGCCTTCTGGGGCTGATTTGGTCGCAGGCAGCAGAGCAGTTGAAGAAGCAAATTAGTAAATGGTAGCAGAACAGAATCTGTTCCAAGCACACATGATCCCAGGAATGGATGGAGAGAGATGTCAGTCATGGGACTTTCCACAGAGAAGGTGGGAGCAGAGACACAGCCACATTGTACTGTGAGGTTGGTGAAGGTCTCAAAAAAGGATTAAGCAAATGACAACAAAGATAATACCTTCCATTTATCACTCTAATTACATACAGCCCCTTCTGCATTGTCTTTGGTTTGTTGATTGAGAGGGAAAAATATCTTCTTTCTTAAATAATCCAGAAAAAAACTTTTATTTATTTAAGACACAGTCTTGCTCTGTCTTCCAGGCTGGAGTGCAGTGGTGTGACCATGGTATACTACAGCTTCAAACTCCTGGGCTCAAGTGATCCTTCTACCTCAGCCTCCTAAGTAGCTGGGACTAGAGGTGCACACCACAGTGCCCAGTTATTTTTTTATCTTTATCTTTGTAGAGACAGGGGTCTCACTATGTTATACAGGTGGCTCTCGGAACTCCTCAAGTGATCTTCCTGCATCAGCCTCCCAAAGTGCTGGGATTACAGGCCTGAGCCACTATGCCAGACCTGGAATAAACATTTTAAAAACAAAGTTCCTGCTCTTGTATTTCCCAAAATTTCTCTGCAAGCTTTGTAGCTTTTCTGCTAGTTTGTTTGTTTGTTTTTAGGATGGAGCCTCACTCTGTCGCCCAGGCTGGAGTGCAGTGGCGTGATTTTGGCTCACCACAACCTCCGCCTCCCAGGTTCAAGCCATTCTCCTGCCTCAGCCTCCCGAGTAGCTGGGATTACAGGCATGTGCCACCACACCCGGCTAATTCTTGTATTTTGAGTAGAGACAGTGTTTCACCATGTTGGCTAGGCTGGTCTTGAACTCCTGACCTCATGATCCGCCCACCTCGGCCTCCCAAAGTGCTGGGATTACAGGCGTGAGCCATCACGCCTGGCGCTCTTCTATTTTTTACCTAATGATTACCCCAAAAACCAACAAAACCTTGATTTCCTTCATCAAACTACTTCTCCCCTTTTACCTCCAAAGCCAGGTGTTCCTAGATTTGAGATCTAAGAGAATACCTGGGAACACCTGGTCATTCGGGTTTGTAGCTATGTATATGTATATGTAGCTGGAAGGCTACCTCTTCTGGCTATGAAGGGTGTGCCCTGTTTAACTCTAGAGGCCACAATAAAACAAGATGCAATGTGAATCGTTCCCTGGAGTTAACCAGCATGGTAGCCCTGTGGAACAGGATATGGAATGGGACTTTCCTGCTGTCTTGGAGTTTTGGCTTAAGCCTCCAAGTCAAGGACACTGGGTGATATCAAAGGCCTCTAACATTTTAAAGTGGTTAGGCTTCCTGAAAGATGTTAAAAAAAAAAATTGGTGACACCTCCACCCAACCCATCCATGTTACGTAAGACAAGCCAACTGAGAATCATCCTTAAAGGCCCTAGGTTGCCTATGATTAGAGGAGTGTGAGGTCTCACTCCCTGACTGCGGGCTTCCTGCCCTGCAGAAACTTTTGGGTCAGTCTCCCCAATTACTGGGGTAAAATATGGTAAGACGGTCCTTGGAGTGTCCTCAGGAGTTTGGGGATGAATTCCAGAGAAGAGAGGTGGGTCCAAGTAGCCCACAAGAGGCACAGCAAAGAGAGAAGGGACAGGAGACAGGCTTGCACTCTCATATTTGGTGGGACAAGGATGCCAAAACTTTCCATGGGCCAAGTGGGCACTGCAGAAGCAAGCCAGGGTGAGCCTTCCTGGAGGGATTCTGCTAATGAGGGGCGCTAGCAGGGAAGGGGACCCCAGCTTGCTGAGTAAAATGTACTTATCAGGGGCAGGAGGTAAGAGGAGCAGGTTGCAAGAATTACAGCGGGAGTCAAATCAGTTTTCTGTAAAGGGCCATAGGGTAAATATTTTTGTCTTTGCCGACCACATGGTCTCTGTTGCAACTACTCCACCCTGTCCTTGGATAGCAAAAGCAGCCATAGGCAATATATAAATGAAAGACTGTGGCTATGTTTCAATACAGAAAGTCTTGAGTTCCACTTCCTGTGAGGAGGAATATAATCTAATAATAGATTAATTGAAATTCTGTGTGAGAGATTTGTTTTTCTTCCCCATTTATCCTGTTTATTCAATCATTTTTTATATCAGTATGGGCTCATGGATGTTTATCCTATGTGTTATCATCTAATAATGCAGTGTTTATTTTATTGCTCAGTTTGTTCTAGCTTTGACCATGGGAGTTCTTTCAGGTTGGCTCTTGTGTTCCTGTGACTCTTTTTTTTTTTTTTTTTTTTTTTTGGTAGTGATGGGGTCTCACTGTGTTGCCCAGGGTGGTCTCGAATGCCTAGCCTCAAATGATTCTCCCGTCTTGGCCTCCTCTATGCTAGGATTACAGAAGTGAGCCACCATGCCTGGCCAATATATATATTGGCTGGAATGCAGTGGCACAATCTTGGCTCACTGCAACCTTCGCCTCCTGGGTTCAAGCGATTCTCCTGCCTCAGCCTTCCGAGAAGCTGGAATCACAGGTGCACGCCACCACGCCTGGCTATTTTGTATTTTTAGTAGAGACAGGGTTTCACCATGTTGGCCAGGCTGGTCTCGAACTCCTGACCTCAAGAGATCCACCCACCTCGGCCACCCACCTCAGCCTCCCGAACTGCTGGGATTACAGGCATAAGCCACCACACCTGGCCCCCATTTTTTTTTAAAGCCCTTTTTAACCTTCTGACACTACACTACAAGATGCTCCTGGTTCATCTTGTATATTTCCTGCTCCAGCCCTAGAATCAGCCATTTTTCCATGGAGCCCTGGCTCTTTTCGTTAGAGAATGGTATTTAAAAACTATGACTGAGTGCTAGGTGTGCTTGTTGTCCATTTACTTTTCACTCTCTTATTCCTTCATCTGTTCCTTCTCTACAGATTGTTTCTCCTCTGCTGCTGAGCTTAGCTGCTTGAGCATTCAAATATGCCCAAGTGCTTCTCCCATTAATTCTTCATCCATGTCCACACCTGGGCTGCATTCTGAAGGGAATATGTCTCTTTTTGGGCCCCTAGGCTAAGCTCATATAACAGCAGGTTGAGGGACTACTTGGTCTCCTTCCATGTAAACTGACATGCTAAGCTAAGCCCTCTAGATCTTACTACTCAAATATAAGAAAAGAGGAACTCAAGGAAAAATACATAAGAGGAGAGGGGGAAAGAACTTTGACTTAAATCTAGAGAAGCAGATCTAAACCATCTGCTCATGGCTTTCCCCTGGGGTCTCACCCTGGTTCCTCCTACTTGGGTGTTAAGGGGTGATATAAGGGCACCTCCTTGGTCTACTGCCAACCAGCCTCAGGGGCAAAAGTGAGACACAAAGTGAATGCAGAGTCCACCTGTGGGAGCTTGTGTTTGCTACTCCTGTGTTCCCTACATGGAAGGCAGGGCACACCTTAGCAGAAGGCTCAGGGACAGTCTGAAAAGGGCTTCCCCCAGAGCAACTGCGGAGGCACACATAAAAAAGACTATGCTTTTGCTTAATGTTAACTTGAAATAGGAAAAACATAAGAACTTCACATGGTAGAATTCGGTGGGGTGTATATTTAGGTCTTAAATTTTCAGAAGTAGGCAACTTTGGCTTCATTCATGCATATAATACCAGAACTCTTTGGATTCCTGGGTCTTCTTCAAATGTCACCTCTGCAAACTCAGCAGAGGTGTAACCAGTTCTCCCTGAATCATAACAAAGTCAAGCTCATTAAAGTTCAGGCAAATAGCACTCTGTGTTATTTTCTGAAATTTGGAGAGGAAATAGGCAGGCAGATTCTCCTTCACAGTATGAATTTTAAAAATAATTCTTAGGTATATTTTTTCCTAAGACTTCTCTCTTTATGTTAATGCTGGTCTCTCTTCAGGAATATAAAAGTATACTACTAGGCTTCACACTAAGTGAAAGATACCTATGGATCCCTTCAATCCTAGAGAGATCTGATTTAAGAAATTGCACAAAGCATAAATCACTTAATTAGGTCCATTTTAATAAAGGGTATAGGAGTTTACAACTCAAAACAATTCATAAAACCTATCAGATACATACGATAAATCACACCGAGAGTGCAATAACATAAATCCAATGGTCTGCAAATAAGAGGTATTGCAAAAATTGTTAAGATTGACTTTCATGTTTCCCCCCCTCCTTTCTCTTGTTCACAGCCCGAGATTATGTGTACATTGTTTTCTGAGGCCTGATGACCTCAATACTCCTTCTGGCTGGAGAGACCTCCTCATTCAGTCCATTCCAAATAGTCAGCAGAGGGAGTTCACCTCTTCTCCACGGAATGAGCGTGGTCCTTGTCCTTTATTATTTGGTTTCTATCTCCTAACAAATGACATTAAATGTTCCCTCATTCAAAACATCTTGTGGGCCTTGTGGTGTTCTGGTCACTGCTACCCTCTCAATGCCACACATGAGCCCTCAGGGTGAGCCCTACAGAGTTTCATCCTTGTGGATAAGAAGATGTGTACTTGGGAACAAGGCTAAAGCCATGGCTGATTTCCCCAACCTTTTATCGCGAAGAACTCCAGTTGTAACTTTTGAGAGTTTTTTTGGCAAAAGGAACTACATTTACTCATGCCAAATACCTATGGTCACTTCTCAGTACTCTTTGGATACCTTTATTAGGAGAGCTTGAATTAACACCATGGAAGAAAGCATGAAGATGAATGAGCACACACACACACACACACACCCCATTCACACTCAAATAGGAATCTCTGGTAGACTCAAAGAGTACAGCTGATTTGCCATTTCAGAGTGAAAAGGCTGCACTGTCTCACCCTGCCCCCAAAGTCTAACCTATCCTATTTTAACTGGTATTGGTAAAAACTATTTTTGCAATTCCTTGCCGAAAGGAATCAAACGGATCCCTTTAACATGTACATATAGTTCCATTATAATGCAATGCAGGTAACACTAACTTGATTTCAAGAACATTGTCAAAACTGGGGTACACATCCTTCTATTAGAAATGGCTGGGGGACAGCTGAGAATAAATTTATGGAATTACAAATTATGGGAATACTGGACTAAGTCAAGAATGGTTACCATGTAGCCATTTTTACCAGCTATTCTAGAGTCCCTTCACACATAAACTTGACCCTGCATTCCGGGAAAAGTACCTCTGGGTTGTCACTACAGAGTAAGGCTGGGGTCCTGCCAACCTTCCTTCATCCTTTCTTCTAGTTCATAATAGGGAAGGTGAGCCATTTCATTCATTCATGTTTTGTTTGTTTTGTTTTTTTGAGACAGGGTCTGGCTCTATTGCCTGGGCTGGAGTGCAGTGACACGATCTTGGCTTAGTGCAACCTCTGCCTCCCGTGCTCAAGCCATCCTCCCACCTAAGCCTCCCAAGTAGCTGGGACTACAGGTGTGCACCACCATGCCTGGCTAATTTTTGTATTTTTTGTAGAGACAAGGTTTTGCCATGTTGCCCAGGTTGGTCTTGAACTCATGAGCTCAAGCGATCGGCCCAACACAGCCTCCCAGAGTGCTGGGATTCCAAGTGTGAGCCACCACACCCCGCCCATTTCATTCTTATTTGGTGAGATTGTCACAGACTTGGCTGAAACTTAACAAGAAACTGTTTACAGCAACAAAGGAAGCAATTAAAGTTAACATGATCATTCAACTGTGCCATTCATCATGCACTTATTGACATGCTCAAAATAGGGGAATGTTAAGTAAGGAAATGAAGTGGGAACAGGAACAAGGGAGCTAAGCCAAGAGGACTTCCAGGGACTTGAACAAAAACAATTCCCAACCACATACTACTTTTCAAGCATTTTGAAACTCTTCTTTTCCTTTAGTGATGTTTTCAGTAACAAACTTGCAAGTGTTCTTGGTGGTTAAAAAACAAAACAAAACTACAAGTATCAGCTGAGAAAGACAAAGAAAAAACTAAGAATTTAAATTAGATAATTCCATTTAAAGTTTCCAATTCCTCGTTTAGGTGGAGTTGGAACATTAGAACTCAGGGGTGGTTTGGATATTAACAAGGTACTCCTGCCTCCTCAGAAGCTACAGTCTTTTCTGCAGCTCTCTTATGTACCTCTCATCAAAATAATTTCAGTCCCACATTTCTCGGATAAAACCACATCTGTGGTTTTATCCAGCAACCATTTCACAGTCGACTGGCACGTGTTCTCCAATTTCAGTTCCAAACACACAACACAGAATCACACTTTTCTTTATTAAAGGGACCCAAGTGATTTTTAAGCTGTATTCTTCCTGCTAGAGAATGAATTGAGTAGCATCCTTCTCTAATTTCCTACAATAAAATTTCCTATGTGATATACTGCATATATATTATATCTGATATATGTTTTGATTATTTTTCTTTATGGAAGCAAATACAGAATTTCCTTGTCAGATCACTCTGATGATTATAATCTGCTACTTTGATTATGCATCAGTGAAATGTCCACCAAGCAGTTGAAAACACTGATGTACATGTATTCTAAAACTTACTAAATAATGGGCCAGTAAGATACCAGTATCTTTCTAGAACGTTTAGAAAGAGATCTTAGTTGCCAGAGAAAACTCAGATACAACATGAGCCTCTAAACACATACACTCTAGTCTACAAATATGAGACTTTTCAACTCAACAATAAGTGGGCCGAAAACAATATAGGGCGTATGACCTAGACTCCCTGGGTGCTGCTCAGCAGCTGCTTCAGCATCAAATTGTGTTCATCCCATTTTCTAATCTAACCAAGCACTTGGAACTAAAGGGCTGTATGTGAGCCCAAGAAACTGATATATTAAATATTTTTCACCACATATGACATCTTTCATTCAGTACTGCCTGTTAGTCAATTACTGTGGATTCTTTCAGGGTTCATCAATGCATGTGTGGCTCGATGGTTTAGGAATAAATATATTCTGGCTCAATGCTTTCCACTGAAATGAAAGGTCACAACTTCTATGTTCCCTATCAAATGTGTAAAGCAAAAACACAACAAACGAAAACAAGAAAGTAGAGTTGTTTGTTGATTATATACAGTCATGTGCTGCATAAAAACGATTCCATCAATGATGGACCACATATACCATGATGGTCCCATAAGATTATACCATATTTTTACTGTACCTTTTCTATGTCTAAAATGTTTGGATACAGAAATACTTACCATTGTGTTACAACTGCCTACAGTATTCAGTACAGTAACATGCTGTACAGGTTTGTAGCCCAGGAGCAACAGGCTGGACCATATAGCCTAGGTAGGTAGTAGGCCGTGCCATCTAGGTTTGTGTTAAGTACACTCTGTGATGTTCACACAATGACAAAATCACCTAAGGATGCATTTCTCTGAATGTCTCCCTCATCATTAAGTGGGGCATGACTGTATTTTTTTTTCTCTTTAAGGAAATAAGACCCTACTGTAATACAAGTCGGCAGAATCTAACTGTTACTAATAATTAATGTAATCCACAAGTCAAAGTTTTTTCATGCATCACCAAAAAAAAAAAAAAAAGTAATTTGCATGTGTTTGCATCCGTTTCTGTATTCAAAGAAGGTATGTAGAGTCTCCACCCATCATGTCTCCAGTGACAATTTTTTTTTTTTTTTTGAGGCGGAGTTTTGCTCTTCTCGCCCAGGCTGGAGTGCAATGACACAATCTTGGCTCACTGCAAAGTCTGCCTCCCTGGGTCAAGCAATTCTGCCTCAGCCTCCCTAGTAACTGGGACTACAGGTGCGTGCCATCACGCCCAGCTACTTTTTGTATTTTTGGTAGAGACAGGGTTTCACCATGTTGGCCAGGCTGGTCTCAAACTCCTACCCTCAAGTGATCCACCCACCTCGGCCTCCCAAAGTGCTGGGATTACAAGCGTGAGCCACCGCGCCTGGCCTCCAGTGAAAAATTTAAAAAGGATACAAGCTCATACTTGACGAAGTATTCAACTATGTAGTAAAATCACCATGATTTTATCCTGATTTGCACCTTGAGAATTAAAATAGTCACTTGATTAGAAGGGAATTATCAAATAACCAAAGGAAAAACATTTTGCTGGGCTGTTACAGAGATAATCCTGAATATTTGGAAAGGGGAATTAGAATGATCTCTTACTTTAAGAATTTCTGAACCAAACACCGCATGTTCTCACTCATAGGTGGGAATTGAACAAAGAGAACACATGGACACAGTAAGGGGAACATCACACTCTGGGGACTGTTGTGGGGTGGGGGGAGGGGGGCGGGATAGCATTAGGAGATATACCTAATGCTAAATGACGAGTTAGTGGGTGCAGCACACGAGCATGGCACATGTATACATATGTAACTAACCTGCACATTGTGCACATGTACCCTAAAACTTAAAGTATAATAATAATTTAAAAAAAAAAAAAGAATTTCTGGGCCAGGTGCGGTGGCTCACGCCTGTAATCCTAGCACTTTGGGAAGCCAAGGTGGGTGGATCACAAGGTCAAGAGTTCAAGACCAACCTGGCCAACATGGTGAAACCCCATCTCTACTAAGAATACAAAAATTAGCCAGGCGCGGTGGTGTGTGCCTATAATCCCAGCTACTCGGGAGGCTGAGGCAGAATCGCTTGAACTCGGAAAATGGAGGTTGCAGTGAGCCGAGATCACACCACTGCACTCCCGCCTGAGCGACAGAGCAAGACGCCGTCTTGAAAAAAAAAAAAAAAATTTCTGAGTTGGGGTGAGAAATCTCCCTGAGTATTTCTAGGCTCTTCGCTCATGTTTTTGAGGGCTTCACTTGATAATGACCATGGGAAGAATCTGGGGTGCAAAGTTCCACGTGCATTAGCCGAAATTATTCATTCAACTAGAAAGACAATTTTGCATCCACTAATACATAAAAATCAGAAAGGAGAATTGGGAAAAAGCATATTCTTAGAATAACATTTAGCATCCACCAAAGTGAAGGACATAGGTTTCTGGCACAGTTGAAACCTTAGTTGGAAAACCAAACCTTGGCACAGTGCCAATTATTTATCTTTTGATCAGGACATTTGAAATAGGCAGAGACCACCAAAAAAGGACAAAGTATTGAAAAGTAGCTGCTCATTTTTTACTGCCAATATTCCTGAACTTTAAAGAATATCACACCTAATCAACCGCAATAGAATTGGGCATTCAGACTTGATTCTTAGATGAATTTCCAATAATTTTTAAATCATTGATCTGGCTTGGTAAATAGCTCTCCAAACTTCTACAGCTAATGGAAAAATCACTTAACCTTTACTAGAAGTAACAGAAAGCATTAAAGTTGAAACCTAATGCAGCAGTTCTTTCCAGTGAGTTGAACTGCCTTAGCAGAAATCTTCCCATTGAGATACAGGCTTTATTTTTATTATTATATTTTTGGAGACAGTGTCTCACTCTGTCACCCAGGCTGGACTCACAACTCACTGCAGCCTCAAACTCCTGGGCTCAAGTGATCCTTCCAGCTCAGCCTCCTGAGTAGCTACAGGCATATGTCACCATACCCAGCTAATTTTTTTCATTATTTTATTTAATTTTATTTTTTAGACTCGCTCTGTCGCCCAGGCCAGAGTGCAGTGGCGCAATCTCTGCTCACTGCAACCTCTGCCTCCCGGGTTCAAGCGATTCTCCTGCCTCAGCCTCCTGAGTAGCTGGGACTACAGGTGTGCACCACCACGTCCAGCTAATTTTTTGTATTTTTAGTAGAGATGGGGTTTCACCATGTTGGCCAGGCTGGTCTCAAACTCCTGACCTTGTGATCTGCCCACCTTGGCCTCCCAAAGTGCTGGGATTACAGGTGTGAGCCACCATGCCCAGCCTATTTTTTTATTTATTTTTTGAAGGGACAGGGTCTCGCTGTGTTGCCAGAGTTGGTCTTGAACTTCCTGGGCTCAACTGATCCTCCTGCCTCAGCCTTCCAAAATGCTGGTATTACAGGTGTGTGGCACTGCACCTGGCCAGCTTTATTTTAAGGCACTAATAATAAAGGGTATGAAAAAAGCTAGGAATAAGTCAGATCTTTCCAGAAATAAAAGACAATTTTAAAAAACATCAGTTAACCTGTCTGGCCTATTTCAACATCTAAAGAGGATAGAGAATGTAAAAGTTTTCATGCCTACCTGATTCAGCTCTTTTCCATTCTCCCAAACACTTATTTCCATGTCTCAGATTTACATTTCCTCAAAAGGCAGTAGAGATTTGGAAACAACAACAACAACAACAACAACAACAACAAAACCACCCCAAAACAAGCAAGCCTAGTTTGTAGCCTAGTCTCATGATTAATGAATTCCCTAATGCTGGCATTTAGCCCACATACTGAGAGGCCGGAACTGTAACAAGGTGCTCTTTTCTAGTGTTGTAAGGGGAAAATGTATAAGGAAAATTAATTTTTCATAATCAGGTAAATATAATTTGTTAATAGCAAAACAAGAAATTCCGGAGAGAAAAAAGATTTACTCTGAAACACCAGTTCCAGCAGGATTTCCCTACACCTTCCAACGTATTCTACTTTGCCATGAGAAAAAAACTAAATAAATAAAATGGGGTTCAAGTCAGTTAGGCGAGCAAACACCAAAAAACGAGTGATTTCATTGTGGAGGTAGGCATGATGGGGCAGGATTTCCCTCAAGTGGAAATGCTTCCTGTGCACACACACGTATACATGCACACACAAACCTGTACACTCACACTAATTTCAAAAGCATGGATGTGGGGAAAGCCCTGCCAGCATGACTAGACATGAGGAGTTAGCCCATCTGCCTGTATCTCTACACAGGCTCTGACGTACATTCCACACCCATAGACAGTCATGCACGAGAGCCAGCCTGGCTTGCACACAGACTGAGAATCAGATCTGGAGACTCCTAGAGCTGCTGCTTCTACAGGAATTATTAGTAACTGCAGGATTATACTTCCTGTTGATGTGCAGGGTTTTTATCTTGCTCTTCTTTCCAGACATCTCCCCTTTTCAAGAGTACTAAATCTTGATTTAGTGGAGGGACTAATCTTGATTCTTCGATGGGCATGACTTAGAACAGGAGCTACAGGAATTAAAACTAGCAACAATAGGGCCCCTTTGGGATTGGGGTGAAGAAGTATTTCAGGATTTAAACAGTTTCTGTGGGTGGGGCGGGGGGAAAGCAGAGTTCTTGGTGGAAGTGGATGACCTCTGTGAAGGAGATGAAAATGCCTCCAAGTCCAGAAATCAATATAAACAAACAAACAAACAAACAAAAATGAACATAACTTAAAGGGGCTTCAACTAAATATCACTGCAACTGAGTTTGTTGACTCAAGAAATTCTGCTCTGACGCAGGGAATTGAAATATAAGAACTGATAATATTTCTTCTTCAGAAGGCTAAGCTGGGAGTGCCATGGCGGGTATTGAGGGTGGGATAGAGACAAGAGGCTTGAGGCTCAGGTTTTGCTCCTAGGGTTTCTTGCCTGATTTTGAAGGGAAGGGTGCTAGAGCAAATGGATCAGCAGCTGGCAGCTCCGTAGTCCTGGAGGAAAGGGATGTGATAGAAACAGACCCAGCTATCGACTGCTTGTTGGTTTGTGAAACAATTTTGTAGGCAGCAATGGGCTGGGCTTCTGGACTTGGCTCGTCTTCTGGGCTATAGTGACGGGAATACTTGGATAAGGACTGGGGGCGGAATGGTTTGCCAGCCATGGGGCCTGAGACAGCTTCTTTCTGGAGCTGAGGTCCTTTGTTTCTGTCATTAGAATGACCCCCAGATTCCAGGCAGGATCCCCTGGGAGAGATGCTGTCCAGATGGTCTGCTGCTTGTACAGAATGGGACAGGAGGTTAGACTGTTGCACAAAACCAGCTGTGGAATACTGAGCTTGGACAGAGGTGTACACAGCTCTCTCACGGCCCGCGGGCAGGGGGACATCACCTGTCTGACTGAGGAGACCGGTCTGTGCAGGCAGCTCCTGGGAGGTGCATTGGATAACTGTTAACTCCTCCATGCTTTTCTTCTTAGTGAAAGGAGCTCTCAAAAACACGTCTGACTCCTCTGGCTGGGAAGGAGCCATACTGCTCTTGGAGACAAATGGGGCTTTGGAGAAAATGTCCATGTCATCATTTGGAACCCTTGAGCTCCTGAAGGGAGCTATGGCAAAAACATCTGGCTCACTGAGCCCATCAGTGGCTGGCTGTGTGAAGGCTTGAAACTGGTTCTTTCTTCCACCTTGCACTGTCTTTGCTTGCTCAGGAGAGACTTCTGGTGGAGCGAATGGAACGGCTCCTCCCAGCTTCCCCGGGGGGGGTCTGCAGCTCTCATCTTCTTCTTCAGACTCCATAAGGAGAGGCCGAGACCCACTGCAGTCCAGCATGTCTCCTTCAAGGTCAGTCCCTTCCTCTTCGCTGCTGTGGAATGAGCTGTTGCTTGAAGGGCCATCTCTGGCCAAGTAGTCAGATTCTAAGTTGTTCTGAGTCTTTGTGCCAGGTACTCTGGAGGGGTCTGGATACAGCGGAAGGCCTTTAACACCCAGTGATTCTTTAAAGTGCTCTACAGTTATTACAGGACAGGGATTGGACTCCCTCTGGAGATCTAGAAAAGCATAAAATGCAGAATTAATGTGTAGGTCAATTCAACTCTATTTGGAACATTTAATGGTCAACCCGCGGCAAAAACATTGTGGGACCAAATAATAGATGTTGAAAATGCAACAGGAAAAACATAAAAATAAAAGTCAGGCAAGGAAACTGCACACAAACTGGAACACAATCAACCACTGTCTCACGTTTTGGAACATGATAGGCACGACGTACAGGAAAGGAGATGAAGATGTTAGGCACACAGACATTCAGCGTAACTATGCAATGCTCCTACACACAGGGCCAGGCACGGACACCTGCTCTACCTGGCACTGGCTCATTATGGAATGAAAACAAACCCAGTCATTCATCTCCACATATACCATGACAGTTTTGGATTATGTAGAAACACTGTCTGGGGATGACTCAATTCAGAATCTGGCATGTGGTCATCCGCGCCACATGCAGAGGGACAAACTCTCTGAAAAGAAGCAGAATGTGGCTGCTTGATAAATGCAAGTTTACTTGATGACTTACATCACAAGCACTACTCAAAGAGCATACGAGTGCCCAAAATATAAATACTGAAGGTACCTTCTGAGGGGAGCATACAGCATCAAAATCAGACCAAATAAATCACCTTCAGCTGGAGTTGCCCCAGAATTTTGTTTTCAGTCTTCTAAGTTCATAAAGATCTCCTCTGCTTAAATGAATCTGCCATAAAGTTCTTTAAGCAGAAGGAGTAAAATGCATGGGCCATTACAGAAGCATTAGCAAACTCCAATATACTAGTCTATTTCTATCTAGGTAGAGGTGCCTCAGGGTGCTCTGGCTTTTAAAATCAAATAGACAATTATCAGAATGCAAGAGAGCTTACCTTCCAAGAAATATTAGCAGGTTAGAAGTATGTCATTGGGCACATGTTAGCAAGAGGGCAGGAAAAAGGCATATGTAACTAAGCAAGAAGAATCCAGAGAAAGGGTGGTTGGGGGTAAAGGTATCATTTCATCATGGGCTCAGTAAAGAGATACTACTGGAGTTTCCCAACCCACCAGGATAAGAATATTAGATACAATGATTTGGAGCCATAGATGACCCAGAACCTCTGTAGAGATGGAACTCAATGATCCCCTTCCCATACTGACCCTCTCCCCTCCTATGCAAACCATTAGCTAGCAGAAATTTCTGCCAAAAATTATCCCCTGCTAAAGTTTCTGCATGAATTAAGCACACAGACCACAGCAGAAGAGGCATTAAAATCAGTTTATTGGGAAACCAGTCACTTAGAGACATTACATTGTAAAGAGAATGTAGAGAGAGGTCTGAACATTTTATAAGATACTGTACAAAAATACTATGTTTCTCTGAATCCTATAACTTTTTAGCAGTGCTTCTTTTTAAACAGTTCTGACCTTAAATATTGTTTTCAGAAACAGAACAAAAATGTGTTTGTCCTCCATTTTTATTTTCCTTTCTAACAGTTTGAATGCGTTCAGTGAATTCCAGATTGGGGCGTTAAGTTAAATTCTGTACTGGTGCCAAATGGCTTTCAGAATAGTATTTGAAGAATAAGATTTTGAAAAGAATAAATTTTTCCTTGTATTATAATTTTAGTATGTGCAGCTACATGGTGATACGAAAGCATCAGTCAGTGGACAGGAAATAAACAGAATACCTTCTTCCTTGCGATTTATGTGGACAGACATAATCCTAATTTCTCAGGCAAGTAAATTGATATTAGATTTGTCTCAGTGATACCAAGATGATAATTTCTGGGAGGAAATTCAAATAAAAGGGAGAAAAATAAGTTTTCCAAAATAAGGTTTGCAGAGCCTTAAAGAAGGACAAGAGGGCCCTAAAACTCCTTGAACCACCTTCCTCACATAGTATCAGTTGGACAAAGTTTTCAGTTGCCAAAACAAAAGCACAATTTCTCATCTTCCAAAACTACCTTGAAAGTTGATGTTATTAAGCTTGTTCTGCAGGAGAGCAAAATATCTCTTAGGGAAAAAAAATGGAAAACTTAGTCAAGCCAGTGACCAACTCTGGCATCATACAGGTCAATAATCCAATGAACACTAGTTTGAACAGAGTCAGTGTTTTTTGGAAATTTAAACTGAATTCAGTTAAAACAATTTGTGCACAGAGACTGGCAAAAAAGCAGCTATCTATTGAACCAGGGGCACTTTGGATGCCTGAAGTGCTAGATTACATTTTGAGAACTAGGAAGTACCAAGGGGTGTGTGTATGTGCCCATATTCAGGGTTGGAGAGGATGGAAGAACATGTCTAACCCATCAAAATTATTTGTTAAAAAGTGGGTTTTTGGTCGAGAACCCATTTGGAAAACCTTCCAACTCAGAGCATATTCTATGACCTTCATGATGAGTACTGGGAAAATCAGACTTAAAATTCCAACAACTTTGAATAATTTACAAAAACAGTCACAAAAACACCAGAATATCAAGTTTGAAGGGAAAATTAGTCTCCTGTCCTTCAAAACAAGGACAAGAGCTATTTCCTATCTTTCTTTCAGCATCAACAGGCTTTGTAGGAATGGAAAAGTACATTTAAAGGGTTGTCCTGAGAAGGCCAAGTCCCTTAACCTTTCTATTCTTGTTAGAGGAGGTACAGTGTGGCTGAGGCGGAGAGCAACCACACTTTGCAACTCTCCAGGCCTGGCACTCTGAAGGGCAAAGAAATGCCAGAGAATATGGGGGAAGCCCAGACCTCCACATTCCCTTAAGGAATTCTGGTGGTGGCAGCACCAGAAACAAGGTAGTCGAGAGAAGGATAAATTCCAAATATACTAGAAACAGAAGGTAACCATTAAATCTTGTTGGCAGATAAAAGTCTTTTTTTGAGTATGTGAATGTGTTCTTACAGGGAAAATGTGTTTTCAGGGTGAACAGTTCCTTTATATGAAGGTAGCATTGTGTCAACAAGAAAACGTGTTTGAAGCAGTCTCTTTACTAGCATTGAAGGATTTATACTAACCTAACCACATGCCTTGACCCAGTTCCTTTGGTAACCAATGGCACGTCATAGCAGATACCCTGTGGCCATAGAGCTCAGTAAACACTGCCTGTTGTACCTCAGGGGCTAAAGCCCAGGGCCTGGCTTCATAGTCTGCACAGGGTCTTACTTATCATAGAGCCTAACGTAGGGTTTTGTTATAATTCCCTCAAACTGGATCATGCCTCTTTTTATTTTGGTTTCACACATAAAATTAAGCAAGAAGTCAAAACATACTTCTTTTTCTTGCTCTGATGTAGGACTGTGTGCCAGGTTAGGCACGTTGACACTTTCAATATGGGTAACTCCATATTAGTCTATTTTGAGGCTCCAAATTATGTAGATTTCAGCAAGAACTCACATGCTTCAGGGAAGAGAAGGAGTTCCTAAAATACCTGACAACTTGGCAACTATCCTCACCAGCTCCCTATTCACTTCCAAAGCAACCCAAAGTGCTGAATCATTTAGGATGGGTTTCCCCTGGAAACTCCATCTGATTGACATAGTGAGGGCCATCAGAATGCTCCCTACAGAATTAAAATCTGAAGACTTAAATGTCAGGCTGGATATTCCTTAATGAAATACATCACACAACACCAGAAGTTTACTTTTCCTCATACCAAAAACTGAAAGAACGGTTACAGGGAGTATCAAAGATATGATTCTTGCCAAAAACAGAAAACGAAGACTTGGAGCATTGAGAAGAAGCCTTCTCACATATAGTTAGTAAACAGAAAGCAAAATATCCCTTCACAAGAACTTGGAAATGCAGCAGCAATTGAAACGTAAAATTTTAGAACCAAACTGGGGAAATCAAGAGACGTACATCAAACTAATAATTACCATGACCTTCTAGCTCACATAACAAAATTAAGCATTTGGTTCCACCATATATTAGGTAGCTGCATTAAAACCCACGACTGGGAAATGAGGGACCTCATGGAAGCCAAAAATGGCCAGCTGTGCCTCTCAGGCCAATGAGGCAATTAAATGAGTGAGTTTTCTCACTGGGGATAAAATTATTCTTGCCAACACAAAATGTTTAATTAAGTTGGCCTGGGTATATTAGGGATTAAGTTAGAGGAGGGAAGCTGCAAACCTGCGCTCCATTTTACAACCCTGAGTCTGGTCATATCCAGTGTAGGCTGGCAGGCGTCTTATTCTCCTTGAGACTAAAACAGGGGTTTTACTCTCTCAGGTAGCCATGATTCATTAATATGTCCTCAGTGTGTAGCTATACTTTTCTTGTGCCCAGGTACTTATTGTCACTCAATACTGTGATTAAATCCTTTCTGCAAAAAAGTGGGTTTTCAGCTCAGGAAAAGAGCAACTTATTTTAAGTTATTTACATCTCTAAACATCATGCTCCCATTTGAACAGATAAAAGTCTTTATTCCCCTGTATGTTTACATAAGAAAGTTCTTTACAGACTTTTTTTTATACAATACTTGTGCAGCAATGTTCAAATTTCACGTTTTTACTGCATAAGATATCTTCATGTACAACTGTATGCTTTGTCTTCTTGGGAAGGACGCGTTAAAGACCTATGATAAACACACATCCACATGACAAAGGAGAGTGCAATAGGGCAGAGTAGAATACTCACAGGAAAAGAGTAAATTCAGGTCACTACATCAAAGTGTGAACCAAGAACGTGTCTTTAATTCTAGCAACTACCACCATTTGGTAACTTCTTTGCATAGGTTAGCATTACCCAAGGAGCCTCCCTATCCCGTATTAGTGAAAGGAAATCTGGGAGAAGCAAAAGAGGTTTCTTGTTATAGATTTCCTAGCACTCATTCTGATTTAAGAAATCTAAGCACATCCAACTTCAGAAACATTACTAATGTGGAAAAAGAAAAGGCTGACTTTGTGTTGATAAAATTATAGCCTTTAGAGAGGAATAAAGATAGCTTTGCAGTATCTGGAGTGTTTCAGGAAAGCTTCCATTCTAAATATTCATGTGATAGTTTTTCTGTTCTGCCAGGCAGCCTCTAATTTGCTTAACCCGGCACACTGGGCAATCCTGTCATTTTCATCCCAAAGCTCAAAGTTAGTGGCTATGGGAGCCTGATAATCTTGCAGACAGAGAAGGTTAAGGACTCTGGGAAATCACAGAAAAACCTTATCAAGAGAGACTTTATTTTGGCCCAAGGTATCTATAGCATGTATTTATTTAGCTGAGTGCAGATCCCTCCACATCATAGGCTGTCAGCCCCAAAGATCCCTTCATTCCCACAGCACTGCTGAAGGCAGAACTGTTCCTAACCTGGGGAAGGTTATATTGGTTGATCAATTATCTGTCAGGAGAGTAGGAAATAAGTAATCAAAACAACCAAAAGTATTAATAATAAAACAAATATTACATCTTGAGAAAGTAGTTCGTTTCTTGGGTTTGTTTTTCCACAAGTATTAGCAATCCAAGTTGTGTAATTCTAATTCAGGAAGAGCGAAGTCCAATATCAAATAACACTGAACAAAGTGACAACTTCTTTCAGAGGTGTTTTAATACCCATATCTTTCAATGTTTTAAACCATTCTAAAGACTAAGGAATCACAGAAGTTTCCTTATTCAGAAAATTACAGAAATTAAGTCTTAATCATGTTCACTTTCTATTATAAGGTCCTCTCTGAGAATTTTTTGTGGATTATCCTTTTTACTGTCTTCAACAGTAACCACTCTTCATCTTACAGGGTTGAATTTGCTTTCTGGAAATGGCTAAATGTTACTCAGAACCAAGAGTAGTAGAAAAAGTAGACAAAGAAAGAATATACTTCCAGGTGCTTTCTCAAAGTGATACTAATTAAATAATATAGCTGATTTTCTTATACCTTATTACCTTCCTTGATATTATTTCTAAGGAGAGGAGTTTCAAAAATAACTTTAAGGATGGCAGCATCATTAGAATAAGTATTAACTTCTTAAGTAAAACTAGATGACATTGAGGGGAACAACACTTAATTAGATGTCAAAATTCTGATATGTCTGCTAAAGAAATCATTAATTATAATAATTATAATCATACTTAGAAGTGTCCACTTAAGCCTTATCTCCTCTGAGGTATGTATTTTTGAAAACATTGGGACTCATTTGAATGTTGTAAAGGGAAAAATCAATTTGTCATGTTTTCTGCTATAGTTACTCCTCTTACATAGCTGGAATAAAAGCAAATCAGAAACATATGCTTATAGTATTTGCCCGTTTTAAACTGGTAGATGCCTGATTATACATTTAAAAAGAAATCTTCTGATACCATTTTATTAGAATAGGTAGGTGTGTGTCCACGCATGTGTTTCTGTAATACTTAAAAAGGAAAATCTCTAAGATTATGATTTAGGCTTCTATTCAGATAATCAAGAAAGAGCAAGTTAGTAAAAGCCCATTATAATTCTTTAAAATGTAAACACTGCTACCGTAATAGCAGGAACTACAGAAGATAACTGAAGAACATCAGGATTATATAAATCCTTCATAGCCCTTCTCAATATAATAATATATACTTAGGACCCTATACTTCTATAATCTTAAAGACCATCTAGTCCAAACCCATCGTATAACTCTAAGGAACAGCAACTCTGAGAGGTGAAGTGCCTGCTGAAGGTCACTCAGCCAGTGGCTGGCAAGGGCCAGGATGAGATCCCAGGTGGCCTGTCCTGCCCAGGCCTCTTCTCCCCCGACCCTGTTCAATCCAGCTCAGGTCCCACACCTGTAAAATGAAGAGGATGGTGGACTAGAGGATGGTCTCAAAGGTCCCTTTGTAGCTCAGGCTATGATTCCACAGGTACCAGGACACTATGCTCAACTCAAATAAACTCTTTCAGCTCAGGGATGATGCTCTAAACCAAGGAAGGCTCCGTTTACCAAAGCACTCATATGTGTTCCTTAACAGAAAAATAGTTCTCCCCTTTGAGGAGGCCTTACTCTAAATAAGCCCAAGACAATTTCTTGTCATTATCTCCCTTAGGCTTCTACTGCCGTCTCTGGCTTCTAGTCTGCTCATTTTCATTAACTGCCTCCATTAAGCTTTACTGAGCCAAATGACTAGATAATATATTTCAATGTAATTATGGGTAATATATGAAAAGAACAATTTAGAGATACCTAATTTCTAAACTGTACTCTTCATAGTTTCAATTAAATTGAGAAACTAGATATTTCATTATATTTCTAACATGTATATACGAAAAAAATCAAATATGAAAACATAGAACTCAAACATTATTCTTATTTAAAAATAAACATTTCCTTCATTAATTTATACATTCTTTCTATGTCCAGGAAAGAGAATACAATTCTGACCTGCAGCAATTTTCCTGTCCATAAAGGGGTAAACCAAGTCCTATTTTCACTGCTATCCAACCACAGAGAGCCCTTCGTGGATATCTTTTGCTTTTTAATCCTCGGCAGGAAGCTTGTGCCTCTCTCAGTTTTGGAAATGGTCTGTTATTCAACTAGAGGCCTTTACCTAGCTCATCTTGTTTCAGCCAGCACGGGAAGTATTTAAAGACAGAAGGAAGGCTGGAAGATTCAGACTTTTCCTCCAATGCCTTTCAAAGGCTACTCGCACATTCCTAGGGTCAAACCTTGCCCTCCAGAATGCAGTGTTTTATAGGCTGTTGTTGCTGTTAAACTTTTTTCCCCCATAAAGTGCAAATGTGAGGAAGAAGAAACAAAAGTACTAGATAGCAAAACAAGCAAATGGACTTGGAATTTTATTTGTACAGATCTGATTAACTAAGAGTTTCCCTTTTGATGATGGACAATGGCACTAGAGGAAAAGAACAGGAGTGGGGTTCTCTGTGCCCACTTCTTTTCAAAAGGGTGATTTTATAAAAGTGCTTTCCACATAAGGAAATAAAATACACTTTAATGAGTAAGTACATATAGAGAGGGTGACCATGAGGCATGTTGTCATGTTAGTGCAGGGGCCTTTATTTATTTTATGAACAATATCCTAAAGTTAATAAAGAACTATGCTTTATTATTTTTTTTTAATCTAGGAAGCCAAGGAAAACCAGCTGAACATATTCCATTGGCTGCAGCCTTCAATTTAAACATCAGAAAGAAAGGTAAGCTGGGCACACCCAGATTGTGTCCAGCTTGTCAGCACACTTATTTCTGATTATCTGAAAATAAACAACATGCTTATTCTAGAGACAGAGGACCTGCTGAAAGCTTATAGCACACAAGTCTATTCAAAATGATTCCATATGTTACACTGTAGGATTGTTGTGTAGTTATACAAGGGAAAGAAATCAAAACCCTGTACAGACACCTGATATCAGACTTGAAATGCCAAGTGGAAACAGAACTATTCAGCATCTTCATTTATACACAATTTACAATATTTGATTCAAAATAAAAATCACAAGAAAAATACATCTGTTTCTGCTACAATTCCTTCCCCTCCCCATCCTCCCCCCACCCCCGCCCCAGTGAAAAGTCTTCTAATAAAAGGTATCATATTACCACCGTCTTGTTTTGGTCTAATTCTGAGATCCCACTTGGAACAGTTAACATGAAAAGGAATGGCAATACTTGGGATTTATATAACGTACACATTGTATCCAAGGATCTCAAATACTTGCAGTCACGTCTCCAGATCTGAGAAATCACGGTTCAATGGAAGCCAGAAAGCTGGACGAATGCTGGGCAGGTTGCATGGGGTGTAAAATCCCTTGGCTAAGTCTATGATCAAACAAGGTCAAAGTTGGTTGGCTAGAGCTGGGCTCAATTTCTCTTCTCAAATATATACTACCAGTCAGTAAGTTTTACCCTTTCTTAAACCACACACCCATCTCCAGGCTACTGCCTAGAGTTAAGACCAACTGAAGTAGCCATGTCCTCATGATAATGCATCAGGATAAAAAGCAAAAACAGGGAAATACATTCATCAGCATCTGGCCAAAGGAGACGGGGGTTGGGAGAATTGATCTGGGAGGCCATTCCTAGCAAGAACGAGACAAAAGTGTCAATTCACTAGTTTCAGTTACAGTTAAGCTTTTGGTGGAGTTGATTCCAGCAGAGGTGAAGCTCATGGCATCTAGTGCTTGATTTAAGATAATGCTATTGAAGAAGGGTAATGAGAAAACACAGCAAACTAACAAGGAGGAACTGGCCAAGGAATATCTGGAGGGCCAAAGTGATTTTCTTTCCTTATCATTTCTACAGGAGAAGGCAAGGGGTAGGAGAAAAGGGCTGGAGGGCCCCTTATTTGCAGATTTTTTTAAAAAAATCATTTTTTTCATAACTCCGTAATGAAAATGTATTTTACGGTATGAAGGTTACAGAACTGCATCTGCTACTGGGTCACGGCTACAGGTCTATGAGCTGATCCACCAGCAGTAAAGACCTGGCTAGGTTGGGAAGACTGGACTCAGAGCTCCCACTGCTGTTTCTAGAGTGCCCACCTGGAAGTGGAGAGATAGGAATTCAGTACAAAACATAGAGGGTTAAGGTTTAGATGTGCAGAGCAAGCAAAGAAGAAAAACCAAACCAAAACCAAAACCAAAACAAAAAAAAACCAAAAAAACCAAACCCTAGAGAAGCAATATTTTACATTTGCAAACCCTTACACGTTGATTTTGAAACATGTAAGTTAGCTGTCCACCACCTCCCACCAAAAGCTCAGGCACTCTGTGCACACCACAGTATAGGTAGGACATCTTGCAAAGAGGGCACTATTTTCAAATCAATACTTTTTTTGGTTGAGAATTGCTGGCTATATACCAACTTCCTGATAATATCAAGCCATCTCCCTTTGATAAAGTAAAAATCAATAATTTTTGCTTTGGGGAGAAACTAGTTATTAAGATACTGCAATAAGAACATGCTTTAAAAAATAAATAGATGGTCCCATGGTAATTTAGTGTTTTATGGCATGTTCACATGATTTTCCTCCATCAAAGTTGAAAAAGGATGCTCCATTAATGTCAAAAAGATGTGAATGATACCAAAACACAGCTGTTAATCTCTTTGGGAAAAATATTTATTATGGATTATTCTAATCATGATAAAAAATGTGATGTGCTTTTGATATATACCTTCAGGTTTCCACTGACTAAAGATCATTTTGCTTTTGGCTTCATGGTAAAAACTAACTTTTGGCCAACTGTTAAAGACTTCTCTCTAAATAAACACCACGGTCAAACTTTAAAGATACCTATCTCTATCTATCTCTATTGGTCCAGCCTACAATGATTCTCATTACACCCAATGTCCTTCATTAAATGTTGATGCTTTTCTTCCCCCTTGCAGATTAGGTGCATGACTATTTTGAAGAGAACTGAGGCCAAGCTCTTCTCTTTTCCCCATCCTTTTTCTTACCTTGTGGGTTTTTGGTTATCAATACAGGAATAGGGTCAAACTCATCTTCAGCCACCTTGTCCGAGCCCTCAGGGACATCAAAACCTGAGATGAGATTACTATCTTCTGCAGCTTAATACAGAATGCAAGTACACAAGCAGAAACAACAGAGGCAGAGATTAGCAAATGAGAGAATGTGAAAGAGGCACAAAGATCTCAACTGTACAGCCCTGTTATTTTCAAAGGTGAAAGGATTTATCTTTCTGAGTTGAAATAAAAATAGCAAAACTGGAAAATACAGAGATATAGAAAAAAATGCTTTAGAGTTGGCCATGTTGACTTTTATAATGATTAGGGAAAAGGGTTCTTGGAAGAATTCTATTATTTATAAGACATTAATTATAATTATTGTGAGGTATCTCTTCATTGTCACTAATCCACAAAGGCATAGGAATAAGTCACTTGTCTTCACTGAGGGAACAGAGGCCAAACAATATTTGAAAAACTCAAAACCGGGGCTTGGGGGCAGGGCAGGGGAGGAGGAAGAGAATTGGTGGCTCTTTAAGAAGTAACCACTGTATATAATGCAAACAAAATACTGCTGGAAGGACTCACTGCACTGTGACTGGGAAAAAAAGACACTGAAACAACTCAGAAGCCTCAGGGAACGCTGAGGCACAAGATCACACGCACTGAGGCCTCAAGTAGAAGTTTGTTAGAATAGTCTTCTCCATTCTAATTAAAGCTACCCTAACAGCAAGCAAGTGCTGGCTGAGCACTTATTTTGCAAATGATGCTTCTCTGTAATTCTACATTGCTGCTGACATACTCCTGCCAGACATCACTGTCTAAATAGGTAACTTCCCTCTACATAATCTATAAAAACATAATCATTTTAATGTCATCACGGGTAAAAACAAAAACTCAGCTATTACCATTGCAAACCACAGAGGTGATTATTTTTAGTCATTCTGGGGAGGCTTCCTTCTTGAATTTTCTCCTGAAGGGACTTAAGCTCTTTCTTTTCTACACATTTTCTCTTTCCAGAAGACTACTTTCACTACCCAATCACAGAAAGTTCAGTAACAAAGTAAGCCAGGCATTGAGCCTGACACTGTCACAAACTGCTCATTGAATAGAATCTGATTCAAGCTACCTCTGTCCAGGATTTCAGACCACTATTAACCCAAGACTGAAAAATGAAAATAGTAGATTAGAAAGAGAAATCCAGTAACCAATCATGACTTGAAGGTGAACTAAAATTCAAAACTTCTACAAGTTCAACCTTGCAAGGACTGACTTTTGAGGAAAGATGCTTATTTCTTTATTGCAGTCATCACTATGCAATAACTTTGAATCAGATATGATAAAACCATTTTACATTCTAAGGCCAACAAGCATCATATGATCATTATAGGCAGGCAGTAGATAGTCACTTCAACCATCTACTTGAATTGACTGCAAAGGTATCTAGCTCTTAAAGGTAACATGGAATATCTGCATTCTATGTTCTTGCCAGAAAGCAATACTTTCACCAATCTGTTGTCTAGGGCTTTTTTCAGATTTAATTTTATTTATTTTTAGTACCTGTCTGCTATTTTTTTTGTTTTTTTAGACAGAGTCTTGCTCTGCTGCCCAGGCTGGAGTGCAGTGGTGCGATCATGGCTCACTGCAGCTTTGCCCTCCGGGCCTCAAGCAATCATCCCACCTCAGTCTCCCGAGAAGCTGGTACCACCGGTGCATGCTGCCATGGCTGGCTAATTAAAAAATTTTTTTGTAGAGACTGAGACTCCGTATGTTGTCCAGGCTGGTCTCAAATTCCTAGGCTCAAGTGATCCTCCCACCTCAGCCTCCCAAAGTGCTGGGATTGCAGGCCTGAGCTACCACAACTGGCCGGTCGTCTAAGTCTTAGTAAATATTCTCACTGAGAGGTATTATAACACAGTATCTAGGAGATACTCAAGTTTTCCATACAAGGAGGTAGTTTTAAAACTTCACTAGTAAAGACTTTTGATAAGAAAAACTTTCAAAAGTTGTTTAGTTCTTTCCCCTCTAAGGACACATGTGGGCCTGAGAAGAAGAAAGCATTTACCTTTATGGACTGGAGCAGAGATTGCTGTGGGGGCAAACTCTTCCAGAAGGTCAGTAGTAGGGTTAGAGAGCAGAGAGCAATCAAGCAGGGAATCTTCCCCGGTGAGAGAATCTGAGTCCAGATTAACAGCATCCCAGGTCAGTGATGGCATTAAGTGGCACACACAACAATATCATGAGATTAGATCTTAGCTTTTAAGTTACTGCATTTACACGTTACACATAAAAGCCAAAGCGGGAGAATAAAAACCAAAAGAAATGTGTGGAGCCTTCTGGATTTTCATCTGTATCATGAGATTAGATCTTAGCTTTTAAGTTACTGCATTTACACGTTACACATACAAGCCAAAGTGGGAGAATGAAAACCAAAAGAAATGTGTGGAGGCTTCTGGATTTTCATCTATAGAAACATGTCTTTCTAGATTCCTCTTAACATTAACATAGAAATAGAGGATAATTTTTTGCTCAGAGGTTGCTGGTTAAATAGGTCTGTGATTTGGATGCTGAGCTAACTTTAGCACCTCAGTTCTTAGTGAATGCCATTTGGGAGAAAAAACTTTACAATTAGAGTTTCACTTAAACTTTCCCTAAACACTCATAGAAGGAAGTTACTATAGGACAAAGTATCCAAACTGATTAGGAGAGGGTTGCCTCTGGCTTATTATTAGCAGAATGTGACAAGATTAAACAGTACCTTCTAGAACTCAACCAGGTTCCCACCCACAATGCCTCTAGCTAGTATTCTTTACATTGAAATTGGCCCTTTGAACATGATTTTGACTTCAGAAAACCAAGACAAAAACTCAGAGTTTAAGTTTCTTTTTGAGACGGAGTCTCGCTCCAGCTCCCAGGCTGGAGTGCAGTGGGACGACCTTGGCTCACCGCAACCTCTGCCTTCTGGGTTCAAGCGATTCTCCTGCCTCAGCCTCTTGAGTAGCTGGGATTACAGGCATGCGCTACCACAACCGGCTAATTTTGTATTTTTAGTGGAGACGGCGTTTCTCCATGTTGGTCAGGCTGGTCTCAAACTCCCGACCTCAGGTGATCCGCCCACTTCAGTCTCCCAAAGTGCTGGGATTACAGGTGTGAGCCAAGGCACCCAGCCTGAGTTTAAGCATTTTAACACAGGGATTGTTTTCTGAGAAGTTTTCTAGGAGAAAACATTCAAATGAGGATAAGGAAAATAAATCATAATGTCTTTGGAGGTAATTTTTTTTTCACCTGCATGAATTTATCCTCACATTTCCTAGGCTTCTAATTGTTTCTATCCAAGTTTGAAAACCAGATACTTTTATCAAGGGAATTATGGACAAAAAAAAAAAAAAAAGAAGAAGGTTACCAAATCTGTATTTGTGGGCAGTTAAGAAATTCTATTAAGACTGAATTTTGAAATTAGGGTACAAGTAATACTACATCTAGGGAAGACTTCAACTTTGCCTACAATTTTACAGCAAATTACCTATACAGGATTAAAGCACTGTGCTGGGAACGGAACATCAATATATAGAAGATGAGCTCCACGGACATCACTGGCATTGGCAGACTGGAAAGATGTACAGCAATCTGGAGGGTTAAGGGTATCCTTACAGCTCGGCAGAGTTCTTTAATTAAGGACATAGAGGGATCCCACCACCAGTGAAAAGAATTTTGAATAAAGAAATACTGTAACCAGAGAAAGCCCAGAGATCACTCCACAGAGAACATGGCTCCAAAAAGTACTCAGTTCTTTAGCAAGGAAATATATCACTCAACATCTAGAAGCCGGGGCTGTGACAATTCAGAGTGTCCATTTCAGGAGGAACTACCTGGGCTTCAAAATAAGCCCAGGAACGACTGAGCCAGGTGAAAAGACTGGCTCAGAGGTTCACCACACCGACCAGTCCCTGCAGCTGCAGAGACACCTGACTGACCTGTGCGATTCGAGGTCACAGATTCCGTCTGAGATGGGAGGCGCTGGGGAACTGGGGGCTCCAGTCCTGGTATGAGACTCTCAACAGCAACATCAGCTTTTTCTTTCGTAACAGAGCATTAAGAAGAGGAAAGGGTAAGGGAAAGGGAGTCAGAAGTTTCTTTAGGAAATTCTGTGAAGCTTTCTTCTTTTTTTTTAATTCTCATTTTTTGAGATGGTGTCTTGCTCCTGAGCTCAAGCGATCTATCCCACCTTGGCCTCCCAAAGTCCTGTGGTTACAAGTGTGAGCCACTGCACCCAGCCATGTGAAGACTTTCTTTTAACAGGTCTCTAAAATGCCAGTCTCAGGCAAGGTGGAAAGAAAAATAAGTTACTTTATTTCTGCTGCTCTGAATGTCTAGGCTTCACTGAGCATGCATGTGCAAGGTTAAATACTGTGGCCAGTCTCACTAATGATCAGTTCTCATAAACAAATTCAGAACATAAGCCGCTCAGCAAACCTCTTCCATGTCAGAAGAGATGGGCTGAAAGGCACCTTAATTTTTTCTGGTAATTTCACTTTTATTAAGGGATAAACCTGGGGGCAAACATCCTCTGTGCCATGCAAAGGCCATTAATCCATCTCAAACCCCATCCCAGGATGTAGCTGGGAGGCCTTTTGCACCACGTGACACCCCTCAGCTGCAGGCCTACCCCTATGCAAGGTCATGGCACTTCTGAGTTCTAGGACTTTCTGCCCAAAGGCATTATTAGGTGCCTCATGATTGGACCCTCCTGGAGTACAGGGGCCTTGGACATTTTGCAAATCTTGCCTGCCTTGCTGTTGGAACATAGGAAAATGTGAGAGAGGAAGCAGACCAAGCCCCTGCCCTGGATTCTATTTATGGGGCTTAACCAGTGGGCAAAATGTTTTCTCAGTTACTGATACTTGGTATATACATGGACCTTTTTAAATTTTTTAATTTTGTTTAAGATGGGTCTCTGTCACTTAAGCTGGAGGGCAGTGGCATGATCAGGGCTCACTGCAGCCTCAAACCCCCTGGCTCAAAGTGATCTTCCGTCTCAGCCTCCCAAAGAGCTGGTAGCACAGGTGTGCACCCCCACACCTGGCTAACTAACAACATTTTTTTTGTAGGGATGGGGTCTTCCTATGCTTCCCAGGCTCGTCCCACTGCAGCTGGATGTACATGGGCCTTCTAAAGAAGAATCTGGGCTGGGCATGGTGGCTCACCCCTGTAATCCCAGCACTTTGGGAGGCCAAGGCAGGTGGATCACCTGAGGTCAGGAGTTCGAGACCAGCCTGACCAACATGGAGAAACCCTATCTCTACTAAAAATATAAAAATTAGCCAGGCATGGTGGTGCATGCCTGTAATCTCAGCTACTCGGGAGGCTGAGGCAGGAGAATTGCTTGAACCCGGGAGATGGAGGTTGCAGTGAGCTGAGATCTTGCCATTGCACTCCAGCCTAGGCAACAAGAGTGAAACTCTGTCTCAAACAAAAAAAAAAAAAAGAAGAATCTGCTAAATTTCATTAAGTTCAGTAAAGGTAGTCTAGTTAGAAACCAATTTTTTAAAGTTCTTCTAACTAAATGTGAAACTTTCCACATTCCTCCTCATTCATAAGAGATCCACTCTAGAAATCTCCAGATATCAAGAAAGGCAAAAAATAGACGTTGTACCCCCGAAAAGCAAGGAAAACACTTCATTTGGAGTGATACAAGTGAGATTAAATAGCCTTGGCTTCTGGGGTGGCAGGGCTATTCCCCAGGGATTGGTTAACTAGGTACTTGTCATTCTTGAAACAGGCACACATATCATGCATGACTGAAGAAACAGAGATGATGACTTTACCAATTACAGCATCAGAAGTGCTACCAAAAGGATCTGTCATAGGCAAGAGGTCAGGGAGCAGAAGAGAAGTGTCAGGAGATTTGAGTCCCTCAATTAGTTTTTCTACGTTGGGCAGAGAGACAAAAAGAAAGCAAAAATGTAGTAAGATATTAAAGCCAGCGGATCATTCACTATTCTTTAAGCAAACACATTTTAGGGGTCAATATTTGGTACAGGTTCACCATAAAAATGAATGCTATTAATATCTTGTTAACAACAGGTTTTCAAAATTGGAAGTTTAAAAATGATTACTTCCTCAAGTGAAGTAGTCACTTTGTAAGGCATTCAAGATGCTGTCCTGGGTGCGTCTGCTTGTTTTTATTTGAGGTGTAATTTGCATACAATAAAAGTCGCCCATTTTAAGTGTACAATGTGGTTAGTCTGGACAAATGTATACATTCATATCATTACCACTGAAATGATACAGAACATTTCCAAAACCTGAGAAAATTCCTTCATAACCCTTTACAGTCAGTGCCTTCCTCTCACCACAGACCCTGGTAACAACAGATCTGCTTTCTGTCCCTACAGCTTTGCCTTTTCCAGAATTTCCTATAAATGGAACCACAGAGTATGTAGTCTTTTGTGTGTGGTTTCCTTCCTTTGGCATAATGCCTTTGAGATGAAAGTCATCCGTGTGGTCGCAAGTATCAATAGTTTGCTCTGTTTTTCTGCTGAGTCCTGTTCCATTGTATGGCTGTACCACACTTTGTTGATCCATTCACCAACTGAACATTTGGTTGTTTCCAGTTTTTAAGCTGGTAAAAATAAAGCTGCCATAAACATTTGCATATAAATCTTTGTATGTTCATTTTCCTTCTCGGGCTTAGTTTTGAATCTCTCTCTTTTTTCGGGGGTTGGGGGGGACTTTATTTAGAAACAGTTTATAACTCACCAAGATAATCAATTCAACCACACCTAAGCTGACTTCAACGATCATTTATTGTCTGCCAACTATGCACCTGTGACATGCTGGCAGTCATATTATTCTATGGTCAAATATCACAAAATTCACTTAAGCCCAAAAATGGATTACTCTTGATGTCTTCTGGCCAAGAAATAAAAGGACGCCTGAGCCACCAGACTTGTCACACCTGGTAACTTAATGTTTGACAATGTGTGCACATTTGGATTCCTTCCAAAACAATTCTTTTAGCCCGATCCATCAAGAACCCTCTATTTACCTTTAAGCTATTAAAGGTAAAGCATTAACTTGAAACAAAATAATGAATCATAGAATCTTATAGGAAGAAGGGAATTTAGAGCTCACATTTCCTGTTAAGAGGAGACTTAGATCACATAAATTCTGTAACTTGCCCAATTAAAGACATGTCAACAACGTTCTTTTAAACCATGGAAATGTCATTAAGAGAACTAAAATTAAAATGTTTGCTTGAGAAAAAGAAGTGACTTAAAGTCCAAGAACGTGTATATAACGTTGTAATAAATCTGTATTCTTCTAGGCCATTTGGGAATTGAGATAAGCAAGAAATAAATTGATATTCATGGAAAAACAGGAACCAAATTTTAGGTGATCTTCAATTTAGGTGATCTGTAACTACACAGGTCAAACAAAAGAATGGATTTCAGAGTCTTGGCAAGATAATTTGCTTTAGTATAATTAACACACTGCAGAAAAAGACTTATATGTAAAGCCAATTCACCATCTCTGGAGTCTACGGAATGCAGATAACTTTGAATTAAATGACAATAAGCTACATATCTCATTTATACCTCGTTTATATTAAAAAAAGGAAGGACGGCTGGGTGCAGTGGCTCACGCCTGTAATCCCAGCACTTTGGGAGGCCGAGGTGGGTGGATCACCTGAGGACAGGAGTTCGAGACCAGCCTGGCCAACATGGGGAAATCCACATCTCTACTTAAAATACAAAAATTAGCCGGGTGTGGTAGTGCATGCCTATAGTCCCAGCCTGACCAACATGGCGAAACCCCGCCTCTACTAAAAATACAAAAATTAGCCAGGCGTGGTGGCGCATGCCTGAAGTCCCAGCTACTCAGGAGGCTGAGGCAAGAGAATTGCTTGTACTCAGGAGGCGGAGGCTGCACTGAGCCAAGATCATGCCATTGCACTCCAGCCTGGGTGACAGAGTGAGTCTCAAAAAAAAAAATAATAATAATAAATAAAAACATAAAAAAAAGGAAGGAAAAAAAAGGAAGTTTTTCAGTTGCAGGAAAAAAACCCTCACAGGGCACTAACCAAGTATACAAGTGTAATTATATTAGCATTAACCTTACACTGTATATGACATTATAAGATGTTAAAAATATCTCTAATAATTTTCAGCATACTGGTAAAAATAAGATGGTTTTCCTAAAAAGTCTAACTTTGCATTGCTCCAAACACTAGTTTTTGCTTCATTCCTCTCTCCTCAAAAAACTGTCACTTAAAAAAATGAAATTACTTGCTTCTTTTAAGTTAGCACTCATATATTTGCAATCTTGAAAAGCAATGGATAAAAAGTAAAGACCCAAAATTACTTGCTTGTCTTTCATGCAGCAGTTTATCTTGGTGCAAAACCTCAGGCTAGCATTCTTTCAGATTCTGAATTCTAGCCTCTCTGGTGACATGTTGTGACTCTGGCACAGTTCCTTAACCTTCTGACATTATCTCCTCATCTGTAAAATGGAGATGCCTCCCCCTACTTTTTTGTACTTGTCACTCAATACTATCTCCTGTAAGCCTTTCCCCACCTTCCTGCCACATCAGGAATCTTCTGGAGCATCCTGCACTCAATTCTCTCGCAGCCCTTAAGCATGACTGAAGGTAAGGAAGGGTCTTACGAACCTTTGTATCCCAGTTCTTGGTTTCCCCTCAGATGCCCTGCCACATCTATGCCTTTTGGCTTGACTGGGGAGGTGGAAAGAACAGGAATTGAAGAAAATCTCTCTTTTTTTTTTTTTTCTGAGATGGGAGTTTCGCTCTTGTCGCCCAGGCTGGAGTGCAATGGCACAATTTCGGCTCACTTGCAACCTCCCTCTCCCATGTTCAAGCGATTCTCCTGCCTCAGTCTCCAGTAACTGGGATTACGAGTGTGCGCCACCACACTCGGCTAATTTTTGTATTTTTAGCAGAGATGGGGTTTCACTATGATGGCCAGGTTGGTCTCGAACTCCTGACCTCAGGTGATCCACCCACCTTGGCCTCCCAAAGTGCTGGGATTACAGATGTGAGTCACTGAGCCTGGCCTTTTTTTTTTTTAAGAGACAGGATAGTGCTCTGCCACCCGGGCTGAAGTGCTGTGGAACGATCACGGCTCACTGCAGCCTCGAACTCTCGGGCTCAACAGATCCTTCAGCCGCAGCCTTCTGAGAAGCTAGGGCTACAGGCATGTACCACCATGCTCGGCTAATATTTTTTATTTTTCATTTTAGTAGAGATGGGGTCTCGCTATGCTGCCCAGGACAATCTTAAGCTCCTGGCCTCAAGTAATCCTCCTGCCTCAGCCTCCTGAGTTGCTGACATTACAGGTATGAGCCACTGAACCTGGCTCAAGAATCTAATATTTTTATAAGTCATTAGCAAAAAGCACGTGGGAGGGTAAAGAAGTACATGAGTGTACACGTGTTGTGTGGTGAGACAGAATGGTGTAAACTGCCTGATTTAGGGGGGCTTATTTTCTGACCAAACCTCAAAGTAACAAGCTATTCACATAGATAACTTGTATGGTCACGGCTGCTTGGGAATACTCAAATACCAGAAATGTGGGAGGGAGGAGCTGCAGACAGAACAATACCAGGCACAAAGCTGGGAGTGAGAGCACAGGCCATGTCTATGTAAGGTGGACAGCTGTGCGAAAAGCTACTTGGACTCCCAGGACTCTCACAGGGAAGGAAGGCTCCCAGTGACTCAGTTGGCCTCCAGGTGCCATCACAATGATGGACGTCACTTACATTTGTAGAGCTTAATATCAAATATTTTCATTCATTATTCAAAAACCCCTGGGTTTGGGAATACTAATACAGTTTAAAAGAATGAAGATCAGAGACTATGAGAATGTGCAACTTGCCCAAAGTCACAGATTAGACATGGTAGAGCCTGGACTTGTCTCTGAAGTTCTCTCTGTATCTGTCTAGGGGTCTGCCTATCTCCATCAATATAGGAATATGAGTCTTCACATAGACATGGTCCCAGGGACAACGGTAATGTTATCAGACAGGTTAGCATTGGAAAGAACCTCATATCTTATCTAATTCAGCCTTCTCCTCTATGAATGAAGAAACCAGCTCCAGAAAGTTAAAGAAACTTGCCAAAGATCTCACAGCAAGCAAGCAAGAGAGCTAGCTGATACTAAGACTCAGATATCTGACCACACTGGAGTTTCATTCTTCTGGTTTAACTAAAGTTTTGATTGCTTTAAAATGTAAGGACTCTTAGAAGAGGTCACATCTAAAGCTATTACTGGTCATTTTTGGTCATTGTAAATGAAGAACTTGAGAAAAGGATGTAATGGGAGGCACAAGAAAGGCTATAGGATGCTGACAGTCTATAAATCATGGAGCCTGGAGGCCTTCCATCTGCATCAAGGGCTGGCCCTGATATCCTTTGTTTTATAAATTCTGTCCTTTCCCTTACAGTTTAATAGAAACACACCGAAGCCAAGTATCATGATGGGGCATGGAGAAGAACAGCACAGAGAAGAGAGTGGTGAATGTAGGAAACTGTAGAAGTGTTCCTTAAGATCCAAAAACATCAATCACGCTTCACATCAGCATATCGTGACTTAGTGATGTCTAATGAACAAAGACCTTTTTTCACCATGAGTTATGAGAAGTGACTTCTTTGGATGCAAAGGCAAAAGCCATTCTTCTGGGACAGTTCATACCTGAAATGTACAAAGACTGACACTGTTATTCTCAATTATTTAAGGGGATAGACCAATGAAACCCCCAAATTATTCATAAATTGTATTTTAGTAATGATTTAATCTTCCTATGAAATGTTTGTGAAAAGCAATTGGACAATTCTGAAGAGAAGAAAATGGTCCAGTTTTGCATTAGTATTTTTTGTTTGTTTGCTTTTTTTTTTTTTTTTTTTGAGACAGAGTTTCACTCTTGTTGCCCAGGCTGGAGTGCAATGGCGCGATCTCAGCTCACTGCAACCTCCGCCTCCTAGGTTCAAGCAATTCTCCCGCCTCAGCCTCCCGAGTATCTGGCATTATAGGCGCCTGCCACCACGCCCAGCTAATTTTTGTTATTTTTATTAGAAATGGGGTTTCGCCATGTGGGCCAGGCTGGTCTCAAACTCCTGACCTCAGGTGATCCAAAGTGCTGGAATTACAGGTGTGAGCCACTGTGCTCGGCCAAGTTTTGCATTAGTTTTTAGGCTTACTCTGATATTTTTAGAACTGACTCCAGACTCTAAACGTGTGTGTGTGGACGTGTGTGTGTGTGTGTGTGTGTGTGTGTGTTTGAGGGAGGGGAACAAAAGTTGAATAACTATTGGGTACTATGTTCAGTACCTGAGTGATGGGATCAGTTGTACCCCAAACCTCAGCATCATGCTATGTACCCAGGTAACAAACATGCACACGTATCCCCTAAATCTAGAAAATAAGTTGAAGTTATAAAAAAAGATAGAGAGTATCATTTTATTGATTTATTTTTACCTTTTATTGTGATACTATACATTTTTTGAATTTTAGCTGGGGCCTGCAAAATCCCAAAAAGTAAAGAGTAAAAGAGCCTGAATTTAAGTTGCCTGATTTTTCTAAGCAATTTTCTCACCTGTAAACAGATTAAGAACTACTTTAAAGTGTTGTTGGGATTAAAAGGGTGTATTTATCAGAATTAATGCGTGTGTATAAATAAAGTGTTTGGTACATAAAAGGGGATTAACGTCTCTTTTAAGTAAGAGGACTAAATGGGCTAGGGGGTCACCAAGCCACAGGTGCCTGTGATTACAGTAGTGAATATGGGTCAAGTTCCATATTTTACTCAAATGTCTTGGGTGAGAACAGAATAAGCAGAACTGTTAGAATAAAGTGAAAGGTGGGGAAGAGGCAGGATGGTCTAACAGAGAGGTACACAAGGTACTAAGAAACAGGAGACCTGCTCTACACTAAGTTTGTGTAGTACTTTGGGCAAATCTCTTACTCTTTCTAGACTGAAGTTCTCTTATGGACAAAATGAAGATAAACTGACCAGGCGCAGTGGCTCACACTTGTAATCCCAGCACTCCTACCTCAGCCTCCAAGTAACTGGAACTACAGATGCATGCCACCATGCCTGGCTAACTTAAAACTTTTTTTTTTTTTTGAAAAAATGGCGTCCCTGTATGTTACCCAGTCTCATCTCAAACTCCTGGCCTCAGGCGATCCACCCAACTCAGCCTCCCAAAGTGCTGGGATTACAGGAGCGAGCCACCATATCCAGCCCCTCTCCTAAAATATCAAAAGAGAAGCCGGCTATGGGGCTCACCCCTGTAATCCCAGCACTTTGGGAAGCTGAGGCGGGTGGATCACCTGAGGTCAGGAGTTCAAGACCAGCCTGGCCAGCATGGTGAAACACAATCTCTACGAAAAATACAAAAATTAGCCAGGCGTGGTGGCGCATGCCTGTAATCTGAGCTACTCGGGGGGCTGAGGCAGGAGAATTGCTTGAAGCCAGGAGGCAGAGGTTGCAGCAAGCTGAGATCACACCATTGCACTCCAGACTGGGCGACAGAGCGAGACTCCGTCTCAAAAAAAAAAAAAAAAAGAGGACAGGTATCTACTTATACAGGCTAATAAAACCAAGGGCTTTCTCAAGGCCCATTCTGACTCTGGTTAGGAATATGAGCAGGAGGAGTAGAACGGCAGGACTCACAGACATGGAAGGGCCGAATACCAGCCCCACCAAAAAAGAGGACACGGCCACTCCAGCCTTGTGGCTTTGGAAATCTATGTTCTGTCTGAGTTGGGGTGTAAGCCCTGAAGTCTCATGACGAGAGATGATGTTTTAAAACTCTAGTCACCCTAAAAAAGAAATAAAATAAAATGAAATCTAGTCACTCTAAAGAGTTCTTAGCATTGAGAAACCATTTGTGACATCTGCAAGTTGGAAGCAAAAGTCAAACATCATGCCCCATTCCAAGTTCATTTTAGAGAATTAAATCTGCAGAAAGATAAGCTTTCCAGAGTAAAAACACATATTATGATCAACCTTGGACTTCTCAGTATCACGAGACAGCAGTTGGAAATGAGGAAGAGGCCAGGCCAAAAGTTATGAGAAGAATGCCCGTCTTGACTATAAACTTTTGAGAAAACACAGCTTCTCTTGCTTAACTTCTCAAGAGATGATGAATTGCCATAAACCAAGAGGCACTTTTTTAAAAAAGTTTTTAATTCTAAGAAGCAGCACTGATGGGGCAACGAATGTCTTCTTGCTTAGTCTGTGGAACGCCGAGATCAGTACTGCAGACTTGTTATAAAGATCGTTTCCTCAAATCCTTGGGCATTGTTGGTGGGAATGTAAAATGATGCAGCCTCTATGGAAAACAGTGGTCCTCAAAAAGTTAAAAATAGAATTAGCATATGATCCAGCAATTCCATTTCTGGGTATATACCCAAGAGAATTGAAAGCAGGATCTGGAAGAGAAATTTGTGCACTCAATGTTCACAGAGGCATCTCTCACAAAAGACAAAAGATGGAAGCAACCCAAGTGTCCATTAACAGATGAAAGGAGAAAGAAAATGTGGTATATACATACAATGGAATATTACTTAGCCTGAGAAAGGAAGAAAATTCTGACATATCCTACAACATGAATGAACCTTAAGGATATGATACTAAATGAAATAAGCCAGTCACAAAAGGACAAATACTGTATGATTCCACTTACATTCGGTTCCTAGAGTAGTAAAATTCATAGAGACAGAAAATAGAGTGGTGGTTGCCAGGGGCTGGGGGGAGGGGAAATAGAGAGTTGTTGTTTAATGGGTACAGAGTTTCAGTTTCACAAGTTGAAAAAAGGTGGGTGGATGGATGGTAGTGATGGCTGCAAAACAATGAGAATATACTTAATGCCACTGAACTGTACACTTAGAAATGGTTAAAATGGTAAATCTCATTATGTACATTTTACTACAATTTAAAAGAATGATTTAAAAATATTGTCCCCAGTTTTCAGAGAAAATTCCTCAATCTTTCTAAAATATATCTATGTGTGTGTACCCACACACACACACACACACACACTTTTTAAGAGACAGGGTCTCACTCTGTCACACCCAGGCTAGAGTGTAGTAGTGTGATCATAGCTCATTGCAGCCTCAAACTCCTGGGCTCAAGGATCCTCCTGCCTCAGCCTCCCAAGTAGCTAGGACTACAGGCATGCAGCACTATGCCTGGCTAATTAAAAAAAAATTTTTTTTTTTTTAGATACAGGGTCTCACCACGTTGCCCAGGCTGGTCTCGAACTCCCAGGCTCAAGTGATCCTTTCGCCTTGGCCCCGCAAAGTGCTGAGATTATAGGCATGAGCCTGGCCCAGCCTCTTTTCTACCATATTTTAAAATGCTGGTACTACTTATAGCTTATCTGTTTCCTAATGCATACAGAAGGCAAATAAATGGACAAGCAGCATTTGAGCATCAGTGAAATACTCTGAGACTCACTAGCCATGCATCATTTGGCAGCTTTGTAAGCATACAAATGTTCATGGCTATGATTTTCATATTCCAGACCTTCTAAGAAAATTTGTTTTATAGTGCTTTGAAAAATAAAAATATTCCTTAAAACAAACCAACGAACCAACCTACAATTATCCAGTGCCCTTTACCCATAGTTTGACAATCACTGTATCCAGGAAATCTATTTTAATGGTTCTCAGTTGTGCAAAAGTTAAAGGTCATAAGAGCAAGTTTAATTTCAACAAGAGAAAAATATCATTTTATGATAACTAGGACTGCCCCACTGGGAATAGGGATGTAGAACCAAAGTTGAAACAGCATTTCCCATCTTTATAGTAATTTAAAATTCACATAGAAATTTCAAATACATGATTTCATCTAACCTTGTGACCACCCCATAAGGTAGGTTTTAGTATTGCCAATTTTAAGGATAAGAACACACAATTTAAGTGATTTGACCACAATCACCTAGCCACTAATGGCTAGAACTCAGGACTAACAGTTTCAGATCTATTTTTATATTTCCCAAAGCCTTAAATTTAGCTCTCTGGTCAAAGGCTTTATTGATCTGAGAACTGTCCCAAAGATAAAAGAACCCTCCACTGTTTGGGGAGTGTGGGCAATAAGAAGAATGTGTGGCTGAGCACAGTCCAAACAACACTAAGGACTCACTTCCTCACCCACACCATGAGGGCGTTACTTGACATTATCTACCACCTACCACTCCCCAGTATCTATAAGATCAAAGGTACTTGTACGTGAAATCATTTTAAAAGCATAAAATAAAAAAGTTAAAAGTCATTGAAACGCATGGTCTTCAGGAGACTGAGAGTCCATGAGTCTTTTTTTTTTTGAGACGGAGTCTTGCTCTGTCACCCAGGCTGGAGTGCAGTGGCGCGATCTCAGCTCACTGCAATCTCTGCCTCCCAGGTTCAAGCAATTCTTCTGCCTCAGCCTCCTGAGTGCCTGGGATTATAGGCGCCCACCACCATGCCCAGCTAATTTTTGTATTTTTAGTAGAGACAGGGTCCCACCATGTTGGCCAGATTGGCCTCGAACGCCTGACCTCAGGTGATCCACCTGCCTCGGCCTCCCAGAGTGCTGGGATTACAGGCGTGAGCCACCGTGCCTGGCCAATTCTTTTTTTTTTTTTTTTTTTTTTGAGATAGAGTCTTGCTCTGTCGCCCAGGATAGAGTGGAGGAGTGTGACCTCAGCTCACTGGAAACTCCACCTCCCGGGTTCAAGCAATTCTCCTGTCTCAGTCTCCCGAGTACCTGCAAGTACAGGCGCATGCCACCACGCCTGGCTAATTTTTGTATTTTTAGTAGAGACAGGGATTTCATCGTATTGGTCAGGCTGGTTTCGAACTCCTGACCTCAGGTGATCCACCCGCCTCGACCTCCCAAAGTGCTGGTATTACAGGTGTCAGCTACCACGCCCAGCCTTTCATGATTCTTATCATCAGTATGGCTGAGAGTAGAAGATGAGCATGTATGCAAAACAAAGAAAATCAGGCAAAAAACTTGACTGGTGTCCATAGTGGGCTGGAGGTGTGACAGACTACTTGCTTTTTGCGGGGTAAAACCAAATTTGTAGTTTGCCCAGGTTCTAGAGACACTGAACCCTGAGCCCTTTCCTCACTCAATATTCAAAAATGTTAAAAAAGGATGCAGTAAGGCTGAGGCAGGAGAATGGCGTGAACCCGGGAGGCGGAGCTTGCAGTGAGCCGAGATCGCGCCACTGCACTCCAGCCTGGGCGACAGAGCGAGACTCCGTCTCAAAAAAAAAAAAAAAAAAAGGATGCAGTGGCCTTGATATAGAAGCTGTGTAACTGAATGTGCTAGAGGCTGAATGTTAAAATAAGCAGAATAGTCAAAGCCACCGTGGTAATATAACATACTTAGCACAATTCTGCAGGACACCGTGAAAGGACGGGGCTAAACGACCTGCTGAGCCTAGCTACTATTCTCATCAGCCCAGGGACTGGCAGCTGCCTGACACTGTGGGCTGTGCCTTCCTTTATTCACTCTCAAAGAGTGGGTGTGGGGGGACTGGCTGGGAGTTGGCAGAGGTGCAGATGGAAGGCTATGGAGCCAGTCGTCTGGTGCCTGGGAGCTGGGACAGAAATGCAGGGTAATGGGGCCACCTAAAGGCTTCCAGCTTCTGGTTTTATTTCATTCATTTGTCGGATCTGTAAATACTCACTAAGTGAATACAGACAGTGTCGTTGGCACAGCTGATACAGGTGATGAATAAGACAGATGAGGCCCCTCCCTCAGAGAGTGATAGGATGAGGAAAGACAGACTATGTCCTGATAAGGGCTATGAAGAAAAAGTGCCAGGGGATGTGACTGGGAGTGCCCATGGGACCACACTGGGCCTTTCTGAGCAGACGGCATTTAAGCTGAGACCCACAGGTTGAATGACACAAGGGAACAAAACTGAAGGGAAGGCTTTCCAAGCTGAGCACCAGCAAGTGCAAAGTCCCCAGGGTGGGAACAAGCTTAGCTTGTTGGAGGAAAGACAAGATGGAGGGGAACAGCGCTCTCAGCTGAGATTAGAGGGGTAGGCAAGGGCCACACCACTTAGGGCCTTGCAGGTCGCAGTAAGCAGCCTGGATTTTATGCCCCCTCAGTGATATGAGAATTCACCAAAGCACAGAAGAGTTAACTGTCTGACTTATGTTTTCAACAGATGAGTCTGGTCTGACAGATCAGAAAGTAAATAATACACTCCTGCAGTTCTCTATTAAAATGTCTCATTTTAGTTGATCTTTCCACCGAAACCCAAGAGAGGTCTTGGCTTAATTGGTATTAAAGTGTATACCAGTAACATTTCAGCAGGAATCCACCAGGATGAAAGAAGCATGGAGGACCAGGAGACAGGAAAGATGACAAGAAGGCAGGCAGGATGGCAGCCAGCTGGCTCTGGTGGCCCCAGACGCATTTCCACAAGCTGAAGCCGATTTCCTGAGCCACCTGGGGCATGTGCCTGGCTCTTCAACCCTGATCCAGAGGACTCCTGTGACAGCTGCACAGGACAGTTACTTGCCTGAGGGCCCTCATCCTCTGCCCTGTGCAAAGAGGCCTTCTTCCTGGCTTCTGCAGCCCATGGGCTACCTAAGCAACAGCAAAGCAAGAACCTGAAGGGGTGTCAAAAGGAGAATGCCTCCATCACCTCTTTCCCTTGTCTGATCCCATGATTACCAAAACAGGGAGGAAAAGACAGTGAGCCCCAGCTGGAGTTTACAGCCCACACTTTTCTAACCTTCTATTCAAAATGAACTTGTCCAAGTACTGCCAGGCATACCTGAAAAGTGCAAAGGAAAAAAGCGCCTCTATTTCATTCCTTTCTTCCCTTTTAACTACCCTGTATTGAATCATTCCTTAGTGGTTTTCGATATTTTTAAGCTACATCCAGGTCCAGTAAGCTATAAAGTTATACAGTACTACCTGATCAAGGCAAGTGTTTGCTTCTCCTTAGAGGGGTAAACAAATTTGTCTAAAAATAAAAAATAAAAACTGCCTTGGTACCCTAGCTGCAGTCTGTCTTAGTGATGGTGGGCAGACTTGGTAAAGGATATGAACATCGCAGTCACTTCCAGTCTTGAAGCAAGCAATCAAATACCTTTAACATTTTGGGAGAGAAAAAAAACCAAGCCAGTCCTGTCAGTTCAAGGTCAAGAGTTGGTAGGGGCAACAATGGGAAAAAAGGAAAAATGATCAGAAGCAAAACAACTGTCAACTGCTTCTAAGGAGCTGGAACAATTTGCTTTTGTGAAGAGACTGACAGATAAGAGAAAGGGCGGCTTCTCTTCCCCACACCACTCCTCCCACCAAAGAGTACGGAAGGAAGGCCGGAAGGAAAAGCTTTGGCAACTTGAACTCCAACTGGGAAGCATCCAATCACTGTTCCAAAAGCTCTTTCAGAACACATCAACCACTTTCTACTTTTTAGACTGCTACTTAAAATTGAGATATGGTGGACTACAAGAGATATTCAAACTCCTGCAGTCCAACACACTTCACTGATGAAGAACCAAGCCCAGAAGGTTTTCAGGTAGCGGCAGAGCCTGGAAGGGAACCCAGGTCTCCTGACGCACATTCCCTATTAATTATTATCCCATTCCCTAATTATCATTATGTGTTTTTATATTATAAAATAAAAAGGCATTATAGAAAAGAACTGAACAGCAGTCACCCACAATCCCATGATCACACTATCACCACTATTCATATTTTGATCACTTTATCATGTGCTTACAGCCTCCCCACCATTGTTAAAATCATATTGGACTAATGTTCTTTCCAATACAGAGGCCCCTCACGTCACCATTAACACAATCAAGGATGAAAAACTGAACATTGATATAATATGGAAATCAATTTGGTATAACCTGAACTGATTTTATCTTTGCTAAGGGCTGGTACCCTCCAGGACAAGTTTACTCCTCTTATTGAGACACAGTAAAAATATACAACAGCAGCCTATTATTAGGGCTTGGAATTCAGATCCTTTTCACGGGGTATTTAAGGCAGAACTTTCTACAAGGCCTGGGACATGCAAATCAAGCTGCTTAACCTCAGAACAGTTCTGTTCACCTACCTGGTGCATCAGGTACTTGAAGAGGAATGAAAGGATCAGACACGCTTAGAAGCGGGAGGCCAGAGTCCACAGTCTGCCCACCCTTCCTTTTTTCAGCTGGAGTTAGGTTGGAGGGGAAGGAGGAGTCAGGAGAGAAAAAAAGAGAAAAGCAATAACACCAAGTAAATCTAGGTAAGTTTACCCTCTATTAATGCAACAGTTCAAACTACAGAGTAAGTCTAAGCCTAGAATAAAAGTGGCTGTAGCTCAGTGAACAGCAAAGTATCTATGAGATACTCAATCTGGCCCGTTTTTTTTTTTTTTTTGAGACGAAGTCTCACTCGTGTCCACCAGGCTGGAGTGCAATGGCACAATCTCGGCTCACTGAAACCTCCGCCTCCCGGTTCAAGCGATTCTCCTGCCTCAGCCTCCTGAGTCGCCAGGCGCCTGCCACCACGCACAGCTAATTTTTGTATTTTTAATAAAGACAGGGTTTCACCATGTTGGTCAGGCTAGTCTTGAACTCCTGATCTCAGGTGATCCACCCACCTCAGCCTCCCAAAGTGCTGGGATTACAGGCATGAGCCACCGCACCCAGCTCAACCTGGTCCTTGCAACATATTATGAGATGCAATTAACAATAAAACCAGGGTATTCATATGTCTGAAATTCCACTCCTTTCTTGGATATACTGCAGTCTACAGTATCTCTTTCAGAATGTCGAGAGGAGGTAATGTCCATATCACACATTTTAGCACATAAACAGATATAACACTATCTGTTTTGTAATCTAGCATGTGTATAGGTACTTCCTATGTATCTATCACCCTCTTGAGGTCCTTTAAGGACTAAGTCCTACTGTATCACCATGATGTCTAATATAGTGATAGGCAGACACACAGAAAGGGGCAGAAATAGACTTCTTGCCTATTCCAAGGTTAGACAAGCCCTAATCTCTGTACTATACTTAACATACTATTGGCATTCATTCTATATTTGGCAAAATATAGATTTACAGAACTCTATACACCCTATGGAATAACAGAGCTTGACGTGGTCTCAGAATTTTCTGGCACAATTTTCTTATTTCCCCATAAAAGAAAATGAAGCCTAAACGTTAAAGACTAGCCAGAGGTAGGATCAGAAGCCAGGTTTCTTGGTTTCCACTTTATCATTCTTTTTATTTTTTTTCTCCAAGAGACTGAGGTCTTGCTATGTTAACTAGGCTGGACTTAAACTCCTGGGCTCAAGCGATCCTCCCACCTCAGCCTAGTAGCCTAGTAGCTAGGATTACAGGCATGCACCACCACATGCAGCTTTACATTATCATTCTTTTTTTTTTTTTTTTTTTTTTTTTGAGATGGAGTCTTGCTCTGTTGCCCAGGCTGGAGTACAGTGGTGCAATTTTGGCTCACTGCAAGCTCTGCCTCCCAGGTTCAAGCAATTCTCTGCCTCAGCCTCCCGAGTAGCTGGGATTACAGGCACCTACCACCACACCTGGCTAATTTTTGTATTTTTAGTAGAGACGGGGTTTTACCATGTTGGCCAGGCTGCTCTTGAACTCCTGACCTTGTGATCCAACTGCCTCGGCCTCCCAAAGTGCTGGGATTACAGGCGTGAGCCACCGTGCCCAGCCATACATAATCATTCTTTACTTTGCATTTCAGTATTCAGTTTGTTCGTTAATTAAAATCTCATTTTGTTTGTCAGCTGTCTTTCTAGAAAAAAAAAAGCCTCATTTTGTTTCTATAAAGTGGGTTTTTAAAAAACGTTTTATTTTGAAGTAATACAGAACCACAAGAAGTTCCTGCACATACAGTCCTGTGAACCCTTCAACCAGCTTCCCCCAGTGGTGATGTCTTATATAAACTGTAGCCTGAGATCACCGACTCCAGCACAGTACCGCGGCCCTAGGCTCCTCAGTGCTCACCAGTTGTTACGTGGCCCTATTTGTGCATGTGTCTACTGTTCTTTTCTTCTCCCCTCAGTGCCGATGTCACCCATACCTCTGGCTCTGGGACCCCACCCACACCCTCTGCTCTGTTCTCCCTCCACCCCACCCCACCCCACCCCACTCATGTCTCTCTGCCTCTTTTCATCTCGCTCCCTGGACATCCCTGTCTTTCTCAATGACCCCTGAATCCCTCCTTCTCAGCCTGAGTGGTGCTGGGTTGAATTTGGAAATCATGGGGCTCAGCATCCCCTCTACTAATCCCCTTGGCCTGGGCCATCAAATGTGGGACATTTCTTTTCACCTCTCTTGGCCTCAGTGTTCTGTCTGTAAAACAGGCTTGTGGAGGAGTCAAAGTGCTGAGCATGTGTGGGCATCACTGGCAGCATCTCTGTGGGCAACTGGCTCTGATTTCCTTCTTTCCCTGTCTTGGACTTTACCTGTCTCTGAATCTTGGTCTCTCTCCAGTTCTGCCTCTGGCATGAGGAGGATGCTCTGGGGTCTACTGGGCAGCTGTGATGACATGGGAGAGTTTCCACCCCACCCACCTCTATTCCACATTTCTCGTAGTCAGTGGCTGACCGGGCCTCTTTCTCCCCACCTCCCCTGCCCCCGAGAGCCCAGTGCCCCAGTCCCTTGCCCTCGCCTACTCAGTACCCAGCATCTCTTGAATACACTCTGCCACTGTCACAGCAGCCACCTCTGCCACCCTTAATGCTACCTCCTCAGGGCACGCAAGATATAGTCTGAGATGCATGATAAAGTGGAAGGCAAAGGTGGGATTGCTGGATGGACCGGCGACATTTCCAGTCCCTGGAATCTGGCCGCCTCCTTTACATCCTGGCTTCAAAGACATACGGCACCTGCTTTCACTCCAGAGGCCCTTGAAATGTGGGAACCCAGTGCCCCAGGCCCAGATATGGAGGTGGTGGCATGTGTGATGCTTACCATTCCTCAGGTGTGCAGGAACTTCCCAGCCCCAGCTCAACTAGATGGGTAACAGGCAAGGGCCAATAGGGACAGACTGGGGTGTTAATACCCAGATGTGGCAGAAGGGAATGGGGAGGTGCAGTGGCATCCCCTTAGTGGGTAACCTCCTCCATCATCTCCACAGCCATGTCCTACCCAGTGGCCGGTCAGCCCCAGTGTGCCAGCAGCTGCTATCAGACCCAGCTCAGTGACTGGCACACTGAACTCTCAGGACTGTGAGTATCTGCCCTCTTCATCTCCAGGCCTGCCCTGGGAAGTGGGGATGGGATGGAAGGTCACCTCCAACCCCCACTGACACACTACTAACCCCACTGTTCTTTGGACTCTGAATTCCCACTCTCTAACCCTCAGCCCTTCCTTGGACTTCCAACACTCCTTGGGATCCTAATCTCACACCTTCCAACACTCAACTTCTTGGACCTTCAACCTTCTTCTAGGACCCCCAACTCCTCATTCAAACCGTATTTCTCAGCCTTTAAAGCACTCCCTTCTGGGGCCCCTAGTTCCCTCTGGGACTTTCACTTCCCCCAACCTGTGTGTATAGTTCTTCGCAACTTGATTCTCCGTATAGATTAGAATGAGCACCACTGCAATCATGATACAGAACTGTTCCATGAAACCAAAGACCTCCTCATTCTACTCCTTTGTAGTGACACCCACCACTTATTCCTGTTACTATTCTTTGGAAACCACTATTCTGTTCTCAGTCTCTATAATTTTGTTATTAAAGTGGGTTTTAAACTAAGTTTCTTTAAAGGTAGAAGGAGGAAAAGAAGGATAAAATAACTGCTTTTAAGTCCTTGAAATATTTTAAAACGACACAATGAAACATATTTAAAAGAAAAAAAGCAAACTGCAAAACTGAATATACGGTGTAAGTCATATTTGAAAAAAATTTATATGCAGAAATAAAATTCTAGATACAAATACTGTAAAATGTCAGCAAATGCTCTTCTCTCAAGGTGGGGTTATAAGATTTTATTTTCTTTACTTTGGGCCTTATTCATTTCTCCACATTTTTATAAATGAACATGTGTAAATTATACACAGGAAAACATATGAAAATAAAGAGGCACCATGTGAAGTTTTAAATGTTTGCCTGTTTCTCCTCCAATGTATAGACACAGTCTGTCATTTTTGCAGCTTTTACCATACAAATGTTTAATATAGCCCCGTGCCATCCTCCCGAACCCATTATGACATTTCCTGCTTAGTTTCTCCTTTGATCAATCAGAAGGTTTAAAATCTGTAAACAGTCTGAGTTCAGTTAGAAAATTTATAGAAAATGATGTCATCTTGCCCTTTGTACAAACGAGAGCAAATGAGTTCCTGGGATCTAGATGTAATTTTCTTTCATTTGTAAAGAATGAAGGTGTCACAGAAAAGAAACATTTACACTGCAAACAAGAGAGAGGGGAAAATATCAAATGTTGATAGAAAAAGACCAGATAAACTGAGGAAACTATGAAGACACTTTTTAATGTTTGTAAAAGCTTAGTGTTGCTGGTTTATGAGATTCCTGAGATGTGGTTATAACTACAGTTTTTGAGCTGGGCTACAGGTACAAATCTCTATTCTGTCATTCTCCAGCTGTGCCCTTGGGCAGGTGGTCTTTGTGAGGATCACCTGAGATAATGAGCAAGAAAAGTGCTTACCCAGTGGGTTTAACATGCCTCAAGTGCTTGATACATGTTCAATGTTATTACTGTCATAACTTTACTCAAATATGTGTTTGTAGCTGTGCCTTTAAGTCCCTTAAAATATATATATATATATATATATATATATATATATACACACACACACACACACACACACACACACACACAACCATTTGCAGCCTTTGGAGTAAATATAAAGTAGTGGAAAGGCAGAAACAAAAACAAAATAAACCTCATTAAAAAACAGCTCATACAAACAGTGAAACATAACCATGTGTAATAGATGAAAACTAGGCATTAAAACTGGGGTTGGTAGGGTGAGTAGATGGAAAATGATCAGGGACCTCGATTGTTAACGCTGCTGAATCCAAGGTCCTAAGCTTTGGCACAAAGCAACTCTTCTTATTCATTCAACACGTCTGTATGGAGCCAAACATCGTGCCAAATTCTGGGACTCAGCAGCAAAGAAGACTCTCAGGGCTTATTCTGTGACCCTCTTTCCAGACAAACTATATCCTACCCAGGTCCATGGCTAATCATCATTTTGATGTTCTATTTCAAAGACAACAGTCAATGCTTTACACATTTGATATGTTTGGTCAACTATGTGGCACATCAAACTTCAAGCAGCATGAACTGGTTTTGGAACATTTTCAAATTTCACCAAAATATCAATATACTTATACAATTTACACAAACAAAGCTAAAAGTGAAACAAAAATTTTTAACTACTTAATGATGAAAAGCATAACTCCAAAATAATAATGAGAATATCATACGAATATTTATGAGCTATGGTTAAGCTCCACAAAACCCCATTTTTTTTTTTACTAGGGAAATACACACTCATTAGAAAGCATTCTTAATAAACAGTGTAATCTTCAAAGGTTGAAGCGAGGCAACTGGAGAAAGAGGAAGGAGGACATTGGAATATTTTCACATGACAAAGCCTCCCTGAAGATTATAATTAGCCTCCCTCCCCACTTTTGTGCTGGGTGAAAATGACTGTCAAATTGTGAAGAAAAACTCACAGCCCAAGTACTTTATTTTTTAAAAAAGAATTTTAAAATATGTTACTATGTGTTCCTCTTAATATCACCAAATATAAGAAAAACAAGAAAATGGCCAGGCGAGGTGGCTCACGCCTGTAATCCCAGCATTTGGGAGGCCGAGGTGGGTGGATCACCTGAGGTCACGAATTTGAGACCAGCCTGGCCAATATGGTGAAACCCCATCTCTACTAAAAATACAAAACATTAGCTGGGCACGGTGGCGTGCAACTGTTGTCCCAGCTGCTTGGGAGGCTGAGACAGGAGAATTGCTTGAACCCAGGAGGCAGAGGTTGCAGTGAACAGATATCCCACCACTGCACTCCAGCCTAGGCAACAGAGCGAGACACCATCTCACACAAACAAACAAACAGGAAAATGTAATAAAGATAAAAGCAAAAGGTAAAGAATAAAAAAGAAAACAGAAGATTTTATAAATCTAAGTGTTGTCTCTGAAAATATAATAAAACATCCAACCTCTGGCTAGAGTTACCAAGAAAAAGAGGAACACAAATACATACAATTAAAATTAATGTACACAGATATTAAAAGATATATATATATATTGTTGTACTTTAATGAAAAATTTTAAAACTGCAGATGATTTTCTAGGAAAAGATAATATGTGACATATGAAGAATGCTTACAAAATGAATCTAAAAGGCAAAGGACACAAACAATACAATCTCAAAGAAATAAAAATGGGTCAGTAAATAAGGTTCTCTGGCTGGGTGCGGTGGCTCACGTCTGTAATCCCAGCACTTTGGGAGGCTGAGGCGGGAGGATCACCTGAGGTCAGGAGTTCAAGACCAGCCTGACCAACATGGAGAAACCCTGTCTCTACTAAAAGTACAAAATTAGCCTGGTGTGGTGGTGCATGCTTGTAATCTCAGCTACTTGGGAGGCTGAGGCAGGAGAATCGCTTGAACCTGGGAGGCAGAGGTTGCGGTGAGCCAAGATTGTGCCATTGCACTCCAGCCTGGGCAACAAGAGCAGAACTGTCTCAAAAAATAAATAAATAAAATAAAAATAAGGTTCTCTGTCTACAGTCTTTGGCCTGGGCTGTGCTGGCTGGGTGGAGAAATGGCAGGGAAAATGACTCTCATTCACTATTAATCGAAACAAAATTTATATAGCTTTCTTGGACTACAACTTGAAAATATGTATAAAAAACCTTAAAATATACATACTTTTGATTTAGCACATAGTCTCTTAGAAGTTATCTTAGAGAAACTGTAAAGGATATAAACAAAAATTTAGCTTCAAGAATATTTATATGGTGAAAAATTGGTAACAATGTAAATATTCATAAAAGGGGATATTAAATAAATGTTGCCATTCTTCCATGAACAATCATATTGTAGATTAATATTTATTGACGTGGAAACTGCTAATTTCCAGAGGACATTTAAAAATGAATAACAAACTGGGCCACAGACAGCCCTTCAGTATAGTTTACAGCAAAGACTGCACAGGGCATATTGGTCATAGTGCAATGAAAACATAACCTGAGTAACTTTTGATTAAAGAAAAAATTGAAACTTCTATTTAAAAATATCCAGATAATAAGAATAAGAGAGTATTACATATCAAATATTATTAAATGACAACATTCTATTCAGAAATAAATTTATGAGGTTAGAAAAACTACTAACATTCCTAAAGAAAGCAGGCAGAAAGAATATATGATAAGGTTAAAAGTAGATACTAATCAGTATAATTAAAAAGATCACTTTTAGAAGCATGCCAAATTCTACATCTTGTAAAGAATACTTTCAAAAGCTCACATTCATTGCTGAAGTGTTTATAATAGTAAATACTGGAATAAAGTTAATGTTAAAAAAGATGCAATTGGTTAAATACACTAGGATATATCATACATCTGGTGTATCCTAGAAGTTTTGTTTTTGTTTTTGTTTTTTTGAGACAGGATCTCACGCTGTTGCCCAGGCTAGAAAGCAGTGTTGTGACCTCAGCTCACTGCAACCTCTGCCTCCTGGGGTCAAGGGATCCTCCCACCTGAGCCACCTGAGTAGCTGGGGCTACAGGTGTGCGCCACCATGCCTGGCTAATTTTTGTATTTTTTGGCAGAGATGAGGTTTCACCATGTTGGCCAGGCTGGTCTCAAACTCTTGACCTTAAGCGATCTGCCCACCTCGGCCTCTCAAAGTGCTGGGATTACAGGTGTAAGCCACCGCACCTGTAATAATTTTTAAAAATTATACTTTAACAAAATTAGCTGGGCATGGTGGCACATGCCTGTGATCCCAGCTATTTGGGAGGCTGAGGCAGGAGAATCGTTTGAACCTGGAAGGTGGAGGTTGCAGTGAGCCAAGATCGCACCATTGCACTCCAGCCCCGGCAACAAGAGCGAAATTCCGTCTAAAAAAAAAAAAAAAAATTATATTTTAGGAGCTTCTTTAATGATGTAGGAGATATGTGCCAGGTTCATTAAGTGAAAAAATTAGGCTTCAAAATATGACTATAAAGATGCATATCAGGTTGGGTGTGGTAGCTCATGCCTGTAATCCCAGCACTTTGGGAGGCCGAAGCAGGCAGATCACTTGAGCTCAGGAGTTCGAGACTAGCATGGCCAACATGGTGAAACTCCATCTCTACTAAAACTACAAACATTAGCCGGCCATAGTGGCATACACCGGTAGTCCTAGCTACTTGAGAGGCTTGAGGCATGAGAATTGCTTGAACCTGGGAGGCAGAGTTTGCAGTGAGCCGAGACTGTGCCACTGCACTCCAGCCTGGGCGACAGAATGAGACTCCATCTCAAAAAAAAAAAAAAAAAAAAAAAGATGCATATCAGAGTCTCAGAGTCTTAAGCAGGGGGCCAAAGAGTGTACAAAATTGTGGTCATATGGCTGGGCATGGTGGCTCACGCCTGTAATCCCAGCACTTTTGGAGGCCAAGGCAGGCAGATCACCTGAGATCAGGAGTTCAAGACCAGCCTGGCCAACATGGTGACATCCCGTCTCTACAAACATACAAAAATTAGCTGGGCATGATGGCAGGTGCCTGTAATCCTAGCTACTCTGGAGGCTGAGGCGGGAGAATCACTTGAACCCAGGAGGCGGCGGTTGCAGTGAGCCAAGATTGAGCCATTGCACTCCAGCCTGGGCAACAGAGCGAGACTCCATCTCAAAAAATAAAATTGTGGTCATGTGTATTCTGGTCAGGGAGACCTATAACTTTCATTAGATTCACAAAGATATCTGTGACTCTCAAAAGGTTAAATGCCTCTAACAGATATCAAGATAGTATCCCTAGACTATCTCTTGGTCGTGAGGTCATGGAGAATTTTAACTTTCTTCTCTATAAATTACTAACTTTTATATAATCAAAATGTATAATTTTTTATTAATAGAAGGGAAAAGTTTGTCTCTTATGATTGCTTCTATACTTTTAACAAAGTCTCATTTAAAAAAACCTCCCTCCTTTTTTAGAAGTCTCATTAAAAAATACCTCCCTCCTTCTCCCCAACAGCGTGCGTGCGTGTGCGCACACACACCCACACACACACACACACACACAGTTTAGAGGAGTGTTAGCTATAACAGAATATTTAATTTTTAAAATTCTTCAAGTAATCTCAGAAACCTAAGAAATTACAAGCAATGAACACTGGGTGTTTCTTAAATCTAGAAATATTTGTTTAAGACGTGCCTGTGGACTAGAGAGAACAAGTCCTGCATATTACTGCCAGACTGTCCTGCCACTTTAATTCAAAGTGGTTCTAGATCTTTATCCCTTTTTGATCAGAAAGCTTTTGAATTAAAAAAAAGTAAATTTTAAATTAAATAGACCATGAAAAACATATATATATATATACACGGTACTGCCAGGATTTGGATTTCACTGGCATGCTAGAGTTATCTGTGGAGTAAAAAACAGTGTGAAGGTAACAACAGTGAACCTCCCGTTCCAGGTATTTGCCATACTAACCAGTTCCAGCAGAAAATGAGGTCGTAGCAAAAGCATCACCTTGGGTTGATTGAAAGCCTGGGATCAAACTCTCAGCTGAGCCTCCAAGCTTCTCGGGATGTTTGCCTGGAGAGACAAAACACCACTCAGTTCATTCTAGCAGAATCTTGCGAGGCACACACACATGGCAGAGGTAAGGGGCATTCTCTGAACTGACTTCTGGACTTGACTACTTTTACTGCATTATGGCGACACATTCAAAGGTCCTTGTCTAGTCATTGCAATAACTGAGAGAACGGCTGAGAAAAAAAAGGAAATTGTTAAGAATCAAAAGAGAGCATGTCATCAGTTTTGCAAAATGAAAAGCGTTCTGGAGATTGGTTGGTTGCACAACAGTGTGAATGTACTTAACACTACGGAACTGCACATTTAATGCCTCCCGCCCTCACTTGTAATCTATTCACTTTATACAGCTCTAATGAGTTTGATGATCTGCTTTCCATGTTGGAAGCAGTTTAGGAGAGCAAATGAGAAGAGGGAGTGGTGGAGATGGCAATAATGAGACGTTATGAGGGACAAGCATAATGACAGTAGCTTAATGTGAAAGCTGACAGCTGAACAGTAAGAAAAGGGAGAGGAAATTATTAAAACTCAGGGGCTAGTTATTTGGGTACAAAACTACTACAATTTTCAGTAGTCTATAGAGGTATTTCTATTTACAGTCCAGAATAACAACTGGTATACATAACAATGAAACAAAGTTGCCAAAAAAGTTAAGTACTATGCCCTATCTTCTGTTTAAAAAAGCAAGAAAGTAATAGGAATTTTTTTCAACAGACAGGGTCTCACTCTGTCACCCAGGCTAGAGTGCAGTGGTAAATTCATAGCCCACTGCAGCCTCGACCTCTTGGGCTCAAGTGATCCTTCCACCTCAGCCTCCCAAGTAGCTGGGACTACAGATGTGTGCCAGGATGCCCAGCTAATTTTTAAAATTTTTTGTAGAGATAGGATCTTGGCATGTTGCCCAGGCTGGTCTTGAACTCCTGGGCTCAAGTGATTCTCTTGCCTCAGCCTCCCAAAGTACTGGGTTACGGGCGTGAGCCACCACACCTGGATTGGAGTTTTAAAAGATTTCTATAAAATGATAGTTAAAGCCAAAATGTTTGGCCAATAGTTCATACCACTCAATTGGTTCTCATCATTCCTTTATCCTGCGCCCTTATCTACATTGAGAGTACTTTTTATTAGAGTACTCTCTAACATTATTAGAATTATTAGAATTATGCATATTAGAATTTGTTCCAAAGTGTGTGCATGTGCCTGTGTGTGTGTGTGTGTGTGTGTGTGTGTCCTGCCTTCCAAAGTAGACTGTTCTTCAGGCAGAAGTATATCTTCTATTTATTTAATCATCTTTCTGTGTAGTACAGTAATACAGAACTCTGACTATAGTGAAAGAAAGATTCAGTGTCCATGTGAAGGCACATTCATGGACAAGCAGTGGCAACTTTCTGGGACAGTAAACCAACCTAGGATGAGAGAACCATCACACTCCTCCAAGGAGGGACCATGCCTGATGCTGTTATCCTGGACTATGTCACAAACCTTTTCTACAAGTTTCTTCCCTAAGCATCACACTCTCCTTGCTACCACCCACAATAGATCAGGATTTCCTGAAGATGAGGACTTCAGGGCCCATGGTAAAAATAAAAACTGACTTGTATGCATACTTTGAAATCAAGCCTTATGCAAAGGCCCAAGCCTACGTTTCCACATGCATACCCTTCTAGAGTTACGATTCTTTCTCATTCCTGGTTATTTCTTAGCACAGAGAATCTATAATCAAGAAGCACAAAAAAAGACACAGCTTACTCACCTTCCCCAAGCTTGGCAAAGTCCTTGTTTAGCAGTTCTTCAGCTGTGAGTTTGGAGAAATTATCGTCATCAAAGGGATTCCACGTAGACCCTTCTGAAGGATTATAAACGTTTTGTTGAGAGGTCCGAGGAGAGCCTGATGGAGTGGTGGTTGCAGACCTAGGTAGGTTCCCACCCCCACGAAACAAAAAGATATAAAAGTTGAACAAAACAAAAAGGGTCAACTTATTTTCTCTGTTTCAGAATCAAATTATTTTCTGGGTCAAACCATCATTTTCCACCACAGTATTTTTTTTTTTTTTTTTGAGTCAGAGTTTTGCTCTTTCACCCACGTTGGAGCACAATGGCGTGATCTCGACTCACTGCAACCTCCGTCTCCCAGGTTCAAGCGATTCTCCTGCCTCAGCCTCCCGAGTAGCTGGGATTACAGGCGCATGCCACCACGCCTGGCTAATTTTTGTATTTTTAGTAGAGACAAGGTTTCAACATGTTGGCCAGGCTGGTCTTGAACTCCTGACCTCAGGTGATCCACCTGCCTTGGCCTCCCAAAGTGCTAGGATTACAGGCGTGAGCCACTGCATCCAGCCCACAGTGTTTTCCTAAAAGGGCTTTCCACAGCACCTGAAGAATTTCCGCAGATACCCATTCCACTTTGTGAAATGAATGTCTCCTTTCCTTCATGACTCACTACCTCCCACTACTTCCTTAATCTCTTGCTTAAGTTTTCAGTCTTATCTGCAAGTTGTTTCAGTTCAGGATCTAAAAGCAACCTGTTCTTAGACTTGTGTATCTTGTGGTGACCACCATAACATCCACAATAACTGACCTCTGGAAGGGCAGGAAAGAGGTCTATTTAGGCTGCCTCTCATCTCTCAGGATCCAGCATGCATAGAGTTAAGGGCCACCATCACAATTAAAAAGAAATAAAGACAGTTACCACTACTTTGTGCATCTAAGTATCATTATATAATTTTCTTATAAAGTCTCTCTTAACTTCATTGAAAGATTTTAACTTTAGAGTGTATGGTTCTAAGACAGTTAAGGGTCTGAAACTGCATTTACTCAACACTCATCAAAATCTACTTGTCAGGCACAGAACCAGTCACTGGATTTCCAAAGGTTGACTAAGACATGGTCATTGTCTTGGAGAACTCACAAACCAGTTCGGTCAGACATACAAATAATTAACGACAACACAATGTCATATAAGCTCAAAAAAATGTTCAGACAAAAATTATACATCATATCAGAGGAAGGGTCAAGGAAAAGTCAACCTCTGACATGGATCTTGATGAATAAATGAACATTCCCTAGGTGGGCAAGGAGGAGCATAGCAGTCCCAGGAGAGGGCACAGGAGGAACAAAGGGCTCGGGAAGGTGAAGAATGGCAAGTCTGCCTGTGAAACACAACAGGCCCTGCTATGTTAAGCAGTGTGCTCAGCTATCATGAGGAGCCAGTGAAAGACTTTTCAGCGTGGAGAGACTCGGTCAGATCGAGAGTTCAGAAAACACACTGTAGAGCATGGAACAGGTGAGAGAATGAGAACAGTGGGCCAAGTAGGAAAAGATTTCTTAAGATTAGTATGGCCCATGCACTAAAGACAAATTCACAGCTGCTCATTAAACACAAGTACATGCAAGATGAAATGAGCCAGAAAAATAAACAAACCAGAAAAATAAACAAACACAAGTACACACCACTGTATTTGCATTACACACATCTACACACTTATGCAAAGAATCACACACTAACAGCCGCAGGCAGACTTTGCCCACAGAGGTAAGAACAACAAAGAGGAAGCACCACATACTTGGACTTATTGAGACTGGCCTCAGCTGCAGCTGCCTGGAGCAGCTGGGTTGATTTGCTGGCAGGGACCCCAAAGACTGCACTGTGGGTTACGTCACTGAGAATACGCCTGTGCCCAGCACGTTGGGTTTTGGGGGATGAGGGTGGAGTGAGAGATCCAACTTTCTGCCCCTGGACGGCAGGAGGTGGGGTTGTCTGAACCTTTGGCTGTTGTCTTACTGGGGCTTGAATCTGCTAGGAAGAGAGACGGAAAGTGTTTCATTAAATTAAAAAAAAAAGTTAAAGGAAAAACAAACAGATAAGTGTAACAACAACAACAAAAAATGCCACATAAGCACTAACATGAAACTCACATGGCTAAGTTTATCAATAATGCCCAGAAAGAAAAATCCAGGCTTTGACAATCTGTGCTGCAACTTTGAGACTGATAACAACATGGTATTTGCCTGATACACATAAATTTCAATCTTTATCAGCGATAATATATAGGGTAACCATATGTTAACCATATTCAGCTCAAAGCATAAGAATGCAGAAGCTATTCCAGCTGTAAAGATCTAGAATTTATCATAAAGGACCACTTTCTATTTCTGGAGTCACATACAAACTCATTCAGAATGCTTTCAAAGGGCAAGCAATAGATCCTATCACTACAGGTAAAGGCCAATGAAGACGTATCTCCAGCGAAACACATTTAAGCTGAATGATTTCTGCTAAGAGATCCCTCACTCTCTGCCATAGCGAGACCACAGGTTGGGAGTGAGTCAGAGAAAATTCTACTGTGATTAATAAATGTTACTGCTCGTTTGTTTTGAACTTTTATTTTAGGTTCGGGGGTACATGTGCAGGTTTGTTATACAGGTAAACAGGCAAACTCGTGTCACGGGGGTTTGTTGTACAGATTATTTTGTCACCAAGGTACTAAGCCTAGTACACAAGAGTTATTTTTTCTGATCCTCTCCCTCCTCCCACCCTCCACCTTCAAGGAGGCCCCAGCGTCTGTTGTTTCCCTCTTTGCGTCCATGAGTTCTCATCATGTAGCTCTCATTTGTAAGTGAGTGCATGTGCTATTTGGTTTTCTATTCCTCCAATAGTTTGCTAAGGATAATGGCCTCCAGCTCCAACCATGTTCTTGCAAAGCCTCCATCCTCCTTCTTTTTTATGGCTGCATAGTATTCCATGGTATATATGTACCACATTTTCTTTATCCAATCTCCCATTGATGGGCATTTAGGTTGATCCCATGTCTTTGCTGTTATGAATAGTGCTGCAATGAACATACACATGCATGTGTCTTTATGGCAGAACAATTTATATTCCTTTGAGTATACACCCAGTAATGGGATTGCTGGGTTGAATAGTAGTTCTCTTTTTAGCTCTGTGAAGAATCGCCACACTGCTTTCCACAATGGTTGAACTAACTTATACTCCCATCAAGAATGTATAAGCATTCCCTTTTTTGTTTTGTTGTTAAGGCTCTTTATTTCACTGATGGGATGGGTATATAAGATCCTATTTCTGTGGCAACTCCTAAGAAAATATGTAGCATTAGTTTAGTGGGATTAACTTGTTTCAATCTTCAGTTTGGACATAATATTGAAGAACTGGCAGAGAATATAAGAAGAAGAAAGAAAAAAAAGGTCCTGATGATGACTGAGCTAATAATACAAGGACTCTTGTGATGTGGGCCATTTTCAAAACAGGCCAAACTGCCACCACAGAACAACATACCGGTGAGAATATCCTTGTGACCACATGAGTGGTCCTTAAGCATAAGTCACCTATATCAAGGAAAATGAACAAAAAATGTTAAGAAAGCCACCCAACCCCTTTCCTTTACACTATCAACCTAGAGATAAAATAACTTTGGATATAAAATGCCCCAGGTATTTCACCATCCCTTCCCTCCAGTCCCTCTTCTCAGATTAGAGTTGCTGCTCCATGCTGCAACTCAGTTCAGCTGCAGTCTCAGTGTCTACAAAGGCAGGCCCTGAGACAGTTTAAGGAAACTAGACTATCCAGCTACCTGGGTCAGGATGCTTCTAGCTTGGGATATTGACTGCCCTCATCTTGTCCTCAGGACTTGGAAAATTTATTAAGGTAGACTATGTACACATGTCAGTATTCCATCCACTTAACCAACAGGCTGAATGTTACAATATAAGGTTCTAATATCAATCAGAGGTTAGAAGGGTAACAAAGCTGCCCTGCTGAAGGAGAGGCAGAGTGCTCTGTGAAGACAACCACAGCTCCAGCTCCACAACTTCCTCTGGGGGTCCAGAGTTGTGCCTGTAACAGCTGGCTGAATACTACCACACATAGGGGTCAGAGGGCTTTGAGGATACACTGAATGGGCTTATTTCATGAGACATTCATTAATCTGAAAAGAATACTAAACTGTTGGGTCCCTTTATTTTGAAGAGTCCAGTGACAACTCTATTCTGAGATGAAGGACTGGAGGGAAGGGATGGTGAAATCTCCAGGGCATTTTACATCCGAAGTTGTTTTGTCTCGAGGTTGATGGCATAAAGGAAAGGAGTTGGATAGTTTTCTTACCACTTGGAGAACATTTTTCTCTTCTGTTCTCCAGATGCAGCACACTGAAGATTAGATGCCTCCTTCAGGACACCTTGCCCTATAACAGCAATCTACAGACACTAAGTGGTTTGTATCTGTTCAGCTACGCCTCCCAGCAACCCTGGCAGACAGTTATACTTCCACTTAGAATCAAAGAATGTGAGAGTTTAAAGGGACCTTAGAAAATGCAGATTTCAACTCCTGCACTGAGGCCAAATGCTCATTCAAGGTCACAGGGTTAACTGGAAGCAGAGCCCATGTCTCCTGACTGTGGCTCAGGACTCTTTTCTGCCCCATGATGCCATCCCATCCAAACAGGATTGGAAAGTGGGAGGAGGGACAGAGAGACCACGGGAGAAGGAATAAAAAGACTCAGATGTCTATTTTGCTGACGATTTTTTAAAAATGTAATTATAAAAGGAGTATAATCACATCAAGAAATGTAAGAATATAGAAAACAGACTTCTATTCCATCACTCTAATACAACTAGATACAATCCTTATCTTTTTGGTACCTTATACTTTAAGTCTCTTTTCAAGTGTATAGTTTTTCCGTAATTTCACAATTCCTTTAACATTACCTCATGAGCATTTCTTTTCATACTGTTGTACAGACTTTATAACCGTGCTTTTTAATGGCTGCACAGTTGGGTTTCTCAGCAATTTAGGTTGCTTCCAAATTCTCTGGGCTATTATTAATAAGACTGCAATAAACATCTAGGGCAAATGGCCATTTCCCCTTTGCTAATTATTGCTTTAAGATGGCTACAGGGTACGCTTTACCTTCATTCACTTGCTTCTTTAGATTAGCCCTGCCAAGAGTCAGCGGAGACAAGGATGGGTCAAAGCTGAGAAGCTCTATGGCTCCTGGCCAAAGCATGGTCTATTTCTGTTTCCTCTCTGTCCCCAAAACCAACTATCCCAGAGCAAAGTGTTCAAAGTGTTTTTTCATCCAAAGAACACGGAGAAAGTTCATAATTCATTCCCAAGGGAGTAGACACTTTTGTGTAGGAGAAGCATAGGGGAACCTCATAAGAAGTGTAGTCAGTAGTAGTTGATCATTTTATCACCCTGGATGAGCATTTGTTATAATTAAACTTAAACACAGATCAGGATTCTTTGATTCTTGCCCCAGCTCCACTACCATCAGTTCGTATGTCTTGGGCAACCACTTTCTAGTCTATGCCTCAGTTTCCAATTCTGTAAAATGAGGAGGCTGAACTGAATAATTAAGGTCCCTTCTAGCTATCTCATGTACTAATTTTTTTAAAAACTCTTTTTCCATGAAGAAGAGGAACTTTACCTCTTGTTAAAAATACAGAGACTCACTGTCTACTCCATGCCTGCAGGAAGTCTGAGTTGTTTTAGAAACGAAGGTGTAAAGACACTAAACACACACTTAGCTAAGACTTAAAGAAGACAATCTACGGCACTGCTTCCTTTCGAAGCGATGTAGGTTTTCTGGTTTAAGATGGGAGACAAAACTCTATTAGAAATCAATCCTCAGAAAGATGGTTTCTTTTTTTTTTTTGAGATGGAGTCTTGCTCTGTGGCCCAGGCTGGAGTGCAGTGGCATGATCTCCACTCACTGCAAGCTCCACCTCCCGGGTTCACGCCATTCTCCTGCCTCAGCCTCCCGAGTAGCTGGGACTATAGGTGCCTGCCACCACGCCCGGCTAATTTTTTTTTTGTATTTTTAGTAGAGACGTGGTTTCACCACGTTAGCCAGGATGGTCTCGATCTCCTGACCTTGTGATCCGCCCGCCTCGGCCTCCCAAAGTGCTGGGATTACAGGCGTGAGGCCACTGTGCCCAGCAGAAAGATGGCTTCTTACTTTTCCTTTGTTCCTCTAGTAGTTAGACTTCCCTGGGAGTAACAGGGTAGCTGTGACACTCTACCAGCTGGGTATGCAAAATGTCTTTTTCTAACACCATAACATTTTCTATCACTATCACTCAGAAAAATAAGAGTACAGAAAAAAATCCACTTATCACAGGCCAAAGCATGATGTGCCCGTGTGTGTTGAAACTGTAGAGGACAATCAGACGAGGGGTTCTGATGCCATACTCAGCCAATATCTAAAAGTGGACATGCCCAATTTCTAAATTGATAAGATGGCTCAAATGACTGGATACTCAGATGCTCTGGTACCCAGGGGGATTACACCAGGGTGAATGGTCTCAGGTAAGCAGGCCCTTGACGGGAGCTGCATGGTAAACTTAAATAATGTGATTAGTAATGTCATCCAAGACAAAGAATAAACACAACATGGAGGACCCAGGGCCTGGAAAGGGCACAATGGATCAAACTGCCCCTTGAAGAAGAGAAAGGGATTAGCTTTAATCCTGCCTAGGTCCTTGACTGTTCAAAGTGACACAGACAGAGATGATGAACAGATCTTCCTGCTAGCCTAGTTTCAGAGTGATAAAAATTAAGAAGGCTCTTCATCAGTAGCCTAGAATCCTTTTTTAAAAAAACCTCTATCTTCTATAGAACATCCATACTATTCTTGGATATATCAAGGAAAGATCAAATAATTGAACCACCCAGGTGGGAAAGCAACCTGGACCCTCATCAGCTGCTGCCATCTTTCCCACCCTTCCCCTAGCTCTCGCTGCACATTCCTCTGCTGCTTTTGTGCTCTGAGCTCTGGTTGATTCTTACCGCTGGCTCCTGGGCAGGGGCTGGCTGTGGGGCTGCAGCTGGCTGTGGCTGGGGCTGCTGTCCTGCTGCCATAGTGGGCTTTTGCTGCAAGGCAGCCTGCTGAGTCATCAGCTGTTGTTGATGCAGGGCTGTGGCCAGCTGTTGCTGTTGCTGTTGTTGTTGCTGCTGCTGCTGCTGCTGGTAGAAATTCTGCATTAGCTGCTGTTGAGAGCCTCCTTGGGACACCACAGGGAACTGAGCAATTGCTGGTTTCTGGGTTGCTGGATGTACTGCCTGAAACTGAGCAAGAAATGAGGAGATGAATAAGGGCCTGTCCCAGAATAATAGTCACAAAAGACAAATGTCTCAAAAACAATGAAGACCAGTGCTAAAGCCAAAGGCAAGGGCAAGTAGAAAAGTCTTGAGGCTAGGCCTAAAATCTCATGATAGAGACCTCAGGGAATTAAAATACAACACAGCAGCAGTCCCTTACACTGCTAGGCTCCATCCATTGCACCAGGCTGCCTCCTGCACTACAGACTGGCCTTCCAAGTGGGTTTCTGGGCCTTGCCTAAGGGAAGCTATCTGACTAAACATCATGTGACTCCATAAGCTAGAGTATAGCAGGAGCTAATAAACGATCTCCTAATCATAGAGGTAATCCTTCTTATAAAGGGATTTGAAGTAGCCAAGATTAAAATGCTTCCCTACCTGAACAGGATGAAGCAATGATGACACTGAAAAGAATAACCTAAATGTTAACTCAACTATTAAGACTCATCTCAAGTCTTACTAAAAATTATTTCCCAAGAGCTCCATTTTTATTAAACTTCCTTAAACATTCAAAATAGCCAGTGTGCTCTATGACGCTTCCTTTTGTTTGTTTGTTTGAGATAGTGTCTTGCTGTGTTGCCCAGGCTGGGATGTAGTGGTGCAAGCAATCTCGGCTCACTGCACCCTTGACCTCCTGGGCTCAAGTGATCATTCCACCTCAGCCTCCTAAGTACCTGGTATCACAGGTGCACACTACCATGCCTGGCTAATTTTTTTTCTTATTTTTTGTAGAGACACAGTCTCACAATGTTGCCCAGGCTGTCTCGACCTCCTGGGCTCAAGCAATCCTCCCGCTTCGGCCTCTGAAGATGCTGAGATTACAAGCATGAGCCACTGTATCTGGCCCACACTTCTTATATGTCTCTCTAATCCCCACTGTTAGGGGCTATGTGCTACATACACAAACAGAGCTCAAAATAAGGGCCTGCTGATGAACTAAGGTCAACACTGTATCTTTGAACATCCCGTATACTTTACGTAGTTATTAGAGTCAATTGGGAGGATACTGTTTGTCTACTGGGGCAAAGTTAAAGGGTTAACAAATTAGAAGATGTCAAAAAAAAAAAATAGCTGCCTACTTATAACAGCAAAATACTGGAAACAACCCAAATGTCTATCAACAGGAGACTGGCTGATTAAATATTTATGATAGATATATCCTGAAGGAAATATCTAATAGAATACTCTCAAGTTGTAAATAAGAATGAGCAATACCACTATATATGGGTTGGTGGGGATGGACTTTTGCAGATTTAACTCTGAAACTATGTAAATGTTTCACATATCCACAAAACAGAATTAAACTAAAATTTAAAAAGCAATAACTAAAAATCAAAAGCAAAACAATGCATATAAACCGGTGTATCAAATTGGTAGCTGAACGCGCCAGAAAATAATGTGCTAAACATTCTAAGGGTAAAATGGGCAAGGAAATCTTAAACTGTTTTCAGTAATCATATGGTTATTGCTATCTTAAAACGATAGAACAATTAATTATCTATGTTAATGCTGTTAAGAATCAAGATTTCCAGAAAAAAAAAAAAACAACAAAATCCAAGAAGTTAAACAGAAATCCAGTAATTACAAATCCAAATTAGGAATATAAATCCGAATTCATAATGCCTATTCTCCAACAAAACAAAACAAAATATATTTTCTAATTGTCCACTGAGAAGGCCTAGAAACAACAAGCAATCCATTAGGCAAATGGTATTTCTAGCATCAAAACTGTGGTTTCTAAACATTATTTGCACTAAAAAGAAACAGAGCTCCTAAGAAAAATGGATGATTTCAAGTTGAGGGCAGCATGATCCTAGAGGGCAGCATGATCCTAGATAGCAAGGAAATCATTAAAGACCACTGGAGTTACATTCAAAGGATTTAGGAGCCAATTTGAAGAGACTTCCACTGGCCAAAGTTGGGGCAATCTGAGCTTTAAAATAAATACATTTTTTAAAACTGCAATATGCCAGGCATGGTGGTGTGCACCTGTAGTCCCAGCTACTCGGAAGGCTGAGGCGGGAGGATCGCTTGAGCCCAGGAAGTCAAGGGTTGTAGTATGCTATGCTAGTTGGGTGTCTGCACTAAGGTCAGCATCAGTATGAGGACCTCCCGGGAGCAGGGGACCAGTAGCCTAAGGAGGGTTGAACCAGCGCAGATTAGAAACGGAGCAGGTCAAAACTCCAGGGCTGATTAGTAGTGGGATCCTGCTTGTGAATAGCCACTGCACTCCAGCCTGGGCAACACAGCAAGGCCCCACCTCTAGTAAAAACAAAACAAAAAAAGCAATGTATTCAAAGATATCAAATATGTTAAAATCTAAGAATTCCTAATGATACTAACTAAACTAAACAAAACAAAAACGTCACTGTTCACCTTTGGATGACAAGAGGGAACAAATTTATTACTCTGAAAACCAGTAAACAAAAGGAAAGAATCAAGTGTTTTTCCTGCCTTTTCTGTACAAACAGTACCTCAGGGTAGCTAAAGAGCTGATGAAAAAATTTCTTCATGGAAAACGTCCAGCCCTCAAATGAAGAGGGAATGTTAGAATATCACTGTGCCATCCCTGATGAATTAAGGAACTTGGCAAATGATCAGTGATACCTGCTAAGCTAATGGGGAACATTAAACAAATGGATCAGACAGACAACACCTCAATACACCGATTGATCTTTTTTTCTTCCTTTTTTTAAAAATATTTTTGGGAAACGCAGTCTTCAGGGAAATCTGAAAGTACACGCTCCCTGATCTTAATATCAGTGAAATAGAGGCCAGAGAGACATTACAGACCTCCTGACATGATGCAACAGGAAGAACAAAGAATTGTCAAACTGAATCAAATACTGAGTAAGCCTCGAGAAATTACCAGTGTACACGGAAGACGGTCAGACACATCAAATGACACCATAGCATGCAATCAGCTAAACCCAGAATGCCAAAAATTCCAAGGGACAAATAATCCAGTTTCTCCGAAAAATTAAATGACAAAAAGCAAAAAAAAAAAAAAAAAGAGGAGAGGGAACCTATGGATAAAAGGGGACTTAAAAGATATATCAGCCAGCAGCCGCATAGGCTAATGTGTGTAATTCCGATGATTTGGGAGGCTGAGGTGGGAGGATGGCTTGAGGCCGGGAGTTTGAGACCAGCCTGGGCAAAATAACGAGACCCCCATTTCTACCAATAAAAATTAGCCAGGCATGGTGGCACATGCTTATAGTCCTAGCTACTTGAGAGACTCAGCTGGGATGATCACTTGAGCCCAGGAACTGGAGGCTGCAGTGAGCTATAACTGCACCACTTCACTCCAGCCTGGGAAACAGAGCAAGACCATACCTCCAAAAAAACAGATATACTCATCATTATAAAATGAATACATTCATAGTAAAAAATGTGAAAAAAATATATGAAAAGATAATGGAAAACAATATAGACCAACTAAATACAATCTGTTAGTATTGGATACTGATTCAAACAAGCCAACTTAATTATGAGATATCAGAAACAGTTAAACACTAATGGATATTTGATAATAAGAAACTATTGTTATTTTTTCCTCTCTTATGATAATGGTGTTACAGTTGTATTAGAAAAAAGAAGAAAAAAAAGCAGTCCTTAAAAAAAAATAGTTTTTTTTTTTTTTTTTTTTTTTTTGAGACAGAGTCTTGCTCTTGTTGCCCAGGCTGGAGTGCAATGGCACGATCTCGGCTCACTGAACCTCTGCCTCCTGGGTTCAAGCGATTCTTCTGCCTCAGCTTCCCAAGTAGCTGGGACGACAGGCTTGCGCCACCATGCCCAGCTAATTTTTGTATTTTTAGTAGAGACAGGGTTTCACCATGTTGGCCAGGATGGTCTCGATCTCTTGACCTCGTGATCCACCTGTCTCGGCCTCCCAAAGTGCTGGGATTACAGGCGCGAGCCACTGCACCCGGCCAAAAAAATAGCTCTTGTACTGATGTTCCTCAATCAGATGACAGATTCCTCATGGCCTGAGTAAAAGGGTGAAAGGGGTGTGAGTGATGGATCCGCTTCTCAATGCTTTAGTATCTACATCTATGAGAAACAGTGATGTAATGTTTAATGGCTCTCTGGGAAGACACCTTTACCTAGTGGGCCTTTTCACAGTCATGACTCAGATATGCAAGCAAGGGCCACACTCTGACCACCTTACCTGCTGAGTCTGGGCCTGCTGCTGCTGGTAAAACGTGCCTGCCGGCTGCTGCTGTGCTGGCGGTGGCTGTTGCTGCTGCTGTTGCTGCTTGAGGAAGAGTTGCTGCTGGTGCTGGGGTGTGGCCTGGGCCTGAGCGGGCAGACCCTGGGCCTGAGTAGAAGGCGTCTGCTGTGGAGTGGGAGGAGCCTGTGGCTGCTTGGCCTGAGTTTGCGGCAGAGGCTGGCTGGGTGGGGCTTGGGGTTTTGGTTGGGGAACACTGGCTAAAAGGCCAGGCTGATTGCTGGATCCTGCAATGAGAATAAAGTCCATGTAAGGGTTCCAAATGCTTCCACACAAAAATGGCTTTCTGTCTTGCCAAAACAACTAATAGGGGGTGACAAGTGTGCAGAGTATCTCAAGATTCGTGTCCTCCTCACTGTCTTTCCACATGCTCTGTCCCACCTGGAATGTCTTTCTATCTTCTTGCTAAATTATGTGCTTCAAATTTTTCAAAACAAGGTTCAATATTGCCTCCTTAAGAAAGTCTTCCCTTATTAATCATCCCATTTAGTCAATTACAACTTTAGTTGGCACCCCAAATGTCTACATATTCAACTGGCCTTTGGTACATATGCACAAGCTTTGCCCCTCTTGGCATGCAGCATGACAACATCATTCCCTGGTGTTCTACATGTAGCTTATCCCAGTCTGGATGCGTGGCTATAAGTAGATGGCCACCAAATTCACCAAAAGCAGCTTCCTGGTAGGGTTCAGTTACTCGATATTTTGGATCAATCCTTTTTATGAAACAAAGCTTACTTATTTCATTAGAAACAGAATGCCAAAACATGAGGGGGTGTTAGATACTTCAAGAGACAAAGCATTAAAGAAACAATATTCTTCTGTGAATGTCAAAAGAGAGGAGTCTTGTTTCTATTTTTTTTTTAGGCATGTATGAAAATAACTCAGTTTCTTTGTATCTCAGCCCATCAGACCCCAAACTTCCTAAAATTGAAAGTAAGTTGTCTGCTAGTCCAAGCTCTTCAGCCTCTTTAGTCCTGTCTCTTCCAGGCATCTTTAACTGTTGATGTATTAGACCCAAGCAGGCATTTTTGTAGGCTGGGAGGCAAATGAATAAAATAATGCTTTCTACCCAATCATCTCCCCTAGCCCATTTCAATGTCCCAAAGTTTAATTAACAGAACAGGGAAGCTGCCCTGGACTGAACTCAACACTTTGGAAGAGTCTTATTTCTTTAAAGGCAAAGGGAAATATATGAAATAAAGAGGGAGGATAAGGTTCCAAACTGCAAAAATCAGGGCCAAGTCTAGAAAAAGCGACAAAGGGCTTTAGTGGTTTTGGAGATCCATCTCAGAATTCAAGGAGGCCTCTCCTTTTGCCAGCCATTTGCGATACAATTCTTTTCTTTTTTTTTTTTTTTTTTTGAAGCGGAGTTTCACTCGTCACCCAGGCTGGAGTGCAATGGCACGGTCTTGGCTCACTGCAACCTCTGCCTCCCAGGTTCAAGCGATTCTCCTGCCTCAGCCTCCCCAGTAGCTGGGACTACAGGCGCACACCACAATGCCTGGCTAATTTTTTGTACTTTTTTTTTTGAAAAACAGGGTTTCATCATGTTGGCCAGGCTGGTCTCGAAATCGAACTGACCTCGGATGATTCACCCGCCTTAGCCTCCCAAAGTGTTGGGATTACAGGCATGAGCCACCACGCCCGGCCACTGCCATACAATTTCAAGGGCAGCTTCCTCCTGTTCCTCAAGGAACACTGTTATCTCTGTGTGCCTCTGGAGTCCAATCCTAAAGCAAACCAGGCTTTCCAAGACTTCTCTGTTGTCCAGAATAACAAAGAGGTGTATTGAGTTTCAAACCAATCTAGATACAAACCTGCAGCCTGAGGTGGGGGCTGAACAGTGGCCCTCTTCCGGGGTGTCAGCGCTGGCTGGATGGGAAGGATTCCTGGGTTCGGCTGAGTCTGCCCAGCTTTAGGCCTCTGGCGGGGTGCAATTGAAGTCTCTGTGGTGGGAATGGGATCTGTCAGTCTAGAAAGGGAAAAGAGAAAGGTTCATATTAAAGTATGGGAAAAATGGAAGGGAGTGGGCAGAGGACACAATGCTTCCGCTTCCACATCGACCCAAACCTTCCAGGTCTGTTTAATCGATGCTTCCCAAAGAATCTCCCACAGGATGCCATTGTTACTAGACCTTCTGAAAGTAGGCTTGGTGGGCAAATACATTTTTAACACACTGATCAAAATATACTGAGTGGCTCTCCTTCTAGCAGAACTTTTCATGTGCGAATATGCAAGGACAATCTCAAAAAGAATGCTATATAGTATTCTCTTTGCATTCTCAAGCTTATTTCTTCTTGTGGCGCTTTTACCTAGTACCTCCTAGGATTTCCCAAAATACCCTTTGGGTAATAATGCAAAGAGAGGTTTGAGGCACATGGTTTTCAGATGCGAAGAGGATTCAAACTTGGCTGCAACTAGCTGTTAAAGTGGTCTCTCTAAAATGAAAAGCATGCAGATGAGTGAATCCAACATGGGAACTGGAAGGAAAAAGTAAATAATTCAAGTCAAAGGGTTTAAAAATAAAAAGGAAGTGTCACAGAAACTCCATTTCTTCCAATATACATACTATCTTTTTTCCACAGTAACAGAAGTTTTAGCTGGGCACAGGGTCACCCAGAGTAAAAATCACATTGCCCAGTCTCTTTTGAAAACAGGTGTGAACCTGTTTCTAAGTCCTGGCATTACATGAGATGTAAGAAGATTATCAGGTGGCAGTTTCCAGAAACCATAAGAAATAACTGGTTCAAGTCCTCTGTCTTCCTCTTTGACTATTCCTTGATCCTGCTGCTAGGAGCAGAGATGTTGCCATATTGATCCATGCAGCCATAGCTACACTGTAGGAATGGTGATGTGGTTAGCTTGAAGAAGTCTAGATCCCTGAGGGCCTCATGGAGCAGAACTGCCATGCTGGCCTTGGACTACTTACCTCCAGACTTTGTTTACTTGAGAGAAAAAAATAAACATCTATCTTCTATACGCAGCTGTCACTTTGGACTTTCTGTAATTCACAGCCAGATCGACACTTTCAAACTAATATAGGGAAGACTGCTTGCTCCCTGTGAGGGGTGCAGAAGCCCAGGTGCTAACTTCCACTCATTTACAGTAGTCCAGGCAGCTAGCTACTACCTAACTCAGATCAGAGTTGGCCGTCCTTTGAAACTCCACTTTACAGAGTATAACTGAGGTTAGGCCAAAATTAATAAGTTTCAAGAATATTTCCAAAGCATGTTTTGTCAAAATATTTCCAAAACAGCCTCCATGAATGTAAAACAGGAAGCAAAGCAGCTGGCCTCATGTCCTTCCCATGACATACCTCCAAGGTCCATCCTGGGCCCAGAAACTTTGCACTGGCAACCTGTTAGAGGGATGCTCTTGTGCCGGTTGGGGAAGTGGTGATATAAAGGCTATCACATCTTGGGGGCTAGAACCTGGGCAAGGGATGTGGGAAGAAAAATGGGACACGTGCTGGAGAAAAGAAGAAAGGTGTAAGAAAGAAAAAGCTGGCTGGGTGTGGTGGCTCACACCTTTAATCCCAGCACTCTGGGAGGCTGAGGCGGGTGGATCACTTGAGGTCAGGAGTTTGAGACCAGCCTGGCCAACATGGCAAAACGCCGTCTCTACTAAAAATACAAAAATTAGCCGGGTGTGGTGGCACGCGCCTGTAGTCCCAGCTACTCGGGAGGCTGAGGCTGAAGAATCACTTGAACCCGGGAGGCAGAGGTTGCAGTGAGCCAAGATCACGCCACTGCACTCCACCCTGGGTGACAGAGCAAGACTCCATCTCAAAAAAAAAAAAAGAGGAAAAAAAGAAAAAGCCAAGGGTGAGGGAGGTGAGCAGGCTTCTGTAGAAACCCAAACAGCACAACCTCCATGTTGATCATCTCTTGAGGGGAACATATTAGAGCAATGGGATCTGGAGCCAAAGAAAAATATATCTGAGTTCTAGCTCCTCACTAAGTAACTGTGTGATAATGGGTATGTCACTCACCCTCTTTCAGCTTTGGGTCCTTTATGTGTAAAAGGGAAAAACATATGCCTACATCATAAGGCAGATGTGAACATCAAATGTTATCAGTAACTGTCAATCTGTTTTATTAATTGTAGAATGTCCAAAATATTAGTTTGTATGGACTTCAATGAGTATGTTTTGTGGAGTGGAGTGGGGAAAGGGATCATTGCTTACCCTCTGCACATATCATGTTTGAGCCTAGTACAAGACAGCCATGAGCACAAAGGACTAAGCTACTTAAATCAGCCCCAAAACAACTTCCAAAGAGGTGAGCATGGCAGAATTAGTGAAGGAAATGGACAGACTACAAAGTAACAAGTTTTGTTTGTTAAGCAAGTTTGCTACGTTTATTAAAAATCAAAGTCTCACTACTTTAGAGGCACATCTAAAATAACTTCATGTACACAGCAGGCATTTAATAAATATTAAAGAACTTTTTAAGATACAGGTGTTATTTGACTGTTCAATTAAAATTCACATATTCCCATCCAGGGTACTTTGTTGACGCAGTTTGCTGCTAGCACTTACTCGTGATGGTGGTAGAAAAAAGAGGAGTATAAATATCTCCTGCGCTACCTCTAGAATCTGCCATTTGGAAGGGGTGGCAGCCATGCGAAAGTGCTTTGTAGACCTTCATCTACAGGGAGCATAAAACCCCAATGCTCAGCTGCTGCATTCCCAAAATGCAGCACTAAATGCAGCACTGCTGTGTGTTTGCCCTGGTGCCATGCTTCCCATAGGTTGCTGCCAGCCCTAACCTCCAACCCACAGGAATTCCTAGGAGATGAGGGACTATCTGCTGGCTGACTGGCACAAGGACCCCAACACCTTTGGTGAGTCTTACTTAAGTTGTGAGACAGTCTAGGTCACTTCCACCCATGCTTCTTCTCCCTCTGTCTGGGTCAGACTTGCATTGCCTTCCGATGGCACTCCCAGCCTTTCCTGGCTCCCTCCCTGTTTTCCCTCACATGGGCATTTCCCCAAATAACATCTTCGTTTAATCCTCTTTTGGCATCTGCTTTTTGGAAGAACCTAGGTTGAACAGACTGTGATTAGCTAAGACCCAGAGAGTCTTCTGCTGTTCACTGACCTGGTGCTTTGACCTGCATTTTCCTAATGTGGTTGGAGCCATAGAAAGTAAGAAGGAAAGGGAGGTTGAGTGTTAGGGTGGTGAATGCAGCTAACCAAAAGTCAGGACACATGTTTAGGATATTTTTTACATTTTTTAAAAAGAGATAGGGTCTCACTGTATTGCCCAGGCTGATCCCAAACTCCTGACCTCAAGTAATTCTCCTGCCTCAGCCTCCAGAGCAGTTGGTACCACAGGCACGTGCTACCATGCCTGCCTAATGTTTAGGATACTCTTGTACTAGCAACATTCTTTTTTTGTTTTGTTTTGTTTTGTTTTGTTTTGTTTTGTTTTTGAGATGGAGTCTTGCTCTGTCGCCCGGGCTAGAGTGCGGTGGCGTGATCTCAGCTCACTGCAACCTCCACCTTCCAGGTTCAAGTGATTCTCCTGCCTCAGCCTCCCAAGCAGCTGGGACTACAGGTGTGTGCCACCATACCCAGCTAATTTTTGTATTTTTAGTAGATGGGATTTTGTCATGTTGGCCAGGCTGGTCTTGAACTCCCGACCTCAGGTGATCTACCCTCCTAGGCCTCCCAAAGTGCTGGGATTATAGACGTGAAACACCACGCCTGGCCGTACTAGCAATATTTAAAGTCTGCTGTTGCCTCATCTCTGAATGCCCCTGAGCCTATTCCCATGCAAAGAAAACAGCTTCAGAGTTCTTGATTCTCTTTCAAATGTAGATCACAATATTTCATGATATTCCTTTTTGCATTCCCAAAGAACCGTTTCTGCCTAGGCAAGACAGAGCTTGCTTTCCTGATCTGTGCAGCCCCTGGTCATGACAGCATACATAAGAATCAAGAAACACAGGCATCATTCCCTGCTGCTGTGGCAATCCAAGGAGGACATGTGTTCATGAAGGCATTTCTTACCTGGCCTTTGGCTGGGTCTTTTTTGCAGCTGCCTCACTGGCTTTCACTGGTTCAGGAAGCTTTGCAGGAATGGGAGAGTTCTATAGAATTGCAAACAAAACAGAACAAAACAAAAGGACATCACAGATTTCTTTGTTAAAGAATAAGCAGCCTGACTGGGACTGAGAGCTGATGGAAACACATTTTGGGATCTTCTGGAGCAGCTTCCAGGCCCTGAGCTCTGTCTGGTAGAGGGAAGGAAAGTTAACCAAATGCATATCAGACTCAGCCACAGTCAGGGAAGCAATGTATCTGAGAAGAGGAGAGAGTAGCTTGTGTGCAGCACACATTCCCGGATTATTCTCTACCTTCTGTACCATGGTGAGTCACTGGGGCTTGATCTCAGTACCCTTCTCCTCCTATAGCACAGCTTAGAAGTGATGCTATGAAAGGAATGGGAAGGAAATGTCTGTAGCTGGTATTATTCTGGATCCCAGACAGATCTTCGTTCGAGCTTATCAATGTGTCAAACCAGGGTGCACTGAGTCTGCAAGTTAGAATGCTCAGAGAAAACCACAGCCACCTCTGTGTATGGCTGCTGAGCCAGTACCCTTCCCAACATGTGAGGCACTACTCAGTCCACAAGCCAAGGAGAGTTCCTCTGGCTTGAAATCTGCACTATCCATCTAATAATGCCTCATGAGGGAGCACCAACTAGCTGTCCCTAACCCTAAAACAAGTGCTTACCACTACTGAGTACCAAATGACATAAGACTTGTGAGGTGTACTTTTAAAAAACTAGCTACCAATCTGAATGCTTCCACTTAGATTTCACATTATTTAACTTTATGAATGGGAAAGTGGGACTACAAAAGAAGACAGTCATGTTTGGTTACTGCACAGTATCCCTCGTTTTAATCTGGGAAACCAACACACAATACTAGTTATAAAACTGGCCTTTTAGGAGGGTCCTCTCGCTTCCTTCATGTTTCCAGGTGGGGGGAGATTTTCTGCTAGAAAACTTCTAGCACTTCCTCTTCTTCAAGCATTCCTCTCCCAAAGGAGAAGAGTTGACTTCTGTGACTGTTAAGACTGTAGAAAAACTGAGCTGGTCCGGTTTGCTTTGCCCTCCTTCCTTTAAAGAAGAGCTGGTCCCCCAGGAATCAGGTGTTTACATTTCAGTCATGTGGGTCTAATGCTAGGGAGCCTGACTGGTCAAGCTGCATCTTCTGACTCAAGCTTATTAGTAATAAAGCCAATATTCTGAGCTCCACATGGATGAACCCCACATCTGATTCCAAATGTGAGAGTGAAAGAGGAGCAGCACCCTTAAGTCCCAGCAGTGAAATCAAAAGTTCATTATTGGAGGAACTAGCAAGAACATTTCAGATCAGAATCTATTATTATAGCATCCATTAATAAAATATTTAAGAAAAATAAATCACAATATGACATGAAAAATATGCAAGGATTTTTAGTAGAGATGGGGTTTTGCCATGTTGGCCAGGCTGGTCTTGAACTCCTGACCTCAGGTGATCCATCCTCCTCGGCCTCCCAAAGTGCTGGGATTACAGACGTGAGCCACCATGCCCAGCCGTACTAGCAACATTTGAAATCTGTAAAAAGGACATTTGCAAGCATTTTGCTCTGAAAACTGAGTGCAGAGTTTAGGATTACTAAATGTAGAAAACATTCTTATGGCTTGATGTGCTGGAAGGACAGAGAAAGAGGAGTGTGAGTTATAAATGGCCAACAGCAGAAGCAAAATCAAGAAAGCTCTGCTGCAAGGAAGGAGAACGGGGACAAGGGGCGTAGGTTCTAACAGGCATGGGGGCATGTCCAAGGCATTGCCTCGGGAAAGTAGCCTGCCTGTAATCACCTCCAGGTGACTACAACAGGCATGTGGCTCTCAGAGAACTAGAAGAGTTGACAGACATGAAGTTGGTCAATCTTCATCCAAAGCGTCCAACTCAATCCCTAGGGCATTTTTTTGTTCAGTACAATTGCTTCAGTTTTATAATTAAATTCCATGGGAAAACTGGATTCCCTTTATGGCAACTGCTTCACAGTTAGCTTTGCTTGACTACCCCCAGTAGATAAAGCAAGGGACATCTAAATTCATTTAAACAGCTGATTAACACCCCAGGAGCTCAAAATGGCAATTTGATAATGTTTACTCCCTTTAAATAGCACCATTCACGTACCTGTACATTTGGAATTGGGCACTCTTTCTTGAGTAGCTTAAATGAGAAGTAGGACACCTGGTAAATATCCGGCCTTTTGTCAGGGTCTGGTTCCAACATATACCCTAAGGCAAACATGTGAATTTATTTAATAATATTCCAACAGTTATTACACTAGCTAGGAAGCATCATTCCTCTCTCTACTCCCAATGTTTTGTTTTTAAACTTTTATTTTTCATAGAAGTCAGACAGTATAATTATCCCCTTTTCTCTCCCTTAGAAAGAGAAGCTCTAATGTTCCTGAAATATTTAATATCCATAAGAAAATAAAATATATAGATTGTAACAAAGATACTTAAAGTTCATATTCTATGCTTTGCACCAGAGGGACTCAAGCTCTCAATATGAAAGTTACCACCTTCATACTCCGATACCTAGGAGGTTACACGGTCTTACCATGGGCTTCCTTGGTTCATCTTATCTTACTAAACGAATGATTATTCTTAATAATTATAACCAAAACCCAAACTTCATGAATTTACTTATTATTCTTTTGTTGGAAATATTAGCTGGTTTCCAGATTAAAAGAAATTACAAAGTAACGTATGCATATCTACTTTTCCTGTGACCTATAGATCACTTGTCTATTTCCAGGTCCTTTAAGCTTCTGCCTCCCTGAGGCTGGAAAAATCCTCAGGGGGAAAAAAAATTATTTGAGAAGACCACAAACATACACATACACATGCAAACAACAACGCAAGGCAGCTGACTGCTTAAATAATAAAGTGAATGCTCTGGACACTAAGTTCCAAAAAGATCAGTGAGGGTGCAGCCTTGTGACTGCCTTGCAGAAGAGGCAGAGCTTGAGGTGGCCCTTGAAGGCAGGACAGAATTTAGTCAGTGGGGAAGCAAAGAAAAAGACATTCTAGTTAAGAGAACAGTCTGAGCAAAGAAGGACTTGGAGAAAGACAAGAGAATGCCTGCTGCAAGTAAATAGAGGAGCCAGAAGGACAGGGTAGAGAGAAGTCTGAGTGGGTGGAATGCAATCAGAATCAGAATCTTAAATGCCATGCTAAGAAGCTGAGCCCTACTGTGAGACCATTGGCAAGCCGCTAGAGTTTCCTAATCAGGGACATGAGAGGTGGTGTTTTATAAGAGGAATCTTTTGGTGAGGGTGTGCTGGATGGATTGAAAAGAGAGGAGAAAAGCTGGTGACCAGTCCAACAGTAAAGGCATGAGCTGACAGAGTCTGTATATACTATGGTGACAGTGATGTTCATATAAAGAATGTAATGAAAACAGTAGAAACTCCAAAAAAGGAATATGGCCGAGTACACGACTGAACCTTTCCTCTCTTGCTAGCTGGATCCAAAGAAATCTTAAATTTCATTCTTCCAGGCTTCAATGGTGATACCACTGAGAGAAACTGAAAAGAGGACAGGCGAACTGGGTATTGAGGGTAAAAAGAAGGAAGGAGGGCTAATGATGATAAACTTAATTTTAGATCTGTGCGTTTAGGGTGATAGTGGAGTTGCCAAATGGTTTGCAAGCAGTTTGGGAAAGATGTCCATGGTATAGACATTCATAAAGAGTTGTATTTCCCAATATGAATTTACTGCATAAATGTTTTAAAAATTATCAAAAAATAATACTAGTCTAATATCAAAGTTGGCCATTTTCCCATATTTCCTACCAATCTCACTTACATACCTGGAATTCTAACATGGACATAATGCTTTATCTCTTAAAACAATCCAACAATTATTAAATGTCATAATCCAGCCCTTTAAATATTCCTCCTTTTTTTGTTAATAAATGGAAGAGGCTGATTGACAAAACTGGCACAATGGAATGGGCAGCACCTTAAAAGCTGTATCTATGTTAAGTGGATAAGTTACCTACATTTTCTCAGTTTCAGTTTCCTCATTTGCATAATGGGAATAATTACACTTAATACATAAAGGATTTTAAGAATTAAATGAGGTATAAGTAGGCCCTCAACAAATGTCAGATGCTCCACCCACATTTGCTGCTTCTATTTTTTCCAGTGTATCCCCATGCAGGACCCAAATGGGTTACTCAGGATTTATAATCAATCCATAACAGTTAAAACTTAGATGTTAAGAGTCTTGACCAATGTGGAAAGATGATAAAAATCTCTGCTTCTTTAGCATTTTAGTATAGGGGCTTTGTGCAAATATTATTCTTTTTTTTTTCTTTAAAGATTACTTATTCTACCATCTGGTTAATGAATGTTAGTACATATGCTTGCTATGATGATACCAAATAGTGGGGAATCTTAAGACTATTTTTAAGAAAGCATTGAGTTTAGATGCATGTTATCAAAATCCAGTGATTAACCTAAATGAGAAGAAAAACCTGGTTCCACGGAGTTATATAGTCTTAATTATCTATTCACTCCAGTGAATGTACTGCAATCATTTTCATTTGAGTTGCTTCCAGTTTTGCAAAGATGAATTTCTTATCACTTGATATGAGTCAGCTGGACTCCTTTGGTACCGGAGCTTTCATAGAGACTGCAACAGAATATAGAAGCACTATACTGCTCCAGGCAGTTAGGATTTCTGCTTGGGTGGCTGGGCTCAGGTGTGAAACAGAACTTCAGATTTCTAGCAAAAAGACCCACCACTCTAACTAGACAGTTACATTGTCTTTGAGTTCCCAATCATTATCAACTAATTTCTTTACCTTTGCATCTAACTCATTACTCCTGGAATCTAATCCCTTTATCCCCCAATTCATTCTTTGTGATTAGAAATAAAAATATGAAACTAGAAACTTAAAATACTTACTAATTAGGCAGTGCATGTCTTGAGAATATCGAGAATTATCAGGAATTGTGAAGTTTCCATCACAAATTGCCACCTGACTTTCCCCAAATGGCAAAGTGAAGTAGCATAATTTATACAACAAACATCCAAGAGCCTAAAAAATAAAGATAGCAGATTGCTACTAGTGGCTTATTTATCATGACTCTAAATGGATCTAATGAGAAACTGGCACCATCCACATTTACTAGCAGATACAAAAACTATAGACTATTAATGTATTAGAAACATGAGTTTTAGAACCCAACACCACTGTTAGCAGCTGAGTTACATTATTTCTACCATTATTACCAAATCGTGTTCCAGTAAATAATAAGTATTTACCTGTTTTGCTCTTAAGAACCAGTAACATATACATGAAAAAAAATCTAAATAATTTTCACAGAGCTTGGAAGTAATTTTCTTTATCATGCTTCAAGAAGCAGTGGCTGGTATTCTCACATCAAGAATAACCTTGAGGGGTAAGTAGACCATGATATGGTACAGTAGCCACCATGCTATAGCGCTGTGTGCATTAACCTTGGGAATTCACAGTCAAGACTGCTGCTATCTGAGGTATGGATAGGTTACCTGACACCTACCCAAATGTCTGCCTTCGTAGTGATGATTTTGCCACTGTACAGGTTGACCATTTCTGGTGCTCGATAGGACAGCGTTGTGTATCTACAATCAAGAGATTCATTTTTTATTAAATATGTCAATACTATAATTAAAAACCAGGAGCAGCAGAAATACTTTTTTTCTTTTTACATTAACAGAATCCCTGGGAGCAATCTGCAGAAGAGAGTATGAAATATTAGTAGAGATAAAATGAAAGGCTGTCCTTGGTACAATCATATCATCACACCAAGGCGTTCTGGCAGCAGTCCTCCTAGTCTAAGAACATGTGGGGACTCAGACACTAATGCATTAAATAAATTCTAAAAGCAACTTTTCTTGGGTCCTCAAATGACAAAATCTTCTCAAAATTCTTATACTGATACTATATTTTGTCAATTTGTTGTTTTAAAAATGGCCTTTACATGTGGCTCAACACAGAGATGTAATACTGACTGTGGTACTCTGCAGAAGAGCAGAAAGTGGGCCCTGGCTGGGGTGAGGAGTGGATGGAATCAAGAGCCCTTCCTCTTTGCTCCTGGAATCAGGCTGAAATAACAGTTTTATCTCTTGCTCCAGAAAAAAGTAGTATAAGCACGTCCTCGAAGTGAGTGTCTTGGTGTTACCAAGCATGTGATTTATGATGCTTTAGTCTCTAGATCCCAGATGGGACACGTCTAGGCATCCCTCAGGGCCTTGGGTCGATCAGGTTCTTCTTGCCCCGGGCATGGTTGTCTGGGGTGACGCATGAAAGGACAGAGAAGATCAGGATGTAGGTGTGCAGGCTAGACTGTTGACTTATTAGTAGTAATAGCGAGTGCTGTTGCCTGTAAAAAATCCAACATTGTGGACATGAGGAGAAAATGGGTCAGGCTCTTATTGGAGTCACAAATCTAAAGAAGCTTTTTATCATGAAAGTCTGTGATTCAGTATCTGCAGAGACTTTAATAACCTACTCACCATTATTTCCACTTAGATCGCCTTATGAGCAGGAAGAAAGGAGCAATTTAGGGTTCAGTAAAAAGCACATCTGTTTGACTGATAATGTCATGGTTGTTGTGATCATACTTAAAAACATGCTAGTACTTTTACGGTGTGTGCACCTCTCAGCTTTTTATAGGCTCTGTGACATCATAAATCAAAACATCTATGTACAATGACCACAGGACCACTGATAAAGTGCTCTAAGAGTCCTTCCTTTTACTCTGATGTATGCCTGTAAACCCCCTCCTCATTCTTCACTTAAAGTCAAACAACCCAACTGTAAACATGATGCTCTGAGATGAAGGACAACTGACTATCACCATTCTCTCCCCACCCTGACCTTCTCATCCATAAGCTGAAGGTAAAGTTGCTCATCTGATTGTGGACAAAACTCCATGAAAGGAGAAAAAGCTTACTTCTTAATCTCATCTTCTACTGCATTGACTCCCTCAGTTTGTGGATTCTGGAATTTGTTGGTGGCGCTTCCAAAGTCACACAGGACATAGTGGCCTCGGTCATGCAAGAGGATGTTTTCAACCTGAAAAACATTCCCCAACCACCCATTCCAAGATATCATTTAGTAATGCACGTGAAAATTTGGTTTCACAGTCACATAAATAAACGTTTTATTTCTGGCAGTCTCATTAATGTGCACAGGGAAGTTATTCCTCTCCAAGTATCTCAACAGGGGTCATCCCAAGTGGAACACAGGAGATGCAGAGTAAGAGGGAAAAGTGGGTGGAGAGGGAAAAAAGAGGAAACTCCACGGTGGGGGATGCAAGAGTGCCATTTTTGTAAATTTCAGCCACATTTCTCACCTCTGCAGAAACCATCCTCATACTTTCAAGCCTCTGACCTGTGCCTTTGCTCTTGCTCTTCTTTTAGGCCAGGATGCCCTCCACAACCCCACCTCCTTAGCCAACTATCAAAATCTCATTTCAAACCCCAGTTCAAATGCCATGTCCTTTTTGAAACTTTCAGGCTCCCACTCAGATAAAATGTCACTCTTTCCCTATTGTCCTTCAGTATTTCATTCTCTCATGATGTGAATTACTTCACTTGGACCTTATAAGTACCTATATAAATGTCTTTACTACACTAGGTTAGGATATTCAGAATTAATATTGCTTATGTTTCAGTTACTTCTCAATGTGATAAAATGTCTGGGGATAAATGGGCAGTTTTCCTGTTAATGTATTGCCCTAATTTTTTAAATAAATGAATTCTTTGGGCAGTGAGTTAGGAGTTCTAGGCAGCAGGGAGCTTATAAAGCCCCAAATCTAGAGAAATCCCTGGTATCAAAGGACTCTACAAATGAAATGACAACTCCAAAATAGTGGGCACTATGTACTCAAGGTGTACTGATTTTGGGTCTAGGTGAACTGAGCTGACTAGTATGCCGGAGGACAGACCTGGCTATGTGTGGGCAGTAAAATGGCAGCCAAAAAATCTTGTTAGGCCATTAAGACTGTAGTCTCCATTGTCTTTTGCCTTCAGCCTTCCAAAGACTGATCACCTTTGGAAAACAAAGGCAAGAGTAGACTATAAAATAGTCTACTCTGAAAGATAAGCTCCTTAAAGATAAGCATCTTCTTATAATCATATTCTTGGTCTTCTCTACCTAGTGCCTAACACAATGCTTGGTATAAAAAATGTATGTTGAATGGAATAAACCAAAAAACACTGTGTAGGTGTGTGTATGTGTGTGCAAACCTGGTGTGTCAGGCGCAAGATAGGAGCCACCAAATATCCAGGCCGTACTACTGTACTACTACTGATTCTTTTAAAAACAACTGGTCAATTATAATAGTCTCTAATTTCTATACTTGTTTCTATACTTTCTTTTAATTCTTCTAAGAATTACATTAAGTATATTTTATAGTCTGTATCTGCCAATTCCAATATTTGAAGTCTCTGCTGCCAACTGATTCTGCAGTTTATTGTTTCTTACTCCTACTAAACCTTGCTTATGGTGGTGTTGTGAGGAGCTTTTTGTTTTTGTTAACTTACATTCCTTGGAACTTAATCTGTAAAAAGCTTGTAAGATCTGGGTTTAAAGTCTATTGTTCTTCCAGAGAGGATATACTGGTGTAGCTGGGGGCACTACTACCCTGGAATCACTTTAATCTATAATTTTGACCTTGGAATTTCCAGCCACATAGGTAGTTTGAACTACAGCCATCAACCTGCACAGGTATGTTCTATGATGAACAATTCTTAAGCATAGGGTTATGAAAGATTAGGAGAGATTCATTCCTTTGAGATAAGGCTGAGGCACGCAAATATTTCCATCATCTATGTCTTTTTTATAAAGCTCACCAGTTTAATCTATTTACACAAAGTGACACAGTCAAGCTTCCTGAGCATATACACACTTTAGGAATTTAAAATAATTCCAACAAAACAACGCTAATGTTTTCAATCTAATTTAGAGGTTATAAAAATAACAGCCATCATTTTCTGAGCTTTATTATTGCCAGTACTACTGTACTCAGCATTTTACATGGATTATCCCACTACATCCTCATAATCCCAATATGATTATTATCCTTCTCTCACAGATGGAGAAAATGAGGCTCAGAGTGATTAAGTCACTTGCTAAATGTCACACAGCCAATAGTTGGTACAGCTGGGAAGTGAACCTAAACAACCTCACTCTAGAAAGGATAGGCAATTATATTCCTGCTACAGGAAGCAGGTTAGAAGCAGAGCAATTACTCAAGGCCCCCATCCTTACTTCCAACTATAGTAGGGGAGACAATACTTGTCTAATGCATTGGGTGCAAGCTTAAGGACAGGACTTTCTTGGTGCTTTATGTTCAGAAATGCCCCCACAATAGAAATCTAGTGAATAAGGAATGAAGTGTCTAAACACTAGCCAGGCTGATTTGTTCGATGTCTCCTAAGCATTCCATACACAACCTAATTTGTCCTTTTATTCAATTGCTCCTTTTATTCAACTGCTCATTCTCCACTCCAGTTGTAACTCCTCAGAAAAACCTTTCACAACCAGTTCACAAAATCTACAGAACTTACTGTCAATAGCAGAGGCTGCCAAAGGCCTTCAGGCCACATCAAACCATGCCCACTTGTTACTTACCCTAAAGTTTATGGCTGCTTTTGAGCTCTGACAGCAGAGTGAGCAGTTATGACAGACTTAAAATATTTATTATCTGGCCCTTTGTAAATAAATTTTGCCAACCTTTGGTAGGTAATAATCACTGATAATCATTTACAATTTGGCAATGTTTCTTTCACTGTGGGTTGGTATTTAACTTCTTATGTATTTATGCTTGCCTTCCCAAGTAAGAATACAAAACTTTAGAGAAAAGGGCACTGTGTTATGCCTGTGCATCTCCCATAACACCTTGTCCAGTGCTGTACACACGCCAGGGACCCTTAAATGTTGCCGATGAAATCACTTATTCAGCATCATTCAGCAACAATCTTCCTCCTCGGCCTCATGCACCTGGCAGGGCTCATCTAAAACCATGCTTCTCCTATTGTATGTGTGCACTCGCTTTCTGAATCAGTTTCTACACTTCTAATGCTGGAATGTACATCTAGAAAAGCTGTTATACCATACATTTATCAAAGAAACATGTTTCACACAAAGGATAAATGCTTGAGGTGGCAGATACCCTACTCATCCTGATGTGATATTACACATTGCATACCAGTATCAAAATGTCTCATATAACTCCTATATACACCCATTACGTACCCACAAAAATTAAAAACTAAAAAACAAAAGAAACACGTTTCAACTCCTACTATATGCCAAGAACTTTTCTAGGCTCTAGGGATAAGGCTGTGAACACAACAAGGTCTATCCTCTCACAGAGCTTACAGTCCAACTGGGGATAAGAAGAAAATAATTATACTTGCCTGGTAGTGATAAATATTATGACAAGAATACAGCAGGTGAATGTATGTAAGGTGAAGACGAATGTTATTTTAAATAGTATAGTCGGGGAAGGTCTCTCCAAGGGGAACAGAGACCTGGATGAAGAAGGAGCAGCCATGTGCCATATGGGGAAAGAGCATTCCAAGCAGAAAACAGTAGCACAAAGGCCCTGAGATGGGAGTGTGCCTGAAGGGTCTGAGGCACAGAGGCAGGCCACTGTGGCTGGAATAGTGCTATGCATAGTACCAGTACTGCAAAGAAAGCTGAAAACATGGGAAAGGACCTACTATGAACCACTGCTGTCAGGAAAGGGGAGACAAGACAATGTGGAGCCATGGAGGAAGTGAAGGACTTACAAAAGTGAAACTAATAACAGGAACAAAGCATAGAAACCAGAGTGATAATAACAGTAGCAACTAACAGCACTTATTAAGTGCCAGACACTGCTCCACGCGCTTTTACCTAGAGTATTTCATATAATCCTTACAAAGCCTTATTGTCTCCCTTAATAGATTAGAAAAAAGAGGCCAGAGAAGTTACCTAACTTGTCTGAGGTCACAGGATAGTAGGGCAGTATTTAGGCTCAGGCCACCGGACTGCCAGGACCACACCCTCACCCACCGTGCTGATGTGCATTGTGCAATTAAGGGGGATGGACAGTTGAGATTGGCGAGGAAGGAGGAAGGAGAAAGGGAGAGGACCAGAGAAGCACACAGACAGCAGACTGAGGAAGGGCACTTGGGCACCATTCAGCATTTTTCTCAGGTCAGCAGCACATGAAGACAGCCATTTTATGAAAATTAGCTTGGCAAAATTGAGGGAGAAGAAAAGAAGGAAGCCAACAAGGGCAGGTACAACAGTCTGGGTGTGAGATGACTAGGGCAGGGTATAGAGAAAAATCAACAGGGATGGAAGTAAGCAGGTGTGAATAGATTATGTGAGATTAAGAAGGTAGAAACCCAACTAGACAGTCGTACACCACCTTCTGAAAGCTTCAGAGAATTTGCATAGGGACTTTGTTTTTGGCAAAGTCCCTTAGGGTGAAGCTCAAGATTGTTTACCACTGCTTACAATCCCGAACCTTTCCATTCTTTGAGAGTGCGATGCTGCTGACCCCATTTCCTAGCCTCTCAGCTTAAGAGTGCAATTGAAGTTGTCACTGTCAAACTCTGCTTACAGCTTTAGCAAAAAGATCTAAGAGGCTACCTCCTACTGACCTCTTCATCTCAATATTATTCCAAACAGGTATGGCATTAGGCATTTCAGTCAGAGAATGTATTGCCACTGCAAAATTTGAAGGATTAGATGAATGCAGGTTTTCAAACCTGTGTTTCTAAAAATGGGACAAGAATCTTCATCCTATTATACTTCATGAGATCAAAATCTCTATTCTAACAAAGGAGACATCTATGACTCTTTTGACATGAATGTGCATGTTAAGCCTTAACCCTTTCTTCTCCTTTCTTAAGTGCTTGGACAAATAGCATGGTATAATACAACAGAATAAAACGGGAGTGAAAAACCGTGGTCTCCGTTCTGGTTTGATCACTCAACTACCTGTGCAGGTCACAGCCTTTCTGTGCGGAGGTTTCCTCACTGGTAAAGAAGAGGGCTGGCTTAGGTGACCTTCCCAGATCCACAACACCATGATCTGCAATACTGATCTTTATCTTTCTCAGAGAAATGAAAATTTAAAATGGGGAAAATGATTAAAGTGTTAAAATAATGTATTAGAGGAGAGATCTTCAATATAGAACAGCACTTCTGCTATGGTTATTTTTAGAACATAAGCTGCTTAAGGACAGGGACCACTTTCAGTTTATTTCCTCTGTCACTGGAAAGAAAGGCTGCACAGGCAGTAGGGAGGGCAAGGGGGGTTTCCTCAGTTCTGCATGTGAACCAGCAGACCCACAGGCAGAGTGGCGCTGGCTCCACAAGGCCCGAAGTAGGCCTGGCCCGTGCTCTTTCCCTCATCCTATTAACTTTTATTCACAGTGGCACCTTCTCACCGAATGGAAATCCTGCTCACAGAGAAGCAACTAGCATTTTCTCTGGAAAACAGGAAAATAGAGAACTCTTTGGCCCTGACTACTGCTAGGACTGTGGTGGCTGGTTCTCACAGTGACATGGAGCTCAGAGTCGCTGAGACTATGTGATGCAACGACAGAGCCAGGGTGAACAGGAGCACTTGGGGAAGCTGCAGATGCGCAGACAACTGTAACTGCCCAGCGCGGACATACTAGCAGACAGCAATAAAATCTAACGTGCTAATGAAAGCATCTAGATGGCATCGAGTGTAAGATCTGGGGAGTCAATGACTAAAAACAACAGCGACCAGGACTTCTCTGCAACAATCACAATCCAGGCCTCTTCCCATGGTCCCTATATCCAAGGTAAAGGAGAAAGAGTCTCCTGAACCACAGTGAACAAATTGGCAGCATGCCTGATGATCTTCAATATTGATGAAAACACAACCACAGAGTCCAATACAATCAGCTCTCCTTATCTGCAGGTTTCACGTCTCCCTCCATGCAACCAACCATGCATCAAAACCCACTGATAAGGGGGGACAACTGTGTGTATTCTCCACCTACAGATGGTTGAATCTGCAGATGTGGAACATCAGATGCAGAAGGCCAACTACTGTGTGTCCAGCATTGCGCTGCCTCCGTCTTAGGAGCACTGAGGTGCAAGGGGTAAAGCACTGAGGGCTGGCTGGGGAAATGAAGTCTGGTAACCTCACTCTAGCCTTTCATTCCAGTTTGCTCCGCATTCCCCTGCTGAAACATCTTGTGGGCTGTTCAGTGCAGTGAAGGAAGAGGCTGGGGCCCGCTGCCTTAGCCCTCCCACCGACCTACTCAGCATCCCAGGCAAGACACTGAGCTCTGTCTCCAGGGCCCCATCACTGGGTGATGCTGACCCAGCACCTCACTGTAGCACAGGGAATGTCACCAGGCAGTGCTATCCTGGTAACTACGTAAGCTGGACAGGTGTTATTTACTGGTATGACATGACTATCATTCAGGCTTCATTTAATCCAGTAAGTGTTTAAAAATCAATATAAAGAGGGCTGGGCATGGTGGCCCATGCCTATAATCCCAGCACTTTGGGAGGCCAAGGCAGGCGGATCACTTGAGGTCAAGAGTTCAAGACCAGTCTTGCTAACATGGTGAAACCCCGTCTCTACTAAAAATACAAAAATTAGCCACGCGTGGTGGCGGGCACCAGTAATCCCAGCTACTCGGGAGGCTGAGGCATGAGAATCGTTTGAACCCAGGAAGTGACAGCTGTAGTGAGCTGAGATTGTGCCACTGCACTACAGCCTGGGCAAGAGAGCAAGACTTCATCTCAAAAAAAAACAAAAAACAAAGTTAATATAAAGGAAGACTCTGAGAACATGGGAATATTACTTTCTAAAAGGATCCTCTGTGTCCCTCTGCTCTTTCCCTTGTCCTCACCTCTGAGCCCTTTCAGGCATTTACCATGCCAGGGATGTGCGCCTAGAGATTGACAAGCACTCCCTCATTCAACCTCACCACCACCCTAACAGAGCAGGCACTGTTAGCTCCACTTTACAGATGATGAAACTCAGGCTCGGAGAGGCTAGTGATTTGAGAAGAAAGCCAAGGAGCCTGGAAAGGAGGAGCTGGGGAGAAGACACCATCATAGAGGTCAAGGGAGAGACAGTCACAAAGGAGCCAGAAGCCACAGGGGGAATAAGACAGGGACTGGAAAATGTTCTCTGCATTTGGCAATACGGAGGAAGCTGCCTATGCTCACCTCTCACAGCACTTGTAATTCCGTCAGTATGAGTCACACGGTGGTGCAGAGTCAGAGTTCACAGGATGAACTCTAACCCCATTTGACATGGAAGGGGTGCAGAACGGGGGCTACAGAGAGGCAAAAGGTCACATGGATCATAAGAGCGGTGCCCACCAGCCACATTTCTCCCCTATTTCTATGCCTCTCACACTCTTCTCCAAGGCAGGCAGCAAGGCCAGGGGTCAGGTCCTTAAGTTTTGGTACCACTGCCTGTTCTGAAATACATGCTAACAGGATTTAAACAAAAATTTTACTCATTGTTAAAGGCAACTAGGAGTAGTGTCAATACATATTCAGAGCAATGCCTGTGGTCACTCTAGCCTGGTCTGCAACTGGCCACACACTGGAGCTCTGACCCACCTTCTCATCCCCACACACCTTGCTGTTCCCTTCTGCAGGGAGCCCTCTGGCTCTACTCTCTACCCAGAATGTTCTTCATCCTCTCTGTGACCACTTACTTCCTATCAGGCCTTCAAAATCCCACTTTTCCAGAAAATTCCAATCATCACTGCCTGATCTCACTATCTGGCCATACATTAAACCCCTTGATTATCTTCTATTCATCATTTTCTTCTATAGAGTTTTATATTTCATCTATTTCTGTTTCAAGTCTAAATATTTCATTGGTATCTTCTTACCAACAATACTTTGAATATCTTGAGGGTAGGAACAATGTTATATTTGTCCCATCCCCACAGAATTATGTACTTGTGCTATGCTAAGCTTATAATAAATATTCAACAACATGCATTCCCTGCCCCACTTGCCTTTTTTTTTTTTTTTTTTGAGACAGAGTCTTGCTCTGTCACCCAGGCTGGAGTGTAGTGGCACAATCTCGGCTCACTGCAACCTCCGCCTCCTGGGTTCAAGCAGTTCTCCTGCCTCAGCCGCCTAAGTAGCTGGGATTACAGGTGCCAGCCACCACACCCAGCTAATTTTTTGTATTTAGTAGAAATGGGGTTTCACCATGTTGGCCAGGCTGGTCTCGAACTCCTGACCACAGGTGATCCACCCGCCTCAGCCTCCCAAAGTGCTGGGATTATAGGCATGAGCCACCACGCCCGGCCACATTCCTCTATTTCTACTTAGAAAAAAAGGGCTGACTGTGCGCAGAGGTACACTACAGAAAGCTATCTAAGCCTTTGGGAGGTATATACTCATTCTCCTGTAAGCTAACTGCCTTAATATAGAAATGCCAGGATGTACCACTTCATACCCACTAGGATGGCTAAAACAAAAAAGGTCAATAACAAGTGTTGGTAAAGATGTGGAGAAACTGGAACCTTCACGTATTGCCGATGGACGTAAAATAGTGTGACTACTTTGGAAAACAGTTTGAAGGGTCCTCAAAAAGTTAAACACAGAGCTACTATATGACCCCACAATCTACCCCTAGGTATAGACCTATAAGAATTCAAAACATATGTCCACACAAAAACTGGTACATGAATGTTCATAGCAGTGTTATTATTCATAATAGCCAAAAAGTGAAAACAACTCGAATGTTCATCAGTGAATGAATGGATAAACAAAATGTGGTACATCCATACAACAGAATATTATGAAACTATGAAAATGAAGTACTGATACATACTATAACATTGACGAACCTTGAAAACATTGTGCTAAGTGAAAAAGTCAGACAGAAGGGGTCACATATGATGATTCCATTTATATGAAATGTTCAGAACATGAAAATACAGAGACAGAAAGTAGATTAGGGGTTGCCAGGAGAGAGGGAAAGGGGAGACAGAATAGGGACTGCTAATGGATACAGGGTTTCTTTTGGGGATGATGAAATGTTCTGGAATTAGATAGTAGCGATGGTTACACAACTTTGTAAGTATACTAGAAACTGCTGAATTTTATACTTCTTTTTTTTTTTTTTTTTTTTTGAGGCAGAGTCTCGCTCTGTTGCTCAGGCTGGAGTGCAGTGGCGTGATCTCCACTCACTGCAACCCCTGCCTCCCAGGTGCAAGTGATTCTCATGCCTCCGCCTCCTGAGTACCTGGGACTATAGGCATGCGCTACTACACCCGGCTAATTTTTTGTATTTTTAGTAGAGACGTGGTTTCGCCATGTTGGCCAGGCTGGTCTCATACTCCTGATCTCAAGTGATCTGCCCGCCTTGGCCTCCTGAAGTGCTGGGATTATAGGCATGAGCCACCACGCCTGGCCTGAATTATATACTTTAAAGCAGTAAATTTTATAGTATGTGAATTATGTCTCAATTTTTTTTAAAAAGTTAAGAAATAAAAGAAATGCAGGTATGCTGCTTTATCCCAAAACCTTTAGAGTATACAAAAACCACCCAGTGTTCTTATTAAGATATGGCTTCTTGGGCTTCCCTGATGTCACTACCAAAATTTTGGCCCAAGAGATTCAGTGTGGAACCTACCAGCCTGCATTTAACAAGCATGCTAGGGGATGCTGATTCAAGTTATTAGCTATGAAGCATGTTTCCTGAAACACGGTAGAATGAAAAGAAATTGTAATTTAGAATCTGAAGGCTGGATTCAAATTCTGGCACTGTCCTTCCTAGTTATATGACTTTAGGCAAGTCACATAACCTCTCTGCTTCTTAGTTTCCTCAACTATAAAACGTAACAAAGAATGTCTCCCCCTGAAGAGACACTGTACATAAAACGTAGTAGAGTACATGGCACGTAATTGGTGCCCAATACATGCTAAGTTGAACCCTAACAAGGTGCCAATTCCATTCAACAAACACTGTCAAGTGACTACAATATGAAAGGCACAGTGCAAGGTGATGGCAATTAGGACAATTAAAAAAAATCAATTAGTTGATTTTGCAAAATATGAAATAAGACTTTAAAAACCAAGCATCATTGTTTACTAAGTATTTAAATTAAAAGTATTACTTTTCACAATCCTGAAAAAGTGGGGGGAGTATATCAGGAAAAACAAAAACAACACAGGCTCAGGCATGTGATAATTATAAAGAATTTCTGGAGGCTGCTTAAGTAATAAAACTTACACCTGTACTGTACTTTTTCCTTTGTTATTTTCTCTCCTCAGGCAGAATATAAACATAAAAACAGGGACCATATCTTAAATTTCTCTCATATCCCCACAGTATCTACTCCATCCCTGGGGCAGACAGAAAATATTGAGTAGAATGCCCGTAATGAAAGAGTGTGGTCTGTACCTTCAGGTCCCGGTGGATAATAGGAGTTTTGCACTGATGCAGGCGGGCAACAGCTTCACAGGTATCACAAAATATCTGGAGCACTTCATTCTCTGTAAAGCCTGTTTGCAGGCGCTGGTTCATCAGGTTTACCACCTGGCCACCTGAGGGGGTACGTACAGGGCAAAGGAGACGTTATAAACATTCGGACTTGTCATTTAGTCTAAGAGAATGAACGGCGTCCAAAGAGAAGCAGTCTGGACTAAGGTAACAGAGCTGACCACTGACTGAGCCAGGATTAAAACCTAGTTGTCTTGACTCCCAGCTTGGGATTTGTTTTCTTATAATTCAGTGTCTCCTCTAATGCATCAAAAACAGTTTCTTTATTTTATAAAGCACCCCAGATGTGAGCTGCCCTCATTATGTCTTCGAGGTTAGTAGAACTGACAATATGGTCCTGCTTTAGTTGCCTGGTTATATTGTGTTCGTTGTGTATGAGACATGGCCACAGCCTCAACTTGCCATATCTTTTAGTAAGAATCAGATGGCACAATAGGTCCAGGGAGCAGGAAGAAGATGGTTTTATACTTTGAACTTCAAGAACAGCTTAGTCTCTCTGGCTTCACTGCTTACTGCTTGGCTTGCAGAAATGGTACCACCAACAATTAATCTCCAGGACCAAAAGATTGATGACCTCACTTACAACATTATCCAGATGCCTGGATGCTCCTACTGCCTGATCTCTAAACATTTTAGTATCCAAAAAGGAAATGAGCAGGAGGAAACAAACGGTCAAGTTCAAATTTGTTAGTACTTTAGGAAATCAGGTAAATAGTTAATACAGTAAGGGCTAAAATTACTGGTTAACATCACATTTTTGGGATTAGCAACATATTTAATTTATGGATAGTATCTTCTTTTTTTTGAGACAGAGTCTCACTCTGTTGCCAGGCTAGAGTGTAGTGGCGTGATCTCAGCTCACTGCAACCTCCACCTCCTGGGTTCAAGTGATTCTGCTGCCTCAGCCTCCCGAGTAGCTGGGATTACAGGTGCGCACCACCATGCCCAGCTAATTTTTGTATTTTTAGTAGAAATAGGGTTTTACCATGTTAACCAAGATAGTCTCGATCTCTTGACCTCATGATCCACCCGCCTTGGCCTCCCAAAGTGCTGGGATTACAGGCATGAGCCACCGCGCCCGGCCTATGGATAGTATCTTAAGCGTAAGGAAAATGTTAATGGAACTAAGGGTGATTACAAAACACAGCACCAAACAGTAAGGCACTGACCTAAGCCAAACCTCCAAACAATGGTTATATAAAATGCAATTAACTCTGAAAAAAATTCATGCTACAGTCTGAATTTCCCAAGATAAATGTTTTTTTGAAACTTGAAGCTTTCAATGACTTTACTCCACTGTTAACAGCTGCATCATTTGAATATAGCCTCACCTTACTAGGAATTATAGCCTTAGAGTAGGGACAGGAGGGTCACTTCCATTAGACAAAAAGGATGCTTTTACCCCGTAACACATGAATGATGGCATGAGTGGGAAAGAGAACACACAAGTGAGGGAGTTGGGGAAGCTGCACTGTTTCTTTCATCCATCTGGAGTTCAGCCTTTATTATGTGCCTTCATCATTTGTTATAAAGCATCACAAAGAACATATTCATTCTCATTCTTACACATCTTCATTTATATACAAACACCAAACCTTCCCAAACCTAACAAAAATGGAGTTCTATATTATCTACGTTTGTACCGTTATAAGAATAACTAAGAGTTGACAGCAGACTGTATCTTTTAGTTTTCTCATCTGTCAAACCAGAACATATCATAGAGTGCAGTGCACATTAAGTGAAATGACCACCCTAACCATGACAATCAAAATGCTAGAGAAATGACAGCTTAAGGGAATGGTTCATATACATACCTCTACAAAAGTCCATCAGAATGAGCACTTCCCATACATCACCGCTACTCACGTTGTTGATACTAGAATCAATGTAACCCACAATATTCTTGTGCCCTGAAAGATCCCTCTGTGAACAAGAGAGGAGAAATATATTGTTAGTTTCAGATGCCAATAGGACAGAATTAGCCAGTCAGTTCCATTAGCACAGATAATTTAAATACAGAGATGATACAGTGTTGACAGAGAAGACTAAGGAGCAAAGTCAAGAACAGGTTTCCAGTGGTCCCTGAGATTCACTGCTAGATCTTCAATAGCAATTCCATAACCCTACTAAACCAGAGCACACTCCAGAACCTAAATTCTAGAGTCAAATGCACAGAGTGCCTACTTGCTTACTGCATCAATGCTCCACGTAAACTAGAAGCAAAGACTCCCCTCTCCAGAAACACTGCAGGGGGTAAAGAGTAGAGAGACCGTGTGAACTACTTAAATATGTGAACTTCTAATTAAGAAAAATAAAATTGATGTTTTTCCTGGTTGTAGGGGCAAAAATGAATTTAACTTGACTTTTAAATAGTTCGTACTGTTTTTTTCCTTTTGGGAAATCTACCAAAAAAAAAAAAGCTATTTACAAAGTCTTGAAGGGACTACAATAGCATCCAGACCTAAGCATTTTGTTCATAATCAGGCCTTTCAAGCCAACCAACTGGGATATAAGATGGGCATGTTTCCAGCTCTTCAGTTGGAACTGCATGTGATCTCTTAGGGCTGCTTGGATGAATTCATTCATCCAACCAACATTTGTTGAGCACCTCCTATGTGTCAGGACCCATCTAGGAACTGGAAGTGGCCTCACATTTTGGTATAGTCCTTTAAACATCTCCAGAGAGGCAGCTCTTTGTAATGATGATATTCAAAACCAAGTAATTAAGAAGTAAGTTGAGGAAAGAAAAAGAAGGCAAGCTGGGTGATATGATTTTTGCACAAATGCAAGGTAAGGTTTTATTTTTTAAACTAGTTTTAATAAATTGTCTGATTTTTGTTTCAAAAAGGTCAGGGGGAAGGAAAACATGTGGTCCCCTGAGAGTCACCATACAAACTTAGCAGTTTGGACCGTGAGAACAGAAACTACCACCACTCTAATTAGATTCAGCTGTTTACAGTGAAAAACAAATTTCATAACAAAACAAGAGAAAACCCCATGGTATGAAGTGAATACACCTGAACCCTGGGCATCAAAGTTAAAACTCATTAGAGTCTTCCTCTGAGTGATGGATTGTGAATGACTATTGCCTCAGAAATGGCAGCTGCAACAAAAGTTCAGACAAAAGTAGAAAGGCTTTGGAATTGGCAGATGGAAGTCACTGGAGACTTACGTGAGAGTAGTTTCACAGAACAGATGGGATGGTGGTGAGAATGAAACTGGACTTGCAATGAATGAGAGTTGAGCAAGTAGGGCCAGGGTCTACAGATTACTCTTGCAGAACATTTGTGCCTAAGGCAGCAGCATTGAGGGGAAAGGGTGTTTAGAATGGGAGAAAACTGAGCACCAGAAAGAGGAAGGAGCCAAGAGAAGAGAGCTTTAAGATACAGGACAGGATGATGATAATTGACGGAAAAAGTCCTATAAGTAGAAGGGTGGGATTAAGAGTACTGTTCAAGGGACTGGTCTTAGGGTAACTTTTTTTTTTTCCCCCTGGCAAGCAGGAAGGAGGCAAGGATGGCTGTGCATGCTGGTTTAAGGCGGAAGAAAAAGAGAACTCAAATGAGTTCGTATCTGTTGTTTTATTTTTGGTAGAGAACAAGGTCATTTCCTAAATGTATAGGAATGACAAAGAAGTTTGATGAGACAAAAGACTTACTGCATCTGCTTTGGATAATACATAAGGGAGATGATGAAGCTGACACACAATCTCTATAATTCAAGTTTTTCCCAAACAGAAAATGATTTTGGGACTCACATTTTAGTGGCCTATCCTTCCCTCTGCTTTCCCATCTCATCATCAACCCATCTAGAACTCATTTCCATTTACACATTCCTGAAAGTAGGAAGAACTGGAGAGAAGTTCTTTGAAACCAAAATAAGGATCATATCCTCCAAATATTCAAAGATGAATGAAAGACTCATATCCCTACATTTAACTATTTGAAAAAGAATCAGCAATGTTGCCTCTGAGTTGGTCTCATCCTAAGAGGAATAATAAAGCATCTGGAAAAAAGCAACAAAATATTGGTAGAACCATGCTATGGTTTGAAGGCTTGTGTCCCCTCCAAAATTCATGTTAAAACTTAAATCCCCAATGCAATCGTATTAAGAGGTGGGGCCTTTAGGAGGTGATTAAGTCATGAGGGCAGAGCCCTCATCTGCTGGTTAATAAAACTATTACCAGCAGATGTTACTGGTTAACATCTGCTGGTTAATAAACTATTACCAGAAGGTAAGGAAATAAGGAGCTTGCTCCAGCACATAAATCAATCAAATCACTAAGCTCTCTTTTCTCCCCCCAGCAAGATCTTACCTGTGAGGGAAGCAGTTCATTGATTTATATTATGGCACAAGATCCTTTGAGTGGCATCAGTACATTTATACTCAACTGATTTTTGACAAGGGTGCCAAGACAATTCAATGGGTGAAAAATGGTCTTTTTTAAAAGTAGTGCTGGGACAAGTGGGAATTATTTGGATCCCTACCTCACACCATATACAAACATTAACTCAAAATGGATCAAAGAACTAAAAATCCCTCAAAGAAAACATACGTGCAAATCTTTGTGACTTTAGATGAGGCAATGGGTTCTTAGATATGACACTTAAAGCTCAAGCAATCAAGCAAAAAGCGATAAATTGCACTTTATTGAAATTAAAAACTTGTGTTTCAAATGGCACTATTAAGACAGTCTAAAAACAACATATGGAATGGAAGAAAATATTTACAAATCATACATCTGATAAGGATTTAGTGTCCAGAATATGTGAAGAACCCTTACAACTCAACAACAACAAAAAAGACAACCCTATGTAAAAATTAGCAAAGGATCTGAATAGATATTTTTCCAAAGAGCATATACAAATGCCCGAAAGTATATGAAAAGATGATCAGCATAATCAATCATTAGGGAAATATAAATAAAAAATCACAGTGAAATACCATTTCACACCCACTAAGATGGCTATAATAAAAAACAAATAATAAAAAATATTGGCAAGGAGGTGAAAATTGGAATCCTTGTATATTACTAGTAGAAATATAAAATGATGCAGCTACCAAAACAGTCTGACAGTTCCTCAAAAAGTCAAGTTATCATATGACCTAGCAATTTCACCCAAGAGATGTGAAAATATTATAGGCACACAAAAATTTCTACACAAATGTTCATAGCAACATTATTCACAATAGCCAAAATGTGAAAATAACCCAATTCCATCAACTGATAAATGAATAAATAAAATGTGGTACATTCATACAACAGAATATCACAAGCCACACAATGGAATGAAATATTGATACATGCTATGACATGTATCAAGGACATGTTTTTAAGGATGAACCTTAACAACAATATGCTAAGTGAAAACAGACACAAGAGGTCAAATATTGTATGAGTCAATTTATATGAAATATCTAGAATATGCAGTAAAAACATGAGTGGTTATCAGGGGCTGTGGAGAGGGGGAATAAGGAAAGACTGCTAACAGGCTGGAAGTTTCCTTCAGGGGATAAGAAAAAAGTGTTCTAAAATTAGATAGTGGTGATGGTTGCACAACCTTGTGAATATACTAAAAATCACTGGACCGTATGCTTTAAAAGGGTAAATTTTATCTCAATTTGTATACACACAAAAGTAACATGACAGACTGGGAGGAAAATAGATTTTTTGTAAGTCAACACACAGGAGGAGAAAAGCATAAGGAAAAAAGATCCTTTGAGTAACACTGATCTAGAGCAACCAGGCAGCCCATATCTGAATCCCCACTACAGCCTTCTGACAAGCTTTCCTTCTTTTCTTTTCTTTCGTTTTCTTTGTTTTTTCTATCTTTCCTTCTTTTTCTTTCTTTTTTCCTTTCTTTTTCTTTCTCTCTCCTTCCTTTCTCTCTTTCTTCCTTCCTTCTTTCTCTCTCTCTTCCTTCCTTCCTCTTTCTTTCTTTTCTTTCTTTCTTTCTCTCTCTCTCTCTTTTTCTTCCCCTTCCTTCCTTCCTTCTTTTCTTTTGAGACAGTCTTGCTCTGTCACCAGGCTGGAGTGCAGTGGCACAATCTTGGCTCACTGCAAGCTCTGCCTCCTGGGTTCAAGTGATTCTCCTGCCTCAGCCTCCCAAGTAGCTGGGACTACAGGCATGCACCACCACACCCAGCTAATTTTTGTATTTTTAGTAGAAACAGGGTTTCACCATCTTGGCCAGGATGGTCTCGATCTCTTGACCTCGTGATCCACCTGCCTTGGCCTCCCAAAGTGCTGGTACTACAAGCGTGAGCCACCACACCCGGCCAACAAGCTGTTTTGTTAGAATAATGCCACTTCCTTAGGCCCTCAGCCAATCTACAGACAGCCCTCACCCGTTAGACAGTTCTTCCTTACCTATCTGGAATCTTCCACCTCCTGATTTTCTAGATGGTCCTTTCCAGAGCAAAATTAGCAAGTCTAGTCTATTTTTCCACTTTCTAAACAGGTAAGGCTGGGCTCGGTGGCTCACGCCTGTAATCCCAGCACTTTGGGAGGCCAAGGTGGGTGGATTACCTGAGGTCAGGAGTTCGAGACCAGCCTGACCAACATGGTGAAACCGCGTCTCTACTAAAAACACAAAAATTAGCCAGGCGTGGTGGCATGCGCCTGTAGTCCCAGCTACTCGGGAGGCCGAGACAGGAGAATTGCTTGAACCCAGGAGGTGGAGGTTGCAGTGAGCCGAGATTATGCCACTGCACTCCAGCCTGGGTGACAGAGTGAGACTCAGTCTCAAAAATAAATAAATAAAAAGTAAAATATAATAAACAGGTGAAATAGCATTATTTAGACTGAGTGTTCTTTTCTCCATGTGAAACATCCCCTCTTTCTCTGACATGGTTTTTAAGACCATTTTGGCTGCTCCTACATTTATATGCTTTGCTCTGCTACATTCTTTTTATAAGAATGGCCCCAGGAAATGAATGAAATACTCCAGGCTTGGTCTGACTCATGCAGAGTAGACCAGCACTATCACCTTCTATAATTCTATTAATGCAGCTAAACATTACATTCTTTTTGTCTTTTGGCACCCACATCATACTATACATGCATTCTGAATTAACTGACCACTTAAATACCTAAGTCTTTTCCACTCATGCTGCTTTTAATCTCTGCCTCCCAAGAACTATGCTTGTAAAGTTGATTAGAATAAAATTTCAAGTGTATGATCTTACCTTATTATTTCATTTCATTAGAATCAGTCCACTGCTCCAATTTATAAGAACCATTTTGGAGCCTGATTCTATGACTCAATGCAGTTACTACATCTTCCAACTTTATAAAGGCACATAATTGATCAATGTATCTTCTATTTCTTTAAACGAGTTATTTGTTAAATGTAAAATAACATAAAATTAATGGTAAGCCACAATGCTTTCTTTTTAGAAAGTTTCCTCCAGATTAATATCAAACCACTTATCAGAAACCTTTATAACCAGTAGCAATCCAGCCTAGACTCTTCGTTTTGCTGACAGATGTCTGGTGAGTGTCCTTATCAAAACACCTGGCCAAAGTCCACAGATACTGGATCTACTGCACCGCACTGAGCTCTCTATCCAGACATCTTCCCAAAGGAGAACAGGATGTTGTTATGACATGGTTTGTTCTTATTGAACCTGAAGGCTCTCTGGACCTCTGCTTACTCATCCAAGTAACTATAAAACAGCTTAAAATGTCATTTTTTTTTCTGAGATGGTATTTTGCTCTGTCACCAGGCTGGAGTGCAGTGGCGCAATCTCAGCTCACTGCACCCTCTGCCTCCCAGCCTCAAGCGATTCTCCTGCCTCAGCCTCCCAAGTAGCTGGGATTACAGGCGTGCACCACCATGCTCAGCTAATTTTTGTATTTTTAGTAGAGATGGGGTTTCACCATGTTGGCCAGGATGGTCTCATCTCTTGACCTCATGATCCGACCGCCCAAAGTGCTGGGAGTATAGACGTGAGCCACTGCGTGCCCGGCCTCTTTTTTTTTTCTATTTTAAAATTTTTATTTATTTATTTAGACAGAATCTTGTTCTGTCGCCCAGTCTGGAATGCAGTGGCACAATCTTGGCTCACTGCAACCCGCACCTCCCCGGCTCAAGTGATTCTCTTGCCTCAGCCTCCTGAGTAGCTGGGATTACATGTGTACACAATCACGCCCGGCTAATTTTTGTACTTTTAGTAGAGACAGGGTTTGGCCATTTTGGACAGGCTGGTCTCAAACTCCTGACCTCAAATGATCCACCCTCCTCGGCCTCCCAAAGTGTTGAGATTATAGGCGTGAGCCACAGTGCCCAGCCGTCATTCATTTTTAAAGTGTGTAATATATTAACATTCAAATAGTTCATAATACTAGACAATTTTTTTCCTACTCCAATCCCCATCCCCTATAGTGAACCACATTTATTGTTTCTTTCTTTCATGCTTCCTGTGTTTTTTTTTCAGGCAAATTCAAACAATTATGTATTATGTATACACACACACACACACACACCCCAACTTTCTTACACAAAAGATATAATCAAAGCATCTTTGAAAATAATCTGTGTTCTCACTTATAAATGGGAGCTAAATGATGAGAACACATGGACACATAGCGGGTAACGACACACACTGGGGCCGGTGGGGGTGGTGGAGGGAGAGAGAGCATCAGGAAGAATAGCTAATGGATGCTGGGCTTAATACCTAGGTGATGGGTTGTTATGTGCAGCAAACCACCATGGCACACATTTACCTATGTAACAAACCTGCACATCCTGTACATGTACCCTGGAACTTAAAAGTTGAAGAAAAAAATAAAATAATCTGTTCCAGATTCTTGTCCCAGAACAATCCTGAGCTTCCTACTGTACAGGATCTATCTTCCACCCTTTGTAGAATAAGAAACCATTTGCCTGCTTTGAATCATCTGATCTCTTCGAAGCAAATCCTCAAACATCACTGGTGGCAGCTTACTGTCCTCATTATCAAGCTCAATGAGGATGTAATCCATCTGGGCCAGGGGATGTGAACACAGAATAGCCTTGACACATCTGGAGCTGTAGCTATTTCCTATCACTGTTCTTACCCCTTTAGGTCTGAAGATAATTAATCTTTTCCTGCTTTCAGGCAAAGGGATCAGAAGTCCAAAACCTACCCTCCAAATGTCCATCAGAAGTCAGATCCCTTCGACTCTATCAGAGCACACATCCCATATGGATCAAAGAACTCAGACAAGACTCCAGTACATGGTGGACAGCATTTATCAAAATAAAACGTGAAACCACTCAGTGAAACCGCTAACAGTTCTCTTTGCGTTTGGATGCAACGTGCCCGTTGTTCTGCCACTGGAAGTAGAGAGGAATCTGCTTCTTTGAGTATGAACACCCAAACCTCAGCATATTACACAGCATGTTACATCTTCTGATTCCCTTCACAATTCTTAGAGTCACTGAGAGAGGTAGGGCTGGGGTTATGGCTTCTATCTGACAGAAGTCTGAGACTTAGTGGGCTTAAAAATGTTACATAGGACTTCAGATTTAAAACAGTAAGAAATTAAAAAAAAAGTGGGAAAATTCAGTCCATTTTAAAACTTATTTAGCTACAGTAATCAAGGCTGTGTGGTATTGGTAGAAGGATAGGTACATAGATTAATGGAAGGGAATAGAGAATAGAGAAAGGCCTGCAAATGGACCTTCACAATTAAGTTCAACTGATTTTTAACCAAGATATTAAATGACAGCCTTTTCAATAAATGGTACTAAGAGCAATTAGATATCCATAAGGAAAAAATGAACCGCAACCTAAGACTCATTATGCAAAAATTAAGTCAAAATGGCTAGCTGCAGTGGCTCAAGCCTGTAATCCCAGCACTTTGGGAGGCTGAGGCAGGCAAATCACTTGGGTCAGGAGTTGAGGACCAGCCTGGCCAACATGGTGAAACCCCATCTCTACTAAAAATACAAAAATAACTGGGCATGGTGGCGCGTACCTGTACTCCCAGCTACTCGGGAGGCTGAGGCAGGAGAATTACCTGAACCTGGGAGGCAGAGATTGCAGTGAGCCGGGATTGCACCACTGCACTCCAGCCTAGGCAACAGAGCAAGAAGACTCCGTCTCAAAAAAGAAAAAAAAAAACTCAAAATGGCTCATAGGTTTAAATGTAAGACTATAAAACTTAAAAGAAAATCTTCAGAATTGAGAGCTAGGCAAAGATTTCTTAGGTTTGACACCAAACGCACAATCCATAAAAAGAACAATTGATAAACTGGACTCATCGAAATTAAAAATAAAACAAAAACAAAAAAGATCTTAGAGATTTAAAAGTCTGGTAAATAAATTTCATCAGGATGGTTGGAATATAGAGGTGAGGAAATCTGGAATGTGGAGCAAAATGACAAAGAAATATAAAAAGAAGGGAGAAAACAAGAAAATTAGAAAATCAATTCAGGAGAACCAATATCCAAATTATAGAAATTTCAGAAAAAGGGGAAAAAAATGAAACTAAAAAATCCCCCAGAATGCAAGGATATGAGTTTCTAGATTGAAAGGGACCACAAACACCTAACATAATAAATAAATGCATACACAAAGGCATATCATGAAATTTCAGAACATTAGAAACAAAGAGAAAATTTGTAAATTTCCTGGTAGAATATATGGGTCACTCCCAACGGACTAGGCATTAGAATGACTTAGGATTTCCCAAGAGCAACACTGAAAGCTAAAATATAGTAGAACGGTGCTTTAAAAAATCTAAATGAAATGATTTCCAACTCAGAATTCTGTACTCAAACTATGATGTGCGAACATAAAATAAAGATACTTCTAGAATTGAAAGTTGTTTTTTTTTTTTTTTTTTTTTTTTTGAGACGGAGTCTAGCTCTGTCACCAGGCTGGAGTGTAGTGGCGTGATGTTGGCTCACTGTAACCTCCGCCTTCTGGGTTCAAGCGATTCTCCTGCCTCAGCTTCCTGAATAGCTGGGATTACAGGCACGCACTGCCATGCCCAGCTAATTTTTGTATTTTTAGTAGACAAGGGTTTCCACCATGTTGGCCAGGATGGTCTCCATCTCCTGACCTCGTGATCTGCCCACCTTGGCCGCCCAAAGTGCTGGGATTACGGGCATGAGCCACCGTGCCCGGCCTAGACCTGAAAGTTCAAAAAAATTTATCTACCATGTATCAAAAAGCTACTGAGGCTGGGCATAGTGGCTCATGCCTGTAATCCCAGCACTTTGGGAGGCTGAGATGGGAGGATCACTTGAGCTCAAGAGTGTGAGACCAGCCTGGGCAACATAGCAAGACCTTGTCTCTAAGGAAAAAAAAAAAAAATAGCTGGGTCTGGTGGCATGTGCCTATAGTCCCAGCTAGTGGGGAAGCTGAGGTAGGAGAATTGCTTGAGACCAGGAGATGGCGGCTGCAGTGAGCTATGATTGTGCCACTACGCTCCAGCTTGGGTAACTGAGACCCCATCTCAAAAGAGAAAAAAAAAAAGATACTGGAGGATCGGCTCCAACAAAATGAGGAAGTTAGCCAAAAAAGGAATTACGGGTTCTAACAAAAAAGAGAGGCAAAGGAAATGTCCAGGAAATTCCAAGATTCGACTGTAAATTAGTCAGAGAATAATCAGCCGAGGTTCCTCAGTCAGAAGACTGAGGGAGAAATCTTGAAGATGATAAAACAGACACCATTAAATGCGTCTAAAAAATTCAAAAAATGGTTTACACAACTTAAGGAAAATTGGGAATTAAACTGTTAAAAAGTACAAAGAAAACTCAGACCAAGAGAGGAAAAACAAGACCATTAATAATTTTAGTGAAAGCAAAGTTACATAGGAAAGGCATAGGAATCATAGTCCACCAGGAATTCAGTTGAAATAGTTTTCTTATATAATAATGTAAAAACTAATATTCATATAAACTACATATTGCCAAAGTTTACTGGTGTTTTCAAAGAATGGAAGATGAGAATACTGCAAGTATTTGGGGAGAGAGGCAAGCAGCAAGTAAGTGACAGTTACGTCTTTACTTCCCATAGGAGATAATGCCTAAAATGGAAGAAAAATCAAGAACTAGCAATATTAGCATGTTATTTAGAAAGACATCAAAAGAATCACCTAAAGAGGTTGCCGCTGGGACCTTGTAATGGCATAGGAGTTCCCCTTGGGGAATTGCTTGACGTTTTTTGTAACAAGCTTAGTTCACCTATTTGAATATTAAAGCTTTGAAAGAATATAAACTAAAAACAAAACTCTCACAGCTAATACGCCTCTGGGCCAAAACTTGAACCTGTGTGATTTAACTCTTAATCAGGCCCATTAATTTGTGAGCTCCTCATGGGCCTGTGCTTCTTAGTTCCTCCACTACAATGCCTGCCTAGCCCAAGTAAGCTCTCAGTGTGTTTTTAAATAAGGAGGAGAAAGTGAAATCATGGGATTGCTTTTGTAACACAAGTAAATGAGCAAGAAGGGCATTCCAGATAGAGGAAACAGCAGAAGCAAAGACAGGAAACAAAGCGTGTGAGAGCTGAACAAGCATGGGCAAGGAGGGAGGAAGACAAATAATGAGAAGCAGCCAGAAAACCCACTGCGTGTGTGAAGGAAGATACAGCAAGAACAGGAATCTGGAGCTATGTGCAGGGGAGTGGAAGGCATTGGTGCCTTACAGACAGGCCCACGTGGTCTTGACTGTATGTATATGGCCCTTGGGAGTTGGCTGGTTTGTTGTGCAGTGCTGACAGTTCCTTCCCAAATAGTTTTGGCTTTCTAAAATCTAGAGTAGTGCCAGGCTCTCTAACACTCTGAGTACTTTCAGAAGTCCAACTGCAGCCTAACTAGTTACTCTAAGCAGCCACTGAAAAGGCCACATAGGGTGAACAGGGGCAAGCGGAGCCTGATGGGATACCTACAATGCCACCCTCTCCATTGTTGGATCCCTTTCTGCTCTTTAAAAAGCATTAAAATCCAGGGCATAAAAGGAATCATCATCTCTAGGTGAACATATGTATCTGCTATTACCATTATTCAAATACTAATTTCTTCCAAAGTTTATTAAGCATTTACTTCATGTCAAGCAGTATGTTGGAGCATACAATTTCTGATTTTAAATAACTTACTTCCTGATAGCAGAACTGCTTACAATATAACAGGTTAAGCAATATAATTGGTATAAAACAAAAGCACTGTGGAAGCACAAAGGAATAAAAGGCTATATATTCAAAGTTTCTTATGTATAATTATGTATAATATTACATATTATTATATTATTAGGTATAATATTATGTATAATGTCAAACAGAGGTAAAAGAAAGATGCTACTCTAACAAATTCCCATATACTCATAATTCTGCTTTGATCACCATCAACTCTTGACCAATCTTATTTATCTTCTAAACTCACTCATTGTTCTAAGGACATTATATTATTTCCTCCATATATATTTCAGCATGGACTCTTTCTTTAAACATATAAATCTGCATCTTGAAAAATGAGTAAGTTTTAAGAATTGAAGTCTAATTAACATAACAAAATGTGCAGATTTTAAGGTGTTCAATTGAGTTCTGACACATATATACCCTGTGTAACCACTATCTAAAACAACACACAGAACATTTCCACGGCCTAGAAAGTCCCCGTATACCCATTTCTAGTCAACTTCCCACCCCTGAATAACCACGTTCTGATTTCTATCTCCACAGATAATGTTGCCTGTTCTTGGACTTCTATAAATAGATTCATAGAGTATATATGAGGTTTCTAGGTTTTGGTCTAGGTTTCCAGGCCAAAAAAGGGGGAAAGCATTCCAGGTCGAAAGAACTACATGTAAAAATATTAAGTTGTATAAGGATATGTTCACAGGATTTTGAAGAGCTCAGGAGGGTTGAACTGAGACTGGGGATTGGTAACAGAGAGAGAGAGAGACAAGACCAGAAGAAGAGGCTCATTGGAAAGTTAGGCTTTCTGGATTAAATATCACAGTTAATTTCTGGGAACCATGTTGTTAAGTAAGCTTTTCCCAATGCCCAAAATGACTTTTCTGACCTAAAAACTGGTCAGTTCTCTCAAAATGCTTTTTCCTCTGCCCTCCAGCTGAGAGTGACCAAGGCAAGGGCGGTGTCCTATATCCCATGGCTGTTGAGTCCCATTTTGTACAGAGGCCTCTGTACCATCTCAGGGAAGGGAACAAACCCCGCTTGGCTTTCTTATGAGAGGGTACAATCTCTGCCTCCATTTTAAACAGTCCCAAGTCCAAGGGGCAGCCTTACCATTATCTGGATTTCTCTCTTGCACACCTGGAGATCATGCTCATTGTTGACAAACATGCGTTTCAAGGCACATTTCATCCCATTGCTTGTCCTCACCAGAAATACAATAGCAAATCCACCTGTGAGAGAAACACACACAAGCTCTTTTGAGTCAATGTTCAAAAAGTCAGCCACATAACTGTGGTGGCTGGAGGTTGCCACTGTCACTGCTAATGGTACTAATGCCACTGCCAGCCAGCCTTTAGGGCTAGCCTGTTGTAGAACACATTCTTAGATTCTCAGAACTTGGAGATATTACTTGTGGGAGTGGGTGGCAAGAGTCAGAGAAATTGTTCCCAAACACCTATCTTAGGATAACAAAAGAATAGTAATTATTTTCCAAATAACCTACAAATAAACAGATAAATGGGTAGTACTACATTACAAGTACTATCCTATGTACTTTTTTTTTTTTTTTTTTGAGACAGGGTTTCCCTCTGTGGCCCAGACTGGCATGAAGTGGCGTGATCACTGCTCACTGCAGCCTTGACCTCCTGGGTTCAATCGATCCTCCCACCTCAGCCTCCCGAGTAGCTGGGATTACAGGTGTACACCACCACTCCTGGCTAATTTTTATACTTTTTTGTAGAGAAGTGCTTTTGCTATGTTGCCCAGGCTAGTCTCAAACTCCTGGGCTCCCACCTTGGCCTCCCACAGTGCTGGGATTACAAGCATGAGCCACTGTACCAGCCCTGTCTTGGGTATTTTGATGCTCTTGTTTAATTCTTAACACAGTTCTGTGAGATTGGGTGTTATTTTCCCCTTTAAACAATTACCAGCTGAAGAATACAGAGGCTCAAAGACATCTGATTCAAACCAAAAACATTTTTAAAAGCATAAGTGGAGCACACTTTCCCTCATACCAGAGAGGCTAGGAAATTATTTCACTAATTTCTATTATAAATAGTTGTCAATTAATTTCAAGAATCTCCTCTTCTTTTCTTCTCATCCTATCACTCAATTCGAATCTAGAAACAGACCTAAAGATTCTTCCGGACCTCCCTACCTCCTGGGCTGTTGAGAAGATACATGATAAGGGTAAGAAAGTGCTATTCCACATAGCATACACAAGGCAAGTATGACAATTATTGGGGAGACTTTTTAATGTCCACACTGACCTTTCTCTAAAAGACAGTTCACAATTCATTAACAGAAATATATAAGCCAGGTGTGGTGGCTCATGCCTGTAATCCCAGAACTTTGGGAGGCTGAAGCAGGCAGATCGCTTGAGCTCAGGAGTTCAGGACCACCCTTGGCAACATGGCGAAACCCTGTCTCTACAAAAAATACAAAAATTAGCGAGGCATGGTGGGCGCACACCTATGGCCCAGCTACTTGGAAGGCTGAGGTGGGAAGGATGGCTTGAGCCTGGGAGGTGGAGGTTGCAGTGAGCTGTGACTGCGCCACTGAACTCCAGCCTGGGTGAAAGAGACCCTGTCTCAAAAAAAAAAAAAAAATGTATATAACTCTACAGGAATTCTCAAGTGCTCTAAATTTGTTACACCACAGCATTCCCCAAATTCTTAGAACCCTAACCTCATCCTCACTCCTAAAGCACTGTATGAGGTGTTCAATGCCATTGGTGACAGGAGTTAGACAAAGTGAGGCAAAGCTGTCAAAGTTGAAGGCTTTGGAGTAAGTAGCAGTTACACTGGACGCTCAGTCCATCTGCCTGCCTTGTACATTGTCATCATTTAGCTTGAATATCCTGTCCATTGACTCTGTTCAGCAAAAAAATCAGTATGCCATTCTTGCACAGAGGTGGTCACTAATTGTATAGAGGTGAACACAGAGGTAAGTCTTCAGTATGGGAATTTGAATTGGGGTTATGACATAGTACTGGGTTAGGAGCCACATGCAAAATTGATACAGATCAATAAACAACCATTACAGAGATCTTAGGCCTCTGAGAAATAAAGCCTCGGGTCCTGATTATGCCCTTCTAATTCCCCCAAGGCTCAGCGGCACTTTAGTACCTGTCTGTTGATGCCCATGGCATTTCCTGCTGTATCTTTACATAGTTATTCTTTTCAAGTTAGCTTGAGTAGGTTTTTGTTCCTTGCAACCATAAAGAGCCTTTATCATAAAGCACTATTGCACGTTTTCATAAAATACACACCTAATTTTGTAAAAAGAAATTTAATGGGCTTCAGTTCCGAATGTGGACTGTGATAATGATTTACCAGAGACTGCATGTTTGCATATTTCCTGTTACAATGTTCCTCAGTATTCAAATAAACACTAAAATTTATCATATAATCTTTAATTTTAACTGTCATCTCTCTAATCTTTGTATCTCAATAACATTTTCCATTTTCAAAAGTAGCATTGACACTTAGAGGTCTTATCTATCTCTCTCTCTCTCACACACACACACACACACACACACACACACACACACTCTCTCTCTCCTCAATTCTAAAATGCATGTTTTTTACATTTTGCTTTTTAGGGTATCAGAATGTCTTGTAATAAAAATGTGCATTTAATGCAGTGGTATTTATCTTTTCTTCCCCCCACCCCCTGCCAAAGTTATTAAATCCATGATGTTCTCTTATAATTAATCAGAATTGAGGAAAATAGTAGTGTAAATTACAAAATTTCTATGTATGTTCATAATTGTTTTGTAAATAGTATAAGTAGGATTCACTTCATTGATATTTAGAATTTTTTAAAAAATCACGGAACTACAGACTTCACAAGAGTGGCACTCCTAGAGAGTATTAAGTCCAAGTGTTTTGCTTTATGCATAGACAAACCAAGAGAGGCTTAGGAGTCCCATGGCTAGTTATGGGCAGAAGGTGGGGTGGTTCTCTCTCCTATAAAAACCATGTGATACCCTTTAGGTAATAAGGAAACAGCTGACAATGTTGTGAAACAAAAGGTGGGAATAGGTATTTCCTACAGTTCAATGATGCCTGTCACTGCTGAAGGACAAGGCAACTCTTTCAGATGCTGCAATTTGAGATAACTACCACCAGATGGGAGCAGTGTAGTTTTCTTTGTAGGTAGCAAGATGACCTTTACAGCCAGGACTGAAGAAATGGGTCAGTCGCCTACCATGCAATCCAGTAAGCACAATGGCTGACAAGAGCCAGCCCAGATTCTCAAAGCCTATGACCATGATAAATCTAAAAGCAAATCAGTGAATCACTTTACTTAACACAGATGAAGCCACATTGTCAAGCATCTATGCCTATAAAAGGGCTTATCTGCAGATGAGAAGCATTTAAATCACGAGATCAAAATCCACGCCTAACAGGACTTGTCAGTCTAAAGATGTTGGTCACTATCACTGTGTAGTTGGCCAAATGGAGATGTAAACTAGGTTAGAAGAGAGGAGATAGTGCCATTCAAGATACTTCTCGTGCACAGCCCTGTCTGTCACACGGATCAGGGTGATGAGATTCTCAGCCAGAGCTTAAGAGGGTTCAGGCTATTACGGAAGGAGGCTGTCAACAGAGAAGACTGTCAATAGAGATGTTTATTTCAGCCTGAGTTGCATCCCAAGATCTAGATTAAAAGGAAAAACCTAATGGTTTGGACAGAGGTAAGAAAATCTTAACATTCAGTAGCCTGTGTCAGTCTCTCTGCCTACTGGCATTTTTTGAAACACTCAGATAATCTCATCTGTGAATCTATTGAATCATAAAGATAAAAAGGATATGATCTATTATGTGAAGCAAGCAAGTGAAGTAGGCAGGATAATTTTGACACAGACATGCTTTGCCTATTAAATATGTAGGATTTTTTTTTATGTCCAGAAGAAAACACGTTTTCTCCCATTTTCCCTAAAATATATAGCATTTTTGGTCTTTCTCCCCCTAATTGTTGATGGAGATGTGGATGGCTATTTATAGCTCACCATGAGTTTAGAGGTTTTGTCTGTTTGGTTTGCCTCTGGATTGTCATGCCATAAAATAGTGTTTAACACACAGTGAGCATTCAATAATGAACTAACTCTCTACTTAAGGTGTCTACAGAAGACAGAAAAGGCTACATACAGATAGTAGCAGAGAATATGGGAAACGAATGTGATGGCTCATGTAATGGGATGGCCACCATGCAACTCCAGATCATTGTTGCCATGTGGGAATATGGACCTGGTTTTGTCGGATCTGCTAATTTCTAAAGATGAGCTAGAAACCCAAAATTGTATGTGAAATCTCCACATTTAAACACTGGCAACAAGTCACCTTTTAAATTAATGCTGTTCAGGTCACCATAGCACAGAGGCCAAAGAAAACACATCTGAAAAGCTTTAGATAATCTCCGAGCCTCCAGTTTTCTATGTCTGATCTAGTCTAACACCTTCATTTTACTCAAAGCCAAGAAGGGGAAGTGACACAGCTCATGTTCCACAAAGTTAAAAGATGATTTGCAAATGAATTCCAACATATATATAAATATTAGCTCAGACATTCATCACCACAGTTCTTATCTTTCTTCCCTCAAGATGAGTTTACAGAATACTCCTCCCACCCAGCATGTGTATACGACTTATTTTAAAGGCATTTCAAAATAAATTATTTCATTTGTATTCACACAATGACTGAATAAGGTAGGCGAGCAACCTATCATATTCATTTTCCCAACAGGAAAGACATGCAGAAAGATTAAGTTCCTTTCACAAGAATGCACAGAGCTAGTTGGTGGCAGAGTTCAGATAAGATCCCTCATCTTTAGAAATTTTTATTTTTATATCAACTTCATATATTATACAATCCACCCATTTTAGGTGTACAGTTTGATGAGTTTTCGCAACTGTATATACCCGCACGAGTGGCTGTGGCGACAGCCAATCCATCACTGCAGATAGTTCTTCAGGTACCTTTGCAGACAATCTCCCCTCCCCTCCCTCACCACCCCGTGTATTAAATAACTTTGGATCTGCTTTCCATCCCTATAGTTTTGCTTGCTCTAGAATAAATGGAATCCTACAGTATACACTGCTTTGGTCTGGCTTCTTTCACGCAGCATAACATTTCTGAGATTCATCTTCATCGTTCCATGTAGTTTTTGTTTTTTTGGTCAACTAGTATTCCATTGTATACATATTCCACAATTAGTTTCTTCATTCACCTGTTGAAGGACATGTGAATTTTTTCTAGCTTTTGGGTATTATGAATTAAACATTCATACAGAAGTCTTTTTTATGGACATAGATAATTATTTCTCCTAGGTATGTACCCAGGAATGGAATTGTTGGGTCATATGCCAAGTGACTATTTCCCTTTATGTATAAGAAACTGCCAAGCAGTACTCCACAGTGGTTGTGCTATTTTACACTCCCAGCAGCCACATACGAGAGTTCTGTTTGTTCCACATCCTTACCAACACTTGGTGCTGTATTTTTCATTTTAGCTATTCTAGTGGGTGTGTAGTGACATCTTGTTGTGGTTTTAATTTGCACTTCCCTATAGATCCTTCAACATTTAAACTCCTAGGATTAGCAGCTTCCCATCACTTTCCTGATAAAAGGTTTTAATAAGCATAGGATCATGGAGTCACCAATGAAATTACTGAGATAACTTGGACTTCTACCTGCTAAATAAGCAAAGATGACAGAAGTGCCTAGTTCTTTGCTGGGAGAAGACAGTGAGTGAGAATTTGCAATACACAGAGGAGGGTATTACATAAATTCTAAAATCTCTTTTACTTCTGATATCAACATGAGATCATGGTCTTCAGACTTTTAAAAAACAAAGACAGGCCAGACACGGTGGCTCATGTCTGTAATCCCAGCATTTTGGGAGGTCGAGGCGGGCAGATCACAAAGTCAGGAGATCAAGACCATCCTGGCTAACACGATGAAACCCCGTCTCTACTAAAAATACAAAAATTAGCCAGGCGTGGTGGTGTGCGCCTGTAGTCCCAGCTACTCGGAAGCCTGAGGCAGGAGAATTGCTTGAACCTGGGAGGCGGAGGTTGCAGTGAGCTGAGATCGCACCACTGCACTCCAGCCTGGGCGACAGAGCGAGACTCCATCTCAAAAACAAAACAAATAAACAGACAAATTAGCCAGGTGCACTGGTGCATGCCTGTAGTCTAGGTACTCGGGAGGCTGAAGCAGGAGGATTGCTTGGGCCCAGGAGGTTGAGGCTACAGTGAACTATGATGGCACCACTGCACTCCAGCCTGAGCAACAGAGCGAGACCCTCCCTGTCTGTAGAAAAATAAATAAAGACAAAGATTTAAACACTCTCCTTGGGGGCGTCACCATGATATTCAATTCAGCAATGGGGCTTTGGAAGAAGAAGCAAGTAGTATATCTTCTGGCTCTATATTCAAACACTGAATCATGGTAGAGGGTGCCAAGTCCCAGGGGCTGTTCTGAATGAATCAGGACACCAGTGACTTCCACTTTGCAAGGAAAAGTGAGGGAAGGGAAGGTAAGGTGAGCAGGAAGAGGAGAAACACACCAAAGTGATTATCTGAGAAGTGATGGGAAACAGCTGGGCAAATAATGAGAATGATTAGACTAGGAATATGAGACAAAGAAGCCCATCATGGTGCTGAGACAGGGTTTCTGGGTTTGCTGCCAAAGAGGTTTGCTGGATATTTTAAAATCAGGCCTAGATTCTAGGCACTGAAATCACCAACTGTTTATTTCTTGCAGGTAAAAGGAAACTGCACTCCTAACATAAGTCCTATATACACTTTTGGGAATGAAGTCCACTTGTCTGAGATGGAAAGATGACACAAGCCAAAAGAGCTGGAGGATACCAAATGAAGAAAAACCGCATCCAGGCCCATTTTCTGCTCTTCGTTTTCCAATTTTCTGCCCTACAAACTCTTTGTTTCTCTTTTAAAATAAGGTGAAACTCAACAGATGCTGCTTACTTAAAGCAGAAAACAAGCATAAAATAATAGTGTTCTGAAGCTTTTCTAAGGAATCAGACAGATAATTCAGTTAAAGTGGGTTTCATCCAGGAGACGTAAATGAACACTGAACAAGTTGCTGGATCTCTCTGGCCTTCATTTCCTCATGGGCAGAAATTAAGACTAAATTAGGCCAGGCGCGGTGGCTCACGCCTGTAATCCCAGCACTTTGGGAGGCCGAGGCAGGTGGATCACGAGGTCAGGAGATTGAGACCGTCCTAGCTAACATGGTGAAACCCTGTCTCTACTAAAAATACAAAAATTAGCTGGGTGTGGTGGCGCATGCCTGTAATCCCAGCTACTCGGAAGGCTGAGGCAGGAGAATTGCTTGAATCAGGGGGTCGGAGGTTTCAGTGAGCCGAGATCACGCCACTGCACTCCAGCCTGAGTGACAGAGTGAGACTCCATCTCAAAAAAAAAAGAAAAAAGAAAAAAGAAAAGAAAAGAAATTAAGACTAAATGAGTGCTACTATTTAAACTGGGTTCCTCCAAGCCCTAGGATTACAGAAGGTACTTCAGTGGCTGCACGAGGAAAAACTGACCTCCCTCCCTTACAAGGGTAGGGCTCTGTATACTGCTTCCTCCTCACCTTCAAAGTAGCTCTACTTTTAGCTGTGTAATTTTGGAGAAAGGCTAGAAAAAAAAAAAGGAGCAATTCTGCTACAAAGGAGAGAAAAATTTACCCCCCAAATATTCTACAGCTCTAGGTATAAGTATTTTATAAAGACAAAAAGACTACACCACTACAAGTCATGCAAATAGCCCTCACTTACATGCCTACCGAAGGTGTAGATGTGTACAGGCAGCTTTTAGGGAAGGAGCTATGCCCCGCTTCACCTTGAGACATGTAGTATTCCTTTAGAGCCCAACAGGTTAAGTTCGAATCCTGGCTCAGGTAAGCTACAATTTCCCTGAGGCTGTCCTCTTACCTGCCAAGGGCTTTCACTTCATGCTAAAGCCCTTCTTCTGACATGCAGGCTATCTGACCACGTGATTGTATCAACCAGCCCCTAGGTCATAGTCCTTCAATCAGGACTGTGCACCAACTCACAATATCCTCCCCACCCCCACTCCTACCTCAAAGCTTTGGGGATGATCAAATGATAAGCAAAGCACCTAGCACACAGAAGGTGTTCCTGCCTTTCCCTTCCACCCCCACCTCCCTGCAAAAACCACTTTGTATTTGTATGATACATTACTTATCATAAAATTCTAAATCTGGAATATCTTCTCGAGATCAAGAGCACAAACCCAAATGCCTGAAGAGCCAGGGAGATCACATAAAGGAGTGACACAGTCCAGCTTTAACAAAACGTATGGAGGGTGTGTGATGACACAGACTCACTGTCAGGAAGATCACAGGGAGGAGTGGGGCCGGTGGCCCTGAGAAAGTTCATGCCCCTGCTCATGGGGCAGCCATTCCTCAATGCCAGCCAATTGCTGTCACGAAGGAACGTGGGCTAAGAGTTGTCAAGTCTTTTGACTGCTAAAAACAGCTGGATCTTTAGGTGAGAGCTCCTGATTTAAAAATCAGGCAACAAACTTTTAAAAATCTCTTAAACCTTGTGCAGTTTAATGAAAACACATTTCTAAGCTAGGACTGAACCAGACAGCCCTGCTTCCATCTTTACAAGGGCCTGTGAAGTCAGCAGGTCATGTACTACAACCTCCACTTGACCAACTGGGAAACTAAAACACAGTGAAAAGCCTAAGCATCCTCCTTAGTACTGCCACCTAGTGGCCGGACCAGGGCTAGACTGCAAGGGTGCCAACTGGTGTCCCCTCTCAAGCTGCCGTCCCCTCCCTGCAGCAGCAGATCATGCAGGAACACCTCCACTCCCAGGGAAGGGAGAAGAGAAATGGCACAGTGAAAGGCAAGAGGGACTGCCCACAGCTCTGCCTGTCTAGCTGATCAGGTGGGAGAGTGTCCTCTCCATGGTGAGAGCTTGGGTGTACCATTCAGGTGGCAGAGTATCCTCTCCACGGTAAGAACCTGGGTGCACTATTCAGGTGGGAGAGTGTCCTCTCCACAGTTAGAACCTGGGTGCACTATTCAGGTGGCAGAGTGTCCTCTCCACAGTGAGAGCTTGCGTACACTATGCAGGTGGCAGAGTGTCCTCTCCACGGTGAGAGCTTGGGTGGACTATTCAGGTGGCAGAGTGTCCTCTCCACAGTGAGAGTTCGGGTACACTGTTCAGGTGGGAGTGTGTCCTCTCCATGGTGAGAGCTTGGGTGGACTATTCAGGTGGCAGAGTGTCCTCTCCACAGTGAGAACCTGGGTGCACTATTCAAGTGGGAGAGTGTCCTCTCCATGGTGAGAACTTGGGTGCTCTATCCACAGCATCTGTGAGCTCCCACAAGGAATGACCCCCAAGAGGCTGATCAACACCCATCCACAACTTACATTGAAGACAACTTTGCCAAAAGCTTCGGAAGGAACAAAAGTTTTCAAAACTCTAGAACAGATGGCAAGGAGCACAGCAAAGCTTTTTCCAGGAGAAAAGGTCAATGCAAAGCATGTGTCAACACTGATTTCAGTGGGGGCTTGGGGTTTGTTTTTTTAATGTCAATCTCTCCTCACTTGCCTCAATTAAAAATCATCATGTGCCAGCTCCTTCTGGAGAACATGTCAAAGCAGTCCTTTCCCCAAGCAGATAGAACACCCAGATGGGGGATGACTTGAGGTTTTCAACTCCCTCTCTCCCCACTCAAGCTGTGGGCACAAAATCAGAGACTGGCAAACGGTGGTGGTTGTGGAGGTGGTACAGAAACATCAACAGAACCCAATCGAGGCCACAGCCCAGGCTGAACATGGCACACTGGCCTGGCTATTGGTTCTTTCTCTCCAGGACTGTTATGATTGATTGGGGAGGATCTCCAGCTCAGGAGGTTCTTTTTAGGGGTTTGGCAAGAGTCTCCCTCCTCCTCTCAAAAATTAATTTTCCAGGAAAAATACTTGCCTGGAACAAAAGGGAAGAGTTTAAGAAATCAAGTTGGTTCACATATACCAGAGACTTTTTGATTACTGCACCTAGAACCACAGCACATTGGGCCTGGGCTATCAGCTAAGGCTAACCAAGAAAGGGCCTTTCCACAAGCTACCCGCCCCCACCTTTGCCGTACTGCTGCCACAGAGTTAGCTATCTGGCAAATGTAGAGAGATATGCTGAAAGACATCAGAAACTTAATATCATTTGAAACTTCGCAATGGCTTCTCACCCCTCTTAGAATAAAACTCCAAATACTGACCAAGGCCCGCAATTCCCAGAGTGATGTGGTCTCTCTCCAACCTAGCTCATACACCTCCACCTTCCAGTGCTCACTCTGTTCCAGCCACAAGAGCCTTCTTTCTTCTTCAGCATTGCTTATGCTCCAATCTGCCTAAGGATCTTTGCACATGCTTCTCCCTTTGGCCCTTTCACCCCATTCTTGGCCTGAGCCACTCCTAGTAATCATCCTTCAGATTTCAGGCTAAACGTTACTTCCTTGCTAAGCCTTTCCTGATGGTCCCTGGCCCTCACTCCCATATGATTAAGTTCTTTGGTATACACAGCACCCTCTACTTTCCCTCCAGGACATACCATGAATATAATTAAATACTTATAGGGTAATTCCTGGTTGCATGCCTTCTTCCCCTGTACACTCTAAACTGCACAAGGGCAGGGACGATGACTGATTCACTGTGGCATCTCTGTCACCCAGCACAGTGGCTGCTCCATAGCAGGTTCTCAAGTGTTTGTTATACAATGTGTTTGCTGAGTACCATAAAGGATACCAATAAAAAATTTTAAAAAAACAACAAAACTACAATGACAGCAACAACAAAAACCCTTACCAGACCTTCAGAAGGTTAGAGTCTAGTATGGACTAGAAGGGACATATATTAAGAGAACATCCTCTTGGTGAAAAGGTAGAAAAACCCTGCACTGCTCAGCCTGGCACAACTGAGCAGTGTGAGACAGGACTGAACCCTTCACCCCAGGGCAAGTGCTCAAGGTGGAACTTTAAGGGGAGCTTCACAGAAATCTCTCTGCTGTCACAATAATAAATACTTGTCCTACACACTATTGCTTCTTTCAAAAATAATAATTGTGCTGGAAATCAAAACGCTCTTCAGTTGAGAGGGAAAAGAAATGAAACACCCCATGCTCGATCCTGAAGCATCCCTTGCCTAAAGGAATGGAGAGCCTCTTGGGCATAAATTGTGCTCATCCCTCTAATCCACCGGGGCCACAATCTCCTAGTAAGTGATGAGCAAACAGAGCAGCAGAGGTCAGCCGGAGGGAGCAGCATCGGTGCTCACATGTGTCAGTCCCCACCCATGCTACAGACCTTCAAGCTGTGGCTCTGATCATTTCAACCAGGACACCATATGTTAGTGGATTACATTCTCCAAAAGAGAATGGGAGACTCAGCAAAGCTGAAGTTCCGGCTGACATTCTCTCAGCTCCCAAATGTTAATTCGAGAACATTCCAGTTCAACTTCATGCTTCAAAGCTTACACAGTTTTCCACACTTACTGCTTTTGTAGAAAGATCGGGTTAAGTAACTGTGAATCCTGAGCACTTTCTAGTGTAATGATGTGAGTTTAGTAGCCAGGTTATGGAATACGCACTGGCATCAAAGGTATATAAATGTTTTCAACTTTTTTTTTTTTTTTTTTTTTTTAAGACAGGGTCTCGCTCTGTTACCCAAACTGGAGTGCAGTGGTGCAATCATGGCTCACTGAAGCCTTGAACCCTCAGGCTCAAGTGATCCTCCCAGCTCAGCTTCCCAAGTGGCTGAGACTAGAGGTGCATGCCACCACACCCAACTAATTTTTAAATTTTTTGTAGAGACAGGATCCTGCTATGTTGCCCAGGCTTGTTTTCAACTCTTTAGGTTTCCTTAGAACTGGTCTCCAGACACAACTACTTTTTCCAGGTCATCCTATTCTGCCCTGACCCTCCTATGTTCTGAAAGATGGGCTCTCATGCTGGAAAGCAGGCTGACGTTTTCTTAGCTCCCAACCATTAGTTACAGAGCATTCTAACTTAACTTCGTGTTAAAGCCTTTCCTCTGACATTCAGGCTATCTGACCACACAACTGTCATCCATCAGCCCCTAGGTCGTGGTCCTTCAATCAGGACTGGGCACCAGCTCACAATATCCTCCCCACCCCAACTCCCACCATTGCCAAGTTGATTTCACTGAGTCTTAAGAATTCTATCCCCAAACCCAGAATCCATCCCTTCTACTGCACCCCTGATGCCCCTTAGCTCAGGCCTTCCTCTTTTCTTACTGAAAAACTAAAATAGAGTCATAAGTTTCTGTGCCTCCAGTCTCTTTCTAAAACTTGTATGGAATGACTCCTCTTAAAAGCATTCATTAGTCCCTTCGAGCCAGAGGAAAGTCCAAATTCCTTAATGCAGCAGAATATAAGAGCCTTTATACGTTTCCCCATTTTATTATGAAAAATTTCAAACATACAGTAAAGTTGAAAAGATCAAACTGCAAACATCCATACACCCACCACTTGTAGAATCTACAAGTATTAACATTTTGCTATACTTCTTTTATCAGCTGTTTATCATCCATCTATCCAAACATCAACTCATCTCATTTTTGATGCATTTCCCAGTCAGTTGCAAACCTCAGTGCACTTCCCCCTAAATACTTCAGCATACATATCTTTAGTATTCAGGGTTCATCATTCTTTTTGGGGATGAGGGTAAATAAAATTTATTTACAGTGAAATGTACAAATCTTCAGTGTGCTATTGGATGAGTTTTGGTAAGTGAACACACTCAGGTAACCCAAACCCCCATCAAAATATAAAATCTTTCCATCTCACACAAAGTCCCTCAGGCCCCTTTCCAGACAATCCCACCCAAATCCTCCCATAGGCAACCGCTGTTCTGATTGTTTTCATGTATTATTAGTTTAGCCTACTTTAGAACTTCAGAAAAATAGACTCATATGGTATGTGCTTTTTTGTGTAAGGATATTTTACTCATCATAATTGTTTATGTTGTTGAATGTATTAGTAGTTTGTTAATTTTCATTGCTGACTAGTGTTTCATTATTTGAATAAATCTGTTTGTCCTCTCCCTTACGGATGGACACGTGGGTTATTTCAGATTGGGGCTGTTATAAAGAAAGCTCTAAGAGCACTGTTGTACAAGTCTTTTTGTGCCATATTTTTATTTCTCTGGGGTAAATACCTAAGAGTAGAAGTGCTGGGTCACTGGATAGGTATATGTTTAATTTTATAAGAAAGTGACAGAGCTTTTCTTATACCAACAACGTGATTGTACCATTGTATACTCCCACCAAAAATGTATGACAGTTCCAGTCCCTTTATAATTTGAATATTGCCCTTTCCTCACTCAGCCTCATCTCTCAATACTCCCTCTTCCTCACCTCTGCTCCTCCCAACCCAACAAACTTTCAGAACTTTAACCTTTTTGCTGCTTTATTCTCAGGAGGTTCACACATGCTGTTTCCTCTGCCTGGAATATCCTGTCTCAGTCTTCTGCTTGACAAAATGAGTTTACAATTGTTAAAATAACACCTCTTCTGCAAAGTCCTCCCTGTCCCTGCCAGTCACCCAAATTTTCAGATTACCATACATGTGGCCTGAAGCTCTATTTTGTTGCACTTATCATAATGTATTGTGATTATCTTGGATGTGTTAATCTCTCCACTAGACAGACAAGGCAAAGAGGGAACCACTCTTTTCTGCCGTAGAAATGATACTTGTTATTCCTACCAGTGTAAGGATTTTGGATACTGTGAACCTATAAAAACAACATTCTAGGCTGTTCTCTAGGTAGGGCACCTGAAAAATGAGTCACCAAAGAAAATAAAACTAGCAAGGAGAGCTTCTTATTTATCTTGGAATCCTCAGGGCTAATACAGTGCTTAGCACGTGGTAGATGATTAATAGATGTTTGGCAAATTAATAGCACATCCAATCATGTTGCTTCCCTACTTATAATTCTCCTCTAGCTCTTGATCATCTACAAGATTAAATCTCTTAATATGATGTACAAGGCCAATCATAATCTGGAACCCACAGTGAACTCCTGAGAGTGCCTGGCCAGTGTTCTCTGATGCCTCTGTGCTTTTCTGTATGTACCCTGTACTGGAATGTCCATCCCCTCTTTAACTGGTAAACTCACAGCTCTAAGTTTGGTGTAGATCAAACCAGGACTTCTCTGTGAACTTTCACCCAACAGAATGCCCACCCCCATGCCCACCTTGATTTTTTTACCCTGATTATATCCCACTTGTATGCATTCTAGTCTTTCTTGCTAGGACTATATTCTCTCACAGGGCAAGGATTTTATTTTTATTCATTGTACGAAACACATTGGCCTAGTTTATCATACTCTTCACCCTATGCTAAAATAATGATTAGAGATGTATTATGTCAAGTGATCCTCTTTCCCTCCCACAGCTAACTGGACCAGGAGAGGACACCTGGAGTGCATTCTCCCTTGAGAATCCGAAGTGATGACCTAGGAACTGTAATCAAATGGTGCTACACAACCATGTAGACTAGGCTGATGGCTGCTACTGTCAGCCATGTGTGTTCCAGAGAGACAGACAGAGAGGCAGACAGAAGAAAGACCTGGTAACTTCCAACACCCACAAAATCTAGCTTCACTTCCTGCTGTTGGGTTCTGGGAGGTTCCCTTGTACTTATCCAATACACTCCTTTTTACTTAATCTAATCTGAATTAAATTTCTGTTCCTTGCACCCAATGACTCTAAGTCACCTTGCACCAATATGTCTGTAGAACATATGAGCTCAATAATATGAGTTTCAATAATTTTAACAATTACAGGCTTTAATAGAAACTACCCAGAACAGAGTGTTAAAATATAATACTAAAAATTACACTTGATGAGTTAGAATTTTTAAGATAAGGACTAGATTTACATTAAAACAGTACTTGCATTAGTATACTGAGACCAAGGAAGAAAAATGGTCAAATACCTATTTGGGAAAGGACAGACACAGAGAAGTGGACAGGGGTACATGGCTTGCACTGTTACCTTTCTTGAGCTGACGGATCAGTGTTAGGGAGGACAGGAGCCAAGATCTCTGCCACTCAGAGCACTCATTACCTGGGAATGTTGTGAAGATGGTTTTCACCTGGGATTATCAGAAAGCAATCACAGAGAAGAGGATTAAGCCCTCAAACGGGAGGAAACACAGGCTGGAGTCTTTCATATCAGATGAAATAAAAGCCCAGCCACAGACAAACCTGGCAAGGCCTGTGAAGAAGGTAAGTTTCCAAGAAGGACCAAGGAGCATGCCAGCACCAACTGATGAACTGAATTACATCAGGGGAAAACTTACTCCACCTTTGGTGTGAAACCAGGGTCAGGACTAGGGTGAGGGGAGTGAGGCACTTGCCCTGAGCACAAAGGGACAGACTCAGAATTACTGATTTTTTCTTGGTCTTGGGCTGCAGGGTGGCTGAGCACAACACTGTTACTGATCCTGTCTTTATTTTAAATTCTAATATTTTGTTCACCATGGTTGTTTGCATTAATTTTTATTTTTAAAAAACTGAGGCCAGGCATGGTGGCTCACACCTGTAATCCCAGCCGAGGTGGGCAGATCACCTGAGGTGAGGAATTCGAGACCAGCCTGGCCAACATGGAGAAACCCCTGTCTCTACTAAAAATACAAAAATTAGCCAGGTGTGGTGGCACACAACTGTCATCCCAGCTACTCGGGAGGCTGAGGCAGGAGAATCCCTTGAACCCGGGAGGAAGAGGTTGCAGTGAGCCGAGATCATGCCACTGCACTCCAGCCTGGGCAACAAAAACGAAACTCTGTCTTTAAAAAAAAAAAAAAAAAAAAAAAGCATACAAATATTCTTTATCTTGATTACTGAGTCTTGAGTGCCCCTTAAATTCTGCACTTGAGGCGAGTGGCTCACCCCAGTCCTGGCTGTGTGAAAATGCTGTATGCACAAGAGAGAAGTCTGCCCAGGCACTGATCTCTCTGTCGTCCTCTCACTGTGCTTCCAAAAGACCTGAGAGGTCAAGACATTCCTCCGGGTAAACAGAAACCTAGTGACTCCAAGGAAGTGAGAGCTGGGTAATAGGAAGAGAAACAAAACTGAGGAGTCAGTTTCTGGCTCTCAGTGGAAGCTCCAGCGATGCAGTAAGCTCCAGGGATGGCCGACTCAGCCCTCTTGGACAAAGCTGAGATCAGACTTGACTCAGGCTCCAAATAAAACATAAAGAAACCCAGCTTCCCTGAAGCAGAGACCTAGCATTAACAACCTAAAAACCAAATGAGTATAAACTCATCAACTAGATTGATAATAAATGGGTACCAGGCAAAACAGAACAGAGACAGAATGTGGGCTGGGGAGGAAGGTGGGTCTTCCATAACCAGAGTCTTGGGGGCCTCAACAAAGGGTTGAAGAGAGAGGCCACGAGGTCAGTGCAGAGCAGTCAGAAGCCTAAGGAAAAAATATCTGAAGCTTAATTAGGAAAGTGCTCATTCATTCAGAAGCCAGGACAGGGCACCAGGACAAACCAAGGTGTCACACGGTTTAGACAAGATATATGCTAAAACAAGGAGGAAAAGTAGCTCTGAAGAAGAACAGGGAATCCCACCTGACCTGGAAGGAAGACGAGAAGCATTCCACCCAAGTATCTAATGCTAGTGGTAAGGCTACATGTCAAAAAATATTGAGAAGAGGGAAAGGAATGGGAGCTGAGTAATCCATAAGCTGCATCGGCAAGTAGTCTCAGTGAGGCAGAAAGACCTCTGGTAGAATGTTGGCTGGCGTGTGCCTGGAAAGCAATGTGGCAATATGCATAAAAACCCAAGAGATCTTTCAACTCCTAAATTCCACTTCTAGGAATCCATCTTAAGGAAATAACCTGAAATATCCACAAAGTATGTACAAAAATAGTTAAGACAGGCCAGGTTTGGTGGCTCACACCTGTAATCCCAGCACTTTGGGAGGCCGAGGCAGGCAGATCACTTGAGGTCAGGAGTTCGAGACCAGCCTGGCCAACATAGTGAAACCCGTCTCTACTAAAAATACAAAAATTAGCTGGGCGTGGTTGCGGGTGCTTGTAATCTCAGCTGCTTGGGAGGCTGAGGCAGGAGAATCGCCTGAACTTGGAGGGTAGAGCAGTGAGCTGAGATCATGCCACTGCACTCCAGCCTGGGTGACAGAGCAAGACTCCATCTCAAAATAAAAATAAAAATAAAAATAAAGTCAAGACAAAAAAACTATAAACATAAAAAATAGAAGTCACTTAAATGCCCAATGAAAAGAGATTAGAGCCAGGCATGGTAGCTCAAGCCTGTAATCCCAAGCACTTTGGGAGGCTGAGGTGGATCACTTGAGGTCAGGAGTAGGAGTTGGAGACAAGCCTGGCCAACAGTGAAACCCCATCTCTACTAAAAATACAAAAATTAGCTGGGTATAGTGGTGCACACCTGTAATCCCAGCTACTCGGGAGGCTGGGGCAGGAGAATTGCTTGAATCTTGAATCCGGGAGGCGGAAGCTGCAGTGAGCAGAGATCACACCACTGCACTTCAGACTAGGTGACAGAGTAAGACTCCCTCTCAAAAAAAAAAAAAAAAAAAAAAGAGAAGAGAAAGAGAGAGAGATTGGGGCTGGGCATGGTGGTGTATGCCTGTAGTCCCAGCTACTTGGGAGGCTGAGGCAGGAGGATCGCTGGAGCCAGGGAGTTCAAGGCTGCAGTGCACAATGATCCCACCTGTGAATAGCCACTGCACTCCAGCCTGGGCAACATAGCAAGAGCCCATTGCCTTAAAAAAATAAGAGAGAGAGAGAGATATTTGGCTTAAAAAAAAATAGTTTGTTTATACGAAAGAACATTCTATAGCTAGTAAAATATTGAACATTAAATGTACACGACGGGGATGGTGGCTCATGCCCATAATCCCAGTACTTCTGGAGGCTGAGGCGAGAGGATTTCCTGAGGCCAGGAGTTAAAGACCAGCTGGGCAACATAGCAAGACCTCATCTCTACAAAAACAAACAAAATAGCTGGTGGTGCACACTTGTGGTCCTAGCTACTCGGGAGGCTGAAACAGGAGGATCACTTGAGCCCAGTGATCATACATTAAACTATGATACATACATAGTTCATACATTGAACTATCATTGTGCCACTGCACTCCAGCCTGGGTGACAGGGCGAAATTCTGTCTTTACAAATAAAAATACGTATAGCAAAAAGACTACAAAAAAAAAAAAAAAACCACACACACAACAAAATGCTGTGACTAAAACAAAACAAACAACTTCTAAGACTGATTTACTTGTGGATGATGATCTATGTTCTATAATGACCATATATTATCTTTTTTTCTATGAAAATACATTTTTGGTTGTTTGTTTTTAGAAAAACCTGTCCTCCAAACTTGAGGCTTGTTAAGAAGGCGACCCTCCAAGAAGGACCGGGAGCACACTAGCACCAATCAATGAACTGAATTATGTGAGGGGAAAACTTCCTTTGTCTCTGGTATAAAACCAGGGCCAGGACTAGGGTAAGGGGAATGAGGCACTTGCTAGGGGCACAAAATTTAGAAAGGTGCCAAAAAATCTCAGTAGTCCAGATAAATACTATTTTACTGCAATATTTTTTAAAAATTGAAATTAGGGCAAATAAAATCCAAGATAAACAAATTTTTTTTTTTTTTTTTTTTTTGAGACAGAGTTTCACTCTTGTCGCCCAGGCTGGAGTGCAATGGCGCAATCTCGGCTCACTGCAACCTCCGCCCACTGGTTCAGGCGATTCTCCTGCCTCAGCCTCCCAAGTAGCCAGGATTACAGGCACGCGCCAACATGTCGGCTAATTTTTGTAATTTTAGTAGAGACAGGATTTGGCTACACTGGCCAGGCTGGTCTCGAACTCTTAACCTCAGGTGATCCACCCGCCTTGGCCACCCAAAGTGCTAGGATTACAGGCGTGAGACACCGTGCCCGGCCACAAATTTCAAATTTTTAAATAAAGACAGGATCAGTATTTCAGTATTGATTTTTCTTTTTGCCTCAGGCTCCAATATGGCTGGGCTCAGCACAGTTACTGATCCTGTCTTTATTTTAAATTCTGATACTTTGTTCATGGAAGACTTTTTGCATTAATTTGTTTCTTGCTTACTGTAATCCTGATGGGCTAATTTCCTAGAAAATGTTTTCACCCTTCCATCATGGTCAGGGCAGTGGGGCACACCAATGCCTGTCTGCTCTAATGCCAGCCCTAAACAGGAACAAAAGAAGAATGAAAGTACCCTGGAGCGGGGAATAGCCTGGTCTAAAGAAACCCATGCACTCTCTCAGGCCCTGCCAGACCACAACTCCTACAAAACCCTCCTCACTCTCCACTAGCCCAAGCTCTCTCCCCAATGACTTTCTGGGATTAAAACAGAAAAATCCATTAAGAAAATATACAATATACAATGATTGACAACCCCTCCCTAACCACAAGGGGAGTGTTAGTCTTTAACAGAATACTATTTTAAGATACATATATGTTAACAATTATGCTTGAGGTTTTTTTTTTCTAACTTTTATTTTAGGTTTGGGGGTACATGTGAAGGTTTATTAATTATGTAGGTAAACTCGTGTCACGGGGGTTTGTTGTACAGATCATTTCATCACCCAGGTATTAAGCCCAGTACCCAATAGTTATCTTTTCTGCTCCTCTCCCTCCTCCCACCCTCCACCCTCAAGTATACCCCAGTGTCTGCTGTTTCCTTCTTTGTGTTCCTAAGTCCTCATCATTTAGCTCCCACTTACAAGTGAGAACATGCAGTATTTGATTTTCTGTTCCTGCATTAGTTTTATGCTTGAGTTTCAATGGAGGTATAAACACATAAGCATTCCAAAAACAAGTGAATCAGAGTGAATGAAAATGATTAGCTCAATTAACCATGCTTATGAGAAGTTTATCAAAGCCTAGGTCCACCTGGTGGCATTTCCGTATATGCCTAGAAAAAAATGGCCTCTAGAGCCTCGCTTCTACAAGATCAAATAAATGACCATGGAAGTGTCTCCACCTTAGATAGCGGTCTGAAAAACTGCTCTGGTAACAACACAAATATAATCCAAATATAAAGGGGAAGAAACATACATGCAATATCATTCTCCACGGCATTAAGACCACATGGCCTAGTCCCTACCAGACCTTCACATCTTCCAGCTACTTAACAGCACATCTGTTTAGGACACATCCAAAAACAGCACTATTGAGATTCAGCTCTGCGCCAAGCACTTTCACATGCATTACCTAATTGCATCCTCATGACAAGCCTGTGAGGCGAGTACTATTACACCAGTCTTGCCGACGGGGAACCAACTGCAGGTTCACTCTGAGCAGCAGAACCCCTGTCTTCTGCCCAAAATCTGGTTGTTTGCCCAGTGCTCTTGGCCTGTGCCTAGCAGGCTCATTTCTTAAAGCCCACCTACAAGAGGATCCTCCAGCATGTTCTACTGTGCTTTTCTCACCAAGTTACCCATCACTCATCAGAGACTCAAGGCCCAGTTTACCAATAAGTAAAATGAGACACCGCAAGGTAAGAAATTCACCTGACTTTCCACTGTCTGATCTCTGACCCCACGTACTTAAGAGGGGGCAGGGTGCCATCCTGAGGAACTAGACTACTCTGTAGAATTTACTCCCCTGCTGTGAAGAAGAAATGGTGCCCTAACACTCATTCCAGGTGAAACATCCCCTCTACCCTCCATGACAGGCAGAGCTGAGTGGCAATATGGGAGAGCGCCAAGAACTACTGGTACACAGTGGAGATCATTTCCCAGACCAGGCTGTGGTAGGGATTTCAGCTTCAAAGATTGAGTTACATTCTTTCCTTCCTGGCCCTAACCCCTACTCTTGTCCTTTGTACTTGCCTCAACAGCTGGAAGCAGGGTGCAATCTACACTGTGCCAAAACAGGAGGCCAGGGCAAGACTTCTCTTAATCCCCACTCACCACAACTGTCTCCACAGGAGGCAGGAGGGACTCAGACCAAGAGCCAGCACATTCCCATGGGGGCTAGCGCTGTAGGTTGGGGAGGGGGCAGGGATGGTGGAGATGGTGGACTTATTCTTAAATTCTATTTATTTTCACCATTCCTGGGTATTCCTTTCACCTTCATCTTCACTAAGGCACCCTAAGAAATTCAGTCTCCCAAGACAACATGATCTGAGGTGGAAGGAAGGGCCAGAGTTGGAGAAGAGGAAGAATTCATTGCATTCTCCACCCCCTTCCCTCCCTCGGGCTGTTAAAGGGAACAGGGCCACCTCACCTCTCAGCTTTCAAGCAGTAATTAATTACTACGAGTCCAGGGCTTTAGATGAAGTGAAAAATGGTTAGCATTAGACAAAATCAGATCTTGCACACATCCCGATAGGGTTACATTAGTAAGAAGACGTGATGGGAGTGCGGAAAATGTTTTCAGTGAAATATAGAATAGAAAGATGCCTTTAGGCTTTTCTCTGAATGCTGAATAGTAAGAGATGCTGACTGTGGTCAGAGCCTGCTTCATGGCAATTAGTGATTCAATCCTAAGGAAACCTGAGAGTCCAATGCTGAGCACATCAACAACCTGGCTCAGACTAGAGTTCAAATGCAATGAGATCCTGCTTGCAGGTGCACCACCTCCTCCCCAACTCCCACTGATCTATACAGCACAGCTACCTACTTTTTTATCTGAAGCTATTTCCAGGGTCAAAAATGCCATTTAAAAATCTCTGAACACTGAGAGGAGCCACCATTCCTCCCTTTCCACCACCCCAATCTACCAACACTCTGAAGTCCTAAAACGTCCCAATCCCTCAACGTTTACATTCCCTGCTCTCCTCTATCTGAAGCCCAGCCTGGCTTCCCCTCCTGTCTCTAGAGCCCATCGTTTAGGGACTTCACTCCCTGAAGAAATTGTTCCCTCTCTACTGCCTTTCTCCCACCAGTGTTTAAACAAGCTCCAAGTCTCTCTGATCATAAAAAGAAACAAAAATCTCTTCACCTCTTTTTTTTTTTTTTTTTCAGACGGAGTCTCGCTCTGTCGCCCAGGCTGGAGTGCAGTGGCGCGGTCTCGGCTCACTGCAAGCTCCACCTCCCGGGTTCACGCAGTTCTCCTGCCTCAGCCTCCCAAGTAGCTGGGACTACAGGTGCGTGCCACCATGCCCGGCTAATTTTTTTGTGTTTTTATTAGAGACGGGGCTTCACTGTGTTAGCCAGGATGGTCTCGATCTCCTGACCTCGTCTTTACCTCTTTCTTGATCCAACTAGCTACCACCCCTTTCCTCTCTTTTACAACTAGACATTTCAACCTGTCTATTCTCTCACTCTCTCCACATTCTACCTCCCAGTCATTCAGAAACCTCTTATGAAGTAGATTCTGCCCTCTCCAAGGCCCAGGACCTCTCTGTGGCTCAATCAAGCGGATGGTTTTCAGATGGCACCTTGTGTGACAGCTACTGAGCACTTTTCACTGGTGACATTCTTGAATCACTCTTTCCAGCCAGGCCTGGTGGCTCATGCCTGTAATCCCAGTACTTTGGGAGGCCGAGGTGGGAGAACTGCTTGAGCCGAGGGGTTGAGACTAGACTGGGCAACATGGAGAGACCCCATCTCTACAAAAAATACAAAAATTAACTGGGTGTGGTGGTGCATGCCTAGAGACCCAACTACTCAGGAGACTGAGGTGGGAGGATTGCTTGGGCCCGGGAGGTGGAGGTTGAAGTGAGCTGAGAAGCTGAGACTGTGCCACTGCACTCCAGCCTCAATGACAGAGCCAGACCATGTCTAAAATAAAGAATTTTAAAAACTACTCTTTCCTTTGGGCTTCCAAAGAAAAGGACATGACATGCTCAGTATTTCCCCTACATCTCTGTCCACTTCTTGATCTCCTTTAGAGTTGTTCGTCTTCCTCCTGTTCCTTAATTGCCAGTGTTTCCTCAGCGTTCAGTCCTGAGTCATCTCTGTTCACCCTATAAATGCGCCCTGGTTGATTTCACCCATTAGGCATTTAAACATCCTTTAATTACATTCATAATATTGACAACTATCTCCAGAGGTCCAGACCCATATATTTGACTTTCTCAATTAAGCTGATAAACATTTCCACTTGTAATTTTCACAGGCACCCCAAACTCAACATGTTTAAAACTGAAATCAAACCCCAGGTGTCCCCTCCACACATACCTCCCAAGCCTCCCTTTCTGTGTTCCCCAATGCTGTGACCACCATCTACCCCATTTCCTGTCTTCAGAAACTCCCTCTCCCCAATATCCAACTAACAACCAAATCTTGATGATTTGTCTCCATCTCTTTCAAGTCTGCTAACTTCTGCCCATACTAACAGCCACTGGCTTATTTCAGATCCTCCTCATTTTTCTCCTAGACTACTAGAATTTCTTAGTGTACTCTCAGAACAGAAACCTTTGGTGGGGGTCTGTGCAACTCAATGATCCACCTTTCTCTGGACATCCCCTCTCCTCCACCCATTATGTTTGTACTAAAGAATACCCTTTCCCCATCCTTGCCAGACTTCATGGGACCATCATGGACATCTGATCCACACCAGGCAACTCAGATTCTTTCCTGGAAAAGTGGAATTTGGTATAAGTATGTGCAGACAACTTAAACTACAGCAAGTGAAAAGTGGGAGCTGCACGGAAACCATATGGTGCCATAGGAATATTAAACAGAGAAAGTCTATCTGCATTAAAAAAGAAGACCAAAGCAGAAGCAGAAAAAAAGCAGAGATGAGAGAGAGAGAAACACTCCTGGTGGCCTTTTTCTTCTAATTTCAGACTCTTGGCGAGGGTCAGTAGCACTTTTGCTCCAGGTTCCGTTAGAAACACCCACCAACTTGTCTTTTTCACATTTCCCTTTTTATTTCAGCTCGTTTAAGTAGATAACTGTTAATGTGCCCACAGAGTGTCTTGGTTAATACATTTGAATCCACTCACTTCTTCTCACTTGATCTCAGCTCTCCTATCTATAAAACCAAAAGACTGAATTACATGAACTCTATGAAGGCTTTAATGCACTACATTCTTTGAGCAGAGTATGTGTGCTTTTTCTATATTCAGTCTAATGCGCAAAATGATGGTCACCACCAGCCCAAGGACAGTCATATGCATATTTAGGGTTGCATTTTGTTACAAGTTTTTAAACTATGCAAGTTTACAAGCAAATTAATAAAAATGATCTTTTTTTTTTTATAGAAGTACATGTAAGTAACACATGCTTTACATATTAGATATTTAATAAGTAGCTTATGAATTTATCTAGAGCCTGCTGAGAGGACAAAAGGTTTTGTTTTTTAATTTTATTTATTTATTTATTGAGACGGAATCTCACTCTGTCTCCCAGGCTGGAGTGCAGTGGCACGATCTCGGCTCACTGCAACCTCCGCCTCCCGGGTTCAAGCAATTCTCCTGCCTCAGCCTCCTGAGTAGCTGGGATTACAGGCACACGCCACCACACCCAGCTAATTTTTGTATTTTCAGTAGAGATGGGGTTTCACCACGTTGGCTCCTGACCTCATGATCCACCCACCTCAGCCTCCCAAAGTGCTGGAATTACAGGAGTGAGCCACTGCGCCCAGCTGGTTTTGTTTTTTTAAAAACAGTGCACTACAATCAGTGTGGCATTGTAGAGTGAATGTATTTTTTTCTGCAATAATATAAGGATGACTAGTGAAAAGTATTCTCTAAATACGTTTGAAAATGGCCCATTTGAAAATGGACTGGCCCACCTGCCGAGTGTCAAATGAGATTGCTAAATTGCAGAGCAACGTTTTAATTCAGGGCTTCAAAAAAGGGAGTAATTTAAAAATGTACATTTATGATAACAGGTTGAAAATTGACGCAAAACACTTTCTTTAGGTTAAAAATAGATCTTTTTTGGGCTGGGCATGGTGGTTCATGCCTATAATCCCAGCACTTTGGGAGGCTGAAGTGGGAAGATCACTTGAGCCCAGGAATTTGAGACCGGCCTGGGCAACACAGCGAGACCCAGTCTCTACAAAATAATTTTTTAAAAACTTAGCCAGGCATGGTGGTGCGCATCTGTGGTCCTAGCTACTCAAGAGGCTGTGGTGGGAGAATTGCTTGAGCCCAGGTGGTTGAAGCTGCAGTGAGCCATGATTGCGTCACTGCATTCCAGCCTGGGTGACAGAGTGCCCTGTCTTTAAAAAAAAAAAAGTGCATTTTTGAAGATAAATCAGTGTCGTGTGAAAAATATTTTTTTAAAGACAAATTTTGGCTTTTGCATTTTGTAAAATTCATAAGCTACTTATTAAGTACCTAATTTACAAAATATGTATTACATCACTGATAAAGTACTTAGTAAATAAATAGCTAAATGCTGATAGAGTCTGATTCAGCAAGCCTGAGTGGGGCCCTGGATCTATTTTTTACAAAAGCCTCACAGACAACACAGATCATCTGCCAGTTTGGGGAACCACTGTCCCAGGATCAGGACATATTTCAGATCTCTTTGAAATAAGAAGTAGAAACTGCAGTATACTGAGAACACTTAGAATAGAATCAGAGTATCTCTATACATGAAAAACCTCCGTGTGTGCGTGTGTGTGCACGTGTGTGTGTGCGTGTGTGTGCGCGTGTGTGTGCGTGCACACATGCACAAGACTAAATTAAATAAACCCTACCAGTGGTTTCGGGGTGGGAGAGGTGGTGAGGAAGTTTGCCCACGCTGGCTCTTTTGGTCTGGGGAAGGAAGCTAATGACTTTGCAAATTCCTGTCCCCTAAAAAGACCTGCTACTGGGGGGTGAGGGCGGAACATCATAACCCACATTCTAAATGGCTATTCAATATTCTACAGAGAAACCTCTTGCCAGCTGTCTGCTCAAGCTAAAAGTTTGAATGTTAAAAAAATCAAGTGAAAGACACAAGGTTAGTCCACACTCCACAAACAGTGTCCAACAAGAAGTGGTGGTCAAAAGGAAGAGAAGAGACAGACTCAGATGTGGAAATAAAATTTTCTGTTCCAAAGTCATTGCAAACTTACAGAAAGAATGCTGATGTCTAGCATCTCAAAACTCTTCCCTGGAGCTCTGAGGACTCTGTTGCTGGAAGTTAAGACACCAGTGAGAGCCCCATATTACCCCTACAGGGTTATATCTGTTGACTGTGCAGTTACACCCACCGTGATCATATGTAACTGCCACAGCCACAGAACTCCTGGCAGCAATTCAAATAAAACTCCACGTGAGAGATACCAAAAGGCAACAGAAAGAACCATCAGGAGTCAGGAGGCCTAGTTGTGGTCCAAGTTCCACAAATAACAAGCTATGACCTTGAGCAAGTCACTATACTTCACTGGCCCTCAGTTTCCTTATTTATAAAGTGAAAGTGAGGGACATAAACATCTCTCACCTTTGGAGCTGGACATTTGCCACATTTTGGTGATTCTTCAGGGATATGAAATACACCAAATAACCTCCGAAATTCTATACAGGGATTTGAATTACTAATTCTTTAAAAGACAACATTGCTTTCACACTGGAGTGTGGTGGTGAGCAGAGGATGGAAGTAAATTAAAAGAAGCTCCCTGACAGGTGGGAAGTAGAGGCAGGAATTAGGGAAGCATTACTTCCTTGGGGATATTCACTCTTTATGCTCCAATCACTCTGATCTCCCTAATATAGGCACATTTTTGAAACCTGAAGGCAAAGAGATTTTCTGTTAAAGATTCTCTGAAAGAGTGTTCAGGAAGTTTAATAATTTCCTTGAAAGTCACTCCTTGTATGTCTACTGTACAAGCAGTACAAGCAGTGTGTCCACATCCTCCTGGGTCTCGGCTTCATGGCTGAAAGTCCAAAGAGCCCGTTCAGCATTAGAGCTATACCCTTAGTGGGTCCAAAGACTCACTCTCTTCACCTGCCACTTTCTTGATATGTGTACAATTTTTTCATCTGATTCTTGGCCCTGAGTCCCTTTAGAGGCAACTCACTAGGTGCCATGAGCATTGTGGTTTGTGTTTCTATTCTAAGTTGACTTCGTTCCACTTTTTCAAGTTTCTGGATATTTTTTCAAGCTACGGATCTTCATCCACAGCACAAAATGTCCACTTAAAAAAATAAAGTGGATTTCTCACTCTTTCCCCTGAATGGAAAAAAAATGTCTTAGTTGTCTCTCCAGGTAAACCTGGGGTATCAGCCATGTTCTGATAGCCAGCTTCACCTGACCACCCTTCCCTAATAAGGAACCTCTTTTACAGAATAATTAACCTTCTACACTGCTCTCCAAGCTAATGGGGAACATCTGCTTAGGAGCCCTCCATGGCTGCTTCATCTCCCTCCCCGCAAAACCCACCCGCCTCCTTCAAGAAAGGCCCTAATGATTCTGGTATAGTTACCTTCTCTCCCTACCCCCTTTAACAATCTAGCATCTTCCTTAAAAAACACAATCAGGGAATCCTAACCAGGCAGGCGTGACTCCTAAGCAGATGGCAGGCCTCATAATTAGGTCATTACATAATACCTCTTCTCTAACTAGCTTCTCTCCACCTCATTCCGAGACTCTGGGTTGATGAGCTTTACACTGTGGTTACTTTAATTATAATTCGCTCTTGGGAACTTGGTAATACCATGTTTTGATAAAAGAAAAGAAATGGGGTAAGAGTATAAGAAAGTCAGAGTCAGAAGGTTGCTTTCAGCTTCAGTTTTGAATAGTCCAGACTTGTAGGGGTAACTTTTTCTCTTGGTGCCTTGGTTTCCCAACTTGTTTCAAGTTGGGAACTTGCCTCAAGCCAATCCCCAGTTGCACTGGTTCTAATACAGGACTCAAGCTAAACGTTACATCACATGACATGATTTCTAAGGGACACTACGTCACATTTAGGTGTCAGGTCAGGCTCTTGGTGACACACCATTGAACTAGATTGCACAAGGTGGTATCCTCACGCACACAGGCAGCGACTGGTCTCAGTAAGATCCCAGGTCAGCATCAAGTCTTTGAACTCCCTCAACCTTCAACCCCAGGCACTCAGAGACCTCGATTACTCACCAGGAAATCTAAAGCCTTCCACCTCACTTCCAGTGCAGCATCCCCACTCTGGTCTCCCTCCTTCTCCTAGAGCTTTCCACACTCTAAAAATCACTGTTCCCTTTGCCCAACAACTACACTGCCTTTCTTACCAATCTGTTTTTAGGGATCCTGGGTCTCATACCCATCTCATATCTGTATGAATAGTCTACAGTGAAGAAAAGTCATCTACATACATGTTCCCATTTCCTCATCACAATAAACCCAAATTATCATTTTGTAGATTCAAAAACTGAGGTCCAGATAAGTGTTATCCAAAAAAACTACATAAAAATTCAAGCTTTAATCGAGGATTATAAGAAGAGACTATTCTATGAAAAGGAGAGATCTATAATCTCCAATTGGCATAACATATAAGAGATATTCTTTTTTAAATTAATTTTTTGTAGAGATGGGGTCTCACTTTGTTGCCCAGGCTGGTTTCAAATCCCTGGCTTCAAGCAATCCTCCTGGCCCGGCCTCCCAAAGTATTGGGACTACAGGTGTGAGCCACTGCGCCCAGCCAGGAGATATTCTTAAGCTAGAGGTCCATGTCCCCACACCACCCCAACTCCCCAAGGACCTCTGGTTAACATTTATGCTTCGGCACTGAGTTTTCCAAGTTCTGACCCTGGACTGGGACAGTAGTTATGTTGGCCCCTGGTTCCAATGGGCTGGCCTAGGAGCTTGGTGCCTGTCATCACTGCAATTCTCAGACTCCAATACCTAACGCTACCCTCCTCTCCAGAGTCCTGTCCAAAGTCCTGTATCTCTCCTGCATCGTTAAAGGCAGCCTTGAGTTCTAAAACCTACTGAAAAATACCAGAAACCAAATTTAAGAATCACTTACCCAAAAAGTATGTTTGGACTAGATCAAAAGTTTTACATATGATGTGGCATATGGTACTAGGAAAAGAGGATGACCTTTCAGTCAGTAGTTTCCAGGGTTTGATTTCTAGCAATGAAACTTGTTTACATAAACTTGAGAAAGTTACTTAACTTCTTTAAGCCTCAGTTATTATCCATATTTTACAGATGTGGAAACTTTCTCCCCCAAAGCTATTGAAAAGCACTAAAGAAAAAAATATACAAAAATTGGCCTAGCACAGTGCTGGGCAAACAACTCTTCCCTCCACCTTCCCTCTGGCACCACCCTCTGCCTGATTGGTGCGGAGTGCTCCCTGCCCTCCGCACGTCACTGCCCCAAGGGGTCTGGGAAAAACTCCGAAAAATATGCAGTCTACAAGAACACTGTGAGATGAACCGGAGGATTATGAACTCATTAAAAAGAATAGCAAAGAGATCAGGGTGACCACCAGTGGGGCAGGTTTTGTCTAAGCACTGCATTTCTAAAATAATCATTATGCAGCTTTTTCAGGCCTTTTCCAGGTGAGATGCTTAAAAATGAACTGAGAACAAAGCAGTCAACTGAAAACCTGTGGGCCTATGAACCTAAGGCAAAGTGGGTGGTTGAATACCAGGCTGGTAATGAGGCAGAAAGGCAGGCAGGGGACTTTTGGCACAAGGTAACCATGGGCTTTGGAGGCAACTTACCACAGTGTTGAGGAACCATTTACAGAGCTTCAGGAGCTCAAAGAGGGCCTGGCAATGACAATATTCAAAAGGCTTAAAAACACAAAAGACGTCAGGAAACCTGGGTTCCAATTGTGGCTCTGCATTAACCAGCTATGTGATCTTAGGCTAAAAACTCTTCAAAGACAAGGAAAGTATTTTTCTTTGCATTGTCTGAATCACCTAGAATAACAAAGTCAATGCTCGGTAACTACTGAATGAAGGAGTGTCTGGCTTCTGAGATCTCTGGGCCTTAGTTTTCTCTCCTATATCACAAAAGAGTTGGAAAGATTATCCCTAGGGCCACTCCCGGGCTCACATTCATTCCATTGTTCTTTAGACACAGAAAAGTTTCTCAATTCTAACAGCACATCAGAATCACCTTGGAAGTTTTTAAAAAGATAATTCTCCAGTTTCCCAGCTGGAACATACTGAGATTCAAAATCCTTAGGGTGGTGGGTTTGGGTCGGGCGGAGGGTAAAATCTGCACAGGTGAGCCTAATAGGCAGTTAGCTGTGAGAACCAATGCACCATGCTTTCAAATGCAGTAATCTTCTAATCTTCAAGGAACAAGGGACTTGAGGCTGGGTCCTTCTTCCATATCTTCTGCCTTTCTGCCCAAATCAGCAGCTTTCATTTTCTAAAGCAAACCTGCCTCATTTCTTTTCTTTAAAAAAAAACTTTTTTTTTTTTAAAGACAGGGTCTTGTTCTGTTGCCCAGGCTGGAGTACGATGGCATGCTGACAGCTCGCTGCAGCCTCGACCTCCTGGGCTCAAGCAATCCTTCCATCTCAGCCTCTCGAATAGCTAGGACTACAGGGGCTTGCCACCATGCTCAGCTTATATATATATACACATGTGTATATATACACACATGTATACACACGTATATACGCATGTATATATACGCACATATATACACATATGCGTGCACACACACATATATACACATATGCGTGTACACACACATATATACACACACGTGTGTACATATATACACATGTGTATATATACACATATATATACATATGTGTATATGTATATATGTGTGTGTATATATATATATATATTTTTTTGATGTCGTTTCGCTCTTGTTGCCCAGGCTGGAGTGCAGTGGCGGGATCTCGGCTCACTGCAACCTCCGCCTCTTGGGTTCAAGTGATTCTCCTGTCTCAGCCTCCCAAGTAGCTGGTATTACAGGGGCATGCCACCATGCCCAGCTAATTTTTGTATTTTTAGTAGAGACTGGGTTTCGCCATGTTAGCCAGACTGGTCTTGAACTCCTGACCTCAGGTGATCCACCTGCCTCAGCCTCCCAAAGTGCTGAGATTACAGGTGTAAGCCACTGCACCCAGTTGCCCAGCTAATATTTTTAAATTTTTTTGTAGAGACAGAGTTTTACTATGTTGCTCAGGCTGGTCTTGAACTCCTGGGCTCAAGTGATCTTCCTACCTTGGCCTCCCAAAATGTTGGGAGTTACAAGCATAAGCCACCATGCCAGGCCTCATTTCTTTTTTCTTTTTTTTAAATTTTTTGTAGAGACAAGGTCTCACTATGTTGTCCAGGCTGGTCTTGAACCCCTGGCCTCAAGCGATCCTCCTACCTCAGCCTCCCTAAAGTGCTGGGATTACAGGCATGAGCTACCATGCCCAGCCAAACCTGCTTCATTTCTAAGGAGCAAGACTTTGGAGTTAGATAAGGGTTCAAATCCCACAGCCAACACTCCATAGTAACGTGACCTGAGTTCACATATAACATGAGCAACCATCCCCTGTTCCACAGAGGTTATTGTGAAGATTATGTGAGACAGCATCATAAAGCACCCGGCACACATCTAAACACAGAAGCTCTTAACAAATGTTCATCCCTGTCTCCTCCACCCCCTTCTTTCCTAAGTAAGGCCCATCAGGTGGGTACCTGACATCACCTGCACCTTCAGAAAAACTCTAGTTATGGGAACTTTTGCTGATATAGGACATGCTCCACTTTCAGTATTTGTCACGGACATCAGTTTCCCCATCCCTTATAGTAAGAAAGAAGAGTAAACCCATTCCCTTAACTAAGAACTCCCTCTCTGTTATAACGGTTTGTTTCAGCAGTAGATGGCTACAGGTGACGCAGGTATCCAGAAATCCTGCCCTCCAAATGATCAAAGCAGGCCTAGTCCTGGATGCCTGTGACATCTGAGTGTATCTGAAACCATCTGTGGGTGCTAAGCTAATTGCATCATTTTGTTACTCCTCAGTTCTTACATTTGTTTTATACTTGCTACCACAGCTACATGATTTTTTTTTTCTTTTTTTAATGGAGGTTTTTATGATGTCTCCTTTAAACAGGCTGGTCTTATTGAGTTCCTCTGCATTATTTATTTTTATCCAATGGCACATGTGATCTGTGGATCAAGGTTTACTATTGTTAGGACTATCCCAGTACATTATGTAGGAGAATATTTTATAAAGAGCTCAATCTGGATCCTCTACAGAATAAATGAAAGAACTGCTACCAAAAAGGCAGCCTCTGATTTTCAAAAGAACTTCCGTTGCTTTTTAGATGCCTTTTAGAAAAGAAGGAATCCACCTTGAGGGATATATGAACAATATGCTCACATGGTTCACATGAAGTCAGTCTTCTTTCAGAGCCTGATCACAAAGGCCATTACTAGTGTCAGCTGGGGTTAAAGATCAAAGTTCAGGTGAGAAACCAGAGTTTTCACTGAATCCCTTGGTCAGAGATGTGGCCGACTGGAGAGGAGTTGCACAGTCCTTAGATCAGGAAACAAGGTGGCACTACGTGGAGATAGTTCAAAGTCAGGAAATAAACTGAACAGAGTTCCAGCCAAGAAGTGGAGCATATACAGGACAAAGTTGAAAATATAATTATTGGACTCTGAAGCCGGGTAGCGGTCAAGCAACGAGGCAGAGAGTCAAGACCTAGAAAGATCAGCAGGAAAAGGAGTCCTAGGGGCTGTGAACAGAATAGATGCAACATTGTAACTCAAAGAAAGTAAAGGAGTATTGGGGCCAGGCACAGTGGCTCATGCCTGTAATCCCAACACTTTGGGAGGCCGAGGCAGGCAGATCACCAGAGGTCAGGAGTTCGAGACCAGCCTGACCAATATGATGAAACCCTGTCTCTATTAAAAATACAAAAATTAGCCGGGCTTGATGGCGCATGCCTGTAATCCCAGCTACTTGGGAGGCTGAGGCAGGAGAATCTCTTGAACCCGGGAGGCGGAGGTTGCAGTGAGCCGAGATCGCGCCATTGTACTCCAGCCTGGGCAACAAAGAGAAACTCTGTCTCAAAAAAAAAAAAAAAAAAAAAGAAAGAAAGAAAGTAAAGGAGTATTGGGTCCGAAAAGCTGATGGAAGTGTCCTGAAAGCAGAGAGCAATCCCTAGGAATGATCTGCCTTGAGCGTTCAGGTACAGATAACAAAGTACCTGGAGTAGAGTCAGGCACAGGGAAGTGAGCAGCTCCTACTTTGTTTTAAGGTAGCTCCATTTTGTCTCCACAGAAGAAAGCCAAGCAAGATAATAAAAAGAGAACATGGTCCAACTGGTTCTGATTAAAAAAAAAATTCATAGAAGCTAGCTCTGCCAGGCCAGGGAATAAGTCAAAAAACCTCTGAATGGCTCTGCTCACTAGGGACGACCAGCAATGGAAGCCAGACAGGAAGATAAGCTGGGAGCTTCACTACCACTGCATGAGCTCAGGTAAAAACAAGACTCCATCATCCTCTTCCTCCAGCAGAACACATCATGTCATTCTCTACAGTCTCCACAAACTAGACAAGGCGCATTAACTTCCTAGTCACTTCAGTACATATCAGAAATGTGAAAAAGAGGCCGACTGGAACCTGCCCCTAAACCACCCACTTTTCGTTGGTATTTTATCACAAAGCCCTTTCCGTAGCAGCAGAAATGCTAAGGATTAAAGCAGAGGACACTGGGGGCTTTGGTTAGCAAAGATGCCTGAGAACAGAGGAGAGCACACATTCCAAGAAAGCTATACAGAGAAACTGTTTTGATCAGTCGGTACACCCACCCCCAGACTGCCATTCCGCAGTGCCTGTCCTTCCTGGAGGACAGAGCCAGGGCAGGAGTGATTCAGCATAAGCCATCCCCACTAACCTTGTACACAGCCTACTTAATATAGCAGGCTTAGATGTCTCAATTTTTAACTGGCAACGCTAAGATTCTGCATATTGCAGATACAGGAGCAAATCAAAAACCATTTTTAGATTTGCACAATTTCTCTAGTTAGGAATCCCAATATCAATACATACTATCTTTGGCTTAACCATCTACTAACTGGAAAAGCCTCAACTTCTCTAAAGCTCCATTTTCACAGTTGTAAAATGGGAATAAGTATATCCTATCAATCTTAAAATTAGTAGAAAAGTCAAATGAAATAAATCACGAGAGATTTAATATGGCAACAAAATGTACTGTCTCTTCCAATCTCCATTCCCACCTCCCCAAAACACAAACTTTATTGGAGCGATAAGGCATGAGACATTGAGAAAAAATATAAGCCTACATCGAGCACCTACTATGGAAAGATGAATGTCAGCTCGATTGCTAGGGAAAGTTTTTTGCGAACAGATTTCAGATGAATTCTGAAAGACTGGTAAGATTGGAAAAGGCAAATCCATTTTCTATGTCCATATTGTATGGAGCATTTATTTAAACTGTAGTTAGAATATCTACAGTTAAGGAGTTAACATTATAAATATCATCAGTCACTCTCTATGACTTTTAGAAATATGGAGATTTAGGCACAAAGTGGAGAAAGAACTCAACTCAAAAGGTCACAACAGCAAAGAAGAAAATGAAGCCCAGTTCAGCACCCAGGCTCTACAGGAGCATGAAATAACTGGTGATCAATCAAAACCAGTAAGGTCTACTGACCAACACCACTGTGACCGTACCCAAGAGATTTACCATATGCCACCAAGGTATGGAAGTATCATTCCTACAAGCCATGGTAAACCAGGGAAAGAGAAATAAGACTATGTTGCAGGATGATGTCTTCATAAAAGACTCATAAATCACTTTATTCTAGAGCCAACGGGGTTAAAGTTGGTTCTATAATTTTTTTTTCTTTTTTTCTTTTTCTTTTTTTTTTTTTTTGAGAGGGAGTCTCGCTCTGTCTCCCAGGCTGGAGTGCAGTGGCGTGATCTCGGCTCACTGCAACCTCTGCCTCCCAGGCTGGAGTGCAGTGGCGCAATCTCGGCTCACTACAACCTCTGCCTCCCAGGTTCAGGCGATTCTCCTGCCTCAGCCTCCTGAGTAGCTGGGATTACAGGTGCCCACCGCCACGCCTGGCTAATTTTTGTATTTTTAGCAGAGACGGGGTTTCATCATTTTGGTCAGGCTGGTCTCAAACTCCTGACCTCGTGATCCGCCCGCCTCAGCCTCCCAAAGTGCTGGGATTACAGGCGTGAGCCACTGCGCCTGGCCTGTTCTATATTTCAAACCACAAAGACCACAGCCAGTTTAATGGAGCTTAAATTGGAAAGTTGGAACAAGATGTCACCAAGGCATCTGCTGACAATTTTCCTAACACTTTTATTAATAACTCCCAGTTACCCTCTCCTGGTTCTCCTAGTCCACAGAGAGGTCAATAAGAGCAAATGAGGAAGTGAAGCAGAAGAACCAAGATCTTTCATTGCAGTTTGGAATCCAAAACTGCAACAAAAGGAAGACCGCTCCAAATTCCCAGTATCTCCAATCTCTAGACTAGAATACAATTTTCAAGAAATAGTCGACCTGAGTATTCCACTCAGCCAATGACTGGTCTCTTGTCCTGCCAGTGTTTCTTATTGGGTACTGCCTCAACTCACTTTAAGGTTTATCATACCACTGCTTCTCAAGAGAGGGTAGTTTTGGCCCAAAGAGGGCAACTGGCAATATCTGGAGACATTTCCAGTTGTCACAACTGGGGAGACAAGGGGTGCTGCTGGCATCAAGTGGGCAGAGGTCAAGGGATGCCAACATCCTAATAATGCACAGGACAGCCCCCCACAACAGCGGTCTATTCAATAAAAATGTTTGCAACTTCTGACTTAAGTGTCAAAAATAAAACTGTAAAACTGCTAAAAGAAAATTACAACTGTACTATAACTTTGGAGGTAGAGATGGTTTTCTATAAACATAACATGAAAAGAGTAACCAAAAATTTGATTCATTTCTTCCTCATTAAAATGTGAAACTTCTCTGTGGCAAATAAAACAAAACCCACAAAGTTAGTGGCAAGTGAAAAAAAGTTTCAACATCAAAAATGTTACACAAAATTCAATAAAGTTCTACCCTGAGATTCACAGTTCTACCCTGAGATTCACAGATTTGGCTTATGATAATTGGACTCATTTAACATCTCTTCTTCAAATTATGAGGCATTTCTTCACATTCATGAAGACTTACATGAATTTTGTACACTCCATGAACAAGTGAGTGTCTTAAGGCTCATCATGCCTGTGTTCTAAATAGTTGCTGTGTTAAGTTCTTCTCTTACAGAACCAGTGGTTTGCTAGTTTATAAGCCTGAATAACTTCATGCGTCACATTCCCTAAAATGCATTTTCTCATTGACTTTAGTTTCCACTGCTGCTTGCATTTTTAGTATTAAAGACTAAATTACATAAACATTAATTTAAAAGAATTATAACATCAAATATTGGCAAGAATATAGTGAAACAGAAGTGTGCTTTGATAAGATACATTGGAAGCATTCAGAAAGTAGACATCCATTGATCCAACAATTATTTTGGGACTCTGATGAAATGTAGAAGTATATATATTTAAAGATGCTTTATGCAGTGTTAATAACCAAAGTTGGAAACCTAAATATTTAGCACTAGGAAATTGACTAACTAGATTATGGTATATCCATGCAGCCTTAAAATAAACATCTATACTCAGTGATATGGAAAAATGTTCACAACATATTATTGAGTTTAAAAAAACAGGCTTTACAAAATGGTTAAGAGGGTATACTTTTTATTGTGTATTTTTACCACAAGTAAATTTTTTTTAAATAAAAAAGCAGGCTTCATGTTCTCACACATAAATTTGGTATATATATTATATAACATGTATTTTATATAATATGCAAATATATCTTATTATATACTATCTTTATACATAGAAAAGGGCTGAAGAGCTAAATACCATACTAATGTGCTAAAAGTAATTAAATCTATGGGTGATATGAGTTGTTTTATATATCTTTTCTTTCATGTTTCTAAATATTTATAATTAATGTGAATTAGTTGCAGTAAAATTTGTCAAGATAAGCTACTATTTACATCTCAGTGCTCCAAACTGTATACTGGATAAAATTCCACCTTTTCTAGTTAACTGGAGAAATCATCACAAACATTTATTACCTGTTTCTCACTCAATGCTGGGATGCCTCAGAGGCTACTAGAGTGTACAATGCTACTTCCCTCACTCATTAGGTAGCTCCAGACTGTAATCCTTTTAACTCCTCTGCCAGCTTTAACATTTCTGTCTTTGACCTTAGCGGCTCTTGCCATTGTTCTCTACTGTCAGGTTGGCGTCCTTCTCCATTTTAATGTATTGCTTTTAATTCAACAGTAAATCAAAAGTATAAGAACTCATTAATAAAAACAAGAAAGAATAAAAAGACTGAGGGAGGGGACAGGGTCTCTCCTAAGGTACAAGTTGGAATCCGCTTTTGTGAGCAATTTCTACTGCCCCCAGATTTTTCTTTGGGAAGGGGAGGGGAGGTAGTGGTATATCTCTAAATTCAAAGCTAGGTTTTAGCACAATTGTTCAACTCTCTCCACCATAACACATATATCCAAAGACATTCAAAAATAAGACATATGCCCATGGACATCTGGCACCCACATAAGGGCTCTAGTTCAAGTAGGAGGATCCTGTGGATCGTGTGTAGCCCCTTAGGGTAAGAGCTGTACCTCCACATCATTCTTTGCACTCAAGAAAACGTATCAAAATTTGAAGGACAGTCATGTTATCGTGAGGATAACTTTGAACTTATTTGTTTATATGAATGAATTTCAAAATAAATGATTTACAATTCAGTGCTTTATACTTAACCACATGACAGAGGTGTGTGGTAATACCATAGCAGAGAGCCATGTTTTCATGGTTACTACTGCCAGGAATGTGGCTACTGAAGAAATAGAACACTACTATGTCTAATTACCACAGGCCGAAAGTGAGGCCTCTTGTACCAAACAGTTAGCCAGGTTGTGAATGCAAAGAAAATGTTCTTGAAGGAATTTTTTTTAAGTGAATATAAACTCAAGGTTTTATTGTCTTCATAATAAAAGAAAAGGTAACACTTAGAACTGGATCACTTAGCCCTTTCTCTTCTTACCTCCTCCCAGTTCAGAATGCTTGCCTCTTTTAATAGCCAGCATTCTCTTAGACCTGCAGTTGGGCTCAACGCACTCAAGCCTTAGCACAATCTTCTTTGTAGTTTTAGCCTTTTTCCAGAAAATCGGCTTAGTTTGCCCACTACAGCCACTCTGCTTCCTGTCATAACGCCACTTTCCCTGGGCATACAGAGAATCCTTGCCCTTTTTACTGTGTCACTTTGTGGGGTTGGTGCTTGCCACACTTCTGACACAAGTCCAGCGGGTTTTAGGAACGTTCACCATGTTTGCGTGAGCACTATCAGCATGGAAAAAGCTAGGATTTTGTTTCTTTTTTGTTTTGTTTTGTTTGTTTTTGAGATGGAGTTTCACTCTGTTGCCCAGGCTGGAGTGCAGTGGTGTGATCTTGGCTCACTGCAACCTCTGCTTCCCAGGTTCAAGCGATTCTCCTGCCTCAGCCTCCTGAGTAGCTGGGATTACAGGCACGCACCACCACACCTGGCTAGTTGTTTTTGTATTTTTAGTAGAGACGGGGTTTCACCAAGTTGGCTAGGCTGGTCTCGAACTCATGACCTCAAGTGATCCGTCCACCTCGGCCTCCCAAAGTGTTGGGATTACAGGCGTGAGCCACTGCACCCAACCTCTTGAAGGAAATTTGAAGTGCTACATGAATGATATGGATAAAGTTTTAGTGTGCTGGATATAAGAACAAACCTGCCAAAACATTCCCTTACGCCAAAGTCTAATCTAGAGCTAGGCACCACTAACTCTCCTCAATTCTATGAAGGCTGGGGAGGTAAGAAAGCTCCAGAAGAAGTTTGAAGCCAGCAGAGGTTGGTTCATGAGGTTTAAGACAAGAAGTCATCTCTATTACATAAAAGTGCAAGGTGAGGCAGCAAGTGCTGATGTAGTTGTAGCAAGTTATCCATAAGATCTAGATAAGACCATTGATGAAGGTGGCTTCACTAAACAACAGATTCTCAATGGAGATGAAAAGCCTTATATTGGAAGAAGATGCCATCTAAGACTTTCATAGCTAGAGAGGAGAAGTCAGTGCCTGGCTTCAAACCTGTGAAGGTCAGGCTGATGCTCCTGTTAGGAACTAATGCACCTGGTGACTTTAGGTTAAAGCCAATGCTCATTGGCCAGACTGAAAATCCTAGGGCACTTAAGAGTTATGCTAAATCTATTCTGCCTGTGCTCTATAAATGGAACAACAAGGCCTGGATGACAGCACATCTGTTTACAGAATGGTTAACTGAATAATTTAAGCCCACTGCAGACTTACTACTCAGGAAAAACAAAATTCGTTGCAAAATATTACTGCTCCTTGACAATGCACCTAGTCATCCAAGAGCTCTGACGGAGATGCACAAGGAGATTAATGTTTTCATGCCTGCTAACACAACATACATTCTGTAGCTCATGGATCAAGGAGTAATTTTGACTTTTTTTTTTTTTTTTTGAGACAAAGTCTCACTCTGTTGCTCAGGCTCAAGTGCAGTGGCGCCATTTTGGCTCACTGAGACCTTGGCCTCCCAGGTTCAAGCAATTCTCCCCACCTCAGCCTCCCCAGTAGCTAGGATTACAGGCACCTGCCACCACGCCCAGCTAATTTTTGTATTTTTACTAGAGACAGGGTTTTGCCATGTTGGCCAGGCTGGTCTTGAACTCCTGACCTTAGGTGATCCACCTGCCTTCACCTCCCAAAGTGCTGGAATTACAGGTGTGGGCCACCATGCCCGGGGAATTTTGACTTTCAAGTATTATTATTTAAGAAATACATTTCATAAGGCAATAGCTGCCACAGATAGAGGCTCCTCTGATGGACCTGGGCAAAGTAAATTTAAAACCTTCTGGAAAGGACTCACCATCTTAGATATTGCTAAGACCATTCATGCTTTTCTGGAGCATGGCAGGAGCTGAGCCACCAAACCTCAGGCAGTGGGCCTCTGTGACTAGCAGTTCCCTGCTCAGGTGAGTGCTGGAGAAGGAGCCTGGTGGAGCTGTGGGCGATGCAGAAGAATGCTGGGGTATGTGGTGGTGAGCCCAGGCTGAAGCTGCATGTTGGCCACCTTGCCTTGTCCCAGGGTGCACTCTCTGCCTTCTAACGCCCCCAGGAGTGGCTGGGGGTTTTTGCCATGGTGGTGGGGGAGTAGAAGGCGAGGGTGTTACCAGTGCCTGTGTTTAGGAGGTGGCTGTTTTGTTGGGAAAAGCTACTACGAAGGGAAGTATTACCAAATTGGGTCTTTTTTTTTTTCTGTGTTCATAGTGTTCACAGCAAATCTGAGTGTTTTACTTAAAGCATGGAACACACAAAACAACAAAAAATTTTAGCTAGTGCTTTAATCTCATCTGAAATTCTACAGGTGTGTGTTTTATAAGGCATTTATGGCAGAATTTCAAGCCAATCTGAGATTCTCTTTTTTTTTGGTGGCATTATTTTTGAAAACTACATACAGCTAAATGTTCAACTGGTGAAACTGAAAGTATTTCATTGACAAGAAATTAATCAAGAGGAAGAACCTGCAGCTCGCATGCTTCTGAGCTGCTACGGATGGCTCCGGCTCTCTGGACAGCCCCAGCTCCCTGGACAGCCCTTCCAAGTAGGATGTCACTAGGATCCCTCACATGGGGTCTCCTGTTGCTATCGCTCCTGAGTTTCCTCGTGATGTGTTACCTCAGCCTTCCCCACTACAATGTGACAGAACATGTAAACTGGATGTGCTTCTGGAGTATGAGACAATTTACAGACAATACCTTCACTTTGCATTTTGAGAGCATTCAAACTGCTCTCATCAAAACCCATTTCTGGACCCAGTGCAATGGCTCATGCCTGTAATCCCAACACTTTGGGAAGCTAAGGCAGGAGGATCACTTGAGCTCAGGAGTTCGAGACCAGTCTGGGCAACAGAGGGAGACTCCATCTCTACCAAAAAAAAAAAAATTTTTTTTTTAAACAGCCAGGCATGGTGGCATGCACCACTAGTCCCAGCTACTAGCTGGGAGGATCGCTTGAGCCCAGAAGGTCAAGGCTGCAGTGAGCCATGATCATGCCACACTGTACTCCAGCCTGGAGACAGAGTAAGATCGGGTCTCAAAATCAACCAACTAACCAACCATTTCTCATCATCCCAGTAACTTCCCATCCCTCAAATATGAAAGCCAGACAGGCCATTGGAGTTACTTGAGATGAAAAAAAAGTGTTGGTGGAGATAAGAGATTCTTACGTTATGTCTGAAAGGGAAGACAAAATGTTAGCACTGTGCTTAGAGGGTGAACACCTTCTTTATGGTGACATAATGCAACCACATGTTTTGGATACATATAATAACATGACCTTGAAAACCATTATGGCATTCAGGTGGGTAACTGAGTTTTGCCCCAATGCCAAGTACATCATGAATACAGACACTGATGTTTCCATCGATATTTGAAATTTAGTAAAGTATCTTTTAAACTGAAACCAGAGAAGTTTTTCACAGGTTATCCTCTGAGTAACAATTATTCCTACAGAGGATTTCACCAAAAACCCCATATTTTATACCAGAAGTATCCTTTCATGGTGTTCCCTCCATACTGCAGTGTGTTGGGTTATAAAATGTCCAGAGGTTGGTGCCAAGGATCTATAAATGATGAGTCATGTAAAACCCATTAAGTTTGAAGACGTTTATGTTGGGATCTGTTTGAATTTCTTAAAAGTGGATATTTATACTCCAGAAGACACAAACGTTTTCTTTTTCTTTTTTTTTTTCTTTTTTTTGAAGACAGGTTCTCACTCTAGTGCCCAGGCTGGAGTGCAGTGGTGTGATTTCAGCTCACTGCAATGTTTGCCTCCTGGGTTCAAGTGATCCTCCCACCTCAGCCTCCTGAGCAGCTGGGACTACAGGTGCACAACACCACACCCAGATAATTTTTTTATTTTTTGTAAAGACCAGGGTCCTGCTATGTTGCCCAGGCTGGTCTCAAACTCCTGAGCTCAAGCGATCCACTTGCCTCAGCCTCCCAAAGTGCTGGGATTATAGGTATGAGCCGCTAATGTCCCACCCCTTTTCTTTTTATGAAGAGTTGATGTGGATGTCTGTCAACTCAGATGTGTGATTGCAGCCCATGGCTTTTTTTACAAGGAGATCATTACTTTTTGATAGATTATGCTAAGGAACATCACATGCCATTATTAACTTCACATTCTACCAAAAGCCTAGAGAAGGACATGACACTTTGTGGAAAGTGTTAAAGTTGTAGAAAATTCATGGGGAGGTCCGTGTGCTAGCTTACACTGAACTGAAGCTCATGAAGAACACACAGACTAGAGACTGGAGGGTTAAGGTGTGATTTATTTTGACAAAATTCAAGTCAGGCTCTTTAAAGATGATATTCAAAAGAATTAAATATAAAAGAAGTGGTGGTTTTTGCTACTGAAACTAATAAGACCAAACAATTCGAACATGTCTATAGACTAGAATTTCTTAAAAGTGACAGTGAATTATAAGCTCATTAGTCCATAATAAGAAAGCAATGTAGAGTTTTACTGAACAATCTAGTCACTTAATTTTGTGTATAACTTATGTGGATTACTAATTTAAAAATATATATAGTTCTGTGTAAAAAAAAAAAAAAAAAAACTTCACTGAAATTATACCAAACAAAATTTCAACTGTTTTTGGTCATTTAGAAGATCCTTCACGATGTTGCAGTATTTCAGTTATCAAGTATTATTCGATATTACCTCAGACTTTCTGGGTCTGTAAATGTTATGACAGTTTCAATACTATATAAATAGAATAGCAAATCACTCTTTACATTTGATGCTTTTCTAGTTATTTCACTGATTAGGTTATTATTGATAGCTCCATTAATGTAAAGTCTTAGGTTGTTATTGTGTATCAGTAATCTCTTGGACTTTGTTAAACATTTTACTGTGATAATATAGAGAGAATTAAAGCAAGAAAAGCCTGAATTATTGCCTTGTTTTTAAAAATACAGTCTGCAATGTGTGTGTGTGTTTGTTGTTGTTGTTTTGAAACGGGGTCTCACTCTGTCACTGAGGCTGGAGTGCAGTGGTATGATCACGGCTCACTGCAGCCTTGACCTCCCGGGTGCAATCAGTCCTCTCACCTCAGCCTCCTGAATAGTTGGAACTACAAGTGTATGCCACCATATCCAGCTAATTTTTTTTTTTTTTTTTTGTAGAGACAGAGTCTCACTATGTTGTCCAGGCTGGTCTTGAACTCCTGGGCTCAAGGGATCCTCCTTCCTTGGCCTCCCAAAGTGCTAGAATTACAGGCATGAGCCACTGTGTCCAGCCTCTCCAATGTTTTTAGATGTCACTGTCTCATTTTTCCACCTGGAAATTAGGAATAATATAGAATGCCAAGCAGTATGTTTCCTTTTGGAAAGGACTTTGAAGACAAAAAAGAAAGGAGAGAACCCGATGGCTAGAATATTATGAATATTCCAGGATTGAGTTGAAAAGAGAAGACTGAAGATCCAAGTTGCATTCTTAATCTGTCTCAGTTTTTTTTTTTTTTTTGCACTAACAATCAGTTTGTGAATAAAGAGGAAAAAAGGAAAAAGGAAAAAAAAATCGTGATTCATGAGAAGAAGTCAAAATACCAACATTAATAGGAGTTTGGAAGAAGCTGATTCCAACTCTCATGGATGACTTTGGGGATTCAAGCCTTCAGCAGAGAAAGTAACAACAACTACAGATGTGGTGAAAATAGCAAGACAACTAGAATTAGAAGTGGAGCCTGAAGATGTGACTGAATTGTCGCAATCTCATGATCAAACTTGAACGGATGGAAGTGGCTTCTTACGGATGGGCAAAAAAAGTGGTTTCTTGAGATGAATCTCCTCCCGGTGAAGATGCTGTGAACATTGTTGAAATGACAACAAAGGATTTAGAATTACATCAACTTAGCTGATAAAGCAGCAGCAGAGTTTGGGAGGGATGACTCCAATTTTAAAGAAGCTACTGTGGGTAAAATGCTATCAAACAGGATCAAATACTCCAGACAACTCTTCCTCTTCTTCATGAAAGGAAGAGTTAATGGATGTGGAAAACTTCATTGTTGTCTTATTTTAAGAAACTGTCACAGTCACCCCAACTTTCAGCAACCACCCCCCTGGTCAGTCAGCAGTTATCAACATCAAGGCAAGACCCTCCACCAGCAAAAAGATTATGACTCACTGAAGGCTCAGATGATTGTTAGCCTATTTAGCAATAAAATATGTTTAAATTCAGGTATGTACATTTTTTAGACTTAACACTTAGTAGGCTTAAAACACTTAGTAGACTATAGTATAGTGTAAACATAACTTTTATATGCACTGGGAAACCAAAAAAGTTGTGTGACTCCCTTTACTGTGATATTTGCTTTATTGCAGTGGTCTGGAACAGAACCTGCAATAGCTAAAGTGTGCCCAAGTATACCACTGGGTGTTTTTAATATTTCTTCATATGACACACAGTTCTGGACTCTCTGACATACTAAAAACTACTTGTGTGACTCATACAACTGCAGCCTTAGCATAGATAGCATAGGCTGTGTAACTGGGCTCAGTAGAGAGTTGTCTGATAAGATAAGTCTGTAGCCAGAAGCGATGCTTGTTTATAGGTGATTCAGCACAGAGGCAGTTTATTGGGACTCCAATTGACAGCATCTTAGAGGCAAAGACAAAGGATCAAAGAGCCAAAGATAGAACAGAGCCATCGGCCAAAGCCCCAAGGGGCACTTATGACCAGAATAAACTGGGTGGACCCATCTTGAGCCCTGGGTGACCAAAATAGGAACCCAAAGGTTACAAGCTACAGCCAATCACTATTCTCAAGAGTATGACTAGATTTCAATTAACCTTTGCAAAGACAAAACCCAAAGACCATAGGTAGTGAGTTAAAAAAAAAAAAAATTGGCTTATCTGCCTAAACGGACTGAATGGTTCACTTTCTCTTGGCTTCATTTTAGCTCCAAGGGGTAGAGTCTATTCACTTTGCATGTCTCACTTTGTTGCTTCAGAAGGATGGACACTAGCATTAGTAAATGAAAGTTTGATAAGGAAGAGGATTTATATACAAAGTATCACCCTACAAAATACTTACTAATTACAAAGTGAAAAATAGTAACTTAACAGTGGAGAAGCCTGGCAGATACCAGTTAACTAGATGATTTAGGTTGGTTATCAGTGATGGGACAAGTAGGCATCAGGACCTCTTGTTATGATGCACCTAGAAAGACACACCATTGCAGTATCCCAGTCAAAAACACATACCTTAAATCTAAGCACAGGGAACATCAAAATCACTCAAATTAAGGAACATCCTATAAAGTAGAACTGGCCTGTAAACTAAAAATGTCAAGGTCATGAAAGACAATGTAAGATTAAGGAGCTGTTCCAGATTAAAAGAGATTTAAAAGACATGACAACTAAACACAATGTTTGATCCCAGATTAAATCCTGAACCGAAGGAAAATGTTTTTCTTTTGCTACAACGGGCACGACTGGGACAATTAGTAAAATCTGAATAAACAGATTAGATAACAGTTTATATCAAAGTTAATATCCTGATTGTGACATCTATACTTTGTTTTTTATTAGTTTAGTTTGTTTTTTTAAGGAAATATACACTAAAATGTTTATATTATATACTGTATATAATTATAAAGGGATATTATATATTATGTGGCTGACTTTCAAATAACTCAGAAAAATATGATAAAACAAATGTAGCAAAATATTAACCATCGGTGAATCTGGGTGAAGAGTATATGTGAATCTTGTGTATCATTTTTCTACTGTTTATGTAACTGAAATTATTTCAAAATGAAATTTTTAATTAAGAAAAGAAAAGGACAAGATGAGTGAAAAGTCCAGCCCCCTGAGGCGCTCCTGACCACAGAGACTCAGGGTTCCAAGGCTGGCCTTCCTCCTTTGATACTGCAGTGACAAACAGGATGAGCAAAGACTTCAGAGCTGTGCAGATCTGGGTTCCAATCATTGTGCCTCACATAAACTAAGCTCACTAAAAAAAGATGGTATTTATTATTTCAAATTTTTAAAAAGCAACAGAAAAATATGAAACGCTTCCTCATTTATTTTATGGAGCAAGTTAAGTACAGCCCTAATACCAAAACTCTGGCATTCAGTACAGGTGAAAAGAAAACTATGTATTATCCCATTTACAAATTACTAGTAAATTGAATCAGGCAGTACATTAAAAGAATAAGACACCATGGCAAAATCAAGTTGGTTCAAAAAAGTAAGGATGAATGGATGGAGGGATGGACAAATATCAAGAAATTCATTAAAATAATTTATCAGTTATGGAAGTCAAAAAAGATAAAGACTTAGAAATTCAATAAAGAGGCATTTTCAACATTTGAACATCTTTTCCTGATTTTTAAATGTTTATTTTTCCAGTGGGACTGTTTATAACTTTTCTGATTATAAAAGTAATCATGATTATTGTAAAAATTTCCAAGTAAGGCAAAAGTGGGTAGAATAGAGTTTCCTCACAGTCCATGACACTGTGGAGTCTTTCAAGCTTGTGAAAGCATCTTTACAAGTAGGTAGATCACGAGCCAGCACGCAAGAAACAGAGGAGAGAGAGAGAGAGAACCCTATTCTGAGAATAAAAGGCAATTCCTCTGTTAGCTTGTGGGCTCTCACAAAGCATACCACTGATAAAATGGAGTCACACTATCGCCTCCCTTTCCATGATCTTCCCCCTCCTGCCTAACCAGCCATCACTGCAGAAGGTCGCAAATCCACATGTGAGTCACTTCAGAGCAGCTCTCCTCACATGTAGGTTCTCACCACTCAGATACTATCCATCCTCAGCTATGAAGGGCTCTGTGTAGAAAGATAAGAGGGTAAAAAATAAAAAATTTTAAGAGAGAACATTTAGGTATACAATTTAAAAGATGGGGAAATTAGAGAATTAAGGAGATACTGTGCAGAATTAAAATCATCATCATCATCATCATCATCATCTGCTTTGCAGGCTACACAGCGTAAGGAGCATATTATTTAGAGAACATTTGTGTTTAAATTCTCTGGTGTTTCAGGAGTTGGCAGCAGGTTTTCAGAACTCAGACATCATTTGAGTCATGGACAGAATTGGAAACCTGATGCACTGATGCTGTTTTCTATCTGTGGCTGAAAAATGAGGTATTTTCCGATAATAAGAGATATAGAATCCAAGAGGAAGCATACCCACTTCCAGTTCCAAATAACTTTCCTTGCAAAAGGCAAAGATCCTTCTGAAACTCGGTTAGTTAGAGAGTCTGATCTCATCCCTTCAGAACAACCAGAGCTCAAGGCTGCAGTAACCTGACTCTCCAGTGTTATTTTGACCAACTTCATAGAAACAAAAGCTGCCTTTGATGCACCTCAATGCCTAGCCACCTCACCAGAGAATCAAATATTAAAAATTAATCAGGCTGGCCAGACACCATTCAATGTCAGGCAGCTTTACACAGGAGGTGGAGCTCTGGGGTGACGTAGAGTGAATGCTTATCTTTCGTGTTGTCATGAACTTCTGTGATTTAGCTCACTGCCTATTTCTTCTCCTGGTCATGTCTAATTCTGGGTGGGCAGCTCTGCAGAGGCTGAGCAGCCAAGCTTCCATGTGGCCTCATTGCTTTCATGCTTCTTCTCCTCTCCAACTGTTTCTCTCCTCCTCTAGGGCACGACACCTCCAAATGCTCATTGCTAACTCACCCTCTTACCTTCTTGCCCCACCATAGTATCAGTGGACAAAATCCACAAGCTCGCAAGGTTTAAAGTCATCACCTCTATTCTGAAGCAGACACTGAAGGAACATACGAGCTGACACAGGGGTGGGATTTCACAGGATGGAGAAGGAACAGAGGGACACTCCAGGCTGAGGCAGAGACTTTAAAAACATGCTGAGGATGACTGGGGAAGTGGCAAGCGGTCCAGTGGGGCTGCACCTTAGGGTCCAATACGTCTCTAGCTCTGGCACTGCTTCTCCCGGGTGCCACACCCCAACTGCACCCCAGCCTCTCTGCATGGAGTCCCTCAGATACCTCACACTAAACATACCCTAGCCAAAACCTTTCTCCTTCTAGACTCTAAATTTTGGCTAATGGAGCCACCATGCTTTCAGTCAAGCTGAAAACTTAAGTCACCTCAGACTCTTCCCTCTCTGTCTCAACACACAGTACTTCAACAATTTGCATCAATGCTTCTCCAAAATGCTCTTGAATCCATTCCCTACTCTCAATTCCTCCTAGCACTAATTTCAGCCTTATGTCTCACCCGGGCTTTTACAGAGCCCCAGCATGTGCCACACAAACTCCCACTCTTCCCTGGAGTCAGCCCAGTCCTTGTGTCACTATGAAGCCCTCCCTACCCCAGCAGTTTGTCCCCTTTTTCCTTGCTCTCACCTTGCTGTGTACCTACCTTTACTACTAAAAGCCAGCACACAGAATGATCACTACTTAAAACTTGTTTCCTCCATTCAACAACAAATTTCTCAAGGGTAGACACTGTGTTTTGTAACTTCTGAAAAAGATGCTTCCCAAGCATCTTACATGGTATCCGAACATAGCATTTCACAATGAAATCATGGTAAACTAGTGGAAACCCTAACCATTCTCCTTGCTCTGCCTTTTCCTTCTTATGCATTTTTTCTAACTTTTTATTTTGAATTAAGTATAGATTCACAGGAAGTTGCGAAAATAGTGCAGAGGAGATCCACGTACCCTTCATCCAGTTTCCCCCAATGGTGACATCTGACATAACTATGGTACAACGTCAAAACCAGGAAACTGACATTGGCACAATCCACAGACCTTATTCACTCCAGGCTGAGGCAGAGACTTAAAAAACATGCTGAGGATGTTTTACACCAGTTTTACATGCACTCATATGTATGTGTAGTTGTATGTAAATTTATAATGTGTAGATGTGTGTAACCACAACCACAGTCAGGATACAGAACTGTTCCATCACCAAAAAGATCCCTTATGCTGCCTCTTTATAGTCATCCTCCGCTCCTACCTTCCCCCTGCCCCCACACTGCCCCTAATTCCTGGTAACCACTAATGTGTTTTCCATCTCTTCTATGGACACTTTTAACAGTGTCCCACTGCCTACAGAAGGTTCACAGACCTCATCTGTGGCATTCAAGGCCTTCAGGATGTGATCCAGAGCTACTGTTCAGCCCATTCCTCCCCTCCACCCCCATGAACTCACTATTCCAGCTACACAGGACAATTCACTGTCCTAGGAACATGCTTTGCACTTTCCTGCCTTTGTATCTTTGCTCATGTTGTTCCTATGTCTAACCTTCTCTCCCTGCTTGTTCACTCAGAAGAACCATCTTTAAGGTTCAGCATAAATATCATATTTACAAAAAGCTGCTTCCTGATTTCTACCATCCCCAAGCAACTGTTTTTTCTCATCTCTGTAATCCCTCTCTTATAGCACTCAAGTCACAGGATTATTGGGTGTCCATGTCTTCCCCACTTGACCACGATCCAATTGAACACAAGGATGTGTATTATTCACTTTTGTCTTCACAAGACCTCAGCAGTTTGATCCCACAGACTTTCACAAATCCTTCTCTTGTACTACCTGGCACTTGCTGCACTTAGTGCTGGAGATACAAAGATAAATATCCCCTGATGAGACTTCCAGGCTAGTACCTCAATGTCTGATTCACTGAGGATACACACAGCAACTTCTTGAATGAATGAATGAATGAATGATAAAAATCTGTAGGTCACTTGAAAACATTTTAAGACTCAGTGATCTAGAACAGACATACATCGTCCTGCTGCCGCTGAATGACACTAGAAGCCACCAATCATTGATCACTCAATAAATGCTTACAAAGTGACTACTGCATGACAAGCACCTCTCTAGGTATTGGAGATACAGCAGTAAACAAAACTGACACAAATATCTGCCCTCATGGAGCTTGCACTCAACCAGGGAGACAGGCCATAAAATAAATACATACATTAAAAAGTAGGTTAGAGGCTAGGTGTGGTAGCCCACGCCTATAATCCCAACACTTTGGGAGACCTAAGCGGGAGGACTGCTTGAGCTCACAAGTTCAAGACCAGCCTGGGCAACCAGGTAAAACCCCATCTCTACAAAAAATACAGAAATTAGCCGGGCGTGGTGGTGCATGCCTGTAGTCCCAGCTACTTGGCAGGCTGAGGTGGGAGGATGGCTTGAGCCCAAGAGGCAGAGGTTGCAGTGAGCCGAGATCACACAATTGCACTCCAGTCTTGCCTCAAAAAAAAAAAAAAAAAAAAAAAGTGCGTTAGATTGTGATAAACGCTGTGGAGAAAAATAAAGCAAGAAGGTTTGACAGAGAGTGTTATGTGGGGGAAGAGGGTGAAGAATTTCAAATTAAGGGTCAGAGAAGGGTTCCCCAAGAAGGTGACATATGAACAAAACTGTGAAGGAGGTGAGTGGGCAGAGCATGGGGCTATTTGGAGGAAGAGAACCCCAGGGAGAGGGAAGGACGGGCAGGAGCACACCTGGCATACTCAAGGACTAAAAAGAAGAGTGGAGCAGGTGAATATCAGAAAATGGGCTCAGTAAGGCAGAGGTAAGAGGAGGGGTCATCGTATGGCCTTGTAAGAAACAGGAAAGACTTTGCCTTGATTTCTGATGATGCGTTAACACTTTATCTCTTCTACTTTTCTTTCCCATGAGTATTTGGTTACTCTCTCTGACTCCCACAAGCCCCCAAAATGGTACTCAGGAATAAAATAATTTATCAAACACGGGTAACGACTACTGCTAGCTACCAGGATACAAAATCTATTAAACATGGCCATCGAGAGGTGGGACAGTATCATGAAAACCTTCTAGATTATACTTATAATAAGCCAACCTATTTCTAACTCAGTAATTTTTTAAATTGATTTTTCCCTGAATCATAAGAGTAATGATACAAGAGAAACTCTCTCTTCTCCAACCCAATCAATCAGGCCAGTGGTTGGATCATCCAGGGTGTGGGCAGACTAGAGATTAGCCATGACCACTCAGCTTGCTGTGAACAGACATATGTGCTACAGCAGGGAAGGGGAAGAGCCTGATAATCTCATCAGGTGGAGTTGGTCAAAAGAATTGTCTTATAGGACATCTGAGTACAATGGCAACAGGGGAACACATGTCTCCTGCCCCCAGGTCCTTTTAAAATAAACTAAAGGCACACAAAAATAGACAAAAACATGCATTTGAGTTGGAAACCAGGAAGGATGCCATCCAACCTGCCTAGAACTTTGAGGAATATCTGCTAGATTTAGTCAAGATGGAGCAGGACCAAAGAAGGCCCAGCTAGCTTTCTAAGAAGCAATGTGTCCTGGCAATAAATGCAGGCAGCAATAAATGCAGGCAGCACCTGCAGGACACAAAAGAAGGCTAGGGCAGCAGGCACAGAACTCCTACAACACAAGCCAAGGCGCAACCAACAGCTTTCCTCAGAGCCTTGAGCAGACATTCACCCACCCAGCTCCCTGCCCAGGCCAACAGCTTGGCAGAGGGAGTGGCACTGAAGGGCTGGGTCTGGCACGGGCAGCCAGTGTAAATTCAGTCAACCTAAAATTTCCCCTTGCTCCTTCATTTGAATATGAAGAAGACAGAGACTCACAATTATCTCTCTAAGAATTCATCTCCCATGAGATTATGGTGATGGCTGTAAAACTATGTTCAGAATAAGATTTAAGGAGTCAGTGTAACTATGATACTTAAGTAAGTGGTTTTTAAAAAGGGATTTCTGAAATAGGAAAGACTGAATGGAAATTAAAACTTTGAATACTGGTTTAAATAGTAACGGAGGAAAGGAACAGCAAATTGAAGACTATACAATCAAATTGGAAAAGCGAAACAAATTCCCCAAGAACTCAGAAATGTCAGAAGACAAAAATGAGGTAGAGATTAATTTTAACACAGGACAGAGAAAGAACATGGCATATTAAAAGCTTAAGCTTAACAAAAAAACTTCTTAGAAATAATAAATTCAGCAAAGTTGAAGGATACAAAATCAGTTACATTTCTATACACTAACAGCGAATAATATGAAAGGGAAATAAATCCATTTCATTTACAATGCATCAAAAACAATAAAATAATCAAGAATAAACTCAACTAAGGAGATGAAAGACTTGTACACCGAAAATGATAAAACAATGCTGAAAGAAATTGGAGAAGACACACATAAAAGGAGACATCTTGTGTATGTGGATTGGAAGACTTGTTGTTAGGATGTCAATACTATCCAAAGCAATCTACAGGTTCAATGCCATCCCAATAAAATAGGCTGGGCACAGTGGCTCATACCTGTAATCCCAGCACTTTGGGAGGCCAAGGCAGGCGGATCACTTGAGGTCAGGAGTTCAAGGCCAGCCTGGCCAACATAGTGGAACCCCATCTCTACCAAAACACACAAAAATTAGCCGGGCTTGGTGGCGGGTGCCTGTAGTCCCAGCTATTCGGGAGGCTGAGGTGGGAGAATCACCTAAACCCAGGAGGGGGAGGTTGCAGTGAGCCAAGATTGTGCCACTACACTCCATCCTGGGTGACAGAGTGAGACCCTATCTCAAAACAAAAAGAGAATACCAATAAAATTAAAAATCCAGGCCAGGCACGGTGGCTCAGGCCTGTAATCCCAGCATTTTGGAAGGCAGAGGCAGGCGGATCACCTGAGGTCAGGAGTTTGAGACCAGCCTGGCCAACATGGCAAAACTCCGTTTCTACTAAAAATACAAAAATTAGTCAGGCACGGTGGTGGGTGCCTGAGGCTGAGGCAGGAGAATCATTTGAACCCAGAAGGCAGAGGTTGCAGTGAGCCGAGATTGTGCCATTGCACCCCAGCCTGGGTGACACAGTGAGACTCCATCTAAAAAATAATAATAAAAATAAAAAATAAGAAAATCCAACCTAAACCCACACGAAATCTCAAGGGACTCTGAATAACCAAAACAAATTAGAAAAATAACAAAATTGGGCCAGGTGCGGTGGCTCACGCCTGTAATCCCAGCACTTTAGGAGGCCGAGGTGGGTGGATCACGAGGTCAGGAGATCGAGACCATCCTGACTAACATGGTGAAACCCCATCTCTACTAAAAAATACAAAAAATTAGCCGAGCATGGTGGCGGGCACCTGTAGTCCCAGCTACTCGGGAGGCTGAGGCAAGAGAATGGCGTGAACCCGGGAGGCGGAGCTTTGCAGTGAGCCGAGATCACACCACTGCACTCCAGCCTGGGCGACAGAGTGAGACTCTGTCTCAAAAAAAAAAAAAAAAAAAAAAATTGGAGGTCACATACCTTCTGATTTAAAAACTTACTACAAAACTACAGTCATCAAAACAGTGTGGTACTGGCATAAAGACAGATATAGAGACTAATAGAATAAAATAGAGATCCCAGAAATAAACCCTCACATATATGGTCAAATGATTTTTCAGCAAGCGTGCCAAGACCATTCAAGGGGGAAAGGATAACCTCTTCAACAAATGGAACTGGGAAAACTGGATACCCACATGCAAAAAAAGGAGGACCCCTTCTTACCTCATGACTACACAAAAATTAACTCAAATTGGATCAAACATCTAAAAAGCTAAAACTACAAATTCCTCAGAAGAAAACATATGGGAAAATCTTCATGACATTGAATTTAGCGATGACTTCTTGGATATGATACCAAAGGCACAGGCAACAAATGCAAAAATATGCAAATGGAACCATAGCAAAAATTAAACACTTTTGAGTATCAAAGGACAACTAGCAAAAGAGTAGAAAGGCAATCCATGGAATGGAAGGAAATACTGTATTTATAAATCATACATCTGATAAGAAGTTAACATCCAGAAAATATTAAAAATTCCTAAAATTCAATAACAGCCCTATTAGAAAAATGAACAATGGACTATTAATAGACATTTCTCCAAAGAAGATATACAAATGAGATATACAAACAGCTAATAATAAGCACAGGAGAAGATGCTCAACATTATTAGTCATTAGGGAAATGTAAATCAAACAACAACGTGATTATCATTTCACACCCACTAGGATAGCTATTACTAAGAAAAAACAGCAGAAAATAACAAGTTTTGGTGAGGATGTGGAATAATTGGAACTCTTATGGATTGCTGATGGGAATGTAATATGGTGCAGCTGCTGTGGAAAATGGTATGCCAATTCCTAAAAAAGCTGAGCACTGAACTACCTTATGATCCAGCAATTCCATTTCTGGGTATATACCTGTTATGGCTAATATTAGGTGTCAATTTGACTGGATTGAGGGATGCCTAGATGGCTGGTGAGGCAGTTTCTGGGTGTGTCTATGAGGGTGTTGCCAGAGGAGACTGACATTTGAGTTGGTGGACTACGAGGGGGAGACCCACCCTCAATGTGGGTGGGCACCATCCAACTGGCTGCCAACGCGGCTAGAACAAAGTAGGCAGAAGGGGGATAAATAGCCTGCAGAGTCTTCTCGCTCTCTCTCTCTTCACATGCAGGACTCTTTGCTTCCTCTCCTCCTGCCCTTGGGCATCAGACTTCCAGATTCTTCTGCTTTTGGACTTTGGGACTCGGACCAGTGGCTTCCTGGGGGCTTTTGGGCCTTCGGCCTCAGACTGGGGGCTGCACTGTCAGACAACATTGAGACTTCCTTGGTAAAACTTATACAGCACATGGTTTAGAGTTGGTTTTGAGGCTTTCGGGCTTGGACTGAGCCACTAATGGCTTCTCTCTCCCCGAGCTTGCAGATGGCCTATCATGGGACTTTGCCTTGTAATTTTATGAGCCAATTCTCCCTAATAAACTCCCTTTATATATACATATACCTTATTGGTTCTGTCCCTCTGGAGAACCCAAATACAACACCCAAAAGAACAGAATGCAGGGTCTTGAAGAGAGATACGTATACCCATGTTCACAGCAACATTTCTCACAACAGCCAGAAGGTAGAAGCAATCCAGCCATCCATCAACAGATGAATGGATAAGGAAACTGTGGTATAGACATGCAATGGAATATTATTTAGCCTTAAAAGGGAAGAACATTTTGACATATACTATAACATGGATGAACTCTGAAGACATTATACTAAGTGAAATAAGCCACTCACAAAAAGCAAAACACTCTATGATTCCATTTTAGATGAGGTATCTAGAGTAGGCAAATTCATAGGGACAGAAAGTAGAATGGTGGCTGCCAGGGGCTTGGGGGAGAAAGGGAATAGGGAGTTAGTGTTTAATGGGCATAGACTTTCAGTTGGGACGATGAAAAAGTTCTGGAGATGGATGGTGGTCATGAGTACACAATAATGTGAATGTACTGCACGTTGTGCACATGTACCCTAGAACTTAAAGTATAATAAAAAAAGTTATCCAACTGGGGATTTATTAATATATGGATTAAAGTATTTCATCTGTTAGAGAGAAAAAAAATAATGTGAATGTACTTAATGCCATAGAACTGTATACTAAAAAAGGATTAAAATGGTAAATGTTATATTATGTATGTAACCACAACTTTTAAAAAAGGGCTTGGGTTTAGAGTCAGCAGTCCTTCTACCTATTAGCAGACAACTTTGTGGCAAGTTGCTTAAACTTTCTCGGAAGTAAAATGAGGTAACAGTAGGGCTGTGGAGATAAATAAGATAATTCCAACAGGCACTTGCTACATAAGCACTAAAAGTCAGCTCTTATTATTATGAAGATGCTATGAGAATGGCACAGCTGGCTCTAGACGTTTCACCAGAAAACGACAACAGTTGTATTTTGGAGTCATTATCTAGGGAAGAATGTTTTCACATTGTTTGATATTTTATGATAAAGGTTCTTTCTAGCATCTTCTCTATGGTCCTTGCCTCCTTCACCATTCAACTCTAAACCATGTGCTGTATAAGTTTTACCAAGGAAGTCTCAGTGTTGTCTAAGGAGGCAAGCCAATCCTTGGAAAATGAAAAACTGGTACATTCATACCAAGATGGAAGACATGAGCCAGTTTACAGAAAGCAAGTCAATGACAATCTCCCAGTTAGTCAAAGCCTTCAAAGGCTCTGTGTCTTCCACTCTACTATGATGTCAACTTTATGTTTTGGTCAAAGTTAAAGTATTACCTGGAGAAGTGCTGACTAGGCTTCTGGACCTTTAGACATATCAGTGTCCTTAGGGGAAAGCAGCATTTTAACAAAGCAGTTTAGCCATGTGAAATGGCCTAAGCTCTAGATCTGGAGACCAGGAAAATTCAGTGTAAGTGGGTAATTTGAGGTCTCATGAGGCCCATCACCTCCCTCAGTCCAATGGCCCACTTTAAGACAGGCATCTTGTCAAGGAAGATGAGATGCAAGCATCTGAAGGCACAGGCTTTGTGCAATCCCAACAGCTCCTAGAATCACACCCCAAATCATGGGGCCAATGATCAAGACCCCAGGAAGAGGGGAAATCACTTCCAAGCTACAGCACCATGATGCAATAAGAAATATATATTTGGTCGTTGCCCCTGATTCCTGACACAGAGCACCTAAAACCCTTGTAGTAATTTCCTGAGTGGTAGGGGTGATAGGAGCATCTTTTGTTAATATTTGGTCTTAGCCCCTGTTTCCTAACACAAAAGCGTCTAAAACCCTTGAAATCTCCAGAATGCAGAGTGTCTTTTTGTAAGTGAATGAAATGGCTAGTGGCTGGGCTTCCTAGGTAGCTTCCGGATGGGGGCTGGTTGGCAGGGAACTCAACCATGTGATTAGAAGGTTAGAACCTTAAGTCTTACCCCTAGCCTCTGAGGAGGGCAAGAGCTAGAGATAGAGCTAATCAACAAGGGCCAGTGATTTAATCAATCATACCTATGTAATAAAGCCTCCATAAAAACCCTAAATAAAGGGGTTTAAAGAGCTTCTAGATAGCTCCGTATGTGGAGGTACCTGGAGGGTGGCATGCCCAGAGAGGGCATGCAAGCTCCATGCCCCTTCCCCATCCCTTGTCCTAGGTAGCTCTTACCTGGTTGTTCATTTGTATCCTTTACAATAAACTGATAAACATAAAGTATTTCCCTGAGTGGTGTGAGCCACTGTTGCAAATGATCAAACAGGAGGAAGGGGTAATGAGAACCCCTAATTTGTAGCTAACCTGGTACCAGAAGCTTGCAACTGGCATCTGAAATGGGGGCAGTCTTGAGCCCTTAATCTGTAAAATCTGAAGCTAACTCCAAATAGATAGTGTCAGAATTAATTTGAATAGTAGGACACCCAAACGGTGTCTAGGAAGTCAAATAACTGATTGTTAGTGTGGAAAAAACTTAGATTTGGTGTCAGAAATGTGAGTAGAGGAAATGGTTTTCCTTTTGAGCACCACTATCAGGTGAGTCAGCTCAGAAGACAAGCAACAAAGAATTCATTAATAAAGGTTAAAATTAGTAAAATGCCTACTTCTGTTTCATTTACTGTCCATGACTAGAGAGAAATACCAAAGAAACACAAAATACTGGTGAGAAAACAGGCTGAAAACAAAGGCAAGGAAGGAGAAAGGGAAGAGGAAAGGCTCATTGAAGGAAGGCAGACATGGAGTCACACAGGGACAGGTGTAACAGCTGGAAGGAGGAGTCTAGTAAACTCTCTCTCATGAAGCCAGACCTGGTCAGGCCATTCCAGTCCTGCCCCGTGGAGCTGGCATTTCAAGCTGAAAGTTTCCCGAGAGTGGCAGCAACAGTGCAGGGTCCCAGGTGAGGGATTTAGTCATGGCACTCTCCACGGCATTTTGCTTCCTTCTCTCCCAACCAGGAAAACAAAAACAAAAACAAAAACCTTTGCTCCCAACACCCTGTCTCCTTCACCACTCTGGTAGGTTGAATAATGGTTCCCCCAAAAGAAAGGTCCATGTCCTAAGCCCAGAAACCTGTAAATGTGACCTTATATAGAAAAAGAGTCTTTGTAGGTGTAATTAATTGAAAGATCTCAAGATGGGGGTCATCCTGGATTATGCTGGCAGACCCTAAATCTAATGATAAGTGTCCTTAGAAGAGACACTCAGAGGAGAGACACACAGAAGAGGAGAAGGTCATGCAAAAACTGAGACAGGGACTGGAGTGATGGAGCCACAAACCAAGGAATGCCTGGAGCCACGAGAAGCCAGAATAGGCAAGAAATGATTCTCCCCTGGAGCTTTTGAGGGAGCACGGCCCTGTCAACACATTGATTTCTCACTTCTGGCCTCCAGAACTGTGAGAAGGTTAATTAATCTCTACTGGTGTAAGCCACCCAGTTTGTGGTCATTTGTTACTGTGGCCCTAAGAAATTAATATGACCCCAACCACGAGGAAAAAAACAAAACATGTTGCTGTCCTCTTTCCTCATGGGCACCATCAAAAACCTTCCTTCTAGGGTTTTCACTTACATAGTCTACCAAGGAAACTGCATGCCCATTGGTGCTGTCCTTTCCATGTGGACTTCGACCTCAGCTTAGCCACTTCTCGGGACTTCGCAGAGAAGCCCCGCAGGCCAGAATAGTTCAGTCCTGCTGGGCACTCAGCTGACCTCATGTCACTTGGGCTCTGATCCTTATGAGAGACACAGAGGATGGGAGGCAGGGTATGTTATTTTGCTTTTTAACCCAGTACCATTTAACCAAATGGAAATACCATTCCCATCTATATGACTCAAAAGATAAAGACAGACCACAGTGGAAGATGTTTTAAGAACTGGCCTGAGGAGTTTCTAGAAGAACCTGAAACACGGGATTTCCTGGGAGGACCTCCCCAATCCTCCCTCCTCCTCGCTCCTGGGTCTTGCTTTCTCTCATTTATTTTCTTCATTTCTTCCTTCCCTGTTTCTTTTTGGCTATGAATTTGCTCTTATATGAAAGAAACTGTACTCACACAGAAAGAAAGTGGAAAGCAAGAAACTGTGACAGTCAATCCTACTGCACTGGCTTCAACTCCTATACTTTTACAGCTAAATTCACTTCCCGGACTTGAAAACTTACTGGTGGGAGTTCAATGTCTGCCTTCCCCACTAGACTGTAAGCTCTAGGAGAAAAACACCTATAACTGTTTTGTTCATCATAATTTATGCAGTGCTTTCAACAGTGCCCTCATGACATGGGGCTTAAAATGTGTTTGTGGAATGACAAGTCTATATCAAAGGTTAAATACTAAAATGGTAAATTTTATGTTAAAGCTAAACATAGTGACTGGGCATGGTGGCTCATGCCTGTAATCACAGCACTTTGGGAGGTCAAGGCAGACAAATCATGTGAGCTCAGGAGTTCAAGACCAGCCTGGGCAACACGGCAAAACCCTGTCTGTACTAAAAACTGATTAGTGGGTACCACTTTCCTTTTCGGGCGATGAAAATGTTTTGGAACTAGATAGAGGTAGTGGTTGCACAACATTATGTTTAGTTTTGGTTTCTGGTTTTCTTTTAGAGATGAAGTTTGCTGTTGTCCAGGCTGAGCTTCTGGGCTCAAGTGATCCTCTCACCTCAGCCGCTTGAGTAGCAGGAATCACAGCCACCAGCCACCATGCCCAGCTGCACAACATTGTTAATGTACTAAATGCCACTGAACTGTTCACTTTAAAATGGTTAATTATGTTATGTGAATTTTGCCTCCATTTTAAAAAAAGAACGAAAAGAAAAAGGTGAAATAAACCTGATTTTGCCATTTAACAATAGAGTTCAAAGTAAAGTATATATAAAAAACTATTTTTTTTATGACTTAAGTAACCACCAGAGTACTGATGTTGGGGCCCAGGGTGTAAATCAGGGATTCTCAACCTGGACGCTCATGACTTTGGACTGTATAATTCCCTGTTATGGGGGCCATCCCCATCCCATGCACTACAGGATATTCACCAGCATCCCTGACCTCCATTCGTTTGATGCCTGTAATAGCCCTTTCCTAGGTGTGACAATCAAAAATGTCTCTAGATATTGCCAAGTGTCTCCTGGGGGGCAAAACAGCCACAATTGAGACCTACTGGTCTAAATGGAAAAAGGGCTCTCTAGCAATTATCAAAAATTTCTTCTTTTTCTATCCCTTGTATACCTACCAGTGTGACTCATTGTTTCCTGCCAATCCTACCAGCCACAAATGACCTATCTGTGAACTTCTAGCACCTGGTTATAATGCCCTTTTTCTAACCCCAAGTTCCCCCAAGCCACCCACGAGGGACCTGGACATGCTGCTTTCTGCCTGTGTCACTTGCCAGGCCACAGATTATCCAGGGGCCCTCATCCTATCCCCAGTGTATGGTAACATAGCTCCACTAGCACCTACAAGATAGAAGGATGTCCTTAAGGTATAGGTCAAGGAAAAAGCAAACCTACTGGTTTGACAAGCAGAACAGAGCCTCCCTGTGCCTAGGCCCTCATTCTCTAATCTCAGTCAAGAACAACAAAATTCCAAACCATCACACCACCCCCAAACAGGGTAACAGGTGAAATGAAAGGTTGAAAGCCCCTATCCCTAGAAGATATAAGTGAATTTTCAAGGAATTCAATTATCTCTAACTTTAAGGAACACAATCAATTCACATCGAGTTGCTTTGACATTAATCTTTCAGAAGACCCCACAAGCTTGAGAGGAGAAATGGATTCTAATCCCAATTGAACCTAGCTGTGTAGTTTCGGACAGGCCATTTAATCCTCTGGGCATAGTTTCTCCTTTGCAAGATCTGTGAGTTAGGCTGTTTGAATTCTAAGTTTAATGCATTAATTTAATACCTACTTCCTAAATACCTACTTATTAAAAGCATACAAAAAGATGAGTGAGAACCTAACCATACCCTCAAGGAGTCCAAGTTGGGTCAGGGATGAAGGGAGAACAGCTTAGAAGACTGATAAATAAATCGTTATTGTAAGATGCAGCAAATCCTAAAGAGGTATGTGCCACATGCTTGAGTGTATGAGAGTGCAAACATCAGGAACAACTAATCACATGTAAAAGAAGTGAACAGACATTCCCAGCAGCACGCTGTGCCTGCTCCTGTGAAGGGATAAAGTGAAGAGCTGGAAGCATTAGGAGTATAGAAGAGGCCACATTTAATGGAGATGCCTCTACTATTTTGGTTTGTTAACACCTAGAAAGAATATACAAGGAATAAACCATTTCCAACTCAAAGATTAGGCTTTTTGGCTGACAGAGTCATACCTCCTCCTTTATCTCGAGGCTGCTGAGCAAAGATTCAGGGAAGTGGTCCTTCATCATTCAGCAACCTCTGAGGTGAAGGGCTTCACTAAGAATTAATCATTAGTCTAGTGATAAAAAAGAACCATGAGGCAACCAACCTGACCAGGAGGGCATAAAAGTGAAAGGTAAGCAGGAGCTCCCAGCAATAAAATACAAAAAGCAAATTCAAAACCAGGTCCTGAAGATGCCTCTACAGCGACCATGCAAGGTCTTTTTTGTCACAAAGCCAAGACCCAAAGGAGAAAAAAGAATTCATGTACACATAAAATTAAATATAAGTAGAGATATAAATAAATATATAATATTCAATATACTAATATATAAGTAAAATACATGCAAAATAAAAATGGGTTCCTTTTAATAAGAGGAAGTTAAGCTGCCAAATAAATGCCATAAATTATAAATACCTAACAATAAAAACAACTTAGCTCCACAATCAAGCCAAAGGATAAATCATCCAACTTGCTCGGTCCTGCTCCTGCACCAGCCAATATCACTTGCATCACTAGCCCTCTGATGCCATATTTTCCTACGCCTCAGTAGCTTAGCGCAGGAGGTCAGAACTTTCCTTGCTCTCCTGAGTTGACTCCAAACCATCACTCCTCCACCCTCATGTAAAAATTCCTGCTCCTTTGAGCTCATGCCACGTGGCTACACTGGCTTCCACCCTGCCTTGCCTTTGTACTTCCCCCTCTGGCTCAGTCTCTAACATTCACGGATGCCTGTAGCATCTTGGCTTCCCTCCACTGCAACTCCTACCATCTTTCTGGGTGGTCTCAAAATCCACTTATTCCTAAACTGCAGCCTCCAGATTTCTTCACGACACTGACCTTTGGTCCTCTCAATGACCTACACATCCATGGCCACCCTCTAGACCTTGTCAACACAAATCTTAAACATCAGTCTCCCCCATTCTGACACACCCTCCAAGACTTCCATTCCCTTAGGCTTTCATTCTGGCCTGACCATCCAGTCCTCCATGCTCTGACTCTTCCATTTTCTTTCAATCAACCAATCAACCCCCTGCTTAGACAGGCTTGTCTCCCCATTCTGGCCCCATGGTTGACCATCTACACTGCTCCTTTGATTTCTGTGCACTCCTAGCCTCCCCTCACACCTCCCCAACCTTGAATCAATGCTAAATCCACCTGCTCTGTTCCTAACCTCAAATCACACAGCCTTACAAGACTGCCTCATGGTGTCCATCCTGGCTTGGGTCCTTTCCTTGTCCTTGGTTAGCTCCCTCTCTCATTCCCCTCGATGACTAACCCAACTCTCAGGAGTATCCTCAGCCCCATACTTACCACTATCCTCGGCAGACAACCTTGCCTCCTTACTCCAGAAAATTGAGGGTATCTGTTATGATTGCCTTCAATTCCCACCCTACCCCCAAGGCTTCCCCACTACAAACTTATCTATATCCATACAGATTCACTCATCTCCTCCTGTCTCAGAGTGTGAAATTTCCCTCTTCTTTCCCAAGGTTCAGCCTTGATCTTATTCATCCATCCACCCATTTAATCAACAAATATTTACTGTGTCCCTACTCTATGAGAGCCATGGTTCTAGGCCTGTGAATAAAACAGAAAAGCTCATAAAGCTTAAGTTCCAAAGAGGAGAGACAATACACAAACAAGCACGTTATATAGCAGAGCCAAAGCAGGGAAGAGGGAGGGAGTGCTGCCGGGAGGGAGGGGTTGCAAATTTTAATGGAATGGTCAGGGAAGGACTCTCTCAGAAAGTGACATTTAAGCAAAATAGGTGAGGGAGAGCAAGCTTTGGGGCTACCTAGAGGACACATTCCACAGGCAAGGGGAACAGCAAGTACAAGAGGCCTGAGCAGGGAGGTGCGAATCTGCCCTGCTTTAAGAAACCACAGGAAGGAAGCCAGTATGGATAGAGAGCAATAACCAGAGGAGAAGAGTAAAATAAGAATGCAGAGAGGAAACGGTGGGGCAGAGCATAGCACTTTCTAGGCCACAGCAGGATTTACAGTTTTACTCTGAGATGGGGAATCACTGGACGCTTCTGAGCAGAGGAGTAACTAACATGAAATGATTGGCACTTTAAAGGCTCACTCTGGCTACTGTGCTGAGTAGACTGAGGAGGCTCAGGCAGCAGTGGAGAGACCAGTGAAGAAACAGCTGCCATCATCCAGGCCAATGACAGGCTGGCCCAGAGAGACAGCAACGAAGGCAGTAAGAAGTGGTTGGACCTTGGCTGTATTGTGAATATAGAGCAAACAGGATTTTCTGATAAACTGAATGACAAGAGGTTTTTGGCCTGAGTATCTAAAAGAATGGAATTGCAATTTTTAAAAATGAAGACTACTCCATTCCCTCCTGTCTCCTCTGGGACCTTGCTCCATGAGGAACTGCCCTCTCTTCTGTTTTAACCTCAATCTCTCCCCTGACCTCCTCTCTCTAGCCTGGTGCCTCTTCCCATCAGCCTACTGATATGCTCAAGCATCTCCCAAGCTATGATCTCTCCCTTTCTTTTCTTATGAACATTTCTCAAAGAAATAGTTTAGACTTGGTGCTCCCACTCACCAACTCACTGTAATCTATAATTCCGTTTCCATCACTCTTCTGAATGCTCTTGCAGAGGTCAATGCCACTCCACTGGCCAATCCAGAGGACACTTTCCAGTCTTTATCCTACTTGACCTCTCTGGGATATTTGACCCTCTTTACTTCCAACTTTTTAATTTTGTTGGATCCCATGTCTGCGAGACACTGCATTCTACTGATTCTCCTCCCACCTCGCTGGACATTCCTTCTCTGTCACCTTTAAGGGCTCTCCTTACTAAGCTACCCCTTAAATGTTGCTAAGCCTAAATTCCATCCTCAGCCCACTACTCTTCTGACTCTTGACTAGTGATTTGCAAACTTGAATACAAGTATCCCTGTATGGACAGCTTCAAACAAATCAATGCCATGATACTTAACTTCCCTAGATATCTTTCCTTAAAATGATTTGCCCAAGTTTCTCAAAGCCATTAGCCAACTTTAATGAAATAAAATTTTTAAAAAGCATACCCTTTGCCCAACTCTCACTGTGGTGCGTCCACCAGGGTGTAAAGAACACCAGAGCCTTGTATATACACTCATAGTACTTCCTGTCTTTCACTGACATGTGTATTTCTTTTAAGGAGGAAGCACGGTGTTAGGTGATATACTGGTCCATGCTGGGATGTTCTGAATTCAAGTATATAGTAGAGTCGAGTGGTAGGAGTAAAGGCAATTTTGGTTGCGCGTGGTGGCTTGCGCCTGTAATCCCAGCACTTTGGGAAACTAAGGCATCACCTGAGGTCGGGAGTTCGAGACCAGCTTCGCCAACATGGTGAAACTCTGTCTCTAACAAAAATACAAAAAAGATTAGCCGGGCTTGGTGGTGTGCACCTGTAGTCCCAGCTACTCGGGAGGCCGAGGCAGAAGAATCGCTTGAAAAAAGGCGACAGAGGTTGCAGTGAGCTGAGATTGTGCCACTGCACCACTCCAGCCTGGGCGACAGAGCAAAACTCCACCAAAAAAAAAAAGGAGTAAAGGCAATTTGTAATTTTGACAGACCTCAAATGAGATGAACAGAAGCCCTAGTAGAAGTCCAGCTGAACCCTCAGTCAACCCACAGAATCATGAGCAATTATAAGCTGTTGTTGGTTTAGGCCACAAGGTTTTGGGGTGGTTTGTTATACAGCAATAGATGACTAAAACACAACCCAAGCACACTGCAAACTGATCATGGCCAACTACGAACACGCTGCCTCCTCTCATTAAACCTGTATCTTCCCTCTTTCAACCTTCCCTCTCTGCTGTGTAACACTGCTCAGTGGGTGCCACTTCCATCTCACCCTTAGTTAGGCACTCAAACTGAAAGCCTGGAATCACTCTTGATTCCACACCTCCCCTCCAACTCCGAATCCAACCGGGCACCAAGGCCTGATGTTACTGAGAGGTGACAGCGTGCTGGCAGCCCTCCTAGCCCTCACTCGCTTTCGACGCCTCCTCGGCCTTGGCGCCCACTCTGGCCGTGCTTGAGGAGCCCTTCAGCCCGCCGCTGCACTGTGGGAGCCCCTTTCTGGGCTGGCCAAGGCCAGAGCTGGCTCCCTCAGCTTGCAGGGAGGTGTGGAGGGAGAGGTGCGGGCGGGAACCGGGGCTGCGCAGGGCGCCTGTGGGCCAGCGCCAGTTCCAGGTGGGCGTGGGCTTGGTGGGCCCCGCACTCAGAGCAGACAGCGGGCCCCAGGCAGTGAGGGGCTTACCACCTGAGCCAGCAGCTGCTGCCCTCGATTTCTGGCCGGGCCTTAGCTGCCTCCCCGCGGGGCAGGGCTTGGGACCTGCAGCCCGCCATGCCTGAGCCTTCCCCCCTCCCCCGCCCGGCGGTGGGCTCCTGCGCAGCCGGAGCCTCCCCGACGAGCGCCACCCCCTGCTCCACAGCGCCCGGTCCCATCAACTGCCCAAGGGCTGAGGAGTGCAGGTGCACGGCACGGGACCGGCAAGCAGCTCCACCTGCGGCCCTGGTGCAAGATCCACTGGGTGAAGCCAGCTGGGCTCCCGAGTCTAGTGGAGACTTGGAGAACCTTTATGTCTAGCTGAGGGACTGTAAGTACACCAATCGACACTCTGTATCTAGCTCAAGGCTTATAAACACACCAATCAGCACCTTGTGTCTAGCTCAGGGTTTGTGAATGCATCAATGGCACTCTGTATCTAGTTAATCTGGTGGGGACTTGGAGAACCTTTATGTCTAGCTGAGGGATTGTAAATACACCAATTGGCACTCTGTATCTAGCTCAAGGTTTGTAAACACACCAATCAGCACCCTGTGTCTAGCTCAGGGTTTGTAAATACACCAATCGACACTCCGCATCTAGCTAATCTAGTGGGGACGTGGAGAACTTTTGTGTCTAGCTCAGGGATTATAAACGCACCAATCAGCACCCTGTCAAAATGGACCAATCAGCTCTCTGTAAAACAGACCAATCGGCTCTCTGTAAAATGGACCAATCAGCAGAATGTGGGTGGGGCCAAATAAGAATAAAAGCAGGCTGCCAGAGACATCAGTGGCAACCCACTCAGGTCCCCTTCCACACCGTGGAAGCTTTGTTCTTTCGCTCTTTGCAATAAATCTTGCTGCTGCTCACTCTTTGGGTCCACACTGCCTTTATGAGCTGTAACACTCACCGCAAAGGTCTGCAGCTTCACTCCTGAGCTAGCGAGACCACGAACCCACCAGAAGGAAGAAACTCTGAACACATCCGAACATCAGAAGGAACAAACTCCAAACACACCGCCTTTAAGAACTGTGACACTCACTGCGAGGGTCCGCGGCTTCATTCTTGAAGTCAGTAAGACCAAGAACCCACCAATTCTGGACACATTACGACTGCCAAAATATTCCTAGTCTGCACTTCTCTCTGTTCCTGTCACCACTCTGCCACTCAGACCTGGCAGTCTTGAACCTGGATCATGTCAACAGCCTCGTAGATGCCCTTCCTCCAGACTCAGCTCCCTCTGGTCACCCTCCAGAAATCTAACTCAAGTGCTTTTCTGATCATGCCAGCCCCTCTGAAAAACTCTGAATGGAGGGCTGGGTGCTGTGGCTCATGACTGTAAGCACTTTGGGAGGCCCAGGTGGGAGGACCGCTTGAGGTCAGGAGTTTGAGACCAGCATGGGCAATATAGCAAAACCCTGTCTCTACAAGAAAAAAATGTATTTTTTAAACCCCACAACTCTGAATGGCTCTGATACTACTCAAAGATAAACTTCAGACTCTCTGTGATCAAGGACCTGCCTTTCTTCTCAGGCCTTTCCAAGGATGGCTGCCAACAAAAATCATAAAGGAAAAGACTAACATACTTGATAGCACAAAAATTTAAAATATCTGCAAAAAGCCCACTATTAAGGTAAATGACAAAATAGAAAAAAAACCCGCAATGTATATAACAAAGGATTAATGTCTTAAATATGTAAAGAACTCCTATTAAGTCATTAAGAAACAAGTGCCCTAACCGGAATATAAGTAAAGGAACATAAACAAAAATTCACCATAAAATAAATATAAAAAACAGAGAGGGAGGGAAGGAAGAAGGCAGGGAGAAAAAGAAAAGAGAAGGAAGGGAGGGAGCTAGAGGAGAAAGGGAGAGAGGGAGGGAACACGTCCAACCACATACACAAGATGGAAGTATATACAGGTTTAATTTTTATGGAGGCCAGCTTGTAATTTGCATCAAAAGGTAAAATAAGCATATCTTTTGATCCAGCCATTTTGTGTCCAGAAATTAATTCTAAAGAAGTAATAGAACAAGTACTCAAAGGCTTAAAAAAAATTCGTTGCAGCTGTTTTGTAATATCTATAAAATAACATAAATGTCTAAAAATAGGAAATTGGTTAAGTAAATTGCAACATCTCCAAACAATGGACTAAAATTGATGATGCAGACCTTTAACACAGAAAGAGAGCTGCAATCTATTGCTAAGTGAGAAAGCAGATTACAGGGGATGATGTGGAATATATTCTTATTTTTGCAAAGTCTTGAAGAAGAATATAATATCAAAATATTAACAATGACAATCTATGGGACTATGGGTAACACTTTCTATTTTTGTCTGGCTTTATCTTCTAATCATTCCACTATCATAATAGATTAATTTGCATGTCCAAAATAATTTTAAGACTTCTTGATTGCTTTCTTCCATATCAACCAAAGATTATACAGTATATGGAACCAGTATTCATTTCATTGCTTCAAGTTTCCTAGTCCCCAACACTAAACCTCATCTGAGAGTCTCCAGCAGAGCCCTACTGAGATATAAGCACATCCAGCACTGAACAGTGAGTTACAATCCTGGAACCCTCTCTGTGGCTTCCATAAATAGAAATGGAATAACCGAAACAATATTATAACAGTGCCTAGAACAATGCCTTACATTGAATGTGTGGGGCAGAGACTGAGAAGGGAGGGTTGGAAGAGTAAGGGAAGGGATTGCAAGCAAAAAAGAAAACAGAAATAAGTTAAGTCCCTGAGCATTGCTACTCAACTCTTCAGAAAAATGGTTATAAACACATTTCATTAACAGTAAGTGTCAAATGGTAAGCCGTTATCTCTTCCAAACTCAACCTTTATAGAATGTGAGACATAAAAAAATGGTTTCTGTGCCAACAAGAGATATAAAACCCACGTATCTTGATCTCAGACAAGACCTTCGAACTCTCACTAAGAGCCTCTTTATTGTCACACACAGTTCTAACAAGCTTAGTCATCCAGTGTCCAGTCCACAGCAGATTAAAAGCAGCAAATTAGAGGAGTAGTGTTAATTCAGGAAGGCACATGGATAGCAGCAAGAAGGACAGCTAACAGTCTCATAAGGAAGCGGAAACCACCATAAAGCACAAACATGAAATTCAAAAAAGACAGCAATCCAGGGCCATTTCATTGAAGAGCAAGCTGTCTGTCTCATCCGTATCAAGCAAACACCCTAACAGATCTATAACAAAACAGTAACACTCTAATAAAATGCATATATAAAAATTAACGAACCATAAGATGTTAGAGTTGGAAAGTAAATTTACCATCTAGTCCTCATTTTACACATAGGGAGCCTGGTGGACGGAACTGGGAAGCAATGTGTCAGAGTACAGTATGTGGTGAGGTCACTAAACAGGTTCAGTTCAGGAGTACTTTCCACTTATGTCACGCTGCCTCTGTGGTATACACTCCAGAAGACAGGAAATATATGTATAACATATTTCAAAACTGGAAGACAGGAAATATATGTATAAAATATTTCAAAATAGTAAAACTTTAAAAATTGATACACTTTCATGGGCCAGGAACATCTCTTTTCCAACAATGAGTTGTCTCAAATGGGCTCTTCATAAGACCAGGCCATTCTTCTACCTATCCTTTGTCATTTCTTCTCTCCACACATCTAAGGAACTCCTCCATATCCTTTCCCTACTCTTCTTAAATCCAATTCAACTCCATTCACAGCATTCAATAGAAAACAGAAGCAAGAACTCCCTCAACTTACCAAACCTCACCCAATTTCTCTTCCTCTGTATCTATTCCTTCTCTCCTTCCTTCCAGGTCAGTGAATGAAGTACCCTTTCTCCTGTCCAAGGTTATCTCTGTTACTTGAGTTCACGACCTCACCCATGACCTCCCATCCCTTCTTTGGGTTACTCCATCAATGATACCCCAGTACTGTATTTTCAACCTCTTCCTCTCTTTGATTGCTTCTTCTCTGCCTAATATACTCAAGACTTGTCCATCATTACAAAAATTATATTATTATTAAAAATAATACAATTATTATTAAGAAATAATAATAAATTCTGCCCTGATTCAGCATCCACCTCCCTTCCCAGTCAGTCATCATTTCACTGCCACCTGGACTTCAGTCACTGCTCCACAGAAACTGCTAACGAAGCTCACAAATTACCTCCATATTTCCAAATCCAATTAACACTTATCTTGACGTCTGTAATGAGTTAACACTCTGAAGTGTCCATTCCTTCCATTTTAAAATTAAATTAATTAATTATTATTATTATTATTTTTTTTTGAGACAGGGTCTCACTCTGTCTCCCAGCCTGGAGTGAGGTGGCGCGATCACAGCTCACTGTAGCTTCAACCTCCCAGGCTCAAGCGATCTTCCCACCTCAGCCTCCTAAGTAGGTGGGACTATAGGTGCATTCCACCATGCCTGGCTTTTTTTTTTTTTTTTTGTAGAGACAGGGTTTTGCCATGTTGCCCAGACTGGTCTTGAACTCCTGGGCTCAAGCAATCCCCCTGCCTTGGCCTCTCAAAGTGCTGGGATTATAGGCATGGGCCACCAGGGCACTCGGCCCCTTCTTCTTTTAATTTTACTTAGGATTTATTTTCGTCACTTCACATCCTCCTGATTCTACCGTCAATCATTCTTTCTGCCTCCTTCATGTGCCTACTCTTTCATTCAACTGGTTTCTACTGAGCTCTGCAGATGTGCCAGGCACTCACTATTCTAGACACTGGGGATCCAGCCATGAACAAGTCAGACAAGATTCTCATGGAGGCCAGGCATGGTGGCTCACAATTATAATCCCAGCACTTTGGGAGGCCGAGGCGGGTGGATCTCCTGAGGTCAGGAGTTCGAGACCAGCCTGGCCAATATGGTGAAACCCCCGTCTCTACTAAAAATACAAAAATTAGCTAGGCGTGGTGGCGGGCGCCTGTAGTCCCAGCTACTAGGAAGGCTGAGGCAGGAGAATCGCTTGAACCCAGGAGACGGAGGTTGCAGTGAGCCGAGACTGCACCATTACACTCCAGCCTGGGTGACAGAGTGAGACTCTGTCTCAAAAAGAGAAAAAAAAAAAAAAAGATTCTCATGGAGCTGAAATTCTAGTGGGGGGAGTGGGAGTGATAAATAAATAATAAGCAAGAAAATCTGCTGATACATGCTACACGGTGAAATAAAACAGGATTGGTTCCTTACACTGGGCGGTAAAGGACAGCCTCTATGAAGTGGGATTTAAGTGAGCTCTGAATGACAAAAAGCCAACCAAGGGAAGACAAGAAGGAAGAACATTCCAGGAAAAGGCACCAGCCAAGCCTTAGACACTAAAGAAGAAACTATGTTCTATGCTCAAAAAAGATGAACAAGAATCACTGTGACTAAAAAGCAAGTGGTTGAGGGGAAGAGAGACACAAGCTATTGTAGGGGTTTGCAGGTCAGTGTGAGGAGTTTGGATTTTATTCCAGGTGGACTCCTCTTCCTCCACACAGTCTCCTTATGAGATCTCACTCCATTTCAGTTTTCATTCCTATCTTGTGGTTTTATGACAACTCCCACTCCAACTTTTCTCTACAATGCAGGCCAGTCCTATGCAACAGCATCCTGAACTACATCCATACTTGGATTTCCACTGATGGCTCATTAAAAAGTCCCTAACTGAAGCCCGTCTCTTTTCCTCAAACACTATTCTTTCTTCTTTTTATTGACACCATTATCTACCCAGTCACTTAAGCCAGTAGCCCAAGATCCAATCTAGCTTTCTGTCATCTGCAACATCTAATTATTAACACTGATTTTTCTAAGTTTAAGGTAAAGATATAGAAAGAAGGAAAGCAGAAAAAAAGGAATGGAATCTTTCACCTCCAGTAAGAATGATACCTCCCTGTGAGGACCATACGTAGGCCAAGGTTAACAATCCACCTCAAAACTATTGTCTTGGCTGGGCGTGGTGGCTCACGCCTGTAATCCTGGCACTTTGGGAGGCCGAGGTGGGAGGACTGCTTAAAACCAGAAGTTTGAGACCAGCCTGGGCAACATAGCAAAACCCTGTTTCTTTTCTTTTTTTTTTTAATGTTTTCTTATCCCAGCTACATAGGTCTAACATTTCCGTCTCATCAACCCAATCTCATTCTCCCTCCCAAATAGTGTCAACAAAAACCACAGAACTTAAAAACCATGTTTGCACTAGAAGAGACCTTCAAGATCACCCGGTGATCTCCTTATTCACATAAGACAAGCTCAGAGAGGGGAAGTGATATATCCAAGATCACTGAAGAGACCAGATAACCTACTTCCCTATCTCATACAGTTGTTCATTTGTGTTCTGTGAGCTAACCCTAGAAGCAGGATTTGATGGTAGACTTGAACAACACTCTGTCATACCACCTTAAAAATCACCACATAATTGCTGGGTGAGTAGACAGCCACTTAAATAACCCATTTGATGTTATACTGATTCTAACACTATGATTTTAAAAGAGAAAGGAATACTTCATCTTCTGAGGAAGTCTCTATGATCTAAAATTAACTTTTTTCAAGGAAATTCTCATCATTGGTGAGCGAGCCACCTAGAGCTGACCTTTCAAAAATGCTGTGGAGCTCACAGCAAACCACCACGCAGAATTTGCTGTTGATTGCTCTTTTCACTCCTCCTCTCTGAAACTAGCAAGAACAGGAAGAAATATGTTTGTTCCCAGAGGTACATACAGTACTCAACTACAGGTACCACCTCTCTAGACTCATTTTATAACTCAGCTGCTTAATGCCATATTTATCAGTCTTTTAAAAACCATATCTTCTTTGATAAATATGAAAATCTCACGTCTTCTCCACACTCCGACCTCTTAAGTCTATAATGTGCCTCTTTAGAGGGTATACAGCCAATCCCCATCTTCTTTGAGGTTCTCTCCTTTTCTGGCTGGACCTGGAGCCAATCTATGCATTTTCAAATTATATATTCCCTTCCTATTTGTGACCTGTCTGCATGCTCACTACCCCAAATACAAGTTAAAAATCACTGTCCTAATTTACTGCAGGCCAATGCCAATCATCAACTAGAAAATGAATGTATGCTTTGCTTAAAGATGAATTTCAGTAATATCTGAGTTTTTGACACATGAGCTAATTGTCTCCATCTTTACAGTATAGCATTTAAATGGTTTAGAGTTCCTTTATATAGCTAAGATACACCCTATATCTCTACTTTTGAGATCAATGGTACCAGACGCCAATAATTTAATCCAATCAATAGAGATTCACATGGCTTTCTGAAAGATGTTCTACTTTGCTTTGGATTTTGTTATTTCTCAACTTTACTGAAACTCTATAAGATTCAATAGTTCTTATTGTAATAAGCGAGGTGAAGTCCTCAAACACAGATCTATTATACGATTGGAATAGGGATAAATAAGGGAGGTTTGTATATCTCAAATCCGTCTAGTCTCTCCTGCCTGCCCAGCAAGTTTTAATTAGTACTGATTTACTGTAATATTCATCCAGTTAATTCATTCTCCAGTACCCACTGTTGCCATGTTCAAATTTACGAGTACTCAATTGGATACAAAATAAGCCTAAGGCAATAACTAATTATCTAACACTAGAAAGTAGATACAAACAAAATAAACAGTAAAATAAAACTTTGAGGTTATGGGCCCAAAAAAGTTAAGATAGCCAGCAAAAAAAGACAGGCATCCAGAGGCAGCTGTGGTGAATACCTAGGCTAGGTAAAATAAATCTTAGGTAGGACTAAGGTAGGCGGGTGGGGAAGGAGGAAATATCCCAGCTGCGGGGAACACCATGAGTAAAGAACTGGAAAGAACTAAATCCACGGTACAAAGATGGTGAGGAGGGCGCAGGCCTGGTGGAAGCAGCAGACCTGCGGCATTAGCACACAAGCATTTAAATTGGATAGGCAGCAGGTGCCAGGCATTCCTGGCAGGTAGAGAGGCCCATCATACTTATAAAAACTTGATAGGTTAAGAAAAACTCCCTGACACACAGGTAGCTTTCAAGAGGTGAGAGTTTAAAAAACAAAAATCAAACTACAATATTTCTCTTTCTCTTCTCCCTATTCCTCATCTGGGGGTTTGTGAATACTCTGAGTGGGGCGGGGGGTGGGGGGGGAGGGGGAGGGAGAGGGAGGGGGAGGGAGAGAGAGAGACCTCCTGTGTGTATTTCCAAAACTCTAACTCCACCAGGTTATATACATAGTGATACAAATATGGCCTGATAAAAACAAAATTCATGCACCTCAATACTAAGAGTTACCATTTACAAACTGCTAACTAACATACACCAGTCACTGTGTGAAGTGCTTTGCATACATCATTTAATTCTTACAACAACCCATGCTTTTGCATTTTACAAATCTACATTTTATAGATGAGAAGACTAGATCTTAGTTAACTTTTCCTAACATCACAGGGACATGTCCAGGATTCCAGCCAAGGGCTATTTACCTTCAATTCTCATGCTTTTAAACCATCACACACAGTACTAACCTTGAAAGTCTTCTCCTAAGGAGAACATCATAGCACTCCCTTTATTCCAGGGGGGAAGGGGAGGAAAGACAGTATTGGATATCAGGTTTTCCATAATCATTACTGAGTTACACCTGGTCAAGCCAAGATTTTTCTCTACAGCCAAAAAGCCCAATGAAATTATTTCTTCCAGTGCTGCCCCCTTCCCCTCCAATACCAAGATTCCAAGGCTTCTAAAAACAGCAGAGAACAAAGGCCTGTGGAACAGGGGTGGGCTATCCCAGGGGAGATTAAACAAGTCTAACAAACCTGTAAAATAATCAGCACTTCCTGAATCAATCAGATTCACTGACCAGAGAAAATGAACCAAGGTACTAGCAGGAGACCTGCCATCTCAGTAAATGCTGCTCAGGCCCCAGTCCTCCAGGAAGGACCCAACCTACGATGCCTTAGTTCCATTCCTTCTTCCTGTCCCCATAGGTAATAAAGTCATCATTTTGTTCTCAAATTCATGCTCAGTACCAAAAGGACAATAATCTTTCTCTTACCCTAAAGGTCCCAGTACAATAGCTGTAAGTGTCCTTGAAAACATGCAGCAAACAAATTATGTGGCATTATGTTGCTTTCTACAGGATTCAAGTCCTAGATGACAGGCATCATTATTTAAGCTCATTATAACGACAAAAGATAATCTAGCATCAATGCTATGCTTAGCCTTCTATAATAATAATAGATACCATGAGCTCTTTGGTCCAATAATCTCTGTTTTTTGACAAAAATAACAAAGCTTCAGTTGGCACTGCCATTCCTTGTCTGCCAAGGTTAACACAGAGCCCAAGGAGAAAACTGACCAGCTCAAACTGATTCACCCACAGCAGACCTCAAATGAAACTTCAAATTTCAGGAACTTGTCCTCTGCCAAGGTGGAAGTCTCCTCCAAAAGGAATCCTCTTTCCTAACAATTACTTGTGACTCAACAGAAGTGGGATTGTTTTAAGGGTGCAGTGGCTCACACCTGTAATTCCAGCACTTTGGGAGGCTGAGGCAGGTGGATTGCTTGGGCCCAGGGGTTCAAGACCAGCCTGGGCAACATGGCAAAACTCCACCTCTACAAAAAATACAAAGATTAGCCAGGTGTGGTGGTGCGCACCTGTGGTCCCAGATATTCAGGAGGCTGAGGTGGAAGGATCGCTTGAGCCCGGGAGGCGGAGGTTGCAGGGAGCTGAGATCACCCCACTGGGTGACAAAGTGAGACCCTGTCTCAAAAATAAATAAAGTATACATAATAGGCTAAATAATAAAAATAATAGATCAATAATAATAAAAACAAAAAAGGGAGAAAGGAGGTATAAAATGCTACAGCCAGTATCACCTTACAAGCTAATAGTTTATCATTCCTGAGTGATTAAATTCACAGCAAATAAAAGGCTTTTTTGCTTTGGGTATAAACACAGAACATCTGAATTATTTATGTAGACCATTTTCTTCCTCAAAAAAGACCAAAAATATTGCAATACTTACTTCAACTTTACCAACAGAAGACCAGAACATATACAAACATGCTGAACTAGACATGTTCTCTAAAACAGGCAATTTTGCCCCACAGGTGACATTTAGCAATGTTGAGACATTTTTCATTGCCACAGTAGGCTGTGTATGTATTATATAATTCTGGCAACTAGTGGGTAGAGGCCATGGATACTGCTAAAGATCCCATAGTGCACAAGACAGCCCTCCACAACAAAGAGTTACCCAGACCAAAATGTTAGTAGTGCCAAGGTAGCACAAATGACTGTTGACCAATGTGGGAAGAGACAGTAGTTGGGAGTTGCTCAGAAGGGCCTAATTGGCGGTGTGACTTTAGGCAAATCACCTAATTTTCAAATTTGTTTTCTTAGAATCAATGAACTAGCGCCAGGCGCGATGGCTCACGCCTGTAATCCCAACACTTTGGGAGACCAAGGCAGGCAGATCACGAGGTCAGGAGATCGAGACCATCCTGGCTAACATGGTGAAACCCCGTCTCTACTAAAAATACAAAAAAAAAAGCCGGGCACGGTGGCTTACGCCTGTAATCCCAGCACTTTGGGAGGCCGAGGCGAGTGGATCACGAGGTCGGGAGATCGAGACCGTCCTGGCTATCACGGTGAAACCCCGTCTCTACTAAAAATGCAAAAAATTAGCCGGGCATGGTGGTGGGCACCTGTAGTCCCAGCTACTCGGGAGGCTGAGGCAGGAGAATGGTGTGAACCCGGGAGGCAGAGCTCGCAGTGAGCCAAGATCAGGCCACTGCACTACAGCCTGGGTGACAGAGCAAGACTCCGTCTCAATAAAAAAAATAAATAAAAATAAAAAAATTAAAAAAAATTAGCCAGGCATGGTGGCAGGCACCTGTAGTCCCAGCTACTCAGCCGACAGGCAGGAGAATGGCATGAACCCGGGAGGTGGAGCTTGCAGTGAGCCGAGATCGCGCCACTGCACTCCAGCCTGGGCAACAGAGTGAGACTCTGTTTCAAAAAAAAAAAAAGGCCCCAAGAAAAAAGAGAAAGAAAACAGGCAAAAAGAGGTCCCAGAAAGCAGCAGTCCCTTCCACTGCTGACATCAAGAAGTCAGCAGTGCCAGGCACGGTGGCTCACGCCTGTAATCCCAGCACTTTGGGAGGCCAAGGTGGGTGGATCATGAGGTCAGGAGATCGAGACCATCCTGGTCAACATGGTGAAACCCCATCTCTACTAAAAACACAAAAATTAGCTGGGCATGGTGGTACGCGCCTGCAGTACCAGCTACTTGGGAGACTGAGGCAGGAGAATCTCTTGAACCCGGGAGGCAGAGGTTGCAGTGAGCCAAGATCGCACCACTGTACTCCAGCCTGGCGACAGAATGAGACGCTGTCTCAAAAAAAAAAAAAAAAAACTCAGTAGTCTGTAGCCCAGAAGAGGGCCCTGACTAGAACCTGACCATCCTGGTACTCTGATCTTGGACTTCATAGCCTCCAGAGCTGTGGGAAATAAATTTCTATTGTTTATAGGCTACCTAGTTTCTGATATTTTGTTACAGCAGCCCAGAGGAACTAAGCCAGTAAGCAACCTTCAAATGCTATGGAAGCATTATCTGACTTGAAAAGCTCACAGGGAGATTCAGCTGGGAAGGGTTGGTTATTAAAGGTCAACAATGTTATGAGAGGGCCGGGCACAGTGGCTCACGCCTGTAATCCCACCACTTTGGGAGGCTGAGGCAGGTGGATCACTTGAGGTCAGGAGTTCAAGACCAGCCTGGCTAACATGGTGAAACCCTACCTCTACTAAAAATACAAAAATTAGCTGGGTGTGGTGGCACATGCCTATAGTTCCAGCTACTCGAGAGGCTGAGGCAGGAGAATTGCTTAAATCTGAGAGGCAGAGGTTGCAGTGAGCCAAGATTGTGCCACTGCACTCTAGCCTGGGCGACAGCAAGACTCTGTCTGAAAAATATATATATAAAAAGAATGTTATGAGAAAAGATACTGATGATCCTTTGTACAAGGAAGAATTTTAAGGAAGAATCCTATACTTGTAGCTAGGAGCCTCGGGTTCAAGTTCATTCACTGCTACTTCTTGCCAATATGACTTTGAAGAAGTCATTCAACCAATGTCAGCCACTGCTTCCTCATCTGTACAGCTGGAGTAATAACCATGCTTTCTACCTCTGCAGGGATGACGCAATCACAAAATGAGAGTATGTAGATATAAGGCTATTTCGCATAAGAGCAGCTTGTCCTGCCAGTGAAAGAGGCAGCAAGGTTTTACTAAGCATCTCATATGTTCTCTGTCTGAGATGCTATGGCAAACAGAGAAGTAATGGAAGACTCGGCTCCTGTCCTGCTAGTTGGCATGATATGACCAACACACAAGAAACAACTGAACCCCAAAAGGCAATTACATATCTCTTGCAGTGATGGGGTCTGTGGTGTAGTCTCTAAGCTATGGGTTTGAAGGAAGGAGATCAGAGAGGACTGCAATGGTTATGAAAGATTTCATGAAGACAGACTATTCTTAACTGAGTCTTTTCTCTGTAACCTCACCTTCATGGAACCTTGCTGCATCTAGTTCACCATCTTTACCTATGTTCTAGTTTTCTCTTAGTAAAGTTAAAGTAAGTATTGCAATATTTTTGGTCTTTTTTTGAGGAACAAAAAATGGTACAGAACCACTGCTCTAGACTACAATGGTCTCAAAACAGTAGTGTACAAGATGACAATGCACTGGGGTAGACAAAGAAAATAAAAGATCCTCTATTTTTATTTATTTTCATTTTAAAAAGTAAGATTTTCCAAGTAAAAAGGCAACCCACAGAATGTGAGAAAATATCTGCAAATCATGTATCTGATAAGGAATTGATACCCAGAATATACAGAGAACTCCTAAAATAACAACCCAATTCAAAAATGGGCAAAGGACTTAAATAGACATTTTCCAAAGAAGATATACAAATAGCTAATAAACACATAACAAGATGCGTGACATCACAAATTACTAGGGAAATACAAATCAAAAGTATAAGAAGATACCACCTCACATCCATTAGGATAGCCACTGTCACAAAACAGAAAACAAGTGTCGGTGAGAATGAGGAATAACTGGAACCTTTGTGCACTGTTGATGGGAATGAAACATGGGTACAGCCGCTATGGAAAACAATGTGGCAATTCCTTAAAAAATTAAAAATAGGATTACCATATGACCTAGCAATTGCATTTCTGAGTATATACCCAAAAGAACGCAGGGTCTTGAAGAGATATTTGTACATCCATGTTCATAACTGTAGCAACATTATTCACAATAGCTAAAAGGTGGAAGCAACCCAGTGTCCACTGATGAATGATACATGTGGCATATATATACAATGGCATATTCCTGAACCTTAAACAGGAAGGAAATTCTGACACATGGTACAAAACAAATGAACCTTGAGGACATTATGCTAAGTGAAATAAGCCAATGACAAAAGGCCAAATACAGTAATATTCCACTTATATGAGGTATTCAACGTAGTAAAAATCATAGAGACAGTAAGTGGAGCGCTGGTTGCCAGAGGCTAGAGAGAGGTGGGAATGAGAGTTGTCATTTAATAGGTACAATTTCAGTTTTACAAGATGAAAAGAGTTATGGGAATGGATGGTGGTGATGGTTGCATATTATGAATATATTTAACACCTAGACGTACATTTAAAAATGATTAAGATAATACATTTTAGGTTATGTGTATTTTACATTTAAAAATTTAGAAAAAATAAGATTTTGTCCTTGTTAATATATAACATATGGCCCAACACTAGCACTCCCATTCAGTCAATGTTCAGTCACATGTCCACTATTGAGGGCTGATGGGGTGACATCTTTATAGCACACTGAGATATACTATAGTTCATGTGTGCTTGGTTAAATGGATTCACTGATTACATTATTTTAAATTAATTAATCATCACAAAACAAACTAGAGGCTTAAAAAGATTTCTACTAAAAAAAAACCTTGGATTAAAGATAATGCAATCAAAAATGAACAAGAGAATGGCAGAGCTGTCATATCTATTCCTGGCATACTCTTCATACATAGTCACACTGCAATGTAGACACAATCACAATTGAATAAGTTAACCAAAATCTTGTTGAGATTATTTAAAATATAGATTTGCATCCACTATCATTTATGATGAACTTCATCCTAAGTATATAATGTGACTTCAGATATTAGCTAATGATAGCAGGACATGAATATAACTTACAAATAAACAAGCACACATACATGAAGATATGGCATGTTTTTTAACTAGAGCACTATTCTATCCAAAAAGTTTAGAGACTACTGCTCTAGACCAACACTGCCAGAACTTGTGATGATGAAATACATCTCACCTGTGCTGTCCAAAACTGTAAGCACTAGCCACATGTGACTATTAAGCAATCAAAATGTGGCTAGTGCATCTGATGAACTGCTATTTTAGATAATTTATTTTTTCTTTTTCTTTTTTTTTTTTGAGACGGAGACTCACTCTGTCACCCAGGCTGGAGTACAGTGGCAGGATCTTGGCTCACTGCAACCTCTGCCTCCCGGATTCAAGCGATTCTGCTGCCTTAGCCTCCCAAGTAGCTGGAATTACAGGTAGCCGCCACCACGCCCGGCTAATTTTTGTGTGTTTACTAGAGACGAGGTTTCACCATGTTGGCCAGGCTGGTCTCAAACTCCTGACCTCAGGTGATCCATCTGCCTCAGCCTCCCAAAGTGTTGGGATTACAGGCATGAGCCACTGCACCCGGCCTATTTTAGATAATTTAAATAGCCATATGTGGCTAGTGGGCTACTTTATTGAACAGCACAGCCCTGGGCCACTAGTAGATTATCGCTATCTCAAAACATACAGCTCCCCAGTAAGCAGTTATTTTTCTGCTTTTGTGTCTTTGGCCATGTTATTCTCTCTGCCTAGAATGTTCTTCTACCTTGTCCATCTAGCAATAAGTTCTCATTTTTGAAGACACACCTCAAATGTCACCTTTCTTTAGCTTTCCCTGACTACTCCCCAACCCACAAAATTGTTGCCTTGGGTCTGTTCCCCAGCTCTTTTACATGACTCCAGCGCAGCATCTGCAGCTATTTGCTCACATATCTGAAATCCTATGACTGTGAGGTCCTCAAGGCACAGCCATGTCTCATTTATCTCCGCATGATGCCTGGCACATAATGAATGCTCAGTAACATTTACTGAATAAGGGAGTGAATGAACTGACAAACCTTGATCTCCCAATTCATAATGCAGTGTTCTTTCCACCACACCAAAATATGGCTCCATAAAATAGACCGGAGGCAAGTCTCTGCTAGCTCACAGTGCTAGATGCTACTTTAATAGACAATACGTTTCTATTATTATCATTTTTTTCTCTTTCAGATGCGGATGTCACAGTTACCTCATAAGTAGGCTCAGAAGGCATGCATCCTTGAAAGGGTGCAAGATGAAGGTGGTACTAGTCCCCTTTCCGAAGCGTCAACATTCAAATATTGCAAGTTAAAATGACGGCTCTGATGCAGTAATATTTTTTGTGTGTTTTGTTAATATTTATCAAACCTTTCTTGTGTACTCTACATGGCGTTTTAGCTACCAGGGTACAAGTGTATGTCTCCCCTCATACCCTCCCACTCAAAAGTCACGTGAAACTGCTGCTCTCTCTTCATCATTATTTGTTATTAAATGAGCTTTACTTTGTTAGAAAGACTGAAAGAAAGAGTTTGACCATGGCAATTGCTTATTCTGGACTTCATTTCTGAATTCTAGATTTGGCTATATTTAGCAAAGCTACAACCGTCATCATGCCCAAAGCCAGGAAGAAGACACCATTCACAAACCACCCCCTGAAAATCTGCAGTTGCCTCTAAAAAACCAGACTTCCCAGCAGGCAAAGACATCTGAAGTGGGAGGGATCAAATTGGTGTTTGCGTCAAGAGAAGGTCTCAGGTGCTTATAACTAAATCTCTCTGCCTGGCACTCAAGATTCTCCATAAAATTAGTCCTTCCTTTTCTCTCCAATGTACCTTCTGCTCTGGTCAAACACCTTCAATATCTCCCCTGTTCATACCTTTCGGTAACACTGGTCATTTCCCTTCCCTGCCTGCTTTTGCTTAAGCTTCTAGCCTCTTATCAAACCTTCTGGGACCACTCTTTCCCCAGACACTCGCTGCTCCCTTTCCCCACAATTGGCACGGGGCTGAGGCACAGGAGGGGAGCCGTGCATTCTTGGTACCTATTCATCAGTCTTTCAAAAGGCCCAGGGCCACTGAAGAAAGTGAGTAGCAAGCACCTCCAGGGAGCAACTTAAAGAATTTCATTCTACCACTCCGTGTCCTCTGTCCTTCTTTCCTTGATTCTGGGGAGGAAATGTGTACTGATGAAAATGGTAACACTAAACTAGTCAGTATTCTCAAAATTTATCATGCTGTTTCACCACTTTGCCTATACTATTCTCTCAGCCTGAGAGGTCCTGAGTAACCCCCATCTGGAACATCTGCTGGGCAATTTCTATTCCTGTTCAAACTTCATGTCACCTATGAACTCTCACCCCCAGGCTCTTTATCATAACATCTTTTACCATCTAAGGTATGTATGTCAAAGGCCACGCTTAAGTGCTGGACACTTATCTCAGGTGTTGAGCTCTGTTAAGAGTCAGGCCTGTGTCCCATTCATCTTAGGATCTCTGGAACCTAATACAGTGCCTGCCACAAAGAGGCACGTACGTGTATCATATTGATACCACCAACATATTATGTGCCTTTAATGGAATTTTTGGTGATTTCACACACATTTTTAAGCCTTACTAGTTTGCTCTGTAGGTAGGAGAAATTATCAAAGTTTACTGATGTGGACATTTGGTACTTCTCATCAGCCTTGGACCTGGATTCCTTGAATATAAATTAGAAAGCTGTTCTGAGGAGCCATCTAGTCCACCTTATAGTTCCAGAATGTTGTCTTCAACACAGTAATAAATAAACATTTATTGTTTAAAGCTTAGATATAAGTCCTCGTATAGCTAAGGAAGTATGATAAAAGCACAGCTTCTCAATCCTTCTTTGAACATTGCTCCAATTTTCCCATTGAGCTCATTCTGGAAGCTTAAACCAAATCTTCCCTTGATATCATATGCCCATTAACTTAGACATGATTTAGCTTCTCATCATGGCATCTTTGCTGAGAAAGCTAGAAAGAAAATATTCTCCCTGGCACCCAGCCTAGAAATAGCCATATTCCTCTAAACTCATAACTTAAAGCCTTCACTTCCCCCAAACAGCCCCTGCTGGACTAGTTAGTGAAACCAGGCCAGGAAGGCTGATGCTACCAGGGGAGGTATGGCAGTGCGACATCTTTTTGTCTTACCCAGCACCTGCTCCTTGGGGTTCTTGCAATTCCTTATGAAAAAGCACAGACCAATACCCACGCTAGAGAAAAAGAGATCATCAGCGGAATGTGGTGGTAATCTGGTCTGTGTTTTGAAGCCTCTCACACCACTCCTCCCTAAACTGCCTAGCCACCGCTCTGGGCACACAGGGTACAACTCCTGTGGTCCTTAAACAACTCTGGCTAGAACTGTAGATAAGTCAGCACTCGGGGACTCACAGAGAAGAGAGTCCAGGGAAGGAGCATGGCTACCCAAAACGTCTGTTAAGCCTTTAAGGAGCTGGTGAGGACTCTGCAAAGAACATCTGGCTCTGTCCCCTAACAATGGGGGAAAGGAATTGCTTCAGATTGCTGCAGCTCAACTAGCTTTCACATTGCTCCCACTCCCCTTTAACACACACACACACACACACACACACACACACACACACACTCTCTCTCTCTCTCTCTCTCTCTCTCCCCCCCCACATATATACATATGATGTATAACGTTGCTGGTAAGTAATGGCTACCATTTATTGAACACCTGAAAATGTTAATTATATATATTGCCTCATTTAATCTTCATGACCAGCCCATTAAGCAGTGGTTCTCAAACTTGACCTTGCGTCAGAATCTCTCCAGGAACTTATTAAGCCCCACACCCACAGCCTACAGAGTGAGGCCTGAGAATCTCCATTTCCAACAAGCTCGCAGGTGATAAGTATGCCCCACTTTGAGAACCACTGCCACAGGGAAACAGAGATTCAAGAGTGGTTTGGAATGTCTTGCCTACAGTTCCACAGCTAGTAAAGAACAGATCCAGAATTTGAACCTAGATCTGTCTGACTCTACAGACAGTGCTGGTAACCATGCTACTGTATGTGTGAATGTATGCCTCATCTTCCCAAATTCATTGGCAGATCCTTAAAGGCAGATGTCAATCACACTATAGACCTCCCTCATCCATCTCAGAACTTCATAGGGTCTTTGGACTTGGTAGGTGCTACATAAATACTTTGTATACTGGCTCCTACATATCTACATACTTCTAAGAGCCACAAATTCAAACTCAACTTAAGCCAAAGAACACAAAAAGGGCGCATAGCCAGACCCAGTTTTACGTGACATTCTCTCTCGCTACTCTGTCTTTGCCCATGGTGCCACCACACTAACTCCTACTCACTCTTCAGTCACTTCCTTCAGAAATCCTGGGCTCCCTAAAACTGGGGGCCACTGCACCCTAAGTTTATCTCTATGATGGCATTTACCAATCCACTATAACTGGCTATTTTCCATCTCTTAAAGCAGTTGGTAAAAGCTAGCATCTAGTTTAACAGTATACCCCCAGAGCCTAGCACAGCACCTGGCACTTCACAGGCAACTCCATAAACTGTTGAATGAATAAATGCAGAGCTACAAGTCCTAAATTCTGTGTAAAAATATCACAATACGTGATGCGCAGTTCTCAAAGATGAATCCCAGAGAAGAGGAAGGCAGCCTAGGTAACAAAGACCAATTTTGCCTTTTCTTTTCCCTATCACTTCTCTCACACTTGGAGAACATGCACCGCTTAGGGCAGCATCATCCGTGATGAGACAACATCCTAGCTGAACAAAACGCTCGTGGGCTATAAGGTCAGCAGAGGCCATTCAGAGGGGAGGAAAGTGTTCTGTGGCCCTTCGTTTCTCCTGATTTCTCTCTGACACACTCTCCTTTTCACTGTTTCTCCACCCCACTGCAGTTAAGGGCTTTGGCACAGGGATGAAAGAGACAGATCAGACTCAAGGGTGCGGATCTGGCAGCGGGCACAGAAGCATCTCCTAGCCTGCACCAAAGTCCACGGGAAAGATCCAAGGGGACAGTGACTCTGGCCCCAGATAAAGCGCAGCTAGAACAGTACTGAGATTGGAAGAGCAATAATTTCACATGGACATTAACTGTCAGAGATCTTTTTTAAAAATCATGTTTTTAAAGTACAGACTTCAACTCTATTCCCAGAAAACTGGGCCCTGCTGAATCCAGTGCTTACACAAGCTGAGAGCCAAACACAGCTTCTTCCTCTTCCAAACCCACCCACCAGCCCGCAACATCCACCATGGTAAGCATTTCCCAGGCCCAGGTCAGGACCCTTGCTTCAACTTTAGCTTGCAAAAGGCCCCTTTTTAAAGAGGCCTCTTAGCTTTCTCTCTTCCCTTGCTAATAAAACTGTTCCCTACCATCACCATGTTGCAGTAAGAGAGACCTCTCCCTTCTTCCAACCCCTCTCGGTCTATAACACAACCTACAGCAGGTTGGCCCCATCCAATCAGTCTGAATTGCTTCATGCCAAGGAAATTGCTGCTTTTATTAAAAATAAAAGCACACTAGGCAGGCGAAGGGCTGTGAAAAGTATGAGTCTGGCATAATTATGAAGGTCGAGGTTAAGGTTACCAAAAGAGACATGCAAAGATTTCCCGAAAGCCTGGGGGAATCAAGATGTATATCTACGTGAGTATAGACACACAGATGAAACACAGAGGGAATTTATGCAGCAGATCTAAATAACATCCTCTCTGATAGCGAAAAAACAAAATCAGAGCCACTCTCAAGTAATTTTTCTTTTGATTAAAAAAACAAAAAACAAAACCTAAAGCGAGAAGGAAGAGGGGCCTACTAGACTGAGTTCAAAATAACCACATTTGTTTTATGTAATTTCTGTTATCTTTGCTATAACCTGGGGACCTGATTACAGTTGGGTCAGGAAACAAATCTACTAGTGAAATCCACCAAGAGCCTTGGCCCTTGGAAAAACACGTTCACGTTCTCCGAAAATCCTCTCTTCCTTCCAATGCCTGCTCATGGAAGTGGGAAAGTTGGGTAGGAGAAGGAGAAACCCCTCTCTTCTTAAAAGTCCCCCCACCCTTCAGCCTTCACATCAAGATTTTAAGTTTTAGGAGGATGACAAGCCCATCACCCTGCCTTTGGCATAAAGCTTTACACTTTCACACATACGTTTTCTTGTGTGATCCTCAAAATTTGGCTTCTCAATATTAAAAAAATAAAAATAAAAGGCCACTAACGTAAACAATTTCGGCAACCTCCCCACACCCCCATAAGCCCAGTCACTTTCAAATCTCAATTTTAAATCTCTCAAGGACAATGACTCACAGGGCAAGTGAAGGGGGAAGGGAGGGTCAACTGGTCAAAGCCCATTCATACATGCAACAACTAGAAACCACAGTATTGCCGCATCAGCACAAGATTTTAATTTACGGCGCATTGAGCCCCACCGTACCTTCCGCCAACACCTCGTCCACTGTGACCTGCTGTCGCCCGATGCCGAAGACTCTTCCGATGTAGCCACTGCCCAGGCCCGAGGTGCTGCCCCCTCCTCCGCTGGAGCCGGAGCCCAGGCCAGAGCCGCCCTGCTCTCGCCGGGAGTCGAAAAACTTCTTCATCTTGCGAATAGGGAGCAGCAAAGCAAAATACCGATGGTTTCTAGATTTTTTTTTTTTTTTTTTTTTTTTAAGAAAAGAGATCCAAGGATTTCTTCTCAGATTTCACCTCGGAGAGGAGCCACCCGAATCCGGCCGTGGGGGTGGGGGCTGAGGGAGGATGCCTATAGGAATATGCGTGTCAATCGCGCAGCGGGTCCCCTCCTCCTCCAGAAAGCGATTCGTGTAAGTTTAAACCTGTGATGACAGAGGAAGAAAGAGAGGATGAATCAGTAACACGCTTAAAAATTCAACCGCTGAGTCCTAGGGGGAGCAAAAGCCATCATCCTGGGGAAACGCTTCATGTATTTTCCCGGCGAGAAAAACCGTGGGGCTGAAAACGCGACCCCGGCCCCAGAACCCGGGACCCCCGAGCCGGGAGCTCGGAGAAAGGAGGGATCCGAGCTGCTCCGGCAGCGCCGACCCTCCCGGGCACTGCCTCCCGCTCCTCCCGGGTCTCCCCGCCGCCCCTCGAGGCGGCATCCTGGCAGCACCCACTTGAGACGGCTCGGCGGCCGGCGCCCTGCTACCAGCCCCGCGACATTGTCACGGCCGCCGGGCCGGCCTGCGACGCAGAGAAGAGGCGGCGCTGCAGCGAGAGCCGGGGCCGCGCTCGGCTCCCGCCCGCCCGCCAGCTGATCCCGGGAGCGCCGGGCGGAGACTGACCCGCCGCCCCTCCCCCGCGCGCGCTCCCGCCCGGCTCCATCCACCCAACCAGGAAGTGAACCGCCGCCGGAAGTGCCCCTCGGGGCGGCGCGGCGAGGGACCGGGGCCTCTCCTGCAACCGCCGTTCTGTCGCCACGGATGGGAAGGAGTCGACCGCGAGAAGAGGACTGGGGGAAGAGGGTCTCAGTGCAGACAGAGTTCTGGAAAAGACTGTTGATATCACCCGAGCCGCAGGGCAAGCTGGGAAAGGTAGCTCGGCACAGTCCGGCTGCTGGACTACAAATCCCAGCATACTCCTGGAGGAGAGGGCGAGGCGGCAGCCGTGTGGCCTCCACGGCCTCGAAGGAGATTTGTGGGGTGGCGCGTATGTGGGGACTCGGCAATTTAAACACATCCCGTGAAGAAACTGCCAACAACTAAGTTCCCCCCCCCCCCCCCCCGCTGTATGTTCCACCCTTCTGGAGCCATCTTATTTGCGGCCTGGCCTCCTGGCACAAGGGATTCTGGAGGTTGTGGTTTCCGAACGGATCGAGACTGACACCTGAAGGACGCGGCTTAACCGCTTAGCCCCTAGCGGGTCCTGTGGGTTTCCCGACGTCTCCTGGGCTGAAATGGAAGCGAGAAGTGATCGGGAACATTGTGCTGGCAGTTGGATCCGGCTGCACCGAGCGCCAGCCTTGAAATAAGTAAAACCGATGCCCTTCCGCCCCTAACCTCAAAAGCTGCTTTTGCGTCTCGATGTTATTGAGAGCCGGCTCTGCGGTCAGCTCTGAGCTAGGCGCTGTGAGAACGCTCAGTAAGACAGTGTCTCGTCTGGAAATGTACAGGCGAGATTCAAACCGAGAAACTGCCAAAGGTTGTGTGCAGGGCAGATCCTAGGATACCGGAGACCCAGCCCGTTGGCTTGACCTCAAAACTCGGGGGCTTTTCGGCCCATGCTGTCCCTTAATTCCTCCTCCTTTGCTGACGCTGTGGGTGCGCATCAAAGCCTAAACTTCACTAGCTCCCTTGCACACAAGAACACTAACCCTAACCTGACCAGTTATTTATTTTTCACTTCAAGATTCTTCCATTGATACTTACGTTTCCCTGATACCGTCCAAGTGCTGAGGGCGGGGATGGACTGTGTGATTTGCATCTGCCAAATGCAGAAAATTTGGAAGGTCAGTTGGTACACTTTTCCGACCTAGATTTCCTGATGGATGATGCTGAAGAGTGGCAAGTTGCTGCCAAAAACAAACAAAAAAACCTACCATGATTTATTAATATTATTTTTCTAACCCCTGAATATGGGTTATTGTTCATCTCTGCCCGCTTTCCCCACTCCCTAGTGCTTGTCTCAGAATTTTTTTTTCAGCGGGTATTTGAGTAGAGAAGGGTGTCCCAGGGAAAAAAATGGTTCTTGCTTTCTCTAATCTGAATATTGAGCTGAGCTGTGACTGGGTTAACAGTAGCGTTTGTTGTTGCTGCTGCTGCAGCTTGTTTCAAGTAGTGCCATTGTAATTAAACTCCGTGAAGAGATAGCATCTTTTCTTCCGGAGAGAGTCAGTGTTGTCACCTCAGTTCACGAATTCATGTAGCCACCTCCAGGGTGAAATGCAGCCCCTATTCCCTCAAACTAAGCCCACGAAGGCATGTTCTCTGCACTTTCCTTAAAAGGCCAGATTTTTGTCTGAGGAAGTTTGAAGCAGATCTTAAAATAGATGAGAAAGCTCATTTGGAATTAGACTCATTGACCCCCATTTCTCTCAGCACTTATTTGTCTTGACTGACTTTTTTAAACAAGCTGTGCTAGGTCCTAAAATCAATCTGATGCTATCTCAGTTTTTACCTTTCTAGACTTCTCTGGTACCAGACTAGTCCAGGCTTACACAAATCTCAAGTCTTACTTCAGTGATACAAAAACTCCCAATATGCTTAAGGTAGCTAACATGCATTTATTTAACACCCACGTGAATGCTCTGATCAGAAGCTGAGGGAAGAGGTTTAAAAAACAAAAAACATGACTAGATTCCTTGCCCTCCATTCCCTCACAGACTAATAGCAATTATAATGACAAATCCACAGTTTTTCATGCTTTACATATATTAAGTATATAATGCTCACAACCACCCTATGAAGTAAAGTACCATTATTATACTCATTTTATAGGTGGGTAAGTAAAGCAAAGAGATTAGTGACTTGCCCAAAGTCACACAGTAAATAGCAAAGCCAGGATTCAAACCCAAACATTTTAGTTTCAAAGCCCAGTTCTTACCTGGCTATACTAAACTGTCTACTTAGAGAGAGCAAACATTAACTGATTAAAAGACTCGTGAATAGTTAGAAACCCACGCACAAGCAGCATAGGACCAGGAGACAGGAAACCTCTTGCCACTTCATAGCTGGGATCCTAGACCACTTGTGTCACTGGGCTTATTATCTCAGCTATAAAACCAGAGCTCTTACAACTCTTAGTAATTTTTTAGTTCCTGAGTACAAAATAATGAACAGATCAGCCACTATAATCTCAAAACTATCACACTTTCTGTATAATTTGTCCCATGCTGCTTTGCATTCCTGTTCAACTTTTAATGTATATTGCTGTCTCAACCAAACACCTCAAAGCCAGAGAACCATCTTCTACTTATCTCCTTGGGCATCCAGTATAATAGTTTACATAGAGTGTGTTCTTAGCAGTACTTAAAGTAAATAATTTACTTTAAATGTGACACAAAACAGAGCTATCTGATTAAGGTGGAAAGATTGATTTGAAGTATCCTAGATGAATTTTGAACTAGGTGTGGAAGATGCTATGGGTAAATAGTCAAAGGGAGTGGGAAAAGAAAGTGCCATTTACTATTGTTACAATAGTGATCATATGACCGATGGAACAGACTCTTTGAGGCAATAAGATGCCAAATTATAAACAAGACCTAAGGCTGTGTCAGGCAAGGGTTAAGTCACACATCCCTACACTTGAAGAGTAAACCATCTTCTAACTGCCACAAGGTTTTTCTTTTTCTCTGGTAGCTAAATAGACACTGGCCTGGAGATAAGCAATATTGAATCAATTGTAGCTCACTGACCACTAGATGCTGACTAACTGTATCCCCCCAACCCCTGTTCCACAAACCATAACTATTTCTTTGATTGGACAAGAGACTGATTTCAGTAACATCCTAGTAAGAGACTACCAACCACAGACTGGTTCTGGCTGGTTTTCAGAGGCTGTGCACTGAGTGTCTTCATGTCCTTTGCTTCACCTAATTGTAATGCATTTAAATGTTAAATCTCCACCCCAAAGAGAACATAGGACATATGTAACATGCATGTTTGCTCACTATGCATGCATGTGCTGCCCCCCGCTTTGTGAATAATCAAAGCTCCTGTAACTTAAGTGTGTATTCTTAGCCAACTCATTTGGCATAAATTTGTGTTCCACTTTTTCCTCCCTCTAAATACCTGCTTTCAGTCTCTGCCAGAGTCTACACTTCCCAGCCTGTCAGGATCACCAGCCTGCAGGCTGCAACCCTTTATAAAAAGTAAAGCTCCCCTCTCCAAATTTATAAACCTTGGGATTCTTCAGTTAACACTATGTATCTTCCATATGCCAGTTATGGAATTTAAAAAATATATATATATTGTTTTATTGTTTTATTTTTATTTTATTTATTTATTTATTTATTTATTTATTTATTTTTTGAGACAGAGTCTCACTCTGTAGCTCAAGTTGTAGTGCAGTGGCGTGATCTCGTCTCACTGCAACCTCTGCCTCCCAGGCTCCAGCGATTCTTGTGCCTCAGCCTCCCGAGTAGCGGGGACTACAGGTGTGTGCCACCATGCCTGGCTAATTTTTTGTATTTTAGTAGAGACAGGGTTTCACCATGTTGCCCAGGGTGGTCTTGAACTCCTGAGCTCAGGCCATCCACCCACCTTGGCCTCCCAAAATGCTGGGATTACAGGCATGAGCCACCACGCCCAGCCACTTTTTAAAAAAAATAATTATATAAAAAATAGAGATGGGGTCTTGCTTTGTTGCCCAGGCTGACCTCAAACTCCTGGACTCAGGTGATCCTCCCACCTCAGCCTCCCAAAGTGCTGAGATTACAGATGTGAGCCACCGTGCCTGACTGATATTATTTTATTTAATCTTCATGGTTGCCTACAAAGTAGACAGTATTATCTATTTTATCAAAGAAAATACTGTTACACTATTATTCCCAATTTTATAGATGAACAATGAAGATTTTGTTAGTAGCAGATGAACATGTATGGTTTGTTAAGTTTGAAGGAAATGATTTGACCTGTGGTACACCTAAATCATGTTACCATAAACCCAGTGTGCTGTATCTTTGAGGAAATCAAAGGAAAGGGGACCACCATTAATTAAAATCCTTAACTGAGTCAAGCACTATGTTGGGTATTTAATCATACCATTTAACCCTCACAATACATCTATGAAGTGTGCATTACTTTTATTGGTGTGGAAACAGAGGCTGAGCAGGATTAGAGTCTGTCAACTATTTCTACAAAACATCTTAAAAAGGGCAGAGCCAAGACTGACCTCAAAACCCACATCATTTTCATTACACCATATGGGCTTTCTATGTTGCCGTCTTTTAGCGAAGTGGAACTTGTTAGAAATGCAAATTTTGGGGCCCCATCCAGACCTACTGAGTAAGAGGGAGGGGCAGAGGCAGCAGTTTCTGTTCACAAACCTTTCAGGTAATTCTAATACACATTCAAGTTTGAGAACCACTGTTTAGCAGAAGCGAACTTGTAAGAACCATGTCCTTTTTAAAAAAATGACAGTTCTTGCCCAGGCATGCTGGCTCATGCCCGTAATCCCAACACTTTGGGAGGCCGAGGCAGGTGGATCACTTGAGGTCAGGACTTCAAGACCAGCCTGGCCAACATGGTGAAACCCCGTCTCTATTAAAAATACAAAAATTAGCCGGGCATGGTGGCATGCACCTGTAATACCAGCTCGGGAGGCTGAGGCATGAGAATCACTTTAACCCAGGAGGCGGAGCTTGCAGTGAGCCGAGAGTGCACCACTGCACTCCATCTGGGGAGACAGAGTAAGACTCAGTCTCAAAAAAAAAAAAAAAAAAAAAAGACGTTTCTTGATTTTTTTAATTTTTAATTTTCTTTCTTTCTTTTCTTTTTTTTTTTTTTTGAGATGGAGTTTTGCTCTGTTACCCAGGCTGGAGTGCAATGGCACAATCTTGGCTCACCGCAACCTCCGCCTCCCAGGTTCAAGCGATTCTCCTGCCTCAGCCTTCCTGAGTAGCAGGGATTACAGGCATGTGCCACCACGCCTAGCTAATTTTGCATTTTTAGTAGAGATGGGGTTTCTCCATGTTGGTCAGGCTGGTCTCGAGCTCTCAACCTCAGGTGATCTGCCCACCTCAGCCTCCCAAAGTGCTGGGATTACAGGTGTGAGCCACCGCGCCCAGCCTAATTTTCTCTTTTAAACTGAGCCTTGTCTTCTTATTTTCCAGTTGATTTTGGTTTTGGATTTTGTTTAAGAAAGTAATTATGTGCTCATTGAAGAAAGTAGATAGAAGAAAATAAAAATCAGCTATAATTCTACCACTCAGCGATAATTGCTATTGACATTTTGATCAATTTCCTTTTAGCATGTTTCCATATATAAGTACCTTTTTTACTATATTAGATCACATTATATATTTATATTTTATTTTTTTCATTCCATAGTTTCCTATTTCATTGTATATTCTCTAAAAATATTCTTTTAGTAGTTGCTTAGTAATCAGTGCTTTACTGTCAAATGTTTTATTTTTAAATGTTACTTTTTATATGATTAGAATGAATATTCTCTTGTATTCTCTTGTGTGCTTCTTTGATTTTCTTTCTTTTTTTTTTTTTTTTTTTTTTTTTTAAGACAGTGTCTCGCCCTACCGCCCAGGCTGGAGTGCAGTGGCACAACCTCAGCTCACTGCAGCCTCGACCTCCTGGGCTCAAGCAATCCTCTCACCTTAGCCTTCTGAGTAGCTGGAACTACAGGCTCACACCACCACGTCTGGCTTTTTATTTTTTTATTTTTTTATTTTTGTAGAGACAGGGTTTCACCATGTTGCCGAGGCTGGTCTTGGACTCCTGAACTCAAGCAATCCACCCGCATCAGCCTCCCAAACTGCTGGGATTAAAGGTGTGAGCCACTGTGCCTGGCCTGATTTTTTTTTTTTTTTTTTTTTTTTTTTTTGAGACGGAGTCTCACTCTGTCTTCCATGCCGGAGTGTAATGGCACAATCTCGGCTGACTGCAGCCACCACCTCCCGGGTTCAAGAGATTCTCCCACCTCAGCCTCTTGAATAGCTGGGATTACAAGCACCCGCCATCATGCCCGGCTAATTTTTGTATTTTTTGTAGACACAGGGTTTCACCATGTTGGCCAGGCTGGTCTTGAACTCCTGACCTCAGGTGATCCACTCACCTCAGCCTCCCAAAGTGCTGGGATTACAGGCATGAGCCACCGTGCTTGGCCCCATGATTTTCTTTCTAAGGCTACGTTGTTATAAATGGAATAATTAGGTCAAAAGGTATGAATGTTTTTACAGCTAGAGAGCCAAAGTACCCTCCAGGAGATTGATATTGATTTGTTCTCCATTCACTGATCCAGTAAACAAATATTTATTAAGCACCATGTGCTAGACTTTAGAAAGTTTATTACAATAAACAAAATAGTTACACTCCTTGCCTTCAAGGAGCTTTTGGTGGTTTTTGTATCCTTTTTTTTTTCTTTGAGACAGGGTCTTGCTCTGTCACCCAGGCTGGAGTGCAGTGGCATGATCATAACCTGAGGCTTTCAAGGGATCCACCCACCTCAGCTTCCTGTATAACTGGTGCACAGCACCACAGCCAGCTAATTATTTCTTAATTTTTTGTAGAGACAGGGTGTTTCTATGTTGCCTAGTCTGATCTTGAACTCCTGGCCTCAAGCAATCCTCCTCCCTCGGCCTCCCAAAGGCTTGGGATTACAGGCATAGCCACTGTGCCCAGCTAGAGCTTTTGATCTTAAAAGAAGGCATTAAATCCTAAGTATTTCCATACCCTTGCCAGCACTGAGTTTGTGCAGTTTAAAAAGAAATCGATTTCATTTTGTTAGGTAGGAATGGTGTTTTTTGTTGTCATTGTTTAAATTAGTGAGGCTGAACAATTTTTCTTGTTCATTTATTTATTCATCAGTTGTTTATTAAGAATCTGTTATATACCAAAACAATGCTAGGCACTGGAAATATGATAAAGAAGATGGACATGTGTTTTCCTTCACAGAGTTTATAATGTAGTAATTATTGGTTGTGTATATTTCTTCATTTCTAAATTGTATCCTCTTCCATTTTTCCATTGGAGCATTTATTTTTAAGAATTGATTTGAGAGTGTTCCTTTATTCAATCAGTATGTAGTGAACTACCATGTACTAAACAATATGGTGCAAAACAAACAGATGAGGAAAAGAACAGGTGAGGATGTTAGCCAGGCATGGTTCCATGTGCCTAGAGTCCTACCCACTTGGGAGAATGAGGCGAGAGGATTGCTTCAGCCCAGGAACTTGAGGTTGCAGTAAACTATGATCACACCACTGCACTCCACCCTAGGGGACAGAGCAAGACGTATTTTTGTTTTCTTAGAGATTTTCATTACCTTGTCTAGTTTCTTTTGATTCTTACTTGCCTTACTGCCAGCTCTTCCTTTTTACCTCAATCTGTATACTTCATATATTACCTGTTTTTTAGTATCCATTTGTCTTGTTGTTGTTGTTGTTGTTTTTGAGACAGAGTCTCGCTCTGTCGCCCAGGCTGGAGTGCAGTGGCGCAATCTCGGCTCACTGCAAGCTCCGCCTCCCGGGTTCACGCCATTCTCCTGCCTCGGCCTCCGGAGTAGCTGGGACTACAGGCTCCCACCACCACGCCCAGCTAATTTTTTGTATTTTTAGTAGAGACAGCGTTTCACCATGTTAGTCAAGATGGTCTCAATCTCCTGACGTCGTGATCCCCCCATCTCGGCCTCCCAAAGTGGTGGGATTACAGGCGTGAGCCACCGCGCCCGGCTTTTTTTTTTTTTTTTTGGGGGGGGGGGGCGGGGAGACAGAGTCTCACTCTGTTGACCAGGCTGGAGTGCAGTGGCGTGATCTCAGCTCATTCCAGCCTCAACTTCCTGGGTTCAAGCAATCCTGCCTCAGCCTCCAAAAGTGCTGGGATTACAGGCGTAAACCCCCATATTCTCGGCCTTTTTATTGAATTTTTATTGCAAACATAAAGTAGTTTTGTTTTTTGTTTTTTAGATGGAGTCTCACTCTATCACCCAGGCTAGAGGGCAGTGGCACAATCTCAGCTCCCTGCAACCTCTGCCTCCCAGGTTCAACAGATTCTCCTGCCTCAGCCTCCCAAGAAGCCGGGACTACAGGCCTATGCCCAGCTAATTTTCTGTATTTTTAGTAGAGACAGGGTTTTGCCATGTTGGCAAGCCTGGCCTCGAACTCCTCACCTCAAATGATCCACTCGCCTCAGACTCTCAAAGTGCTGGGATTACAGGCGTGAGCTACCACGCCCAGCCTCTTCCTCATCTTGAGTGCTGTGTTTTCTTTTTATATGCTGTAGAATCTTCTCATAAACCTATGAGGTGGTTGTAATTTTTTTCTGTTTACTCATCCTTAGATGAGCAGTGTTGCTATGAGTCAATCTTTTTCTTTTAAAGACTTTTAATAGGTTGTTGGGAGAAGCTTAGGGATCTCTAGTCAGATGACTTCTTAAATTAGAACTTAAGACTTTTCATTTTGAAAACCGGTTGTGCTGACTGGAATGGGCACATTAAAGAATTGAACTAAGGCTGGGCGCGGTGGCTCATACCTGTAATCCCAGCACTTTGGGAGGCTGAGGCAGGCAGATCACGTGAGGTCAGGCTTTCGAGACCAGTCTGGCCAACAAAGCGAAAACCCGTCTCTACTAAAAATACAAAAATTAGTCAGGCATGGTGGCAGGTGCCTGTAATCCCAGCTACTCAGGAGGCTGAGGCAGGAGAATCAGTTGAACCCAGGATGCGGAGGTTGTGGTGAACCCAGACAGTGCCACTGCACCCCAGCCTGGGCGACAGAGCAAGATTTCGTCCCCCACAAAAAGGAAAGAATTTAGCTAAGACGTCTTTGTTATACTTGACATAAAATATAGAGTGGGGTTCCTGAAATGGTCAGGGAATATTCCTGGCCTAACCTTAGTGAGACATGTATTCTTAAGATCTTTCTCCCTTAGTTCACAGCCTCTTAGTTGGATGCCCCTGTGTCACAGAACACATTTTGGCTATGGGGTGTGATCTGTGTCTGAGGAACAACAAGAAGCTACACGTCATCCACACAGGAGCCAAATCTGGAACTCTGGTCTCAGTTCTTCAGGACTATTTGAGCGAATAATCACTCAACACTGGAGTAAAGGATGTTCTACTAGAAGTCTTATTCTGACTCCTAAAACCACGCTACCGAAAGTGTTGATCCACAAACCAGTGCCAGTGCTTGAACTTTGTTACTGGTCCACAGTTAGGTAAGTACAGAAATGGAGAATAAATGTGAAGTATGCGTAAATGATATATGATTTACAGTCCAATTGAGATGCTTCAGGAGTGAAAGTGGGGACAATGAAAATTATGCTAGGACAAAAATCATTAACTGGACTGTCCAGGTAAACTGGAACATATACTCACCTCATCCTTAGATTTCACTAGCAGTAGAGTCCTGGGGACACAGGAACCAAATGCCCTCCTGCATTTCTCCATTCCTGAGAGGAAAATACCCTAATTCCTGAATCCCAGCCTCCACATACTTCTTAGGATAGCCTAGCAATTACCCCTGGGCCCCTTGTGACACCATTTCCTAAACCAGCCCTGGAAACTCACTTATGATTGGACACTATGTCTTGCCCTCTTGCCTAAGCTGAGAACTCTTAAAAATGACTGTCTTTCCCCTAGAGGGTATTTTGGAGGGCCAGGCACCAGTCCTTAGCCATGCCTCCTTGTGAAGTTTTAAAATATGATGCTTGGTTCCATATGAAATTTAAAGTAGTTTTTTCTAATTCTGTGAAGAAAGCCAATGGAAGCTTGATGGGGATAACATTGGATCTATACATTACTTTGGGCAGTATGACCATTTTCACAATATTGATTCTTTCTATCTATGAGCATGGAATGTTTTTCCATTTGTTTGTGTCCTCTCTTATTTCCTTGAGCAATGGTTTGTAGTTCTCCTTGAAGAGGTCCTTCACATCCCTTATAAGTTGTATACCCAGGTATTTTATTCTCTTAGTAGCAATTGTGAATGGGAGTTCACTCATGATTTGGCTCTCTGTTTGTCTATTATTGGTGTATAGGAATGCTTGTGATTTTTGCACATTGATTTTGTATCCTGAGACTTTGCTGAAGTTGCTTATCAGCTTAAGGAGATTTTGGGCTGAGACAATGGGGTTTTCTAAATATACAATCATGTCGTCTGCAAACAGAGACAATTTGACTTCCTCTCTTTCTATTTGAATACTCTTTATTTCTTTCTATTGCCTGATTGCCCTGGCCAGAACTTCCAATACTATGTTGAATAGGAGCGGTGAGAGAGGGCATCCTTGTCTTGTGCCGGTTTTCAAAGGGAATGCTTCCAGCTTTTGCCCATTCAATATGATATTGGGTGTGGGTTTGTCATAAATGGCTCTTATTATTTTGAGATACATTCCGTCAATACCTAGTTTATTGAGAGTTTTTAGCATGAAGGGGTGTTGAAATTTATTGAAGGCCCTTTCTGCATGTATTGAGATAATCATGTAGTTTTTGTCATTGGTTCTGTTTATGTGATGGATTATGTTTATTGACTTGCATATGTTGAACCAGCCTTGCATCCCAGGGATGAAGCTGACTTGATCATGGCAGATAAGCTTTTTGATATGCTGCTGGATTCGGTTTGCCAGTATTTTATTGAGGAATTTTGGATAGCCAAGACAATCCTAAGCAAAAAGAACAAAGCTGGAGGCATCGCACTACCTGGCTTCAAACTATACTACAAGGCTACAGTAACCAAAACAGCATAGTACTGGTACCAAAACAGATATATAGACCAATGGAACAGAACAGAGGCCTCAGAAATAACACCACACATCTACAACCATCTGATCTTTGACAAACCTGACAAAAACAAGCAATGGGGAAAGGATTCCCTATTTAATAAATGGCGATGGGAAAACTGGCTAGCCATATGCAGAAAACAGAAACTGGACCCCTTCCTTACACCTTATACAAAAATGAACTCAAGATGGATTAAAGACTTAAATGTAAGACCTAAAACCATAAAAACCCTAGAAGAAAACCTACGCAATACCATTCAGGACAGAGGCCTGGGTAAAGACTTCATGACTATAACACCAAAAGCAATGGCAACAAAAGCCAAAATTGACAAATGGGATCTAATTAAACTAAAGAGTTTCTGCACAGCAAAAGAAACTGTCATCAGAGTGAACAGGCAACCTAGAGAATGGGAGAAAATTTTTGCAATCTATCCATCTGACCAAGGGCTAATACCCAGAATCTGCAAGGAACTCAAACAAATTTACAAGAAAAAAACAGACAACCCAATCAAAAAGTGAGCAAAGGATATGAACAGATACTTCTCAAAAGAAGACATTTATGTAGCCAAAAAACATATGAAAAAAAGCTCATCATCACTGGTCATTAGAGAAATGTAAATCAAAACCACAATGAGATACCATCTCATGCCAGTTAGAATGGCGATCATTAAAAAGTCAGGAAACAACAGATGCAGGAGAGGATGTGGAGAAAGAGCAACGGTTTTACACTGTTGGTGGGAGTGTTAATTAGTTCTACCATTGTGGAAGACAGTGTGGCGATTCCAAAAGGATCTAGAACCAGAAATACCATTTGACCCAGCAATCCCATTACTGAGTATATACCCAAAGGATTGTAAATCATTCCACTTTAAAGACACATGCACACATATGTTTATTGCGGCACTGTTCACAATAGCAAAGACTTGGAACCAATCCAAATGCCCATCAGTGATAGACTAGATAAAGAAAATGTGGCACATATACACCATGGAATACTGTGCAGTCATAAAAAAGATGAGTTCATGTCCTTTGCAGGAACATGGATGAAGCTGGAAACCATCATTCTCAAAACTAACACAGGAACAGAAAACCAAACACCACATGTTCTCACTCGTAAGTGGGAGTTGAACAATGAGAACACATGGACACAGGGAGGGGAACATCACACACTGGGGCCTGTCAGTGGGTAGGGAGCTAAGGGAGGGATAGCGTTAGAAGAAATACCTAATGTAGATGATGGGTTGATGGGTCCAGCAAACCACCATGGCATGTGTATACCTATGTAACAAACCTGCACGTTATGCATATGTATCCCAGCACTTAAAGTATAATTAAAATATATATACGTATATATATATATATACACACACATATATATGTATATATGTATATATATACGTATATATATGTATATACGTATATATATGTATATACGTATATATATACATATATGTATATATATGTATATATGTATATATATGTATATATATGTGTATATATATGTGTATATATGTGTATATATATGTGTATATATGTGTATATATATGTGTATATATATGTATATATATGTATATATATATGTGTGTGTATATATATATATGATACTTGGTCATAACCGCTGAACTACTGAATACAGTATTGACCCCAGTTCATTAGAAACTTCAGAGTTTAGTGCTTCTCTGCACATATTTTCCAAATACAGTAGTTCCTTTTTTTTTTTTTTTTTTTGAGATGGAGTCTTGCTCTATCCCCCAGGATGGAGTTTAGCGGCCTGATTTCCGCTCACTGCAACCTCCACCTCCTGGGTTCAAGCTGTTCTCCCTAAGCCTCCTGAGTAACTGAGACTACAGGCATGCGCCACCACACCCAACTAATTTTTGTATTTTTAGTAGAGATGGGGTTTCACCATGTTGGCCAGGCTGGTCTTGTACTCCTGACCTCAGGTGATCTGCCTGCCTCAGTCTCCTCAAGTGCTGAGATTACAGGTGTGAGCCACTGGGCCTGCTCATTAGTTCTTGCTGGTGTAACAGGAGGGCAGAGATTAGGCCACAGTAGAAATCTACAGCCTTTCAGCTGGAAACAACTGTGAAATATCATACACTGTGAGCTATTATAGTGGCTTTACAATGTTTTTACTGATATAATCACTATATTCATTTTTTTTTTTTTTTTGAGGTGGAGTCTCTCTGTCACCAAGGCTGGAGTACAGTGGCGCAATCTCAGCACACTGCAACCTCCACCTCCTGGGTTCAAGCAATTCTCCTGGCTCAGCCTCCCGAGTAGCTGGCATTACAGGCACCCGCCACCATGCCCAGCTAATTTTTGTATTTTTAGTAGAAACGGAGTTTCACTGTTTTGGCCAGGCTGGTCTCAAACTCCTGACCTTGTGATCCACCCACCTCGACCTCCCAAAGTGCTAGGATTTACAAGCATGAGCCACCGTGCCCAGCACACTACATTAATTTTTAACACCTTGTACTCGCTCATATATTTTAAAGTTGACATATAGAAATTTTCATCACAACTCTAAATAATTACAAAGGATATTTCTGGCATCTTATAAATACTGATATTATAAAATAAAACTTACATTACTATTTTTAATGTACGCAATGGAGACTAAATACCACATATTCGATGGACTATATTCACCATCATCCTACTTATTCTCCAACAGTTAGAAATTTCACATTATTGCTTTTTCTTCTAGAACATATATTTTTGCCTCCCCAAATATTTTATTCTAAAGTAATAATTTTATGCTGGGAATTCATTTATTGATTTTATATTATAATTCTCTACAACAACATATGGATATACATGTAAATTTAAGCTTTTAACTTCCTGTGAGTATAAGTCTCTAAGTGTTAAAATTTTTCTTCTGGATTGATTTATGCTACTTATTAACTTTATACAATTGATTAGAACAGTATATGTATAATACAAATTTTGATAAACACAAAAAATAAAAATATATTGGAAATGCATTTATTCACAAGATGAATGGGGATTTAAAAATTTTTGTTCACTAATTCTATCAATTCCATGCCTATTTAAAAATTTTTTATAGATATAAGCATTGGGGAAACTTGTTCAATATATAAGTGGATGAGGCTTGAAGAAGTTCCCTTTAATACTATTACTTTTTTCTTTGCACTCCTGAAATATACGCAAAAATACTCAAAGGTTTTATTCTCAAAAATTATTCTTAATAATGTATCAACTTTAACTTGAACGATCCTCTTTAAATTCTGTCAAAAGCAAAAAAAAATAGGCGGGGCACAGTGGCACACACCTGTAATCCCAGCACTTTGAAAGGCTGAGGCAGGAGGATCACTTGAGCCTGGGAGTTAGAGACCAGCCTGGCCAACATGGCAAAACCCTGTCTCTATTAAAAATACAAAAAAATTAGCTTGGCGTGGTGGCACACTCCCGTAATCCCAGCTACTTGGGAGGCTGAGGCAGGAGAATTGCTTGAGCCTGGGAGGCAGAGGCTGCAGTGAGCTGAGATCACCCCACTGCACTCCAGCCTCGGTGACAGAGCAAGGTTCTGTCTCAAAAAAAAAAAAAAAAAAGCAAACAATAGAAGCCGCTCCTTGCAGACATTTATTCCCCAGCTGTTGAGGCTGTTCATACCCTCACCTTCTAGGAAAGATATCAAAACAGTTTCACGAAGATTTAACAAATGACTGCTATTATTTCTCTTAGAGGTACCTTGTTTAACCCAGTATTCTCAGGGAGAGTTCAGAAAATAGAAATAATGTTCATTTCAAAGCACCTTTTCAATACAATATTTCTTGGTAAAATGCTGTTCTTATAATGTGATTTAAATTTATTTTTATTTATTTATTCATTTGTTTACTTTTTTTTGAGACTGAGTCTCGCTCTGTCGCCCAGGCTGGAGTGCAGTGGCACCATCTCAGCTCACTGCAACCTCCGCCTCCCTGGTTCAAGCGATTCTCCTGCCTCAGCCTCCTGAGTAGCTGGGATTACAGGTGCGCAGCACCACACCTGGCTAATTTTTTTTGTAATTTTAGTAGAGACGGGGTTTCACCATGTTGGTCAGGCTGGTCTCGAACTCCTGACCTCATGATCCACCCGCCGTAGGCTCCCAAAGTGCTGGGATTACAGGCGTGAGCCACTATGCCTGGCCACTTTAAATTTATTTTTGTCAAACCTGAGGAGATGCAGGTTTTGCTCATTTAATTTATGAAAATGTATCTAGTTAGTAAAGTCAGTCCTATTTGTGAAACAAACGAGGTAAATCAGAGTTACTTTGTGAAAAAAAGTCTAACTTCTTTTTTGTCTAAGCTCATTTTCAATACAAATATGTGTTCATATATGTTTCAAGAAAGATTATAAACCATTGGGAAATAAATTAGAGATAGCATCTAGAAACATTAGTAAAGACAAGACGAAAGTTAGACTGCTCTAGTGTAATTGGCTTCTCCACTTTATGTTATAAACCAAGATGAAAAGAATATGCTATTTATTACTTATTTTGAAACAATGCACTAAAATGTGTCACTAAAGTTACAAGTAAGTCATTAAGTGAGCAGTATGATTAAAGGCATTGTATGCTTCTCTTATTTATTTGTTTATTATCTCTTCTTTTAGAGAGAAGGGTCTCATTCTGTTGCCTAGGCTGGAGTGCAGTGGTGTGATCAATAGCTCACTGCAACCTTGAACTTCTGGGCTCAAGTGATGCTTTTGTTACTATGTATGGCATGTGTCAAATACAAGTATTTGGCTTTCAGAATAGTTAAGTAAGAATCATGTATAAAAATCAGCAATAGAGCAGGGCATGGTGGCTCACGCCTGTAATCCTAGCTCTTTGGGAGGCTGTAGCAGGAGGATTGCTTGAGGCCAGGAGCTTGAGACCAGTCTGGGCAACATGATGAGACTTTAAATGTAGAGCTTTCGTGCTTGCAAGAAAGAAATGTGAGTTTGCAGGTGACAGAAAGGAAGCAGGTCTTGAAATCAGAGGGAAAAGATTCCAGCTACCATTGCAATTGCTGGTGGCAGTGGGGGCTGGGGAGAAAATGTCATAAGTCAAGAACTTGGATTTTAAGGCATACCTAGGAATGAAGCACCTTAGTCCTGGGCCTGGTACAGACAGATAATCCTGTGTGAAGCTGGAACTCTCAAAGAGTGGCACCCTCAGTGAAAGGACACATAGCAAAAAATCTACTCACCAGCCCAGAGAGGTGACAAGAAAATACATATTTTCTTGTCTATCTGTGTGTATGCATGTATGCACATATGTATGTATGTATGTATTTCTTGTCTGTCTTTATATATGCAGAAGAAAGAGTTAGAAAAAAGAATTTCTGCAGAGTCATTAAAAACCCAGACCTGCTTTTCACATTGCTTTTGACTTTGCTTAATACTCTCTTTGTGGTCAAGAAACACTTAAATTAAGAAGTTAACATAAAAATTGATTCTGGGCCAATGGTAAACCCTAGAGGCACTTACAGGAGCAAACGTAAAATCACTCTGGATACTCCTTCAACCAAGGTCACATGAAGGTCTCATAGACTAAAACAAATCAATGTAAAACAGAGTTCATAGAAAAACAGCGTAAAACACAAGAAAAAAATCACCCATAAGCTCAGTTAAGAGAACAAAACAAGAGCACTGGAGCCTTAAAATCCTGAAACATTAGACTAACATTCTAAAAGGTGATGTAAAATAAGTATTGTTTAAAATAATTACAAATGAAATAAGAAATCAAAACCCTATGATTAGGAAAAAGAGTGTATGAAGAAACAACAGATAAATCTAGAGAACTACCAAAGGGAAATTTTAGAAATGAAAGACATAATCACCAAAATTTAAAGCAAATGGTTAAATAGCAGATAAGACACAATTAAAGAGAAAGAACCAATTAACTAGAAGTTAAAGCTGAGGCTATTTGCCAGAAGGGAGGGAGGGAGAGAGAGAGAGAGAGAGAGAGAATATGAGTGAAAAGTTGAGATATGGAAGATAGGAACATACTCAAAATAGAAGGGAGAGATAAGAGAGATAATAGAAGGGAGGGGGAAGATGACAATGGCTGAGAATGTCCAGGACTGAAAAAAGATGTAACTCTTCAGATTCCAGAAGCATAAGTCCTAAAAGCATAGAGAAAAGCAAATCCACATATAGCTACATTTACTGACAAAGACATACAGACGGACTTAAGAACTCAAAGAGAGGAAATATAGATTACTCACAAGAAAACAGCAATTAGACAGAAGACTTCTCATGACAACAATACAGGCCAGAAACAAAGGATTAATATCTTCAAAGTGGGTAGGAAAATATAAAAATAAATCTAGAATTCTGTACCCAGTTAAGCATACTTGAAGCATAAGATGAAATAAAGGAAGCTTCAGACAAAAAAAAAAAAAAAAGCTGAGAAAATTTAAACTCATAGACCTTTCCTAAAGGAGCTACTAAAATTTGTATTTCAGAAAGAAGAAAATCAAACTCAGGAAGAAATGCAATGCAAGAAACTATTATTAAATGAAAAAGAGTAATTAGGCACAGTGGCTCATTCCTGTAATCTCAGCACTTTGGGAGGCTGAGGAAGGAGGATTGCTTGAGCCCAGGAGTTCAAGACCACCCTGTGCAAGATGATGAGACCCCAGATCTACCGAAAAAAAAAATGCAGTGAGCTGTGATTACAGTGAGCTATGATCTTGTCACTGCACTCCAGCCTGGGTGACAGAGTAAGTCCCGATCTCAAAATTTTTTTAAATCTCACAAGGACAAGGGAAGAAGAGAGAAAAAATAATAAGAGTTTGGAACCTGGAAAGCACGTGGACAGGTGATAACTGACTTAGCAGACCTGAGAAAGCTGACTTTCAAACCAGTAGTAGGGAAAACCAAGAAGCAACATGACAGTAGGATTTCTCGGGGTAAGAGAGTTTTTTTTGCACTGGATACGTCTGAAAGTGGGTGTGTAGGTGAGACTAAACCCAGGACGATTTCTTGTAAGTCTGTACAAGAAGCAGTCAGCATCCCCAATACTGCACAGCGGCCACTGTCCCTCTTCCACGAGGGTGGATGATTGGAAGCATGTTCTCTGAAGAATCATGCAGTGGCTCTCTGGAATGGGGACACCAGATGTAGTCGAGGTGTTCTGGCTATCTAAGGTTGCCTAAAAAACCACCCCAACACTTGAAGGTTACATAAAACAGTGACCATTATATCTCATGATTTTGTGGGTCTGAATTTGAACTGAGCAATTCTTCTGTCCCACCTGGCATCAAGAAAGGTCACTTGGTGTTATCCAGCTGGCAGATGGACCAGTCTGGAGAACTCACATATTGGGTACCATGATAAGAAGAGCTGGAAGGTTGGTCTCAACTGGCACTGTAAACTAGAGCATCTACACATGCCCCTTCACATGGCAGGCTCAGGGTCAGATTTCCTTCATGGAGGCTCAGGGTTTCCAGAAAGGATACTCCAAGACATCCAGGCAGAAGTTACAAGCCTTCCTATGCACGCTTGGAAGCTGTTGAACATTATTTCTGTTGCATTCTATAAATCATGCCAGTCACTAGGGCCAGTCTAGATTTAAGGGAAGGGGATTAGGCTCCATCCCTGAGTGGGGAGGGGTGGGAGGGTGCAAAGAATTTGCAGCCATCTTTCATCAAGGCCATGAGATTAACACAAGACTAGGGCTACTGTACTGAAATTGAAGAGCCATATGAAACTTAAGATGATGTCTACTGAGCTGCTTGGTATTCTTCCTGCTTGGCTCCTAGAACTCTGGCAGCCAGGTTCAAACTCACCAGGATGGAGAATTTGGAATACTTTTCTTTGGGGACTCTAAGAGGAAAGACCTGAAGAGATGTAATCATTTATGCAATGAAACTGGAGCAACCTGTTGGTAAACTCACCCTTGTCAAGCCCCACCCACTTACACACGCACTCAGGGCTTCCAGGCAGCTTTGTAGACCTCACTCTTAGGGTTGCGAGATAAAATACAGGACACTTAGTTAAATTTGATTTTCAGTTAAACAGTAAATAATTTTTTACTAAAATATAAAATACTCATGTACTATAAGTATGTCCTAAATACTGCATGAGACATACATGTACTAAAAATTGTTGTTTATCTAAAATTCAAATTTAACCAGATGTCCTGGTTTTTCTTTTTCTTTTTTTTTTTTTTTTTTGAGATGGAGTCTCCCTCTGTCACCCAGGCTGGAGTGCAGTCGCATGATCTCCACTCACTGCAAGCTCCGCCTCCCAGGTTCACGCCATTCTCCTGCCTCAGCCTCTTGAGTAGCTGGGACTACAGGCGCCCACCACCACGCCCAGCTATTTTTTTTTGTATTTTTAGTAGAGACGGGGTTTCACCATGTTAGCCAGGATGGTCTCGATCTCCTGACCTCATGATCCTCCCGTCTCGGCCTCCCAAAGTGCTGGGATTACAGGCGTGAGCCAATGCACCCGGCCTTTTTTTTTTTTTTTTTTTTTTTTTTTTTTTTTTGCTAAATATAGCACACTTACATAAGAGCAGAGCCAAAGGTCATCACAATATAAGGGAAGGATCTGACAATAAAGATAGAATCCAAAACACGCTAACAGAGAAAATGAAATGAGGAAGAAAAAGACTATGGGGAGAAGAAAACTTTGAGAAATCTACTATTGAGCTTCTCTGAGAAAGATCAGAAATGCTGGGCATGGTGACACAAGACTGTAGTCCCTGCTTCTCCACAGGCTAAGGTAGGAGGATTGCTTGAGCCCAGTTTGAGGTTGTAGTGTGCTATTATCATGCCTGTGAACAGCCACTGCACTCTAGCCTGGGTGACATAGAGAGACCCTGTGTCAATAAAAAAAGAATACTCTAAAAAATGAACACTCAGAGAACCAAATGGAGTTCTTTTAAATTAAAAATCTGATAGCAAAAATGAAAAACTCAGTAGAATGTTAAGAAGATAAAGTTAGAAATTATCCTAGAATGCATAGGCAAAAGGCAAAGAGAAGGGAAAGAAATAAGAAAGGTTAAGATTAGAAAGCCAGCCCTGGACATCTGGGAAACAGGGGAAGAAATGAATTAAATAATTCAATTATATATTTTGAGAACTAAAGAGCATGAATTTCCACATTGAAAGTGCTGAGTACAGTGCAATGGACAAAACCAGAACCACACCAGGGCACGTTGTGATATGGAAGACTGAGGACATAGAGAAGATCTTACAAGTGCCTAGGAGGAAATGAAGTTTCACTTAAAGAATCCAGAATGAGAATGGCATCTGATTTCTCAGTAGCAACACATGAAACTGAAAGACAATGGAATAATGTCTTTAAAATCTGAGGGAAAATAACTTCCAACATAGATTCTCATACCCATCCAAATGTAGTAGTAAAGCGTGGGGGTAAATGTATTTCAGACACGTACAATTTCAAAATATTTATCTTCCATGTACCTTTTTTCAAGAAGCTTTCAGAAGGTGAAAGCTTTTCCACCAAAATAAGGACATAAATCAAGAAAGCTTTTGTGTGTGTGTTTTTTTAAATGAATAGCAAAATGAACAACTAAAAATTGAATGGTGGGGAAGGGTAATAAGCTAACACTATAGTTACAGCTTTCTAAAGTACTTTCTAGAGTACACCTAACATTTACTTACTATGTGCACTTACTATGTGCCAGTCATTATTCTAGGTGATTCACATCAATGGTATCAATCAGTTAATCTTCACAACAGCTATATCAGTTACATTCTTGCATAGAATAGGTGTCAGTAAGTATTACTATTGACGGTATACAATTGTTATTAATTCAACAAGTCACATTAAACTTCCTGCAGCAGACTGTATTTTTCAAAATTGGCAGCAACAGTATGTTCAATCCCATGTGCTCTTCCAAAAACCCTACCCCCTACCTCAATCAAGAGATGGCATCTATGTCCTTTCCCCTTGAACCCAGGTAGGCTTCTCGGACGGGTTTCTGTGACTGCACCTCTAAAGTAATGCTATGTTGGCCAGGCGCAGTGGCTTATGCCTGTAATCCCAGCACTTTGGGAGGCTGAGGCAGGCAGATCACTTGAGGTCAGGAGTTCGAGACCAGCCCGGCCAACACGGCAAAACCCCGTGTCTACTAAAAATACAAAAATTAGCTGAGTGTCATGGTATGCACCTGTAATCCCAGCTACTCAGGAGGCTGAGGCAGGAGAATCACTTGACCCTGGGAGGTGGAGGTTGCAATGAGCTGAGATCGCGCCACTGCATTCTAGCCTGGGTGACAGAGCAAAACTCTGTTTCAAAATAAACAAAAATAAATAAAGTACTGCTATGTGACTTTCAAAACCGCATCTTGAAAGGTAGTACAGCTTCCATCTAGCTCTCTTGCTCGTAATATGTGCCTTTGGAGCATATAAGTACATGAAACCACCGTGCGGCAGAGATCACGTGAACAGACCACGTTAAAATAGAGTCCGAGGAACCCTGGCTGTTGAAGCCCGCAGCGGTTTGAGTTTTCCCTGTCCCAGTGCCAGACATGTGAATGATTCTGAGGCCCTCAAGATGACTCCAGCATTATCCCTGTCTCATGGCAGCCAGGCAACACACTCTGAGTGGTACCACCTAGCTGAGTCCAGTCACTCACCAGAATCATGAGAGATAACAACAATAAATGATTGTTTCAATCATCTGCCTGGGCGACAGAGTGAGACTCCACCCCAGAATTGTGGGTGTTATTTTTTTGGAGCAATAGACAAGCAGAACATTTCCAGATAAAAGTGAGTTTTAGCCTAGACTTCTGAATCTCCTATCCCTATACTCATTTAAATAGCCCAAGGCATGTAAAGAGGGGAATTTTTATCCTTAGTGGCAAGTCTCCTTTCTGATACTGTAGCTGAATCCAAAGCTTGTAGACACAAGTGATAAAAAAACAGATTAATTAGATTTCATCAAAATTAAGAACTCTTCAAAACACACTTAAGAAAACAAAAAGACAACCCACAGAATGGGGGAAAGCATGTGCAAGCATATGTCTGATAAGGTACTTGTACTCAGAATAGATAAAGAACTCTTACAACTCAGCAATAAAAAGCAACAAATAACCTAATTTAAAATGCACAAGGGCCAGGCATGGTGGCTCACACCTATAATCCCAGCACTTTGGGAGCCTGAGGCAGGCGGATCACAATGTCAGGAGTTCAAGACCAGCCTGGGCAATATGGTGAAACCCTGTCTCTACAAAAAATACAAAAAAATAGCGGGGCGTGGTGGTGGGCACCTGTGGTCTCAGCTACTTGGGAGGCTGAGGCAGGAGAATCACTTGAACCTGGGAGGCAGAGGTTGCAGTGAGCCAAGATCACACCATTGCACTCCAGTGTGGGCTGAATAGGTATTTCTGCAAAGAAGGTACACACATGGCCAATAAACACATGAAAAGGTGCTAAACATCATTGATTATTAGGGAAATGCATACCAAAACCACAATGAGATACTACTTTACAGCCATTGGGGTAGCTGTAATTGAAAAAACAGACAATAACAAGTGTTGACAAAGATGTGGAGAAGCTGGAACTTTCATACAATGCTGGTAGAAATGTAAAATGTGCAACTGGTGGAAAACAGTTTGCTAGTTTCTCAAAAGGTTAAACAGTATCACCATATGACACAGGAATTCCAGTCATAGTGATATACCCAAGAGGAATAAAAGCATATGTATGCAAAAAAACTTATACACAAATGTTCATAGCAGCATTATTCATAGTAGCCGAAAAGTGGAAACAACCAAAATGTCCAGTAACTGATGAATGGATAAACAAAATATGGAATATTCATACAATGCAATATTATTCTACAATGAAAAAGAATTAAGTACTGATACATACTACAACATGGATGAATCTTTAAAGCATTATGCTAAGTGAAAGAAGCCAGTAACAAAGGACCACATATAATATAAAATATCAGGCTGGGTGTGGTGGCTCATGCCTGTAATCCCAGCACTTTGGGAGGCCAAGGTGGGAGGATCACTTGAGGCCAGGAGTTTGAGACCAGCCTGGCCAACATGGCAAAATCCTGCCTCTACTAAAAATACAAAAATTAGCTAAGCGTGTTGGTGCACACCTGTAGTTCCAGCTACTCAGGAGGCTGAGGCACAAGAATCACTTGAACCTGGGAGGTGGAAGTTGCAGTGAGCTGAGATCACATCACTGCACTTCAGCCTGGCCGATAGAGTGAGACTCCATCTCAAAATAAAATAAAATAATAAAATAAAATGAAATAAAATAAAATAAAATAAAATAGTAAAATAAGCAACTCTATGGAGATAGAAATTAGATTAGTGGTTGCCTAAAGCTGAGGAGGCAGAGAGGGTGGGAAGGAAATGAAAGAGACTGCTAATGGGTACAGCATTTCTTTTTGAAGTGATACAAGTGTTCCAAAATTGATTGTGGTGATGGTTGCACAACTCTGTGAATATACAAAAAACTATTGAATTGTACACTTCACACAGGTAAACTGGCACGTGAATACCTCGACAAAGCTATTGAAAAAAAGAAAGAGATCCTTTTGTAGTTCATGGGCATAATGATTGGTATTCACGCACATGTGTGAGATGTGCCACACTCAAACCTTGTTATGACCTCGGCACATTACCCATCTGACCTGAAAAAAAAAAAAAGGAAAGAAAAATAAAAGTCCCATAAAAGTGTTATAGACTGATTCAGTCCGATGTACAAAATACTCTGGCCTATCTGTAGAGAACTGGACAGGATATCCTGTGATGTGATGTATGGGGATGCTGTGGCAACATTTATGTCAGTTCTTCTCTCTCTTTTTTGTCTCTTTTGTCCTTTTCTTCTCCTCTCCACATAGCATGTGATCTATTCTTTATTATCAGTTATCTATTGACCCAACAATGTGGGTAACAAAGCACCTGAAGACTCATTTTTATTGCTCCCAAGGCCATGGCAGCTGAGCCATTCTTCCTGCTTAGATGGGACTTGCTGCTGCACCCGGAATCAGCAGTTGATCTTGGCTGGGCTCTCTTGTGTATTGGGGGTTGACTGGAATTTGTGGGACTAGGATGGTCTCTGCTTTTCTCCATGTGTCTTTGCATTCCTCCATTGGGCTAGCCGGGACAAGCCGTCATGCTGAGGCAGAGATGCACTAGTGAGCATGCAGAAATGCACAGGTGCTTTTCAAGTCCCTGCTCGTCTCATGTCTGATAACATTCCATTGGCCTAAGTATGTTACCAGAGGAATGTTCAGTAACAGGAGGAAGGGACAATAAAATTACAAGGCAAAGAGTGTGGAGCCGGGTAGCCTTTAATTGGGGCCATTAATACTATGCATGGACCGGTTTATAAGTCCATGCTTATCTGTTTTATAAACTCTAGGTTGTTTACTAAAGATTATGAATTCAGTCATTTCCCCTCCAAGTGAAATTTTTTTCTATTTTTATTTGTTATTACAGAAGTATAAGGAATGAGTCAGAGAACATAGACAAGCTAAATGAAGACAAAGAAGTATGATATACGGCATGGTGGCTCATGCCTGTAATCCCAGCACTTTAGGAGGCTGAGGTGGGAGGATTGCTTGAGCCCAGGAGTTAAGACCAGCCTGGGGCAACATAGTGAGACCCTGTCTCTACAAAAAATTTTTTTAAAAAAAGTATGAATTGTCCCTTTCCTAGAGACAATCACTCTTGAGATACAGTCTTCCAGGTATTTCTCTCTACATTTGTGTATAGGTAAATATACACATATATATCTTTCTCATTATATATGTATAGACACATACATGTATGTGTATAATAAAAAATATTAATTTAGAACCGTCATTTCATCTTGATGAAGTTAGGTTTCACTGAGTGATATGTAAAACTCACCTTCTGCATGTGGAAATTCATTGTCTTCAGGCACAGCCATATTACGCTGTGTATAACTCCTGTCTGTGGAATGAGACACTTTGGCTTCTGCAGCAGGCTTGCCTTCTGGTATTCACGTGGTCAGTAATATTACCACATGTCCCACAAGATGGTAAACGCTGACACACAAATGTTATATAGTCATCATGTATTTTCTTGAGAAATTAAAATTATTTATTTAAACATATACTTTATTTCCATTCCTTTTGAGCCTTTTTTTTTTTTTCTTGAAGGCAGAGTCTCGCTCTATCACCCAGGCTGCAGTGCAGTGGTGCGATCTCGCCTCACTGCAACCTCCGCCTCTCAGGTTCAAGTGATTCTCCTGCCTCAGCCTCCCGAGTAGCTGGGATTACAGGTGTGTGCCACCACGCCGGCTAATCTGGCTAATTTTTGTATTTTTAGTAGAGATGGGGTTTCACCATTTTGGCCAGGCTGGTCTCAAACTCCTGACCTCAGGTGATCCACCCGCCTCGGCCTCCCAAAGCACTGGGATTACAGGCCTAAGCCACTGCGCCTGGCCTTCTTTGAGCCCATTTTTGTCAAACAATTTATTACCAGTATAAGGGTGTAACCAAACAAATTTTTGTTTATAAAGAATCATAAGGCCGGGCGCAGTGGCTCACGCCTGCAATCCCAACACTTTGGGAGGCAGAGGTGGGCAGATCACTGGAGGTCAGGAGTTTGAGACCAGCCTGGCCAACATGATGAATCCTTGTCTCTACTAAAAATACAAAAAATTAGCCAGGCATGGTAGTACACACCTGTAATCCCAGCTACTTGGGAAGCTGAGGCAGGAGAATTGCTTGAACCCAGGCGGCAGAGGTTGCAATGAGCCGAGATCGCGCCACTGCACTCTAGCCTGGGCGACAGAGTGAGACTCCATCTCAAAAAAAAAAAAGAATCATAGATTTTACCATACAATAAATACCAAAACCACTGTAACAAGAGTGTCCATGTACCTTCTATATTCTTTATTGCAGGACTGTTCAGCCTTTATTTCCTGCACATAGTTTATATAATCTAATCTAGAATTTCTCATGTTTCCCACTGACTCTGTTGCCTGGCTGGCCTCATCCTACTGTCTTGTATACCAAATAGTTATCAGGAGCAGGCACATCTAATACTTCTCCCACCGCTACTCAAGATTGTAAAGACTTCACCTTCCTTGCCTTATTTTACTGATAAGTGCCCAGCAGACTGCCCTTGAAAGAGACTTAATAGTTATCTTGCCTCTGGGAAGAGTTGGGGGGAAAAGTACTGATCATTACTAGTGATATTCCACTTTTAACCTTGTGTCACAAACCTGTGTTTGCTGCACACGTGTCTTATACACTAGAGACAGGGTAGGAACTGAAGCACAAAGTGAAAGTTTACCAAAATCATTCCAGCATATTATAAAGCAACTATGAATATGTGGCTAAAAAATGACAAATGGCCAGGCACGGTGGCTCATGCCTGTAATCCCAGCATTTTGGGAAGTCGAAGCAGGTGGATCACTAGAAGTCAAGAGATCAAGACCATCCTGGCCAACATGGTGAAACCCCATCTCTACTAAAAACACATAAATTAGCTGGGTGTAGTGGCACACACTTCTAGTCCCAGCTACTTGGGAGGCTGAGGCAGGAGAATTGCTTGAACCTGGGAGGTGGAGGTTGCAGTGAGCTGAGATCGCACCACTGCACTCCAGCCTGGCGACAGAGCGAGACTCAATCTCAAAAAAAAAAAAAAAAAAAAAGACAAATGAGACAAATGCTAAAATAGAGATGGCGACTGGTCCACAGTAAACTTGAAGCAAGGTCACCCTAATTATAAAGCTATAGTAACTAAGACAATGTGGCATGGGCACAGGGATAGACAACTGGCAGAATAGAGAGACCAGAAATTGACCTATGGATAAATGGAGACCTGATAGATGACATATACATGGGGAAGAGTAAATAGTACTGGAAAATTTGGTTATCTACGGAAAAAATGAAAGTGGACCCTTACCTTACATCAATCATAAAAATCAATTCAGGGTCAGGCGTGATGGCTCACACCTGTAATCCCAGCACTCTAGGAGGTTGAAACAGGGCAGACTGCTTGAGCTAAGGAGTTTGAGACCAGCCTGAGCAACATAGTGAGACCCCTGTCTCTGCCAAAAATACAAAATTTAGCCAGGCATGATGGTGCACACCAGTAGGCTCAGCTACTCAGGAAGCTGAGGTGGGAGGATCACTTGAGCCCAGGAGGTCAAGGCTGCAGTGAGCCAAGATCACACCACTGCACTCCAGCATGGGTGACAGAGTCAGACTCCATCTCAAAAAAAAAAAAAAAAAAAAAAAAGAAGGGAATACCATCAATAATCAATTCAGAATGGACCTAAAATGTGAAGAGCAAATGTTTTAAATATTTAGATAATAGAATGAGTAGAATAGCTTTATGACTTTGGGGTGGAGAAGGATTCCTTAAATAAAACACAAAAAGCACAAACCTTTAAAAAATGATAAATTTGAGACTACATTAAAATCAATAACTTTTGTTTATAAAAATACCATAAAATGCATAAAATGACAGGCTAAAACTCAATCAAAATATCTGCAACTCTAGTAACAGTAAAGTTTAGCATCCTGAATATGTAAAGAACTCCTGTGAATCAATAAGAAACAACACAAGAGAAAAAGCAATGCAAAAAAGACCTGTCAAGACATTTTACAGAATAAAAAATATGAATTGGGCATGGTGGCTCATGCCCATAATCCCAGCACTTTGGGAGGCCAAGGCTGGTGGATCATCTGAGGTCAGGAGTTCTAGACTACCCTGGCCAACATGGTGAAACCCTGTCTCTACTAAAAATACAAAAATACAAATTAACCAGGTGTAGTGGCGCATGCCTGTAATTTCAGCTACTCGGGGGGCTGAAACAGGAGAATTGCTTGAACTTGGGAGGCAAAGGTTGCAGTAAGCTGAGATTGCGCCACTGCACTCCTGCCTGGGCGATATAATGAGACTCCATCTCAAAAAATATATATATATACACACATATGAATTGTGAATAAGTACACAAAAAAGATGCTTGACCTCATTCATAGTCAGGGAAATGCAACACCAATCCTTGGTAAGGCATGCTATCACTGCTAAAGAGTCAGAAACCAACAAGTGTTGATAAGATGTGGAGCAACTAGAACTCTCATTCACTGCAACTGAGAGTATAAACTGTACAACTAATTTGCAAAACAGTTTGATATTTTATTAAAAGTGCAAAAACCTTATGACTCAGTGATTCAATTCTCACATGTTTACATCCTAGAAAAACTCTTGAGGATGGGTAGCAGGAGACATGTGGGAAATGATCTTAAAACATTGTTTTTATAGCAAACAAACAAATATAATTGGAAGCAACCCATTATTTATAGATTGGAGATAAATTGTGGGATATTCATGAACCACAGTTACATGATCAACATGGTTGAATATAAAACACTACTGAGTGAAAAAAATTATGTACTTTATTATGTATTTTATTTATTTATTTATTTATTTATTGAGACAGAATGTCGCTCTGTCACCCAGGCTGAAGTACAGTGGTGTGATCTCGGCTCAGTGCAACCTCTGCCTCTTGGGTTAAAGTGGTTCTCCTGCCTCAGCCTCCTGGGTAGCTGGGTTTACAGTTATGTGCCACCACACCCAACTAATTTTTGTATTTTTAGTAGAGATGGGGTTTTGCCATGTTGGCCAGGCTGGTCTTGAACTCCTGACCTCAAGTGATCTGCCTGCCCTGGCCCCCCAAAGTGCTGGAATTACAGGTGTGAGCCACCACAGCCAGCCTATTATGTATTTTAAACAATATTATGTATCTAATAAATACATTATAGTATAATTTTGTTTATATAAATTATACCTTTTAAAAACAGCAAAACCAAACAATATTTTTGTGGATACCTACATGTGTAGAAATAGCATAAAAACATGCTAGTAAATGCCAAAGAAGATATTCAGAATGATGACTATGCATGGGGAGAGAGGGAAGTAAATGGGTTTGGGGAGAGGTTCATAAACAGTTTCAACAGTGTTAATCACTTTGTTTTTTTAAAGACCTGAAACAATTAAGGGAACACACTAATATTTTATGACGCTGGTAGTGGCTTTATGGAAAGTCAATATTTTTTTTCTCTATATAGTCAATTAGTATACATAACATATAAAAAAAAAAGCTCATCGTCACTGGTATTAGAGAAATGCAAATCAAAACCACAATGAGATACCATCTCACACCAGTTAGAATGGCGATCATTAAAAAGTCGGGGAACAACAGATGCTGGAGAGGATGTGGAGAAATAAGAACACTTTTACACTGTTGGTGGGAGCATAAATTAGTTCAACCATTGTGGAAGACAGTGTGGCAATTCCTCAAGGATCCAGAACGAAAAATACCATTTGACCCAGCAATCCCATATACCCGAAGGATTATAAATCATTCTACTATAAAGACACATGCACAGGTATGTTTAGTGCAGCACTGTTCACAATAGCAAAGACTTGGAACCAACCCAAATGCCCATCAATGATGGACTGGATAAACAAAATGTGGCACATATACACCATGGAATACTATGCAGCCATAAAAAAGGATGAGTTCATGTCCTTTACAGGGACATGGATGAAGCTGGACCATCATTCTCAGCAAACTAACATGAGAACAGAAAACCAAACACTGCATGTTCTCACTCACAAATGGGAGTTGAACAATGAGAACACATGGACACAAGGAGGGGAACATCACACGCTGGGGTTGGGGGTTGGGGATTGGGGGGCTAGGGGATGGATAGCATTAGGAGAAATACCCAATGTAGATGACGGGTTGATGGGCACAGCAAACCACCATGGCATGTGTATACCTATCTAACAAACCTGCACGTTCTGCACATGTACCCCAGAACTTAAAGTATATTAAAAAAAAAGAAAAGAAACATTTTTTTCAAAGACACACACACACACACACACACACACACACACACACACACAAAGTGAAGGAGAAAAGTGCTGACCTGCAGCCACCCTCAGTGGGAGCTGACTTCTGCACCAACTCCCTCTCTCACTCAGTGGCCCTAGCCCAGTGCCAAACAGGACTGTGGGCTGGGAGAATCCCCCTGGGATTCTGCCTCCCTGCAGACTAAGGCACCTGGGGAGATATGAGGCTGGACTGAATCTGTCCCATTTTGATGTTCCTTACCCTACACGAGGCTTTGGGGTGAAGGGGATAGGGAGAGTGGGTCCCGTCACACATTCCCCCAGCTGGCTGCCCACTGTGCTTCTTACCTGCGGCCACCCTGCGTGCCTCGGTGAACACTGTCTGGTGCAAAGGAGGTATACGAAATGTGTTTGTTGAATTGATCCAAGCCATTATCAGCACTTCAGTGGGCTGGGAGGACATGAAAATAGCTGCATGGTGAAGTGGTGTTTGCTGGTGCCTGTCCTGTCCCCTGCCTCTGCCAGCTCTCTCATGACATTCCTTAGGCAACCTGGCCCGTTTGCAGGAAGCTGACAGCAGGTATTCAGAAATTTTAGGATTTGGGCTTAATTTCAGATAAGCAGGACAACCTGGGCTCTCCCACAATGAAAAATAGATTCTGCTGTTTTTTTCCTGCCTTTTTAACATTTCAAGCCAAGTTCCTATGCCCATCCACCCATATAAAACTTCCTTGTTCAGAAAGTCATCTGCGCAACTGGCAAAGGCACCAGCTCAGAGTTTTCTATTTTTATTCCTGTGTGTAATCAATGGGAACACACTGTGACGGAAATAAAGAATTATGAATTGATAAGAGCAAACCATTGATATTTGCTTTTGTTCCTGGGCAAGCTAGTGAAGGAACATGTACCTAATGTATAGAAATACAATGGTCATTTTATGCTTCTGTCTTTTTACAGAAGCACTCAGCAATTTCTGTGTCTATTTTTAGGGAGGAAAAAGAAACACTTTTAAGATTCAAATTGGGTAAGCTTGGGAAAAGTTTCCACACAGGCTGATTTTCTAGAAATATTGAAATATAAGACATTATCAGCCCTTTCTCTTCTAAATTATTAACCTGTGACTTCAATACCTATTCTCTGTCATCCTCTTACAATAAAAAATAATTGATTCTCCAACTCAGTAACACTATTGATAATTTTTTTAAAATCTCATTTCAAAAATTGTACTCTAACATAAACTGTTTTTTTTTTTTTTTTCGTTTTTTTGAGATGGAGTCTCGCTCTGTCACCCAGGCTGGAGTGCAGTGGCACCATCTCGGCTCACTGCAACCTCCACCTCCCGGGTTCAAGCGATTCTCCTGCCTCAGCCTCCTGAGTAGCTGAGACTACAGGTGCCTGTCACCATGCCCGGCTAATTTTCTGTATTTGTAGTAGAGACGGGGTTTCACTGTGTTAGCCAGGATGGTCTCGATCTCCTGTCCTCGTGATCCACCTGCCTTGGCCTCCCAAAGTGCTGGGATTACAGGCGTGAGCCACCGCGCCCGGCCCAAACTGTTTTTATTTTCCTCAGTCATCCTGCCCCATACAAAGATACTCTCTTTACATAGTAGAATCGCAGCATATAGTTTTATATTCTGTTATTTCACTTACGTATATGATATGACTTCAAAATAAAATGGCATGTGAGTCTCATGACCTTATAGTCATGTTGACAATACTCTATCACATATGTATTTACATAAATATAGATTAAAATTTTATTTTAAAAGGATCTGTGTGCATTTTTATTGTATGTACATGTCATCTCAATGTTAAAACCATTCAGAATTTTAAAAGTTACCTCTTTCACACTGTCAGGCTTCTCAACTAAGATAGAGAAAAGACTTGTTTAGAGCCTAAAGCTGAGCAAAAGTGAGATACCTGGAAGAGTGAGTCATAGGGGCAGAAAGCAGAATGACAGTTTCCAGGGGCTGCGGGGAGGGAGGAATGCAGAGTTGTTGTTTAACAGGAGAGTTGTGGGGATAGATGATGATTCACAGCAACGTGAACGTATCTAATGCCACTGATCTGTATGCTTAAAAATGGTTAAAATGAATCCCAGCACTTTGGGAGGCCAAGGCGGGCAGATCACGAGGTCAGGAGATCAAGACCATCCTGGCTAACACGGTGAAACCCTGTCTCTACTAAAAATACAAAAAATTAGCCAAGCGTGGTCTCAGATTCTCGGGAGGTTGAGGCAGGAGAATGGTGTGAACCCGGAAGGCAGAGCTTGCAGTGAGCCGAGATTGTGCCACTGCACTCCAGCCTGGGCGACAGAGCAAGACTCTGTCTCAAAAAAAAAAAAATAATAATGATAATAATAATAATAATAGTTAAAATGGTAAACTTTATGTTATCTATATTTTGCCACAATAAAAAGAAGTTTTAAAAAACTAAATCAAGATCATTAGAAAATAATGTTTGCTTCTTCAGTCATTTTGAAATGTGAAAAAATGTGAATAAGAAATATATTAATGTTAAAAACTTCTTGAGTTTAGAATAGTAGGTTCAGAAACAAGTGAATAAAGGAATTTCACCTTAAAAGTAAATAAAAATTAAACTAAACAGATGTGGTTCATAGACCTATGGGAAATGAAGTCTTTGAAATTCTGGGAGGCCCAGAATTGGTAATTAGTTAACTAGTTCAAAGTCTCATGCGTAGTGAATGACAGAGACTTGTGAAAACCTAGGCAATGTCTACTAGACAGTATAAAATGATTCAAGTTTTCAACCTCTTGAGAATTTGAATTTTTAAATGTTATATTGTATTTGAATTTGCTTTTAAATTCATTAAATATGTATTGTCTTCAATTTTTTAAAAATAGTGTTTCTGGTTATAAAAGTACATATGTCCTTTGTAGACAATTTTAAAATAAAGTATAAATTAAAAACCATCTCTGGCCGGGCACAGTGGCGCACACCTATAATCCCAGTACTTTGGGAGGCCAAGGCTGGCGGATCATGAGGTCAAGAGATTAAGACCATCCTGGCCAACATGGTGAAACCCTGTCTCTACCAAAAATACAAAAATTAGCTGGGCGTGGTGGCGCATGCCTGTAGTCCCAGCTACTAGGGAGGCTGAGGCAGGAGAATTGCTTGAACCCGGGAGGTGGAGGTTGCAGTGAGCCAAGATCGCATCACTGTACTCCAGCCTGGGCGACAGAGCGGGGGAAAAAAACAAAAAAACACCCCTATTCCCATTCCTAATAGATAAAATTTGTTAATATTTTGGTGTATCTCCTTCTAAGGCTATTTCTTTTTTTATTTTCGTTTTTATTTCTTGTAGAGATAGGTTCTCACTATATCGCCCAGGCTGGTCTCAAACTCCTTGGCCTCAAGCAGTCATTCTACCTCAGCTTCCCAAAGTGTTGGGATTATAGGCGTGAGCCACCACACCCTGCCAAGCCTATTTCTTATGCATATAATTAAAATTATTGTACATAAAATTTTGTCTCTTCTTTTCTTTGCTTAATATTATATTGTATCATATCTCTTTAAGTTATTAAAGGTTCTTCATAAATATATAATTTTTTTTGAGACAGAGTCTCACTCTGTTGCCCAGACTGGAGTGCAATGGCCCATCTTGGCTCACTGCAACCTCTGCCTCCTGGGTTCGAGTGGTTCTCCTACCTCAGCCTCCCAAGTAGCTGAGATGACAGGTGTGTGCCACCACGCCCTGCTGATTTTTGAATTTTTAGTAGAGACAGGGTTTCACCAGGTTGGCCAGGCTAGTCTTGAACTCCTGACCTCAGGTGATCCACCAGCCTCGAGCTCCCAAAGTGCTGGGATTACAGGCGTGAGCCACTGTGCCTGGCCTCATAAATATAATTTTAAATGCCTTCAGAGTATTCTCTCTTATAGCTACATCACAATTTGCTTAATATCCATCTCTTTATTATTGGATATTGTAGGAGCTCAGAACACGATACCCTAATGGATGGCACTTTGGCATGCTGAGTGTTTTGAGCTGAAGGAGACTGGAAGAGCCTCAGAAACAGCAAGCTCCCTCTGACCTTCTCCCTCCCTCCTTTCTCTTTCTCCCATTTCTCCACAGAAGCAGGTGATAGAAAATGGAATTATTCTTCCTTAAGGAAGATAGTAGAAACTAGAACTTCTTACCCCTAAAGCAAGCCAGAAAACCTAGAAATTAACCTCTGAGCATCTCCCTTCTCCCCTGAAGACCCTCATGTGACAGGCATCCTGCCCTGTACCTGGAGAAAAGAGTACTACTTTTGTATTTTTAGACATAATGCTATTGCACCCTTGATAGACTACAGTATGGTGCAAACACAACTTTTCCCCCTCCTCTACTGTGAAGGGAACATAACTTTTATATGCACTGAGAAACCAAAAAAATTTGTGTGACTCACCTTGTCGTGATATTTGCTTTATTTCGGCGGTCTGGAACTGAAACTGCAATATCTGCGAGGTTTATCTGTACACGTTTTGCCCCTATGACATTTAGGCCATTTACAATTTTTGTTATAAATAATGTGGTGATCTGCTTCTTTGTGTATAAAGCCTTTGTCTACCTTTCAAATTATTATTTAATGACAGTTCTAGAAGTAGAATTACTATGTAAAGATTACAAATATTTTTACAACTTTTGGTTTATGTTGCTAAATTGCTTTTTTTTTTCAGAAGGGCATTACAAATCTACACTTTCTTTTCTTTTCTTTTTTTTTTTTTTTTTTTTTTGAGTCAGGGTCTTACTCTGTCACCCAGGCTGGAGTGCAGTGGTGCCATCATGACTCACTGCAGCCTCAACCTCCTGGGCTCAGGAGATACTCCCACCTCAGCCTCCCAAGTAGCTGGAACCACAGGTACACAGCACCACACCGGGCTAATTTTTTGTGTGTTTTTTGTAGAGACTGGGTTTTGCCATGTTGCCCAGGCTGGTCTCCAACTCCTGGGCCCAAGCAGTTCTCCTGCCTAGGCCTCCCAAAGTGCTGGGACTACGGGCATGAGCCACCGTGCCCAGCCCACAAATTTCTATTTCTACTTTCAACAGAAATATATTACACCACTGAGTAAGAATAATAAGACCTAATATTCACGAGGCATTTATTTGTTAACCAAGTACTAGTTACTATATATGTAACAGCTCATCTTTAAAATCTTGTATACTGTTGGTGAAAAAGTTGTCTGTTGTTTTAATTTTATTTATTGATTAATAGTGATATTTAGCTATATTTAAATTTTAAGTTATTTGTAAGTATTTGTAGTTGTAAGCTATTTTTCTATTATGAATTACCATCCTTATTGTTTTACATGAGCTGTTTATATATTGCTGTATTAACCCTCTGTCAGGTCTGCTTTAGCTATTTTTTGAGTTGTTTTTATTGTTTTGGTTTTTTATTGATACACATTACATATTTATTAAGTATATGTAATATTTTGTGGTTTTTTAAATTTTATTTTATTAAAAAGTTTTTGGTTTTGAGACAAAGTCTCACTCTGTTGCCCAGACTGTGGCACAGTGGCATGATCACAGCTCATTGCAGCCTCAACCTCCTGGGCTCAAGTGATCCTCCCACCTCAGCCTCCCAAGTAGATGGACCACAGGCATGTGCCACCATGCCTGGCTAATTTGTTTTTATTTTTTGTAGAAATGTCTATTCATCTCCTTTGCCCACTTTTCAGTGGGATTACTTGAGTTGTTTGAGTTCCTTGTATAATCTGGATATAATTCCCTTGTGGGATGAATAGTTTGCAAACATTTTCTCCTATTAAACAGGTTGTCTCTTCACTTCGTTGATTGTTTCCTTTGCTGTGCAGAAGTTTTTTAGTTTAATATAGTCCTATTTGCTTATTTTTGTGGGGGTTTTTTTCTGTGCTTTTGAGGTCTTAGCCATAAACTCTTGCCCTACACCTGTGTCCTAAAGTGTTTTCCCTATGTTTTCTTCCAGTAGCTTTTAGTTGTAGGTCTTATATTTATGTCTTTGCTCCATCTTGAGTTTATTTTTGCATATGGTGATGGACAGGGTTCCAATTTCATTTTTCTGTAGAAGCATATCCAATTTTCTAAGCACCAATTATTGAAGAGGGTGTCCTTTTCTCAATGTCTGTTATTGGCACCTTTGTAGACAATCAGTTGGCTGGAAATAAGTGGATTTACTTCCGGATTCTGTGTTCTGTGGTCTATGTGTCTGTTTTTATACCAATACCACCCTACTTTGATTGCTATGCTATAACCTTGTAATATATTTTGAAGTCAGGTAGTGTGATGCCTCTTGCTTTGTTCTTTTTACTCAGGATTGCTTTGGCTCTTCAAGCTCTTTTTTGATTCTACATGAATTTTAGGATTTTTTCCCCTATTTCTGTAAAAAATGACATTGGTCTTTTCATAGGAGTTGCATTGAATCTGATTATTGCTTTGGGTAGTTTGGTCATTTTAAGAGCGTTAATTCTTCTGATCTATGAACAAAATATGTCTTTTCATTTGTTTGTGTCCTCTTCAATTTCTTTCATCAGCATTTTGTAGTTTCCCTTATAGAAGTCTTTCACTTCCTTGGTTAAATTTATTCTTAGTCATTTCTCTTTTGTAGCTACTGTAAATGGGATTACCTTCTTGATTTCTTTCTCAGCTAGTTCATTATTGGTGTATAGAAATGCTACTGATTTTTGTACATTGATTTTGTATCCTGCAAATTTAATGAATTCATTTATCAGTTCTAAAAGTTTTTGGGTGCACCCTTTAGGTTTTTCTAGATATAAGATCATGTCATCTGCAAAGGGGAACAATTTGACTTCCTCTTTTCCAATCTGGATGCCTTTTATTTCTTCCTCTTGCCTGATTGCTCTGGCTAGGACTTTCAATCCTGTGTTGAATAGGAGTGGTGCAAGTGGGCATCCTTGTCTTGTTCCAGTTCTTAGGGGAAAGGCTTTCATCTTTTCCCCATTCAGTATGATGTTAGCTGTGGGTTTGTCCTATATGGCCTTTAGTATGTTGAGGTATGTTCCTTCTATGCCTAGTTTGTTGGGAATTCTTACCATGAAGGTATGTTGAATTTTATCAAATGCTTTTTCTGGGTCAATTGAGATGATCATATAGTTTTTGTCCTTCATTCTGTTGATGTAATGTATCACATTTATTGATTGGCGTATGTTGAACCATCCTTACATCCCTGAGATAAATCTCTCTTAATAATGGTGTATTACCTTTTTGATGTGCTGTTGGATTCAGTTTGCTAGTATTTCATTGAGGATTTTTGCATCTGTGTTCATCGGGGATAATGACCTTAGTTTTCTTTTTTTGTTGTTTGGTCCTTGTCTTAGTTTGGTATAAGGATAATGCTGGCCTCATAGAATGAGTTAGGAAGAATTCTCTCCTCTTCACTTTTTTGGAATAGTTTGAGAAGAATTGGTGTTAGTTCTTTGTAAGTTTGGTAGAATTCAGCAGTGAAGCCATCTGGTCCTGGACTTTTCTTTGTTGAGAGACTTTTTATTACTGATTTAATTTCATTACTCATTATTGGTCTGTTCAGGTTTCCATATTTTTCTTATTCAATCTTGGTAGGCTGTATGTGTCCAATAATTTGTTCATTTCCTCTAGGTTTTCCAGTTTGTTAGTGTATAGTTGTTCATAACAGTCTCTGATGATTTTTTGTATTTCTGTGGCATCAGTTACAATGTCTCCTTTTTCATTTCTGATTTTTTTTTTTTTTTTGAAACAAGGTCTCACTCTGTTGCCCAGGCTGGAGTGCCGTGGTGCAATCTCAGCTCACTGCAATATCCACCTCCTAGATTCAAGCAATTCTCCTGCCTCAGCCTCCTGAGTAGCTGGGATTACAGGCACGTGCCACCATATCCAGCTAATTTTGGTATTTTTAGTAGAAATGGGGTTTCACCATGTTGGTCCACCTGCCTGGGCCTTCCAAAGTGCTGGGATTACAGGCATGAGCCTCTGTGCCCGGCCCATTTCTGATTTTATTTATTTGTGTCTTCTCTCCTTTTTCTTGGTTAGTCTAGCTAGCGATTTATCAATTTTGCTTACTTTTTCAAAAAGACAACTTTTCATTTCATTGATCCTTTGTATTGTTTTTTAAGTCTGTATTTCATTTAATTCTGCTCTGATCTTTATTATTAATTTTATTCTACTAATTTGGGGTTTGGATTGTTCTTGCTTTTTTTTTTCCTTTGAGTCAGGGTCTTGCTCTGTTGCCCAGGCTGGAGTACAATGGCTCTATGATGGCTTATTCCAGCCTTGACCCTCTGGGCTCAAGTGAACCTCCCACTTTAGCATCCTAAGTGGCTGGGACCACAATTGTGCACCACTGTGTCTGGCTAAACTTTTTTAATGTTTTGTAGAGACAGGGTCTCCCTATGTTGCCTAAGTATGTTGCCTAAGCTGGTCTCAAACTCCTGGGCTCAAGCCATCCTCCTGATTCAGCCTCCCAAAGTGCTGGGACTACAGGAGTGAGCCACCATGCCTGGCCCGTTCTTGCTTTTCCAGTTCCTTGAAGGCATCTTTAGATCATTTATTTGAAATCTTCCTACTTTTTTGATGTAGGTGTTTATTGATATAAACTCCCCTCTTAGCACTGCTTTTGCTGTATCCCATAGGTTTTCGTACGTTCTATGTCAATTTCCATTTGTTTCAATAAATTTTTTTTAAATTTTCTTTAAGATATTTTACGTTTCTTCTATGTTGTGGAATCTATTGAGTTTTACTTTATGATTCATCCTTGCTTTTTAAAACATTTAATTTTATTTAATGGTTCAGTAATAATAAAGATACCCTTTTACATGTTTACAGTACCTCATTGTTTACATACACTATTTCAAGCTTTTGGAATAGGGACAACTAAAACAGATTCTTGTGTAAATGAGTTTCTTTATATAACTTCACATTCTTTATGTAATGGTTCTTTTGAAGCTTAACAAGTTCTTTCTCAACAACTGTATTTTTTTAATGTGGAATTGACTAAGTATATGAAAATATGAAATAAACAAAATAAAATGGAAAACTATGAGGTCCTTAGAAGTCACATTACATCCCTATATTTGGTGACATTTAAAGAGATGAATGACATCATTGAGAAGTAAGGAGAAATACAGTGCAGCAAATCAAGAACATGCCACTCATGTAAGAGTGAACATCTATCTCCAGGCATGAGAAAGGTCTAGAGAGTTCTTAACAAAATGCTGTCAGTGTTTATTTCTCAGTCTTGAGACGTCAGATGATTTTTATGATCTTCTTTGTGCTTTTCTAATTTGTTTAATATTTTACAGTAAGCATGTATCATTTTTACTAAAATATCCACGTTATTGTTTAAAACAGGAACAAAATTTTTCTACATGCACAAGGATAATAGTATTTGTCTATATTTTTTTCTGGTCTTTTAATTAAGTGTTTATACACACAGAGAGACAGGAATAAAGTTTTCCTTAGCATTTAAATAATTTCCAAGAAGTATATACATTCCTACATATGGGTTAAATAAACACACATATGTCAATAAACATATATTCTAACAAACTCAGGCCTGCTAAATGCGGCTAAAAGTTCCCAGTGAAAAGAACTCTTAGGTGAGCTATATTTTCTAATCTGCAGACCCTCCTACTGCATAACTCTGGATGATGTCATACAAACCTCTTCCTGCATCTGGGACTCTTTCCAGCTGCTACATGTGGGAGCTTCCCGTTTTTGTTCTAATTGAGTGATGTTTACTGGAAATGGAGTCTGCTAATAAGATCTCAGTTCAGATAGCTTTGTGGGGACAGGAAGAATGATTGTGAGATGAATTTGGCCAAAAACCTTTACTTTCTCCCTTGTCATTATCTTGTTTTGATAGGTTGGCTTAGTTTTGTTTTGAAATTACCTCTTCTGAGAAACCAAAGAGGAACGATATGCGCTGTCTTCTTCTTCCTCCTCCTCCTCCTCCTTTTCCTCTTCCTACCAAGACTCCCAACTCAGACTGTTTTTCAGTCTGTCCCTCCATACATACCTGCACACTCACACATCTACTAGAGAGTATATGGAGACAGCCAAGAGCCCTTAGAAAGATAGCTGGGTAATGTACTACTCTGTTCTCTTGAATTTGGATGGAACTTATGACAACACTTAGATGTGAACAAATAAGGCAAGAGAATTTGTCCCAGATTGCACAGCTGGTTATGGCAGAACAAAGCGGTGGTGAACCTAGATTTCATATCTCCTAGCTCAGGGCCTCTGGATTAAAACCCATAAACATTGTTCACATTTTTTTGGAACTATGCATAAGGGCAACTTAGAGAGTTCCAGGTAAGAGAATGCAGCATAACAAGAGTTGATTGTTTTAAGTTGTGTTATGTTAAAGATCAGCTAAGTAAAATTAAAGAGAAAAGCTGCTAAATATACTGAATTATTTCATTTTTGTGGATCTCCTTGATTGTGATTTGCGAGCTCAGAAGTATTAACAGTTTTTCTCAAAAATTTTAAGATGAAAAATTCTCAAGTCCAATTAATTGAAAAGCTTAAGACTACTCTATACCATGCTTCACTTTAGAAAGTAGGGAGCTTGTTGCAAATTCAAACAAGGATGTGGTGTCACAACTCATGAAAGGAATCTCTTATCAAATATCTATCCTACCATCAAATTGCCATTACATCTGCCCGAATGTACATGGGACACAGTTGCGTCAGAAAGGCTAAAGCTCCAAATAAGTTCACATTATTCTGAAACTATCAGATTATGTGATGGATATAATTTGGGTGTTACAGTCTTTGTAGTAAAGTTTGAGGAATGACACCAGGTATGGTCGAGTGCAGTGGCTCATGCCTATAAGATGAGCCTAGGCAACATGGTGAGATCCCATCTCTACAAAAAATACAAAAATTATCCAGGCATGGTGGGGTGGTGTGCACCTGTAGTCCCAGCTACTCAGGAGGTTCCAGTGGGAGGATTACTTGAAACCAGGAGGTTGAGACTGTAGTGAGCCATGTTTGTGCCACTGTACTCCAGCCTGGGCAACAGAGCAAGACTGTCTCAAAAAAAAAAAAAAAAGAAAGAAAGAGAAAAAAAAACCCCATCAGGTAAAATGTAGGGCCACTGTCAATGGGGGACATAGAGAAAACAGAGATCTTCAATTCTCTTCTGCTTCTAACTTTCGGGACAAGGACATTTTTTCTCCACATGTTATCAGTAAGGTGAGGAGAAATAGAGAAAGAGCATAAACTTTGGTAAGCGAAGATAGAAGCCCAAGATGGAATAATAGAGTGAGAAAGAGCCCAAAGCTGCTCCAAGTGATTTCAAGTCCCCAGTTTTGAAGAATGATGTCTTTGGGTCTTGAGAAAACATTGTTGTGGGATCACCAACAATCGTCAGGGATATTTGGGGCATCATAGAGAATAGGAGAGATTCCAGAAGACTGGTAACAGTGGAGTATTCTGATTTTCAGAAAGAGAAAGCAGAGCCAGAAAAAAATGTAGATAATGGTCTGTAACCTCAATCTCAGGCCAGAGTCTAGAAGGGGGGATTATTAGAGGAACAGTTTCAGGCACTAGATAAAAAAGGAATGATTAAGATCCAGATGAGTTCACTAAAAACAAGTCAGGGCTAATTTATCTCTTGGCTTTGACAGAGTTACCAGCCCAGTACCTCAGGGAATGCCCATACATATAGAATATTTTGTTATCAGTTAGACATTTAATAAAGTTTTTTTTTCATGATATTCTTTTGGACAAGACAGAGAGATATAAACTGAATTGTGGCACACTGAATGAATTAGAAACCAGTCAATTGTACGCACAGGTGCTGGCTAACAAACTGTAAAGAAGCATGCAGTGGTGAGTCCCAGGCTGTGTCTGTCCTTCACTGTCTCCTCATAAATGCTTTCAGAATAAATATACAGAAGGTGTGCTCATCAGATTTATAGGCAACATGAAGTTAGAGGGTATGATGAATACTTGAATGGCAGAACGAAAATTCCTAGGTTGAATCTAAAAGGATGAAATTTAAGGGTGATTAATATGAGGTCTAAGGAATTAAATCTATCAGTGAGAATAAGCAATACTTGCTTTAACGGTAACTAAGAGCCTTAACTCAATATGAGTCAGAAGTGTAACGTGGTTGCCAAAAAAACTAAGATTTTAGGCTGTATCCAGTGGTGTGGTAAATATTTAACAACTGGCCCTGGGTTGGGGGCGGAGAGAGGGAGGGACCTTGATTTATAGCTCTGACCAATCTCTGTAGTGTAAATACTCTCACCTTGGCCAGTTTCAAGGTACTGACTTTGTGGCACTGAACTCAGAGGTTGGAAGAGATGTGTGATAGCATGCCATTATGTGGTATTTCCACCACACAGATGCAGTAGATGTGATTAACCTCAAGAGGAGAGATAATAATTAAACACAGTAAAATTACTAGGAAGTAGTATTTTAATTACTTATTACCTTTGTTTTTAATATATCTAATTGTAGGCTTATGTAATTTAACTTTAATTTTTAAAATTATTATTATTATTTTCGAGACAGGGTCTTGTTTTGTTTTGTTTTGTTTTGTTTTTGAGACAGAGTCTGGCTCTGTCGCCCAGGCTGGAGTGCAATGGCGTGATCTCTTCTCACTGCAACCTCTGCCTCCTGGGTTCAAGCAATTCTCCTACCTCAGCCTCCCAAGTAGCTGGGACTACAGGCACGTGCCACCACACCCAGCTAATTTTTGTATTTTTAGTAGAGATGGGGTTCCACCATTTTGGCCAGGATGGTTTCAAACTCTTGACCTCGTGATCTGCCCAAAGTGCTGGAATTACAGGCGTGAGCCACCGCACCTGGCCTGAGACAGGGTCTTGCTCTGTTACCCAGGCTGGAGTACGGTGGCGTGATCTCAGCTCACTGCAGCCTCAATCTCCCAGGCTCAAGCGCTCCTCCCACCTCAGCCTCTTGGATAGCTGAGACCACAGACGTGCCCCACCATGCTTGGCTAATACTTTTTTAAATTTTTTGTAGAAACGGGGTCTCACTATACTGCCCAGACTGGTTTGAACTCCTGGGCTCAAGCAATCCTCTGGACTTGGCCTCCCAGAGGGCTGGGATTACAGACGTTAACCACCTTGCCCAGCATAATTTAACTTTTAATTAGAACTGCATTTTACAACTAGCTCAGAAAATTCTTGAACATTTAACTATCAGCTCTTGCAAGTTTGTGCACATGGGCTCTGGACCATGGTAACCAGAAATGCAGTCACTGGTAGAAGGGAGGTGATAACCCTGCTGTTCTCTGCATTTGTCAGGACACACCCAGATCCCTTTATTCCAGAACACATAACTTAAAGTCACACTTTCCTGAGATCAGAGCAGAGGATGGCAGAGAACCAAAGTCACGAGTGTGTGAAACAACGGAGAGGAGCGGCGCTGTGCAGCCTGGAGCTCAAGACACTTGCATGAGCGGTGAGATGAGAGGGACAGGGGAGAGCTTGTTTTCAAATATTTGAGAGGCTGTTGTGTAAGGAAGGATTAGGGCTCTAATTGGTGGGTAGAAAAGGATACAAGGAGACAGATTTCTGTTCAGTATAAGGAAGACATTTCTGGCTAGGCATGGTGGCTCATGCCTGTAATCCCAGCACTTTGGGAGGCCAACGTGGGCAGATCGCTTGAGCTCAGGAGTTCGAGACCAGCCTGGGCAACATGGTGAGACCCGTCTCTACTAAAAACAAATAAAAATAATTAGCTGGGAATAGTGGCACACACCTGTGGTCCCAGCTAGTCAGGAGGCTGAGACAAGAGAATCACTTGAACCTGGGAGGCAGAGATTGAAGGGAACTGGGATCACTCCACTGCACTTCAGCCTAGGCAACAGAGCAAGACCCTGTCTCAAAAAAAAAAAAAGATATTTTTGGGAAGGAGAGAAAAAAGAAAGAAATTTCTTACAGGCAAAGCTATCTAAAGAGGAATGGGCTGAAGGCAATCCTGCAGAATATGGGCAATGACCTTTAGGGATGGTGTAGAGATGGTTCACGCATCAAAAGAGGGGATGGGGCTGGATAATCTTGAAGACGTCCCCCAAGTCTCTGACTACCTGATTTTTGATCCATTGTGCTTTCTAGTTGCCTCAGCCTCCCAAAGTGCTGGGATTACAGGCGTGGGCTGCCGCGCCCAGCTTACAACTATCAATTTTATATCTAATCTTACATCATCTATCCTCCCATCTACCTACCATCCATTCCTCCAGATTCTTGTGGAACAAATGCCTGAACATATCATTGAGTCCATAAACACGTCAGTATGCATCTCTAAAACATAAGAGCATTTTGAAAATATACCCACAATACTTTTATCACACTTAAGAAATTAATATTGATTCTCTAATATCATCTAATATCCAGTCATTATTTAAATTTTCCCATTTGTGTCATAAACTTTTTATTTGAGCTTGCTCAAGTCAGGATGTAGGGTCCACACATCGCCATGGTTAGATGGGTTTCTTAAACCTCTTTTAGGCTGTAAGTTTCCCTTTCATTATTTATTTGTTGAAGGTGCCGTGTTATTTGTCATATAGAATTTCCCAGTCTGAATTTTTAAAAATTGCATTATGGCATATTTAACAAGTTTCTCTTTCCCCTATATTTTCTGTGATAACGTTTATGTTTGATTCTTTGGGAAGGAATGCTTTGTTGGTGGTGTCCTGTATTTCTCACTAGGAGAATAGTGGAATTTTGATTTTGTTTTATAGGGATTGCTTTTCAATTCAACTAGGAGAATAGTGAGAAATACAGTGAGAAATTGTGACGTCAGCAGCCACTGATGATAAGCGTCTAGATCTGTTAATTCATTTGCAGTTCTAAACGGTGATCTTCTAATTTTCTCATTGCTCCTTTAATTATTAGCTGGAATACTTTTATAAAGAGAAATATCCCCTTTTCAATGATATGGTTACGCTGAAGTACAGAAAATGTAAGATAAATGCTTCATTACCTGTGAAATTCAAAGCAATGAGTTGGCTCCCAAGCATCTGCCTAGGAAGAACAATGAGCTGTTTTGTTTCTTTTTAAGCATTATGATGAACTAATGGATTTAAAAATATTTGATGTGTTTTAATCAATTGCTATTGTTATTTTTATTAATATTCAACTTGGCTTCCAAGTCTTTTTAACATGATCTGACTTATTTCCTTGATTTCTAATATGACAAGATCTCTTACATTCCACATTCAACTCATGTATTTTCTGCCCCAGATCAGGAATTGGCCATTTCTCCAAAGAGTCCTGGTTCCTTTCAATGGGAAATGAAATTTAGAGACCAAACTCTGGGCTCCAGTGTTGTCAGCCTACTAGGTTGATCATAGTTTCTGGGGCTTTTTAGTAGAAAGAATTAGGAAGTTCTCCTTCCTTTCTTCTTCCTCCTCTCCTTTCTCTTCTTCCTCTTCGAAAATATATTGTGGTTCATACGACATTTTCTTTTCTTTTCCTTTTTTTTTGGAGACAGAGTTTCACTTTGTCACTCAGGCTGGAGTAAAGTGGCATGATCATAGTCCACCGCAGCCTTGAACTGGGTTCAAGTGATCCTCCTGCCTCAGCCTCCTGAGTAGCTGGGATTATAGGCACATACCACCATATCTTACTAATTTTTTTATTTTTATAGAGAGAGGGTCTTACTATTTTGCCCAGGCTGGTCTCAAATTTCTGGCCTCAAGTGATCCTCCTGCCTTGACCTCCCAAAGTGCTGGGATTACAGACATGAGCCACCATGACCAGCCCATATGACATTTCAAACAAGACTACGAGATGTTTTTTCAACCTCGTCAATCTCACATTTATACTTTTTTTCCCTTATTGAAAATCCCAATTCTCAAAGACATCAATAAAATTACTTATTTGCTTTATTTCACAAAAAAAATGCAACTGTCTTACAATAACTGTTCTAAGACCCACCACCAACCATATGACTATTGAAATACATTTAAGGTCGTTATGTAGTTCTTTTTGGTTTTATGGCGTATCATAATAATGAAAATCAAATTAAAGTCACTTGAAGTAGTTCCTTCCTGTGTGGTTATTCCGCCAACTCAGAGTGTACATTTCAGTTCATTTGTTTCATTTTGGTTTTGTTTCATAGGGATTGCTTTTCAATTAAAAATATTTTATAATTATGTAAAATGATTACAAATTTCTAAAGTCAAATCTACAACAGCAGGCATATTCAGAGGAGTGTGACTTCTATCCCAGTCCCTCTACCCTATCTACTTCCCAACAAAGTCTTTTTTAAGAAATAAAGTTTTATGGCATATTCTCTCATTAAAAAAATAAGGAAACATTTTCATATATCAAATTCTCTCTTTTTAGATAAACAGTAGCATACTATAGACAATTTTTTCTACCTTGTTTTGTTTTCACTAGCCATAAAGTCTAAGGATCACTCCATATATTCCTCGTTCTTTTTTACAGCTGTGTAGTACTCTGCCATGTGAACTGTGCATAGTATTATTTGGATGTTAAACACATTTAATCAAAATTAAAATTTAAGGAAATTTTAGCATGGTCAGCTGAAATAGAATTCAGGTGTCTCTCAAAATTTGTCCTCCCACCTATTTATTTGTTTTATTTTTGTTTATTTATTTATTTATTTGAGACAGAGTCTCACTCTGTTGCCCAGGCTGGAGTGCAGTTGTGCTATCTCGACTCACTGCAGCCTCCACCTCCTGGGATCAAGTGATTCTCCTGCCTCAGCCTCCCAAGTAGCTGGGATTACAGGCACGCACCACCATCCCTGGCTAATTTTTGTATTTTTAGTAGAGACGGTGTTTCACCATGTTGACCAGACTGGTCTTGAACTCCTGACCTCAAGTGATCCACCCACCTCAGCCTCCCAAAGTGCTGGGATTACAGGCATGAGCCACTGCGCCCGGCCCAGTCTTTTCATCTACTTAGTGGCTCCACCCTGTTTTTGCAGTTCCTACACACTTACCCCTGGGATACCCTCTCCAGCCTGAGCAAAGGTTCTACATTTTTCAAATGATTTTCAGACATCTAAGATTAGCCCTTTATTGGTCCAACCCCTTGAAACCTTATTCCTTTTTAGGTGACAATGCATGCTGAGGAGTTCATTTAAAGGTAATTTCTGCAAAACCTTTACCCATCACATGCCATCTCTCCTGAGTAACAAGAGGCCTTGATCTCAAACTCCACATATGCCAGGGCATCACCGGTTGCTCTATTAAGCACCATGTTTCAGTGCCTTAGTACTGTTTGTAAAACAAAGCAACTAATAATCAGAATTTATCCTGGGATCTTATTGGGAAGAAACATCCTGAAATAACCAAGAAATAACAATAATGGTAAATCATATGTATAAATGAATTCTAGAGATGAAGGCTGTGGCAACAGTCTTTCTTTCCTTTTAATATTCCTTATGTGGGTAGCAGAAATATCAAGTTTGCAAATACTCTGCCTGGGAGAACCGCCACTTGTACCTTTCTCTTTCTGGTACAGTCTTTTTTTTTTTTTCTTTTTTTAAACGGAGCCTCTCTTTGTCATCCAGGCTGGAGTGCAGTGGTGCTATCTCGGCTCACTGCAACCTCTGCCTCCCAGGTTCAAGTGATTCTCCTGCCTCAGCCTCTCAAGTAACTGAGATTACAGGCGCCCACTTCCATGCCCAGCTAATTTTTGTATTTTTAGTAGAGACGGGGTTTCACCATGTTGGCCTCGAACTCCTGACCTCAAGTAATCCACCCGCCTTGACCTCCCAAAGTGCTGGGATTACAGGGATGAGCCACTGCTCCTAGCCCCTGGTACAGTCTTTACACTGAAAAACGGATGCACCTACCACAGTATAAAGATGGGAGTTTACTTTGGAGACAGAAGACAGGAATGAACTGCATCAAAATGATAGGCTCAGAGTTAAAAATATGAGAACCGTCAGTGATTTCACACACACACACACATGCACACACACACACACACACACACACAGACGCATGCACATATGCATGCCTATAGCTTATTTCTTTAGAAACTAGCCACAGAACCCATTGAAACCCAGAGAGCTGTGGAACACAATTAGAAAAGGCCTGGGACAGGAGGGCTGGAGTGAGCCTTCTGAGCAGCCCAGACCTCACATTAGCAGGACAGAAGTTAGCAGCGTAGAAGCAGCTGGCAGGACTAGAGCTGCCTAGCCATTATAGCTGGGTTTCCTGGCATCTGTCTTGAAGGGAAGGGGGATTGGTTACTATTCAGTAACTTCAGGTTTTTTGTTTTTTGTGTGTTTGTTTGTTTTGAGACTGAGTCTCACTCTGTCACCCAGGCTGGAGTGCAGTGGCGTGATCTTGGCTCACTACAACCTCCGCCTCCCGGGTTCAAACGATTCTCCCGCCTCAGCCTCCCAAGTAGCTGGGATTACAGGCACTTGCCATCATACCTGGCTAATTTTTGTATTTTTGTAGAGACAGGGTTTCACCATGTTGTCCAGGCTGGTCTTGAACTCCTGACCTCAGGTGATCCACCCACCTCGGCCTCCCAAAGTGCTGGGATTACAGGCGTGAGCCACCGCGCCCAGACAACTCTTCATTTTTTTAAAGAAAATTTCAGAAGATTGCCTCAGGTGAAACCACAGTAAGGAGATCTAACATATGGCATTATAAAATATGAATTTGGGCATGATGATATGCATTATGCAATTTACCATGACATTTATAAAGTCAAGGGATTTAGGCCTAGAAGTGTCCATGAAAGATTCAATGCTTTAGGTCTTCATTTATTTGTTTGTGCTGTGCACTTGGTTTGGAATTCCCTTTCCCTGTATCATTTCATCCTAATGAACGCCTACTTATTTTTTAAGACTCAATGCTATTACCTCCTCTATAGTTCCATAACAGTATATATATTTCCTGTAACAATATTATGTTGTATTATAATTGTTTGCATATTGCCTGTTTTCTACTAGGCTGTCAGTTCTTTTGGGAGAGGAGCCCAGTCTTCATACCTCAGTGACTAACTTAAAAGACACTTGATGTTTATTAAGTGATGTCAGAGACCAACTAATCCAGTTCCTCTAAGTAGATGAAACTGAGGCCCAAAGGATTTCCATAAATTCAGTAATTCCACAAGTATATACTGAGTATTTACAATGTGCCTAGCGCTAGGTAAGGCTAAATGTCTTTAGTGTATTTTAAATATCATTTGGAGTATGCTTAATTTCCATTTGTCCAGAGATCAAAAGATAAATGCCAGCATCTCATGAATCCTCAAAGCAATATTGAATTATGTTCAGAATTGGTTTATATCAATTTATTTTATTGTACTCTAAGTGTGTATCACCCAAGAATGCAATCTGCATACTGCTAATGTGTGTGTGTGAGGTGGGGGAGGGATGGTCAGAGTGTTCAATGCCCAATATAATGCCCAATTTAGGAAACACTGGGTTATATTAGGTTAAATAGATTCTTCCCTGAACTTTCAACATGCTTGATAGTGACTAGTTAAATCTCCAAGAAGAGCATCTAATATGCACTGTTTCCCAAATTTATTTGCCTAGTGAACCTCCCCTTTTTTGTTGCTCCTATTAATAGCTGCCTGCAATGCAGTTCGGAAGAACATAGAGTTGGTCGGTGCAGTTCTTTGAAGAGTCCTCATCTGTGTTTAGTGAGGACTTCAAAGGGAAACTGTAAGCTCCCTGGGGAGGAAAGTGGATGGAAGGGGAGAAGGGAAGGCCGGAGAAGGAGCAGCTAACCAGGAAGACACGGGAGGTAGCAGGTCACTGTCTAGGGTCTAAGAGAGGGACAGGGGCCATAAGCAGACAACTGAGGAGCATGTTTCCATGCTAAGCTCAGTGAGACATTTGGGGCTCAAGCAGATGGGCTTTGGGGTCAAGAGATAAGGTGTTTCACAAGGAGAGCCAGGAGCACTTCTGCAGGAACATGCAGCATGTCTTCAGGCCTCTGGGGATTCCAGAGGACATGGCACCCTGCCTGCAGGTCCCCAAGGACTGCCACATGTCAGGGCCACAGTGTCTGTGGGGACAGGAGAGGAAGGAAATGAAGCAGGCACAAAGTAGGTTACTGAGTGGTTTCATCAACATCTGTGACACCCACTCCCAGGGGGTTCCTGGACATATTTGGGGTTAGGTTTAACAAGGGGCAGTAGCTATGGGGAACAATATTTGCAGGGCCCAATGCAAAATGACAACACAGGCCCCTTGTTTAGAGTTAAGAATTTCATGATTGTGACAGCTGAGCATTAAACCAAGCACCAGGCCCTTCTGAATGCAGACCTCTGGACAACTGTACAGGTTGCACACCCATGAAGCTGCCAGAGAGTTCTCAGTGGTCCTAAAGCCCACTTGAATCTCCTGGCTACTGTGGCCTGGAGAAACCAGGTTACGCATGGTTTATATAAAAAGTTGGTCTCCCTATTCCAACGTATCTGATTATCATGGAAACACTGTTTACCAGTTGCTATGGTCTGAATGTTTGTGTCTCCCCTCAACCCCTGCAACATTCATATTTAATCCCCAATGCAGTAGTATTAAGAAGTGGTGCCTTAGGAAGTGATGAGGTCCTAAAGTGAATGGGGTGAATGGGATTACTGCCCTGTGAGAGAGAACCAAGGGCGCTTGTTTGCCCCTTCCACAATGTGAGAACGCAGCAGGAAGATATCCTGTGAAGCAGAAAGTAAGCCCTCACCAGATACCACATCCGTTGGTGCCTTGACTTTGATCCAGAACAGTAAACAATACATTTCTTTTTTTTTTTTAATTATACTTTAAGTTTTAGGGTACATGTGCACATCGTGCAGGTTTGTTACATATGTATACCTGTGCCATGTTGGTGTGCTGAACCCATTAACTCGTCATTTAGCATTAGGTATATCTCCTAATGCTATCCCTCCCCCCTCCCCCCTCCCCCCACCCCACAACAGTCCCCGGTGTGTGATGTTCCCCTTCCTGTGTCCATGTGTTCTCATTGTTCAATTCCCACCTATGAGTGAGAACATGTGGTGTTTGGTTTTTTGTCCTTGCGATAGTTTGCTGAGAATGATGGTTTCCAGCATCATAACAATACATTTCTATGGTTTATAAAATACCCAGTCTATGGCAGCTCAGATGGACTAAGACACCAGTCATTCTGGGTAAACTTTGTTGTAAGATAAATTTATTTATTTATTGTTAAATTTTAAATATTTTCAGAGAGGGGGTCTTGCTATGTTGCCCAGGCTGGTCTCAAACTGCTGGGTTCAAGTGATCCACCTGCCTTGGCCTCCCAAAGTGCTGGGATTACAGGCGTAAGCCACCATGCCCAGGCTGTTATAAGATAAATTTAACCAGCCTAGGCAACATGGCGAAACCTCGTCTCTACAAAAAGTACAAAAATTAGCCGGCATGGTGGTGCATGCCTGCAGCCCCAGCTACTCAGGAGGCTGAGAGGTGGGAGTATCACTTGAGCCCAGGAGGTCGAGGTTGCAGAAAGCCATGATTGCGCCACTGCACTCCAGCTTGGGTGACAGAGCAAGACTCTGTCTCAAAAAAGAAAAAAAAAAAGTACACATTAAATTCCAGGAACATATTTAATGCAGAAATCCAGGCACATTCAAGCTATTTCCATATATAGTACTCACACCATAAACAGCATCCATTCTCCTCACGCTGAGAATCAAGGCAGATTTGCAGCTGCATTGCAGACGAGTATAACCTTTGACTTTGTCCTGGGGTTCATACCAGTATTCATTTGGTGCTGAGGCAGCACTCAGCACCCGTGCTGATTTCCCTCAAAAATGAAAAACAAACTCAGGTGGAAAATCTGGGCATGCAATGTCATTTGCTATTTTTGGAGATGAGGGAGAAAAAAGAAGTTGTGGAAAGTGTTGTAATAAGCAGCATAGAACAGCAGCCCATGAGTGTGAAATAAAACAACACCCGCATGCTCTTCTTGACAGTGATTGAATGGAAGCAACGAAGTGGAGGAGAAACCACGCTGGGGAGAGCTGGCATCCCCTTGGGAGAAGCCTTTCCAACAGTGGACTGAAAGCATGAGTTACCTTACCCTGTAAGATTAATCTCCAACCAAACAGCAATCTTACCTCTGAGATACAGGCATACCTCAGAGTTTATGTGGGTTTCAATCCCAACCACTGCAATAAAGCAAATATTTGGAATAAGTGAGTCACACAGATTTTTTGGTTCCCAGTGCATAGAAAGGTTATGTTTATACTATACTGCAGTCTATGAAGTGTGCAATAGCATTACGTCTTAAAAAAGTATATACCTTAATTTAAAAATACTTTTTTGCTAAAAAAAAATGTTAACAGTCATCTGAGCCTTTAGTGAGTTGAAATCTTTTTGCTAGTGGAGGATCTCATCTCAACACTGGTGACTGCTGACTGATCAGGGTGGTGGTTGCTGAAGGTTGGGTGGCTGTGGCAATTTCTTAAAATAATACAATGAAATTTGCCGCATTTATTGACTCTTCCTCTCACAAAAGATTTCTCTGTATTGTGAGATGCTGTTTGATAGCATTTTGCCCACAGGAGAACTCCTTTCAAAATTGGATTCCATCCTCTCAAACCCTTAGTTGATGCTTTATCAACTAAGTTTATGGAACATTCTCAATCGTTTCTTGTCATTTCAACACTGCTCACAGCACCTTCACCAGAAGCAGCTTCCATCTCAAGAAATCACTTTCTTTGCTCATCCACAGAAAGCAATTTCTCATCTGTTCAAGTTTAATCATGAGATTGCAGCAATTCAGTCACATCTCCAGGTACCACTTCTAATTCCAGTTCTCTTGCTATTTTCACCACATCTGCAGTGACTTGCTCCATTGAAGTCTCAGACCCCACAGTCATCCACGAGAGTTAAAATCAGCTTCCTCCAAACTCTGTTGATGTTGATAGTTTGCCCTTCTCTCATGAATCATGAGTATTTATAATAACATCTAAAATGGTGAATCCTTTCCAGAAGGTTTTCAATTTACTTTGCCCAGATCCATCAGAGGAATCACTATCTATGGCAGCTACAGCCTTACAAATGTATTTCTTAAATAACAAGACTTGAAAGTCAAAAATCACTCCTTGATCCATGGGCTACAGAATGGATGTTGTGTTAGCAGGCATGAAAACAACATTCAGCTCCTTGTACATCTCCATCAGAGTTCTTGGGTGACTAGGTGCATTGTCAAGAAGCAGTAATATATTAAAAAGGAATCTTTTTTATTTTTTGAGTAGTAAGTCTCAACAGCAGGCTTAAATTATTCAGTAAACCATGCTATAAACAGATGTGCTGTCATCCAGGCTTTGTTGCTCCATTTATACAGCACTGGCAGAGTAGATTTAGCATAATACTTAAGGGTCCTAGGATTTCCAGAATGGTAAATGAGCACCATGTTCAACTTAAAGTCACCAGCTGCATTAGTCCCTAACAAGAGAGTCGCCTGTCCTTTGAAGCTAGGCATTGACTTCTCTCTAGCTACGAAAGTCCTAGATGGCATCTTCTTCTAGTAGAAGGCTGTTTCATCTCCATCGAAAATCTATTGTTCAGTGTAGCCACCTTCATCTATGATCTTAGCTAGATCTTCTGGATAACTTGCTGCAGCTTCTCCATCAGCACTTGCCTCTTCACCTTGCACTTTTATGTTATAGAGATGGCTTCTTGCCTTAAATCTCATGAAGCAACCTCTGCTAGCCTCAGACTTTTGTTCTGCAGCTTCCTTACGTCTCCCAGCCTTCGCAGGATTGAAAAGAGTTTAGTGCCTTGTTCTAGGCTAGGCTTTGGATGAAGGGAATGTTGTTGCTGGTTTGATCTTCTATCCAGCTCACTGAAACTTTCTCCGTATCAATGCTGTTTCGCTTTCTTATCATACTTGTGTTCACTGGAGTAGCACTTTTAATTTCCTTCAAGAATTTTTCCTTTGCATTCACAACTTGGCTATCTGTTTGGCACAAGAAGCCTAGCTTTTGGCCTGTCTCAGCTTTTGACACACCTTGCTTACTAAGCTTAATCATTTCTAGCTTCGGATTCAAAAATGAGAGATGCACATGATTCTTCCTTTCACTTGAACACTGAGAGGCCATCGTAGGGTTGTTAATTGGCCTAATGTCAATATTGTTGTGTCTGAGCAGTGGAGCAGTCAGTATATAACATTTATTAATTAAGCTTGCTATTCTGTATGGGCACAGTTTATGGTGCCCTAAACATTAACAATGGTAACATCAAAGATACCTGGGGCCAGGTGTGGTGGCTCAGGGACTGGGCAAAGTGGTTCATTCCTATAACCTGAGCACTTTGAAAGGCTGAGATGGGAGGATCTCTTAAGCCCAGGAGTTTGAGGCTAGCCTGGGCAACACAGTGAGACCCCATCTCAAAAAAAAAAAAAAAAAAAGAATACTATAGATTGAGTGGTTTAAAAACAACAGAAATTTATTTCTCACAGATCTGGAGGCCGAGAAGTCCAGGATCAAGGCACTGGCAGATTCAGAGTCTGATGTGGCCTGCTTTCTGGTTCATAGTTGTTATCACCTTGCTCTGTCCTCACATGACTGAAGGAGCAAGGAAGCTCTTCTGAGTCTCTCTCATACGAGCACTAATCTCATTCATGAGGGTTCTGCTCATTCATGAATTTCCTCCCAAAGGTTCCGCCTCCTAATACCATCACCTTGAGGATTGGGATTTTAACCTATGAATTTTGCGGGACACAAACATTCAGTCTATAGCAGATGGAAGATGAAGCCCAGCTTTCTAGGAAGCCCCCACCCGCAGAAATTTATGGAGCTAAAAAACTGCCCTTCAACTCCCTCCATTTCCTTGGCTGGCCTCTTCCCCCGACATCTCCCTGTTGTTTCTCCACAGGGAGCTTTTATTCATTGAGAAGGCCAGAACAGAGTGGGGACAGCCATGAGGTGCAGATAGTGGGAGCCTAGGGCGGCAGAGAAGGATGACCAGAGGGCCTGGGGGCAGGAGTGTCACCTATGGAAGGAATGGATCCTGGGGACAAGCTGCGTTGTCGGCTCTGACTAGGTGGGGCGGGGCAGGACTGTGCGATGGGCAAGTGTGAACTGTTACTGTCTCCATTATGCAGATGAAGGAACTGAGACTCGATCATGAGGGGGATTCAATTCTGGTCCTTGTCACTCTGAGGCTTGTGTCCTTTCTGCGCTACCAAGCTTTGTCTCTGCTTCTCAAGATGGTGATACAACTACTAATTCATAAAGCTCTGCAAGAGGGTGGTGGTTTTGAGTTGTAATTTCAATGAAGAGGGAGAAGAAGTAGAAAGAAACTAGGTTTATTTTTATGCTTTGGAATATTGATTGAAAGAATCAAAAGGATATAAGAGGATAAGGCAGGAAAAGTGGAACAAGAGCTAAACAACAAAGCCTGGAAAATAGACTATACTAATATCTTAAAAAGCTGATGGATTGAAGGAAAGATTCGGGTGAGGGGGGACAACTGAAGATATGAATCATGGGTAAAGAGGAGGATGTGATGGTCTTTGCCAAGCACCAGCACTGGCAGTGGGAGTGTGTGGGGTGGGGTCTAGCGCTCATGTTCATGACATAGAGGAGGACCTGGGCCTAGAGCCACTCAGTAAACTGGTGGCAGAGCCAGGGTAAACTTTGGTCTCCTGGCCCCACCTTCCAGGGCTCTTTTCTCTATTTTGTGCACTCAGAGAAGGGAGTTAAAAGATCAAAGATGTGGAAAGCACATGTGAAAAGTTAGAGGACACCCACATAGTAAGAAACTTAGGGCCAGGTGTGGTGGCTCATGTCTGTAATCCCAGCACTTTGGAGACTGAGGTGGGAGGATCACTTGAGCCCAGGAGTTCAAGACCAGCCCTGGCTACATAGTGAGACCTCATTCTATGAGAAAATGAGAAATAAATAAGCCAGGCGTGGTGGTGTGAACCCGTAGTCTCAGCTACTCAGGAGACTGAGGAGGGAGGATTCCTTGAGCCCAGGCTGCAGTGAGCTATGATCATGCCACTGTGTTCCAGCCTAGATGACAGTGAGACCCTGTCCCAAAAAACAAAACAAAACAAAACAAAAAACAAGAAACAAACAACAACAGAAAAAAAACAAATTTAGGCTTACCACTTGAGGTGGACTTGATACTCCTAAAACCTGAGGGGTAATAAAAAGATGCAGGTTGAGGTGCCAGGAACAAAGAATCCAAGACTGCAGCTTTGAGGCTTTCAAGGGAAGAGGGTCCATCATGACCAAGAAAAAATTTTCAGCACATGCTGTGCAGGTACCAGATGCAAGGAGTACTATAAAAAGTCTGAAGATGGCGACCTCCAGGGAATTTAGTCGCCCCAGCAGGAAGGCAGCCATTCCAAAGACGTCCCAATGCAGTGTATAATAGCCACAGGCAGTTAAGTTAGTCAGGAAAGTGAGCACCCAGAGAGAATGGAAGGAGAGAGGGAAAAACTGAAGAAATGTGTAGAAAGACAAAAATAAGACTTAACATTACGATTTTAGACAAAGCAGCATGAGGAAATGTAAATTTTTTTAAAGAAAGTGATTAGATAAAACATCCAAATGGAAACACATCTTGTAAACCGACGAAGCTCACAGACTGAATACAAAACATCACATTTTTATTTTAAACTTAAAAAATTAAAAATGTCGGATGTGGTGAAGCATGCTTATAGTCCCAGCTGCCCAGGAGGCTGAGGCGGGAGGATCTCTTGAGCCCAGGAGTTGGAGGCTACAGTGAGCTATGGCACCACTGCACTCCAGCTTGGGTGACACATCAAGGCTGTCTCTAAATAAATAAATACAAATAATTACATTCAAATAAAGTAAAAAGTCCAAGCACTACAAAAAGGTTTAAAAAGTCTTACTATCACTGCCACCATCCGTACTCTTCTCACTATTAACAATGTATTCATGACTGCAGAAAAGTATCTTACAATTATATAGAAATGACTCATAATTTATCACATACATACACAACACACACTTTTAGAAATGCGTACACATGGGTCGTACAGTACACATTCTGTGGCATGCTATTGCCTTGATTGCATAGTCATATATCTCAGAGCTCAAACCACCTTTTCAAAATCTCTACGGAGTAGCGTGCTATATGGTATTACATAATTATTTAGTGAATTCACCATTGTTGGGCATTTAAGCTGTTTGAAGATTTTGCTGTTACAGCTATAGAAATGAACATACTTGGCATATTTTTTTGTGTGTAACCTAAGGTAAATGTTTGGCAGTGGAATCACTTGGTCAAGGGGTATGTATGTATTTCTTTCTTTCTTTTCTGATTTTGAGACAGAGTCCCACTCTGTCACCCAGGCTGGAGTGCAGTGGTGTGATCTCAGCTCACTACAACCTCCGCCTCCCAGGTTCAAGAAATTCTCCTGCCTCAGCCTCCTGAGTAGCTGGGATTACAGGCACCCGCCACCACATCTGGCTAATTTTTTTGTATTTTTAGTGGAGACGGGGTTTCACCATGTTGGCCAGGCTGGTCTCGAACTCCTGACCTCAAGTGATCTGCCCAACTCAGCCTCCCAAATTGTGGGGATTACAGGAGTGAGCCACTGTGCCTGGCTTAATTTTTTTTTTAACTGTGGCAAAAGACACCTAAAAATTACTATCTTAATCATTTTTTCAGTGTACAGGTGAGTGGTTTTAAGTACATTCATATTGTTGTGCAACCCTCACCACCAGCCATCTCCAGAACTCTTTTCCTCATCTCGGACTGAAACTCTATACCCATTCAACATGAACTCCCCATTCTCTCCACTGCCCTCCGTGTCCCTCCCGCTAGCAAACACCATTCTATTTTCTATCTGTATGATTTTGACTACTCTGGCTACCTTGTAAAAGCGGAATCATTTGTCTTTTTGTGACTGGCTTATTTCACTTAGCGTAACGTCCTCAAGGTTCATTCATGTTACAGCATGTATCAGAAATTCCTTCCTTTTAAGGCTGAATAGTATTATATTCACTGTATGGAGGTATGTATTTTAAATTTGCAGACAGATATGCTGAAATTGTCCTTCTAAAAGGTGATACCTTCATTCCCACCACAGCAAGTAGGTCCAGCCACATTTCCCCCACCCTCACCAATCCTGCTTACTATCCAGCCTCTTCATGCTGCCAGTTTACTCCATGGAAGAGGAATCTGGTTATTGTTTTCCTTTGCATGCATGAGTAAGGCTGGTCACCGTTTCACAGATTTATTGGCGACTTTTTTTTTTATTGTTGCATCTGTTGATATCTTTACCCATTGTTTTCTCTTGGGCTTTCTTTTTCTTAGTAATTTGTATGCGTTCTTAATAAATTAAGAAATTAGCCCTTTTAATATCTTATGTTGCAAATACCTGTTCCCAGCTTATTTATCTTTTTACTTTGTACACAGATCTTCTTGCTGTTTACTTTTTATTTTATTTATATATATTTTTGAGACAGGGTATCACTCTGTCACCCAGGCTGGAATGCAGTGGCGCGATCTCAGCTCACTACAACCTCCACCTCCTGGGTTCAAGCAATTCTCCTGCCTCAGCCTCCTGAGCAGCTGTGATTACAGGTGTGCGCCACCACCCATGGCTCATTTTTTTGTGTTTTTAGTAGAGATAGGTTTTGCCATGTTGGCCAGGCTGGTGTTGAACTCCTGACCTCAAATGATCCGCCTGCCTCAGCCTCCCAAACTGCTGGGATTACAGGTGTGAGCCACTGCACCTGGCCTATTTTTTACTTTTTATTATGAAAAAATCCAAAATATATAAATCAAATATATTTAAAAAGTAGAGAAAAGAGTACTCTGTGTACCCATTACCAAGTTTAATCTCCACCACACCTCAAATTATTTTGAGAGCCAGGCATGGTGGCTCACACTTGTAATCCCAGCACTTGGGAGGCGGAGGTGGGTGGGTCACTTGAAGCCAGGAGTTGGAGACCAGCCTGGGCAATATAGTGAGACCTCATCTCTAAAAAAAATTAACTGAGTGTGGTGGTGTATACCTGTGGTCTCAGCTACTCGGGAGGCTGAGGAGGGAGAATCACTTGAGCCCAAGAGTTGGAGGTTAAGTGAGCTATGATTGTACCACTGTACTCCAGCCTGGGTGACAGAGTGAGACCCTGTCTCTTAATAAAAAATTATTTTGAAGCAGATCCCAGACATCATCATTTCATCCACAGGTGTTTTCAACGTGTATCTCTAAAGACAAAATTTTTTTAAAACGTAACTATAAAACTATAATCATATGTATGTGGTTTTAAAATATAAAACTGTTCATTTCTAAGCAAACATCAGTCATTTTCTATATGATTTCTGGGTTTTGTGCCATGTTTGCAAAGTCTTCATAACAGTATTATAAATAAATTCGCCCATGTTTTCTTCTAGCATTTATTTTACTCAAAAACCATTCATTAAATTCAAAATTATTGTCCAGCGCATGCAAAGTTCTTAAGTTCTGGAAAGACACAGAGTCACAGGGTAATCAGAGCCAAGAGAGTTAATTTCCCTGCCCCCTTTCTCACCTGTAAAACATCTGCTGCCATGAAACCCCTTTTCAGACCCTGTCCTCCTTTTCCCTCTGTAGACAACCTTCCTGACCTCATGTGTGGGTCAGAACCCCCTATGGACTCTTTCGCCTCTGGCTTCCTTTTTTTTTTTCTTTTTAATAAGAGTGTTATTAAAATATAATTCACATATAAAATGTACCCTTTTAAAGTATGCAATTCAGTGATCTCAGTATATTCACAGTTGTGCAATCTTTGCCATTATCTAATTTTACATTTTTTTCATCACCCCCAAAAGAAACCTTCCACCCATTAAGTGATCACTTCCCATTTTCATGTCCCCACGAGTCCCCGGCAACCACTAATCTACTTTGTCTCTATGGATTCCCAAGACATTTCATAAACATAGAATCACAATATGTGGCCTTTTGTGTCTGACTTCTTTATTGCTAGTACTTTTAGAGTCTCATTTTAACATTTTACATCATACTCTTTCTGGAATTTACTTTGATGAAAGAAGAGGAGTTATACAGCTTGACTCTTTTTTTCTCCCAGATAGTCCTGCCATAGTCTCAACACTGTTTTCTGAATAATTCATCTTTCCTCTCATGGATTAGAAATGTCACCACTATCATCTACTAAATTCTCATTTTAGTTTATTTCTGGATTTCCTATTTTATTCCATTATCTATCTAAATCTCTGCTAGAATCAAACTGGGTTATTTTTTTCACTTATTTACTTATTTTAGTGATGGAGTCTTACTACGTTGCTCAGGCTGGATTCAAGCCATCCTCCTACCTCAGCCTCCCAGGTAGCTAGGACTACAGGTGCGTGCCACCCCCCCGCAGCTTAAATGTTTTAATTCTTGTAACTTCAAAATGTATTTAAATATTTAATCTAACTGCCTCCCCTCCCCTAATATCTTTCTGTTGAGATTTTCTTCTTGGCTATTCTTTCTTGTTTATTTCTACAGATGACCCCAATATTATCTTGTAAAATGTTGAAAAGAAATTTTTAAATATTTTTATTGGGATCACATTGAATTGATAGATTAAATACAGCAAGAAATAATACCCCTTAATAGAGATTTTATATTTTCTTTATATGGTCCTGCCTATTTCTAGTTAAGTTTATTTTCAGATAAATTGATCATAGTGTTCCTATTTAAATGGGATCTTTTCTTTCATTATATTTTCTAACGAGCCATTTTGTACAGTAATTATACAAAAAGTAACTAACTACTTTACTAAAATTCTCTTATAATTTCTGTTAGCTTTTCTGGCAAAACAAACCACCCAATACTTAGCGTCTTAAAATAAGAAACATTATTTCTCAACTCTGTGGGTCAACTGGCAGTTTTTCTGGTCTGGGCCAACTCGGTTTATTTCTGCAGAAAACTGGCACTTTAATTGGCCTCGATAGACGAGAGTGGCTTCACTCAGATGTCTGGTAGTTGGTTCTGTGTCAGCTGGAGCAACAGGGATGAAGAGTCTGTGTGTTTCTCATCATGCCGCGGGCTAACCTAGGCTCATTCACAGAGCAGTGGTCTCAGCCTCTTAAAATGGTAAAAGAAGGCAAGTCTTAACACACAAACAGTTTTCAAGTTTCTGCTTGCATCATGTTTGCTAATGTCCCATTGTTCTAAAGAAAGTCACATGGTTGAGCTCATAGTGTGAAGAAATATACTTCATTTCTGAGAAGAGCTGCAAAAGATTGTAGCTGTTTTTGCAATCTCCCCCAGATTCCTAACATTTCTTTTTGGCCTATTTTTGTCAGGTTTCTAGTTATTATTTGATATCATTTAAATTAATAAATCCTCCTTACCTCAAGAGGTAATTTTAACTCTTAAATTATTTTCTTACTTAATCATACTGGTTAGGATTTCCAAAACATTATTAAAGTATAGTATCTTACTTTAAAAGGTTACTGATGGGCCTGTAATTCCAGGACTTTTGGAGGCTGAGGGAGGAGGATCACTGGAGGCCAGGAATTTGAGACCAGCCTGGGTGACATAGAGAGACTGCCCACTACTTCTACAAAAATAAAAAATAAAAAATTAGCCAAGCGTGGTGGTGTGCAACTGTGGTCCCAGCTACTTGAGAGGCTGAGGTGGGAGGATCACTGAAGCCTGAGAAGTCTGGGCTTCAGTGAGCCAAGATCATGCCTCTGCACTCCAGCCTGGGTGACAGAGTGAGATGCTGTCTCAAAAAAAGAAAGAAAAAAAAAGTTACTAATGGTTATCTAATGGGTCGTGGGATTATAGGGCTTCCTTTTTATTATTTTGCCTCTTGTTAGTCTCTACTTTTTCTACAATGAATATGTGCTGCTTATATAATCAAATCATTGGTTTGTTGGCACACCATCACTTTGGGATGGCTCAGAGCGTCCCAGTTCACCCTAAAGTGTAAGCTGCAGTAACCATCCTGGTTGTAACCAGAATCTTTGTTCTACAATTTGGAATTGGAGTCTCCTTATAATCTAAAGATTTTGTAGTTGTTAACATATTAACACTTTCGATTTTATAATGTATTCTTACGTGTCTTTTAAGCACATACTTCTGGCTGGGAGTGGTGGCTCATGACTGTAATCCCAGCACTTTGGGAGGCCAAGGCGGGTGGATCACTTGAGGTCAGGAGTTCGAGACCAGCCTGGCCAACATGGTGAGACCCTGTTTCTATTAAAAATACAAAAATTAGCCAGGCCTGGTGCCGGGCACCTGTAGTCCCAGCTACTTGGGAGGCTGAGGCAGGACAATCGCTTGAATCCAGGAGGTGGAGGTTGCAGTGAGCTAAGATCATGCCACTGGACTCCAGCCTAGGTAACAGAGCAAGACTTTGTCTCAAAAAACAAAACAAAACAAAGCACATACTTCCTCAAAGTGCTTTAAGGTACATGTTAATTTTTTTAATTAAAATTTTTTATTAAAAAATATATATATCTGTGTAGTGTGAGAACAAAAAAAGAAAAAGCATAATATCTTCTTTCTTTAATGGAAATTAAAGTATGATGCTGAATTTTTATAATGGCAAAAATAATCTAGCTATTTCTAAGATACTAAGACTCTGGTTTTTGTTTTGATTTTGGTTTGTTTGTTAAATCAGGAATGAATGTTCAATTTTGCTAAATGGCATTTCAGTATCTAGTGTGATGATTATACTTTTTCCTTTGATCTGTTAATATAGTAGCACATTGGTACAATTCCTTTTTTTTTTTTTTTTTTTTTTTTTTTTTGAGGAATCTCACTCTGTCACCCAGGCTGGGGTACAGTGGTTCGATCTCAGCTCACTGCAACCTCTGCCTCCCGGGTTCAAGCGATTCTCCTGCCTCAGCCTCCCGAGTAGCTGGCATCACAGGTGCCCACCACCATGCCTGGCTAATTTTTGTATTTTTAGTAGAGACGGGGGTTTCGCCAGTTTGGCCAGGCTGGTCTCGAACTCCTGACTTCAGGTGATCCACCTGCCTCAGCCTCCCAAAGTGCTGGGATTACAGGCATGAGCCACCGCGCCCAGTCGGTACAATTCCTAATAATGGGCCATGCCTGCATTTCTGGAACCTCACTGGGTTGAGGAGTTTTTTTGTTATTGCTGGTATAGAACAATTGTGTCTCCATACATCTGCCTATTCTGGACATTTCATAGAAATGGAATCATACTATACGTGACCTTTTGTGTCTAGCTTCTTTCACTTAGTGTGTTTTCAAGGTTCCTCTATGCTATATCATGTATCAGTAAATCATTACTTGTTATGGCCGAATAATTTCTCATTGTATGGATAGACCACATAGAAATGCTTTTATGTCATCTACCAAGTTAATGTTCGTATCATCTTCCTCCTTTATTTCACATCTCTAGTGGATTACATTGTAGATATTCTGGTGTTGGAAAACCCTTTCATTCCTGAAATACACTTGACTTGGTTGTGATTATTATTCATTTAATAAATTGCTAGATTCGATTTGCTAGTATTGTATGTAGAATACTGGTATCTTTCTATATGTGAGCTTAGCCTATATTTTATATTTCTTTTGCTCTCCTCATTTAGCTCTGGTATAGGGTTATGCTAGCACAGTAATATTTGTATAAGATAGGAAATATTTCTTCCTTAAATGTCTGATAGACCCTAGCCATAGAGTCATAGGATCTGTTCCCTTTTGGAAAGTAGGTCTCGGCTAGCATTTCAGTTTCTTCTATAGTTATTGGTTTATCCAATCTTTCTACTTCTTCCTGGGTCAGTCTAATGTGCAAGCAGTAATGTGTACAAAACAGCTTGATGAGATATCACAAAACAACACCCAGGTCAAGAAATACAAAATTGCCAATATTCCAGGAATCCCACTGGTGATTCCTCCCAATTACTGTTTATTTTCTTTCCAAAGTAATTATTACCTTAATTTCAATGATAATTATTTCCTTGCTTTTCTTTATAGTTTTATCTCATAACCGTGGAACCCCAAACACGACAGTTGTTCTTCGCATGTATTTAAATTTTAAAAAATTTAATTTTAGTTTTTGTAGGTACATAGTAGGTGTATTTATTTATGGGGTACATGAGATGTTTTGATACAGGCATGCTACGCATAACAATCGCATCATATAAAATGGGGTATCCATCCCCTCAAACATTTATCCTTTGTGTTACAAACAACCCAATTATACTCTTTTAGTTATTTTAAAATGTACAATTAAATTATTATTGACTATAATCACTCTGTCATGCTATCAAATACTAGGTCTTATTCGTTCTATTTTTTTGTACCCATTAACCATCCCCACTACCCACAGCCACCTCCACTACCCTTCCCAGCCTCTGGTAACCATCCTCCTACTCTCTATCACTGTATTTAAATTTTATGTAAACGAAGTTACACAATATTTATTCTTATGGACTGGTTTGTTCCACTCAGCAACATGGTTTTCTCCTGCCATTTCCTGTTTTCAGTATTTTGCAGCAGAGTGCCCAACATAGAACATAATCGCAAATATTCCACTGCAGAAAAGAGGTGCTAGTGCTTAAGCACAAACGGGAGACATGATTATTTTGCTTTAAATAAATACTTAAACACAGCTCAGGTCCTGCAAGTATCTGGACTCTAGGTCTGAGTAGTGGAGCTGAGTCCCACTTGGGCCCACAATGATATCATGATTCCCCCCTTCCTCTCAGTGATCAATACGTGGCATCGAGTGCCAATGGTCAAACGTGATCGCAATGAGCTCCTTTTCTAGAGCCTTCCGCAACTCTCTACGGACACGACTAGCCAGGATAAAGACCATTAGAATTGTTCGGTCAGTGGTCCGTAACAGTTAAGTATTTTAAGGCTGTCCATGGCGAAACCCTGTCTCTACAAAAAATACAAAAATTAGCCAGGCTGGTGGCATCCGCCTGTGATCCCGGCTACTCGGGAGGCTGAGGTGGGAGGATCACTTGAGCCTGGGAGAAGAAAGAAAGAGAGAGAGAGAGAGAGAGAAGTATTCTTCATGGGTCTCTTGGTTTTTTTTATCGGGGAGACAGATGCATTTAGGTGATTTTCTTCAGCTCATCCTGCAGGACCAGCAGGTCCCTGTTTCTGAGGACCACATGCCCTTGAAGAAAGCTTTGCCCCTTTCCTCTCTGAAGATGGTCCTCCAACAATCGAGGGTGCCTGTGTACTCGAGGTCAGCTTCTTTGCCTCGACTGCATCTGCATCCCATCCACCTAGGCAGGCAGATCATTTGAGGCCAGGAGTTCGAAACCAGCCTGGTCAACATGGTGAAACCCTGTCTCTACTAAAAATACAAAAATCAGCCAAGAAGGGTCACACGTGCCTATAATCCCAGCTACCAAACTTAAAAAAAAAAACCTCTACTATATCTTCTGAATAATAATTTGAATATTATTTCTTTGTCTCTTAGGTCACTCATCAGCAAACATATATAGTGTGTCTGCCTTAGGTAAAGTAACTGACCAGGTTCAAAGATGCCTCTGATATGAACCAAATCACTGACCCTCGCAAAACATGTTGCTTTAAGAAATTGCCTTTGTATGAGAGTAATCCCTATAGGAGCATCTTAAGTTCCTTAAATTTTTTCCTCTCAATAAACCCAGTAGTAATTGTACCCTCCTGACAGTCTTCAGAGGGCAACAGAAATTACTTAGAGTTAAGAAATTAAAGTGAGTAAAGGATACAAATTATTTACAGGATAAGACTTTATGTGCAAAATACATCTATAAAGTTTACTTCGTCAAAGTCTGACCTGTTTGCTTAGCCTCTCTATTCTTCCCTCCATTTCCTCTTTCCATTCCCACCTTTCTTCTTAGTGCCAATATTTTCCTCAAACAAAGGCTTTTCTCATTAACTGCCTGCATTGCTTTGCCTCCAGCCCTCTGAGTCTGTGTTCTCTTTGGTCATTGTTTTCCATCAGCAGAAGCACAGACACGCTCTCTTCTAAGTATTCAAGGCATGCCTGACTTCCCAAGATGATCTTCCCAAGTCACTGAACGTAACATCAAGAACTTTTGCACATTTTAGAGTACATACACGGGAAGCCACATCCCAGAAATCTACATGGCAACCTCGCTAGGTAACTCTTAACTCTGAAACCCATTTCAGAAACACTGCCTGGAGTTCAAGGGCAGAGCTGGAATTATAGTTCAAAGCTTTGGGGTGGTCTGTTATGCAATTAACCAACTCACTTTGTTATTAATAGTATCACGAATCATTATGCAAGCCAGGTGTGCTTGTAAGGGAAGCACCAAGCACTGCTTCAACCATTTAATTATTTATGACACTTTCCCCCTTTTTAACTAAAGCATGCTTGCTGTATAAATTTTGACAAACAATAGGTAACTTAAACACCAGCCATAATCTTACCACATAGATGGTATCACTTATTATGGCAGCATGCACTTCCAGGCTTTTTTTTTTTTTTTTTTTTTTTGAGACAGAGTTTTGCTCTTGTTGCCCAGGCTGGAGTGCAATGGCGTGAACTCAGCTCACTGCAACCTCCACCTTCCAGGTTCAAGCGATTCTCCTGCCTCAGCCTCCCGAGTAGCTGGGATTACAGGCATGTGCCACCACGCCCGGCTAATTTTGTATTTTTAGTAGAGACAGGGTTTCACCATATTGGCCAGGCTGGTCTTGAACTCCTGACCTTGTGATCTGCCCACTTCGGCCTCCCAAAGTACTGGGATTACAGGTGTGAGCCACCATGCCCGGCCCACTTCCAGGCTTTTTAAATGCATTGCTGATATTATATGTAATTTTACTTTCTGCTTAAAATTATATTAAAAGTAGATTTCCATGTCTGTAAATTTTTTATATCATTAAATGGCTGTAAAATATCACCTTGAATCATAAAGAAATGAAGTTTTCCTTTTATTAGATTGTAACTTGTTTCCAATTTCATCACAATTGTAAGTAACATTGATATGGAAATCCTTATGCATGACTCTGTCTGTATTTCAGATTATTTCCATAGGCAAAATATATATCTGATACAGGTCTTGCATCCAGAATATATAAATAACTCTTACAAATCAATTATAAAAAGACAAATGAGTCAATTTTTCAATGGGTAAAAAAAAGTGAACAGATAATTTACCAAAGAAGATCTACTTAAGGCAAATAACCCCATGAAAATATACTCCACATTAGTCACCTGAGAAATACAAAGTAAAAGGACAATGAGGTAATACTACAAACACTACAGGCTAACATTTTTTAACTGGCAATACAAAGTGTTAGCAATGATATGGAGCAACTGGAATTCTCATACATTGCTGGTGGAAATGAAAATGATACAGCCCCTTTGGAAAACAGTTTATCCAGTGTTTTGTAAAGTTAAACTACACTTACTATACAACCCGGCAACTCTCCTCCTAGAAATAAAATACAATTCTACTCCTCAGAGAAGTGAAAATACATCCACACAAAAACCTGTATATGAATATTCAGAGCACTTAATTAATAATAGCCCAAACTGGCCAGGCGTGGTTGCTCACACCTGTAATCCCAGCACTTTGGGAGGCTGGGATGGGTGGGTCACTTGAGATCAGGAGTTTGAGACAAGCCTGGTCAACATGGTGAAACTCTGTCTCTATTAAAAATACAAAAATGAGCTGGGCATAGTGACACACACCTGTAATTCCAGCTACTTGGGAGGCTGAGGCGGGAGAACCGCTTGAACCCAGGAGGCAGAGGTTGCAATGAGCCGAGAAACAACCCAAATGTCCATCTACTGATGAATGGATAAACAAACAATTGTGATGTGTCTATTTAATGCAATATTTCTCAGCAGTAAAAATGAATAAGCTACCGATACATGTAACAGCATAGATAAATCTCAAAAGCAGTGTGCTAAGGACAGAAACCAGGCATCAAAGACTACCCACTGTATAAATCCATTTATATGATATTTTAGAAAAGGCAAAACTATAGTGATATTTCTAGTTTCCTGGGCTTGGGAGTGGAGGTAAGAACTTTTTGGAATGAAGGAAATGTTCTACACCTTGATCGTGGTGGTGGTTGTATGACTGTATACATTTGTCAAGAAGAATTAAACTGAACACTTAAGATGAGTGAGTTTGTAGTATGTACATTGTACCTCAATAAAGCCAATTAAGAAAATAAGAAATGGTTCTGATATATGGTTTTTTGGGTTTTGTTTGTTTGGGCAGCTGACCTAAAATAGAACCTGAAAACAGATTGGGGAATTCAGAAAGAGAAATAGGACTTGAAGGGTGTGGGGGATGGTGTCAGGACAATGATTTCTGGTTTTGGAAGTGTTAAGGAGGTTGAGTTAATGAGGGCACAGAGAGAGAAAAGAGACATAGAGAAATATGGGGCATGATGGGGGGGTCTCTACTGCAGCAAAAAGGAAAAAGGAGAGCAAGAAATTGAGAAAACAGTTTTTATACATAGGATTTTTGTATGTGTTGCCTATTTTGTCTCAATTTATTTTTATTTTTTTCTCTTCATTCTCTTGGTCTCTCCTTTTCCTGGGGGGTCTTAGACACCATGTGTAACTATTGCGTGCTTCCAAAGTTTTCCACTAAACAGACCACACACATACATACAGACACACCACACACAACCAAATGTTCCCCAACCCCACCCCACCACCACCACCACATACACACAAACACATACCCCTCACACTAAAATAAAACAACCAAAGGAGAAAATTGGAGGGTGGAAGCAAACCAAGAGACAGGAAGGTAAAATCTGGCCCCTGCCTTAAAGCGCATTAGTTAGGAGAGTTCACTCTCTTGGTCCTTTACATTCCGTGGGGAGAAGCAGTAGAAAATTACCGGGTTATTCACTCCGAGTCTAAGCAGCTGAATAGGAAAATAGCTTTAATAGCCCTATTAGGACCTGGGCCAAGGACTTTTTCTTTGGGTTTGTTGTGAATGATTAAAGGTTAACGGTGGCATTTTTCTTTCAGCCTAGGGGAGACAACCATCTCAGTAATGATCCTAATTGGATCCAACTGGGGAACTCCAGAAAGTTTCAGTAACAAATTTGCAATGGTTCTGGGCCTTTTAATATGGATTCACAAAAGATAATGAGGTTATCCTGTCATTTCTACCCTATGGATGAGGAAAGTGACATTCAGACAGGCCATGGGATCTACCCACTCCCTCGTAAAGAACTGGAGGACCAACATTAGCAACAGGACCTCCCATTTGGCATTTTGTTTTCAGATGTGCCTAGAAGAAGGAGATTACAGCTTCTTGGACTGTTGAAGCCTGGGTTCTTCTTGAGTTGTGAAGATATCACCTAAATCCTATCCACATTTTGTGCACCAGGTTTGTGGACGCCTACCACCATTCATTCATTGCAGTGGCTCAGAGAAGATGAAAACAGGACTCTTTGGGGCCAATGAAGATCCCCAACAGAGCTCAGATGACCAGAGTGGACTGGCTTCTACCCTAAATACATACAACAATACTTCCCACTCTGACCTTGCTCACTTTATACAACACCACACAACTAGAGAGTGGCAGAGCTGCTGTGGGAACCCAAATGCCATCTGACTCCAAAGCCTTACTCTCAACCACCACCCTGCTGCCTCCTATTCTTTCCTGAAATCTTCAGTATAGTCATTATTATGAAGTAAAAAAAAAAAGAAAATGAAAGGATGGAAGGAAGGTAGAGGGAGCCCCTCTATCTCCATTCTTTGTTTCCATGAAGAACCTCTACTCCATTTTCAGGGGAGTGCTATTGGTGTAACACACTTTCTGGCCCTCTCCCTCCCATTCTTGTCACTCATTCTCCCCAAGGAAGAAGCGATATGTGGATGATAAGATTGGAAGAAGCCACTCTTATGTTCGGTGGTGTGCTGGTAAATGTTTAGCAGCTGGCTCTGGGGCAGAGAGAAAGCCCTGAATTGTAGTATGTGCCAATCTCCATGGTGTAAAAACACTTCTACCATAGCTGCTTCCAAGTATGTAAATTGTACACCTCAATAAAGCCAATTTAAAAAGTAAAGTCAATCAGTTTGTAAAACTCTTGAGACTTTAACATTCAGTCCAGCAAGCTGTTACCTGCCGGATCCAGCAACACACAACCCGTAACATAACGAGTTGGGTCTCAGCTCCCCGCTCTTCACAGACTCCAGAGTTCTCTCCCCTTTGTGGGGTTCCTCATCCATCCTTCCATTGCTTCTGCTGCTGCCCTGAAGGCATCACCGCTCTCCCGTCTCCTCTTGGGGCACCTAACTCTCTTAACAGTTTAGGACTTTGAGGAGTTTTGCCTTTCACAAAAAGAAAGAATGGGGGAAAAACGGTTATGCCTCAGCAGCTTTCGCTGTCTACCCTGCAGCACAAATTCCACTTGATGGAGGAACACAAAGGTCGGACTCCCTGCCGTGAAGAGGAGAAAGGGAAATTCGAATATGGAAGGAGCTCTACTCTCCCTTGCTCTGTCCTCCGCAAGAGAATGGGGCAGAACATTCTTTAGTCTACACCTCTGTCCCACATGAGTTGCCAAAGACCACAGTGCCTGGTGGGTGACATCTCTCCAGGCTTTTGAAGACATCTGAGCCTGGATTTTGAGCACATTCCTGACCTCCCTACTGGGAGGCTCTTCTCCTTCAAGGTCTGCCTTCTGACAAGCCCTAGCTCTTTCCCACCTCCAGTGGCTGGGTGGGCCGGGGGGTGGGGTAAGGGTGGAGATGTGGGCACATTCTGGGAGCCCCACCAGAACCCCATGGAGTGGAGAAGTGACCTTCTAAGGAGGGGAGCGTACAGTTTCCGGAAGGGAGGAAGGATGCGGTGAGGACCAAATGCATCCATGCAGGATTTCAAATATAAACGACTCTATAGAATACAAGCACCTACTCCTGGCAACCGAAGCCGAAGGAAGCCTAAGAATATAAGAGACGGGGCTTCGGCGAGGGCACGTGACCGAAAACTCACATAACACTCCACCTGCCCCAGTCCAGCCAGCCTGCTGTCCACAGTGTGCCCATCAGTGTATCAAACCTCAGTGCTTTATTTCCTGGGATCCTGGCCGAGCTCCCATTAACCTCCTGTGTTGTCCCCACAGCTCCTATACATGGGAGAGGGCCTGCGTTGGGCCAGATCCCAGAGCTGGGGCCTAATTTGTGATGGGATGCCCTGGGAGGCAAGCGTGCTTCAGCATGTACCCAATCAATAGCCAGACACCCAGGTCCGGAGGTGCCTGAGTCGGTCAGCAGGACGTTGGGCAGGTCTAGGTTCAGAACCTCTGCAGTTTTTCCCTTGGCTTCCCCGGGGCTTGTCCACAACGCCCCCTGCTGCCCATTCTTGGTTAACCTTGTGTCTTGTGGATACCTCATCAGATCTGTTCATGAAGCCTAACGCAAGGTCCTCCCTCCAGGGTGACACAGTGAAGTCAAGTAACAGATGTGGAGATGCTTTGGAGAGCTTGAAACAGAAGACTACATAATAACAATGGGCCAGTATCATAAAGCCAAGATTGAAGAAGACAGAACTGAATATCTCCCTCATCTGCAAAACTTGCCTTATCTTTCAGTATCATCCTGTTTCAGTGGACAGAAATCAATCCATCATATATTTGAGCCCTGCTCTTATAACCAAGTTAAATTTTGCCTAAAATAAGGCCCTGCCTCAAGCAAATCATGGTTTGTTTTTTATTTTATTTTATTTATTTATTTTTTGAAATGGAGTCTCGCTCTGTCACCCAGGCTGGAGTGCAGTGGTGCAATCTCCTCTCACCACAACCTCCCCCTCCTGGGTTCAAGCGATTCTCACCTCAGCCTCCCAAGTAGCTGGGATTACAGGTACGCACCACCATGCCTGGCTACTTTTTGTATTTTTAGTAGAGACGGGGTTTCACCATATTGGCCAGGCTGGTCTTGAACTCCTGGTCTCAAGTGATCCTCCCACCTCGGCCTCCCAAAGTGCTGGGATTACAGGCATAAGCCATCACGCCTGGCCAAATCATGGTTTAGAAAAGGGAGATGGTCAAATATAATTGTTATGACTGCCATAGTACCTACTATGTCCCAGATAATTTGCCTAGGTTTTTAACCCTCACAACACATCCCTAAAACATTGTACAGATGCAAATGCAGAGGCACGAAGAGGCTTAAAACATTCCCAAAGTCACATAGTTACTATAAAGCCAGTAACTGGCTCTATGTCTATCTGAGTCCAAAATGTGTTTTGTCCCCTTCTGTGCCTATGCACAGAGGGCAGTGGGAACATAAATGGAGGTGGAGGGAGGGGTAAGAAGGAGACATCAGTGGTCTACCCTCTTTATGTGATAACAGACTCCCTCTTTTATCTGGCAGCTGCTCCCTCAAGAGGAATACCCATTCTTTCTTCCTAGGTCAAGAAAGAGAGTCCAAGGCATGGTCAATCACAACACTGTCCCTCTAGTCATGGGCCAAGTGCTGGGCACACGTCACCAGCCAGGCTACTCTTAGCCTTTCCCATAATTTTAATAACCTGAGACTGGGAGAAAGAAGCCTCACTCTCTCCTGGAGTGATCAAACTGTATGTAAGTCTAGAGTTCTCTGTGAGTACAGTCTCCTCTAGCAAGAAAGGATGAGACCAACTCATAATAAGAAGCCAAAATACATGTACATATGAGTAAGAGAGAGAGAGAGAGCTGACAGCATTGTTTGGGTGTCTGGATCTAGCCATTCCTGTGGTGGCTCTGTCTAGTCCTTACTTAAATGAGTTAATACATCCCCTTTTAACTGAAGCTAGTTTGTGTTGGGTTTCTGTCCCTTAAAGTCAAGAGTCCTGAGAAATACAATACTGGTCAAAAAAAGTCTTCATAGAACAGGTGAACCAGGAAAAAAGGGATTCACCAGAAAGATAAGAGGAGAGGCAGAGGGTGAACGTAACAGCAGCTGCACTCGAGGAACTGCGAGCAGCTCAGGATGACTTGAGCTGAGATGTGCAGAGGGGGTTGGAGAGACGGGCGAGAGCCACATCAGGGAAGGCCTTGTTTGTCAGGTTAAAATGTTTGGTCTTTATGTGAGGGCGACAGGGAGCCCCCAAAGGGTTTCAAGCAGTGGTGTGACATGCTCAAGCTCGTTTTGAGAAGATCACTCGGGAGAACGGGTCTGAGAGACAGCACAACAGGAGGGCAGCGGATTAGTTATGAGGCTGCTCCGGGAATCCAGGTGAAGAGCTCAGGATGGAAAATGACTCGACGTTTTTGACTTGGTCATTGGCCAGAGGGGAGGGCAAGAACGAAAAGAGTTGTGTTTTGTTCATGTGCAGTTTGAAGTAAGTATCATACATTTAAATGGAATTGTCCAGTAGGTTTACTAAAAGAGATGACAGAGTTGGCGATGTTTAAGTTTTTCTGAGTCATCAATTCAGCTGTTTGCTGTCTGCCTACTACTGGCCAAGCACTGTGTGGAGGAGAACACCGTCCAGCCTCTGCTCCCTGGCATCACACTGTGGCAAGACAAAACAGATGATAACCAGAGAAACCAATCAAGAAACAAGGGAAGTGCAGGGGAGACCGTAAAGCAGCATCGTGTAGCAGAGGGGCTGGGGTGGGGGCTCCATCTCTTCAGTGGTCCTGGAAGGAGGAGCTGACGCCCTGAGGGTGCAGGAGGTGGCTGAAGATGAATATTCTCCAATTCATGCCCACTGAATAGGAACATGCCCATTTAAAAGCATCCATATGCATTTTGTTTGGCTTGTTGGTTTTCTTTGCCTGCCTATGCCTTCAAAGCTGGCATTGAGGTGGCAGGAGGCTTCTGTGCAGAAAACTGAGGCTGGTGCTGGAAAACTCCCACCATGGCCCCTTTGTTCTCATCCAGTGCCTTTCATCCCACACTCCCAAAGCCCATCCTGGCGCCCACCCTTTAATTGTCAGGCCTGGCTCATCGACACAAGCAGGTGGCATTTGATCATTATTCCTGCATCATAAATGAGGGTAACAAAGGCCTCCCTCTCCAGGGTATCAGCCAATATTATTTTGTGAGTTCAAGGGATCTGACTTTGAGTTGAAGCAGAAAGGCCTGATGTCCCATCCTTTTCATTTCTGGAATTACCCGTCGCTGCATCTTTCTGTTACCGCCATTTCCTCTTTAACTCCACGTATCTAACTGGAAACTTTGCTTTTCTTTGTTTCATCTTCTTTGGAATATGTTGTTCCCTGTGACCCCTCCCCACAAAGCCTTGCCTCTGCAGCAGATGCCCTGAGCCTTCCTGATGCCTGGGACTGGTACCTCATCCAGTTTGCTTGTTTCAGGCACTAACTAAACTAGAATGTGCCTGGATCCCTATGGGCCTTGGCTTTCTACCAGATGACAGGCAAACTAAGAGACGTACACAACCTATGCACTCCCTTCCCTCTAGAATGTTTCAGCAGGGGTCCTCTAAGTAAGAAAGCTGGAATTAAAAGGAATAGTTTTAATGGGGAAACCCTGGCTAGGGAGATGCTTGATACCCTAAGGCTGTATGTCTAGCTAGGTCAGGCATAGCTCAGTGCGGTCTGCATTTCATAGCAGATGTTTAGTTTGGAAAGTCCCCTGGCTACTTGGCTTCTAGAGCCCTCTCTCACCATGGGACTTCTCTGTGGGAGGACAGAACTCATCAATCACATTCTCCAAATGTCAAGTTCCTGCTGTGTAACCCCAGGAGAACCTTGCTTCCCATCTACATAACAGAAGTGAGGACCCCAGATTTGCTAGACAAAAGCTTGAACCTGTGGGGAAAGGTCCCCCCAGCTGGTCAGAATTCCCAAAGAAGGCTACCACTGGGAGATGGATTGCAATATAAATGGCACCCCCACCCTCTGGATGTTTGTCATTTCACCCTTCCTTCTTTACCTGACAATCTCTTAAGAGATTCTTGGGGGGATGTAATACACCAGCCAGGAACTAAATTATATTCAACTTTCTCAAGTAGATACTATTTCAGCTACGTTTGGGAAATGCTTAGCCAGAATTTGAGGTCACTGGAAGAGGTCATAGAATCACTCAGGTTCAGACTTGTGGAATTACTTACACTTTCCAGAACCTGTCATGACTTCTTTGGCTCCAGGGCTTTATACCTGCTGCTTCTTGTGCTTTGGGGTTTCCTTCTCTCCCACCAGCCCTATCCACAGCACACACATGCATACACAAACATGTACACACGTATACACATGCATGCATGCACATGCGCACACATGCACACACATGCATACACAAATGCACACACATACATGCATACACACACATACACACACATTCACACACATGCATACACATACGTGCATACACACACATGCTGCACACATGCACACACATATACATGCACACACATACATGCATACACATGTGTGCATACGCACATGCATACACACACATGCATACACAGCATGGCCTCTGCTTGTCCTTCCAGAGTCTCTTATAAAGCTTTTCCTGATATTCCAAGTCTCAAGCTAGCTACCCTCCTTTTTTTTTTTTTTGTGACTGAGTCTCACACTGTCACCCAGGCTGGAGTGCAGTGGCACAATCTCGGCTCACTGCAACCTCCACCTCCTAGGTTCAAGTGATTCTCCTGCCTCATTCTCCCAAGTAGCTGGAATTACAGGCACCTGCCACCACGCCCAGCTAATTTTTTGTATTTTTAGTAGAGACAAGGTTTCACTATGTTGGCCAAGCTGGTCTTGAACTCCTGACCTTGCCACACCCCCATTTTTACAGTTTTCTAACCATTGACTATTTTCCAGTCTTTTTTTTTTTTTTTTTTTTTTTTTTGAGGCAGGGTCTCGCTCTGCACCCAGGCTGGAGTATGATAGTGCAACCATAGCACATTGCAGCCTCCTGGGCTCAAGAAAGCCTCCTGCTTTCAGCCTCCTGAGTAGCTGGGACTACAGGTATGTGCCACAACATCCAAGTAATTTTTAAAAATTATTATTATTTTTTTTTGAGACGGAGTCTTGCTCTGTTGCCCAGGCTAGAGTGCAGTGGTGCAATCTCGGCTCATTGCAAACTCTGCCTCCCGGGTTTGAGTGATTCTTGTGCCTCAGCCTCCTGAGTAGCTGGGATTACAGGCGCCCACCAACACACCTGGCTAATTTTTATATTTTTAGTAGAGACAGGTTTCACCATGTTGGCTGGGCTGGTCTCGAACTCCTGACCTCAAGTGATCCACCTGCCTCAGCCTCCCAAAGTGCTGGGATTACAGGCATGAGAAACCATGCCCTGCCTAAAATTATTTTTTGAATTATTAATTATACAAAAATCATTAGTTAAAAATCATTAAATTTTGTATTTTTAGTAGAGATGGGGTCTCACTATGTTGCCCAGGCTGGTCTCAAACTCCTGCTTAAGTGATCGTCCCACCTTGGCCTCCCAAAGTGCTAGGATTACAGACATCAGTCACTGTGCCTGGCGAAGTCTTTACCAATTGGCAATAAGCTCTCTGGTTGTCATTACAGTTCCAACGTGCCAGGCAACCAGTAAATGATCAATAAATATTGGCATTTTGGGTGAATACATAGGTCATTAGTGCTACTGTTCTGCTTTGACTCTCATTCAGATTAGGAACGAGCTCCCCCTCCAAATAAGCAAGCAGACTAGAGACTATTTCCTGAGAATGTAATTCCGATTCAATTCAGAATTTGTTTCATATGCTCAGGACTTGGCCCTCGGAGGGCTGGGGAGAGGGAAACAAGCAATACTAATTGTAATCTCTGCCTTCAATTTTCCCCTTTTTGAACATAGTACTAGTGTTGGCCACCTCTCTGCACTGCTTCAAATCCCCCCGGTCCCTCCTCTCGCTCCATCAGTGCCTTGGTGACCACTTTCACGCAGGCTTTGCCAACTGCACATGTTCAAAGGCTCATAGGTGAAAGAGCACAGTGCATCCATGGAACTTCAAGAAATTCAGGGGAGCTGAAGCAAAGTTCATTCACGGTGGGGAGGAGCAGAGGCAGTGAGGGGAAGAAGTGAGGATGGAGGGCTCTGCATGGGATGCAGCATGAAGGACCTTCCAAGAGTGCAAAGTTATGTATCCTGATGGCAAGGGGCAGCCATGGAAGATTTTGAGTAGGGAAGTGACTTGATCAGATTTATGTTTTTAAAAGATTCCTCTTGCTGCAATATGGGAAATTGACCAGAGGGGGCACAGCTGGAGGCAGAAGTCCAGTTGGTAATTAGACATTCTCAATCTGCCTATATGTGAACATCATTAAAGAAATACCCAGAGGAGGGGTCCAAATGTCACTTTTTTTTTCTTCCAGGTCCCCTCAGTGATTCCTGTGTGCACCCAGGGTTGAGAACTACTGCATAAGAGGTCCTAGAAGATATCTGGTATGGCCAGAGTACAGAGGGACCGGAGGTAAGCCAGGAGAGACATGCAGAGCAAAGAGTTGAGGTCTCCATCTTCTGTGGGCAGCATCTGGCCTGTTCTGCTTCCTCTGATTCTCACCAAAGTGTTGGCCCAAATGATTTTTAAATTTGAATTCATTGCCATTATTAAACATATATAGATGTCACACAAAATATCCAGATTTCTGCTCCTCTAAGAAACTTGGGAGGTCTGGCCACCCTGGGCCTGCATGCCCCCATGGCAATAAATCAAGCCCTGGCTGCTGCTTCACATGTGGCATGGACTCTCCGAGCTGCCACAGCCCGGCCACTCTTTGTCAGTTCCCACCACTGCAGCCAAAAGCCAGCTGCTGTTTTTCATCTCTTACCCAGCCTGTTTGCTCATTTAAGCTAATTGTCTAGTCCCTGTTGAGATTGGAGTTTAGATCTCAAAAGCTAGACTCTACAGGGTGGGTAGGCCTGTTAATGATTTTGTTATTTACCCTGGAAGCACTGCAAAGGCATTGGAAGGTTTCACGTAGAGCAGCAATAACACAAGCAAATCTGATGTCGAAAGATCACTCTGGCTGGCCTTGGTGGCTGATGCCTGCGATCCCAGCACTTTGGGAGGCTGAGGCAGGAGGATTGCTTGAGCCCAGGAGTTGGAGACAAGGCTGGCAAGACCCTGTCTCTACAAAAAAAATTGAAAAGTTAACCAGGCACGGTGGAACACGCCTGTAGTCCCATATACTTGGGAGGCTAAGGTGAGGATTGCTTGAGCCTGGGAGGTAGAGGCTGCAGCAAGCTGTGATCATGCCACTGCATTCCAGCCTGGGCAACAGAGTGAGACCGTCTCAAAAAAAAAAAAATTACTCTGGATTGTTTAAACTCCAGGTAAGCAGCTATTTGACTAGACAATAAGGACAAATCAAGACCTCCCCCAGTCTCCTCTGGCTCTTTTATAGAAAAACCTTTATTATATTCCTGTAGTTAATTTTCAGTAAGAATGGATATTTTCACCAATATTTTTTGTCAGAAATAACAGGAGAAACAGCAAGTTAGGATGAAAATGGAATTGAACTAGATGGTGAAAGGTTTGGATTTGAATCCTAAGTGACTTTGACACTGATTCTTTTACCTTGGCTATCCTCTTCTATAAAATAGAAATAATAATATTAGACTCTCCTAAGTATCTCACAGGGTCATTGGGAAGATTAAATAAAAAAAAATGACCAGTGTTTTATAACCTTCAAAGTGATTCATGGATGTAAAATATTGTTATCATTATTCATTTATTTACCAAACTCACACCCATTCCTACTGTGTATTTGGCCTGTGCTAAGTCTGGGGATGTAAAAATGAATGAGACCAACCTTAAAGGTCTATGGTCTATTGGAAGTAGCAGTGATGTAAAGACATAATTATAGGTATATACTCAAAAGAATTTAAAACAGAGACTCAAACTCACGCTTGCATGCCAGTGTTCACGGCAGCGTTATTCGCCATAGCCAAAAAGTGGAAACAGCCCAAGTGTCCATCAACAGATGAATGGATCAGAATATGGTATGTATATTCAATGGAATATTATTCAGCCATATAAAGCAGTGAAGTTCTGACACATGCGGCAACATGGATGAGCCTTAAAAACATTACATTAAGTGAAATAAGGCAGACGCAAAAGGACAAATATTATATGATTCTACTTGTATAAAATATCGGGAACAGGCAAATTCATAGAGACAGAAAGGAGATTAGAGGTTACTAGGGTCTCGGGGGAGGTAGGAATGGGGATTTACTGCTTAATGGATACAGACTTTCTGTTGGGGGTGATGAAAAGTTTTAGAAATAGTGATGATAGTTGCACAACATCGTGAATTTAATTAATGCCACTGAATTTATGCACGTCAAAATGTTTAAAACGGCAAATTTTATGTTATATGTATTTAACTACAATAAAAAATAGCAAAAACAAATAAATGGGTCAGAGTTCAACTAAAGACAATAGAAAAAAGCGCAGAGTAAACCTAAAGAAAGAATAATGAAGGAAATAGGCCGGGCATGGTGGCTCATGCCTGTAATCCCAGCACTTTGGGAGGCCGAGGTGGGCGGATCACGAGGTCAGGAGATCAAGACCATTCTGGCTAACATGATGAAACTCCATCTCTACTAAAAATACCAAAAAATATATATATATATATATATTAGCCGGGCATGGTGGCACGATCCTGTAGTCCCAACTACTAGAGAGGCTGAGGCAGGAGAATCGCTTGAACCTGGGAGGTGGAGGTTGCAGTGAGCCGAGATCATGCCACTGTACTCCAGCCTCGGCGACAGAGCAAGACTGTCTCAAAAAAAAAAAAAAGTATAATGAAGGAAATAATAAAGATAAGAGCAAACACCAATGAAATAGAAAACAAAGAAACAATAAGCTGATTCAGGGGGAGGTAAAAGCTACTAAATAAATATGTAGTAATTATAATAAGATGTGCTAAAAGATGCCTCCAAAGTGATATGAAGAAACTCCTGAACTCCAGAAGGCTTCAAAAAAAAGACAAGCTTTTTGCAGTGTGGACTAGGGGAGGAGAGCAGGCATTTTCTAGGGCAAGGATGTGGTGATGACCATGGAGTCTGCCAAGCAGAGAGACTCTTGTTCTAGTCACCATTGTTCCCTCTTCCTAGTCCAATGTCTCCAACCAGGGTACTTAGGAAATGTTAGCTAAGTGAATAAACATTTTCCTTTAGTTCTGCAGTGTGTCTTTTGTCTATCCACAAATTTTATGACATAAAATTTCTTATGCCGTTTATCTATAACTTTGGATGTCCAATCCCACACTACAGTCTTTTATGACATAGCTGTGTGATGCTATTTTATTTTGTTTTCTTTCTTCTAATAGAGACAGGGTCTTGCTATATTCCCCAGGCTGATCTCAAACTCCTGGGCTCAAGTCATCCTCCCACGTTGGTCTCCTAAAGTGCTGGGATTACAGGCATGCACCACCCACTGCACCCAGCCTGTGATGCTATTTTCCTAAAGACACTACATGAGAAGCTCCTACCCTTTCTCCATTTCAGCTGCAAGAGGCTTTCAAAACCTAGGCCCGAAAGCTAAAAACTTCTGAACTGTTGAAATGGGGCCGGGCGCGGTGGCGCACGCCTGTAATCCCAGCTCCTCGGTGGGCTGAGGCTGGAGAATCACTTGAACCCGGGAGGCGGAGGTTGCGGTAAGCCAAGATCGCGCCATTGCACTACAGCCCGGGCAACAAGAGTGAAACTCCATCTCAAAAAAAGAAAAAAAGAAAAAGAAAAGAAATGGAAATCCACATGCAACAATGGCTATCCAAATACCTTAAGGATACATTTGAGGGTGGGTGTACCCATCTTGTGCCCCATCTCCTAGAAACTGGTGTTTGCTGTGGGCAAATGAGGTGCCAGGAGAAGGTACTATTGCTGCCTAAGGGCTGCAGCACATGGTCGTGCAGGTTGTCTACTGTACAAGAGTTCCTGGCAGAAGCAGGGAGGGCCGCTGAAAAACAGCCAGTATTCCATTTACCAAGTCGTGCACCCTGGGGCTTCATCCCCCCATATAAAAGAAGACTTTTTCTAATTAGTACAAATACGTCAGGCAGGTATGGGCTAATTGCAGCCTTGTGTCCCCAGCTGTCACCATTACTGTCCTGGCTAGGGGAGATTTAGTGTCTGACTCTGTCCCTTCAAAAGAGCCCCCTCAATTCTCTTCAGTGTCAAAGCATCTTTTCAGAAGATCCTTTCAAGCCCTTTGGTGAGTGACTAACCCACCACCGGCAGTCCACTAGTGGAGAATTACCTTCTGCCAAGAGACCTTAGTTCTGTAAAAAGGCAAAGAAAGAAAGATAAGCTGGGGCAAGAAAGAAAGATAAGCTGGGGCAAGAAAGAAAGATAAGCTGGGGCAAGAAAGATGAACTCATTCGGCCACGCTGCTCTCGCCCTGTGGTTGCTTCTTCTGCCACTAGATGGCGTCCTCGCCTAAGTACTGGAAACACTTTCCTGAGGATGGAATTTGAGAGGAAGCTGGGTTGCAGCCGCTGTCCGTGTGGAACGTTTAGCTGATCCCAGCTTCATTATTATGCGATTTGAAAATACCTGCTCATCCTGTCAAGAAATTTTATTGAGTGGAATAATTGTTTCATGGCACTCGTCAAGTTCATGCACAGCCTGTCTCCTTTTCTTCTCCCTCTGACTCCTGCAGTCAGCCGATGTTTAAACCCAGGAGACGCAGGTCAAGCCACAGGGAGCTCAGCTTCCTGACATCCACCTGAGAAATGCCAGGAGGGCTTACTGATAACATAATGGATGTCAGTTTAATAAATTCTGACTCAAGGTGACATATAGCTATTTACAGAGATATAACATATTAACATATATATTAACATCTATCATTTTAGCATTAATCATTTCGGCATCTTTTTATTTGAGGCATCATTTATATATTTAAATGTATATAAATGATGCCCCAAATAAATATACCATATACTTAAATCTATAAATATATAAATTTATTATTTATTTATATATAAATACATGGTATATTTATTATTTATATATTTATTTATTGTATATTTATTTAAATATATGAATGCTGCCCCAAATAAATATACCATACACTTCAAATGTGTGCCTTTAAATGTATTTAAAAGTGTGCCTTAAGTGTACGGTTCAGTGAGTTTAATAAATGTATACACCAGTGTAGCCACCGCCCCCATTAGGACACAGAACACTTCCATCACGCTGGTACATCGTCTTGTCCACCTTCAAAGTCAATTCCCATGAGCTGAAGAGGCTCAAGGCTCAGAGAAGAGCAAACAGTGGGTGAAGGGAGTGTGTGGCCTTCAGGCTAATGTGCACTGTAAGAGGCTAAATGAGACTCTTGATCACTCACAGCCTCTGTTTTGTATTTTCCTAGAAAAATCAAGTAATCATTTATTTTTAAGGAAAACAATGGCATTTTAAGAGCCACCTCATTTTACCTGACATTTTATTAGTTTTTCTTTCACATATATAAATGCACAAAATTCTGTAAAATATGTTTAGTCATCACTTCATGATTTGGTTCTTGTGACTTTTTTTTCACTATGCAGTTGTCAGGATGCAGCTGAGAAAATTATCAGAGCTATTCAGTGAGATCAATTGTGTATTTTGAAAATAATTTTTCCTGAAGAGCCTGATATGGTTTTGCTCTGGGTGCTCTTGGGTGTCCCCACCCAAATCTCATCTCGAATTGTAATCCCCAGGTGTCGAGGGAGGGACCTCGAGGTAATTGGATTATGGGGGCGGTTTCCCCCGTGATGTTCTCATGATAGTGGGTGAGTTCATGAGATCTGATAGTTTAAAAGTGGCACTTCCCCCCTCACTCTCTCCTGCCAACACGTAAGACGCCTTGCTTCCATTTTACCTTCTGCCATAATTGTAAGTTTCCTGAGGCCTCCCCAGCCATTCAGAACTGTGAGTCAATTAAACCTCTTTTCTTTATAAATTACCCAGTCTTGGGTGTTCTTTATAGCATGTGAAAACAGACTAATACAGGGCCAATCCAAGCATTCTTCAGCTCAGGAGTTTAACTCATTTGTCAGCTTACACTAGCTGTGTCTTTATTACTATGCTAGAAAAATGCGATGATTTCGCCTAAAAGATTGACTTCTTTAATATAAACTTTTAATGGAAGCATAACATACATACAGAGAAACACACAGCTCAATGAATTTGCCAAAAGTGAACACAACCATGTAATCAGTGCTTAGATCAAGAAACAGAATATTATCAGAACCCCAGAAACCCTTCTAGTCACCCCAAGGGTAACCATTATCCTGACTTTTAAAACCATAGATGAATTGCACTTGCTTTTGAATTTTCTATCAATAACATAAAATAAGAAGTACTGTTGTGTGCCTGGCTTTCATCACACAATATTAACATCCACGTTGTTGTGTGTACTTGTAGTTTGATATTTCTCTTGCTGTATTGTATTCCATTATGTGACTATGCCACGGTCTATTCATTTCACACACACACAAGCAAATATATATATATACAGGGTCTTGTTCTGTCGCCCAGGCTGGAGTGCAGTGGCATGATCCTGGCTCACTGCAGCCTAGAACTTCTGGGCTCAAGTGATCCTCCCACCTCAGCCTCCCGAGTAGCTGGGACTACAGGTGTGCACCACCACGCACAGCTAATTTTTTTAGACACTGGCTCTCCCTATGTTGCCCAGGCTGGCCTTGAACTCCTGGGCTCAAGCAATCCTCCCACCTTGGCCTCCAAAAGTTCTGGGATTATAGGCATGAGCCACTGTGCCTAGCCTCGTTTCACTATTGATGGACATGTAAATTATTTCGGTTATTAGTTATTACAAATAATGCTCCTATAAAATTCTTTGAAAATGTCTTTTCATGAACACTGTTACGCATTGCTGGGTCATAGGACACACATTTGTTCAGCTTAAATTGATGCTGCCAAACTGTTTCTCAGTGTGGTTCTACCAATTTACATCCCCACCAGCAGTGTATAGAGTAGCAGTTGCTCCAATCTGATAACATTTGGTATAACTAGTCTTTTTCATTTTGGACATTCTGGTGTGTGCAGCAGTATCTCACCAGGCTTTGATTTGCATTGCCCTGAAGACTAATCAAGTTGAGCATTTTTTTTTAATGTGCTATATTGGCTATTTTGATATTCTGTTTTATAAAGTGCTGTTGAAGTCTTTTACCAATTTACTGCAAAATATTTGAATAGGCACTTTACAAAAATTTAATTTTTTCTTTATTTTTAGTTATTCATTTTGAGATAATTTTAGACCTCAGGAAAAAGCCTACAAAAAATCTTGTGTTTCCTTCATCTGGCTTGATATCTCGATATCTTACATAACTGTAGCTAATCTCAAAATCAAGAAATTAACATTGGTACCCATCTTCAGAGCTTATTACGATTTTAACAATTGTCTCGCTAATGTCTTTTTCTGGGCCAGGAATCAAGCCAGGATCACACATTGTATTTACTTGCCATGTCTCCTTAAGTCTCCATTAACCTAAGTCAGTTCTTCAGTCTGTCTTTCGTGACCTTAACGTCTTTGAAGAGAACTGGCCAGTTAGTTTGTAAAGTGCCCTCAATTTGTATTTGTCTAAAGGAAACACTCAAGTTAAATATGGTTATGGATCTTTGCAAGAAATAATGTATCCTTCTCAGTTCATATCAGGAAGAACACAATGTCAATATACTTTATCAGTGGTAAAGTTAGCTTGGATCATTTGGTTAAGGTGGTATCTGTCTTGTGTCTCCACTGTACTGTTACTATTTTATTTCTCTTGTAGTTAATAAATATATAATGAGGCAATATGTAAATATCCTGTTCTTCTCATGCTTTTGCTCCATAGTGCTTTTACTTCGTTGCTTCTCTATATGATCTTGCTATGAGCCCTTTTTTGATACATGTATTGTAAATATCTTATCCTACTCTAAGTCTTGCTTACTCACTCTCTTAGTGTCTTGATGAGCAGAAATTCTTAAGTTTAATATAACTGAATTTATTTATTTTTCTTTATGGTTAGTCTTTTTTATGTCCAGTTTAAGAAATCAAACCTTCACCTACCACAAGGTCATGAAGATATTAACCTATGTGTTCTTCTAAAAATGTGTTTTCCTTTTCATGTTTGAATGGCCAATCTATCTGTGATTCATTCTTATTTAAATAGGTATCAAAATTCATTATTTTTTCACATGATATCCAACTGATCTAGCATCATTTATAGAAAAGTCTGTCTTTTCCTCACTACACTGCCAACTTTGTCATAAATCAGGTGACCAGAAAGGTGAGGGCCTGTTTCTGCCCTCTGTCTTCCATTCCGTTTGTCTATTTCTCTATCTGTATATGAATACCACACTGACTTTAAGTGTCATATTGTTGAGTCTTGATAGTTTTATATCTCTGGCATTGATCTTTTTCTTCAAGATAGACTTTGCTCTTTTTGTCGTTTGCATTTTGGTCTAAACTTTAGGATAGGTTTGTCAGTTTCTATATACATACCTCAAACTCTTGATGAGATTTTTTGGCTCATTTGAATTTATAGATCAATTTGGGAGCATTACATATTTACCATATTAAATCATAAGTACCTTCCTCCATTATATCTTCTTTATTTTTCTCAATAATATTTTTCTTTTTTGAGATGGAGTCTGCTCTGTCGCCCAGGCTGGAGTGCAGTGGCACGATCTCGGCTCACTGCAACCTCCACCACCCGGGTTCAAGCAATTCTCGTGCCTCAGCTTCCCAAGTAGCTGGGACTACAGGTGCAAGCTACCATGCACAGCTAATTTTCACATTTTTAGTAGAGACAGAATTTCACCGTGTTGGCCAGTCTGGTCTCTATCTTCTCACCTCAAGTGATCCACCTGCCTCAGCCTCCCAAAAGTGCTGGGATTACAGGTGTGAGCCACCATGCACGGCCCTCAATAACGTCTTATAATTTTCAGTGTAGTGGTCTTATACAACTTCCATTGATTTATTCCTAGGCATTTGATGTTTGACAATTTATTTTTAAAACATGACTACACGAGAAGAGAGTAACATAGAGCAGTGGTTCTCAATGGGAAGCTATTTTTGTCACCCAGGACATGTATGGCAATGTCTGGAGACATTTTTGGCACAACTTAGGGGTGGTGCTACAGGTGTCTGGTGGATAAGCAGAAATGCTGCCTAACATCCTCCAATGCCAGGACAGCCGCCCCACAACAAAGAAACATCCAGCCCAAAATGTCCACAATGCTATTCTCGGGAAATCCCAGGATAAAGTTAAGAACTTCCAGAAAGATATCACTTCATAGTCATTATTTTTATACACTGTTCATGGATTTTTATATTTCACACGAAGTGATTTACAGTGACATTTTCATCATATTAGTTTTTATTACTGGGGTGTGAATAAAATGTACTGTGTTCAGTTTATAAAAAGATGTTATAATTGTTGGGAGATAATTCTCCATGGCTTCTGTGTTTCTGGAAACCTTCTGAGCAAAAGGCATTGACAGTTTGATTCACAGATATTTGCATAACAGACAGTCTTGGAAAGATAAAGATAGTGACTCCCTGCAAAGAGATTTGGAGCTGCCTCTTCCTGAGATATTCCAGGGTAACAGAGCTAGAGACCGTGCCCTTTATTCCCTGAAGATTTGCTTACATTCTCCAGGGAGGGGCCAGGCACGATGGCACACACATGTAATCTCAGCACTTTGGGAGGCCAAGGCGGGAGGATCGCTTGAGGCCAGGAGTTTGAGACCACCCTGGGCAACATAGTGAGACCGCACCTCTACTTTTATTTAAAAAAAAAAAAATTCTGTTTTTTAAACCCAGGAGGGCTGGGCATGGTGGCTCATACCTGTAATCCCAGCATTTTGGGAGGCCAAGGTGGGTGGATCACCTGAGGTCAGGAGTTCGAGACCAGCCTGGCCAACATGAGGAAACCCCATCTCTACTAAAAATACAAAAATTAGCCAGGCATGGTGGTGCATGCCTATAATCCCAGCTATTTGGGAGGTTGAGGCAGGAGAATTGCTTGAACCTGGGAGGCAGAGGTTACAGTGAGCCGAGATTGTACCATTGCACTCCAGCCTGGGCGACAAGAATGAAATTCAGTCTTAACAACAACAACATCCAGGAGGATAAGCAAATTTGTGAGCAGTCTCCTTCTAAGATGGGGGTTTCTGAGGTTCAATGTTCTTCAGCTGTGACATAGACCCACTGTCTGCTCAGTATCCACCTGGGCCTGCCTCCACATGGCCCCTATGCGACTTGGAGGTAAAAGAGAACCTACGTAAACATGCTGCTCATGCTGCCAGCTGCACTGTAAGAAACTGTCTAAATCTGTTTGGGTGTGTTTTCTCCTTACTGGTTGAATCTATGGAAGATTGGTAAATTGACCTAACAGCTGCAGTAATCTCTGCTGCTTAGGGATTGCTTGATAATGACCCATTAGCAAGGCCTACTGCCAATGTAGGAACGGGAGGAGGCACTACTAATGTCATATATTCGCTTTCTCCATCCAGTAGTGATGACAGGGAAGTGCTGCTGGGTAAGGCAAAATTATGTCTCCACCAACAGTTCCCCAAACCTGCCTTTTAGGTCGATGGGTTTGAAGTGCTGGCCCTGAGGAGTGCTGGCCTCAAGAAGCCAAAAGCCACGATGTCACTATTTATATTAAAATTCATGAGTTTGTTGTAGTCACCAGTAGGCCTCCCTGTGTCTACCAGGATGCAGAAGGTAACAACATAGGGCCTGGTTCCATCCCACTCAATGTTTGAGACTTATTTCCTGGAGGCTGGGTCCTAGTTTTATTCTTGGGGTCTGGAGTCTCCTGCAATGACTGGGTCTTTGTTAATTAACTTCAGCACAACTGGCTCCCTTCCCTTCTTGCATGAGGCTTCTCAGACCTCTAGTGGACTTTTCTATCCATCTGCCAGACCTACCCAGACTTGCTCGAACTTAGCAGTGGCCACAAACTTAGCTCAAGCTGAAAGCTCTACTACAAAAACCTGTATGAAAGAGCTGAGTGATGATGCTGACTCTCGCCCTGGACTATTTGCAGCTGCTTTGTTTTTGAAAATAGCCAACTTAACTGCAGTCACTTCAGCGCAATCCACATCCACCTAGAGTATTTGTGAAAACAAATGAGACCATGTTGACCCCTATGATCAGAGCTTATTTTCATAATGATGGCTTGGTTTGATGACGCTTGAATATGAGCTGCGGCTCAGCAGCAGAAGGGCACAACCTCAAAAAGCAGATGTTTTTTAAAAAGCCAATAATTGAATTAAAAAAGGCTTCCTTGTCAGCTGTCATGCATCTGAGTAAAGGGTGGGGTAGGACACTTCCTTGGAAGCAATGATCTGCAAATGCATTATTTGACTGTCAAACTATGCTGAACTTTATACTGATATGATGCAAATGATGAACCTCCCTGTGGTCAAATAAGGTTTCTCTTTTTGTTGAGCTGCAGCAGTTCATGGCAAGGAAAACAGGTTTTGGGGAAGGAAAGAAAGGGTGTCGCTCCTTTGGGGCAGGAAAAAACAGAAATACCAAATGCTGATGCTATTTCTTAGTTACATTTTCTTTTCTTTCTTTTTTTTTTTTTTTTTTGAGATGGAGTCTGGCTCTGTCGCCCAGGCTGGAGTGCAGTGGCACGATCTCGACTCACTGCAAACTCCTCCTGGGTTCATGCCATTCTCCTGCCTCAGCCTCCTGAGTAGCTGGGACTACAGGCGCCCGCCACCACGCCCGGCTAATTTTTTGTATTTTTAGTAAAGATGGGGTTTCACCGTGTTAGCCAGGATGGTCTCAATCTCCTGACCTCGTGATCCGGCCGCCTCGGCCTCCCAAAGTGCTGGGATTACAGGCGTGAGCCACCGCGCCCAGCCCTTAGTTATGTGTTCTGTAGAATATTAGATTTTACCCTTGATGGGAGTGGGGTTGTGGGTGTCGCTCGCTGTGTCTGTAGATCAGGTAAACGAGAAGTTCTGAGAATATCTAATATCTGATATCTAGAAGTGATATAAACTGGGCAATACCTCTTCCCAAACAGCAGTAGAGTTCATCGAGTAAAGAGTATTACAGTGTTGGCTGGGCGTGGTGGCTCACGCCTGTAATCCCAGCACTTTGGGAGGCCAAGGCAGGCGGATCACCTGAGGTCGGGAGTTCGAGGCCAGCCTGACCAACATGGAGAAGCCCCGTCTCTACTAAAAATAAAAAATTAGTTGGGCGTGGTGGTGCATGCCTGTAATCCCAGCTACTCTGGAGGCTGAGGTAGGAGAATCACATGAACCCAGGAGGCGGAGGTTGCAGTGAGCTGAGATCGCACCATTGCACTCCAGCCTGGGCAATAAGAGCAAAACTCTGTCTCAAAAAAAGAAAAAAAAAAGATTACTACAGTGCCAAAAGCGGACCTTAGTCAAGAAGCGGTGCTGATCGAAGTCATGTTGCTTATCAGTTACCTTGCTATGCCATACATTATTTAGAGGCCCAGGTTGGATGTGGAGCAAGCTGTGGGTGCCACCTTTTCCTTGGAGACCATGATCTGTGACTTTCTTAAGGTCACCAGTTAGGAAATGGTAAAGTTGAGATTCAAACTCCTATTTTTATTTTGGAATTTAGTGAGGTTTTCTTTGCAAATAAATATGTTGTCAGTTTTTGTAAATGTTTAGTAGACAACTGAAAAAAATAGCCTTTAATAGTAAAATGAAGCATTATTAAAAACGCTTGTTCTTGTAGATAGAGTAAATTTTCATCTTTAGGGATATTGAGGCAAAATGTTTATTTACTTAATGAAAATTAACATCTGAATTAGTCTTAAGATTTACTGGAAAATAAAACATGAAGAATTATTGGTGTTAAGCTATTAATCTGCTATAACAGCTGTCATCTTAGATCTAACACCAGAAAACTGTTGGTAAAAATCTGCAATTTGGCTGGGCCTGGTGGCTCACACCTGTAATCCCAACACTTTGGGAGACTGAGGCTGGAGGATCACCTGAGCCCAGGAGTTTGAGACCAATCTGGGCAATATAGTGAGACCCCATCTACAAAAAATAGAAAAAATTAGGTGGGCATGGTGGGCATGCCTGTGGTCCCAGCTGAGGAGCCCAGCTCAGGAGGCTGAGCCAGGAGGATCACTTAAGCACAGGAAGTTGAGACTTCAGTGAGCAGTGATTGCACCACTGCACTCCAGCCTGGGTGACAGAGTGAAACCCTGTCTTAGAAAAAAAAAAAAAAGAAAAGACAGGAAAAGAAAATAAGGTGTTTTCTGTGAACTCTAGTCCAGTTCATAAATATTAATTCTGCCTTATGAATAATAATATTCAGATTTGTCCATTTTTGGCCTGTTTTAATCTATGAAAGACAAAGCAGAAGCTGTTTAAAATTTACTTTTGCTTCATACTGTAAAACTTAAAAAATACTTTCTTCTTTGACCTCTTAGGTGTTATGTTTTTTATGTTCCCGAATTTTTTTTACAGTTCTATATAATTTTTTATGCTTACTCATCCTTGAAGGTTGAAAACTCTATCCATGCTTTGCATTTGTTCCAATATGGGATGAGCTATTTTTTTTTTTTAATCTGGCCTTACTGAATCAATGAGCTAATTCTTTTTGGCTCCCTGCCTGTCTATTTTGATGCTCTTAGAATCTTCCTCTCATTATCCTAGGCTGCAGGGTTGGGTACCTTCCAGCAGCTTGAAAGGATGGTGGAGGAAGCCATCTGGCAAGGAAAGTCACCCTGGCAAAGTTTCTTCTCAAGGCTTTGCTAACCCACTGTCCCAAGGAGCCAAAGGTTATCTGGCCTCTAGTCTCTCCTCCTCACTGGCCAGCAGCCAGACTGGACGTGGCCTGGCCATCCTCCTGAGACTACCATTGCCAATATTGTAACAGTGAGAGAAATCGAACATAGCTGACTCCATCTTGCTTCTGACCTCACAAGCTAACTGCCTTCGTGCATTCCTGCATGTAGACTAAGCTAATCATGGAAAGAATTTAGATTATAGTTTAACTGTAGAACTAATGATTACCTCTGTTTTGAAATAGACCCCTGAGGAGATAAGGAAGTATGCACACAACATTTAAACAATGCTGTCTTGACGATTTATAGCAATAACGTGGACCTGACAAGCATTTGACCATGAACAAAGAAGTTTTGCAACCTCCTTGGAGCCCTGCTGATGCCCAGATGTCTGTGGTCACCAGTCACCTCTAGACCTTAACCCCTCTCTGTTCTCCCTTCCCCTAACATAAAAGGAGCCAAAAAAATCCATGAACTTAAGATGATTCTTTAGGACACTAGGCCACCATTTTCTCAGTTTGCTTGTTCCCCCCAAAAAAGTCATCTTCCAGCCGGGTGCAGTGGCTTAAACCTGTAATCCCAGCACTTTGTTTCTCCGGTTTTTGAGATAGGAGGGGCCCTCTAGTAGTGTCAACTTGAGTATAGTGTACCCACAGTTTTATTCCAGCAAACTTCACTGATGAGTGGGTATTCAGCAACATCTCAAACAATCCCATTCACTTGTTCCTTCTAGGTGTCATTCCACAGTCACCCCTTGTCAACCCTGCCCAGTTCCACTGAAAGTAGCCAAATGAGAGACAACATCCTGTTGTCCCCAACTCCACAAGATTATGGAATGAACCTTTGATACTGGGGAATTGTAACAGTGAAAGAAATCTAACATAGCTGACTCCATCTTGCTTCTAACCTCACAAGCTAACTGCTTTTGCTCATTCCTGCCTGTAGGCCAAGCTAATCATGGAAAGAATTTATTTTATATTTTAACTGTAGAACTAATGACTATCTGTCTTTTGAAACAGACCTCTGAGGAGGTAAGGAAGTATATACACAAGTAACAATGCTATCTTAAAGATTTATAGGAAAAGGGTGGATCTGACAAGCAGTTAACTATGAACAAAGAAGATGTGCAACCTCCTTGGACCCCTGCTGATGCCCAGATGTCTGTGGTCACCAGTCACCTCTGGACTTTAACTCCTTCCCTGTTCCCCTTTCCCCCAACATAAAAGGAGCCTAAAAATCTATCGACTTAGGGTGCTTTAGAACACTAGTCCACCATCGTCTTGGTTTACTGGCTCCCTGAAACAAAGTCATCTTCCTTGCCCCAACACCTTGTCTCTCAACTTGTTGGCTGCTGTGCAGTAAGCAGTATGAGCTTTGGACTCAACTGCAGTATCAGAGGGGAGACTTGCCACTCTGGGAAAAAAAAAATCCCCTATTTGCATGTCTTGGGCCATTTCAGTGAGTATTTAGAGAGGAGATTCAGAAGTCTAGGCTAAAACCCAATTTTACCTGGCAGTGTTCTGCTTGTCTATCGCTCCAAAAAATAACACTCAAAATTCAGGGGTGTGAAACAATCACAATCATTTATTATTATCTCTCATGATTCTGGTGATTGACTGGGCTCAGCTAGTTAGTTCCCACTCAGAATGTGTCAACTGGCTACCATGAGACAGCGATCATACTGGAGTGGCCTTGAAGGCTTCCTAGTCACATGTCTGGCACTGAGACAGGGAAAACTCAAACTGCTGGGGCATGAAACAGCCAAAGCTCCTTGACTCTTTATTTTCATGGGTTCTATTTACATGATCTCTGCAACATGGTGGTTTCAGGGCTGCTGTACTTATATACTCCAAAGGCACATGTTCTGAGCAAGAGAGCTAACCGATGCCTAGAGCTAGATGACCAGGTCTCCTTTTAAGACCCAGTTTTGAAAGTCACATAGCATTACTTTGGTTGTGCAGTCACAGAAACCCATCTAAGAAGCCTACCTGGGTTCAAGGGGAAAGGACTTAGATGCCACCTCTTGATTGAGGTGGGGGGCAGGGTTTTTGGAAGAGCACATGGGACTGAACATATTGTTGCTGCAATTCTGAAAAATACAATCTGCAGCAGGAAGTTTAATGCAACTTGTAGAATTAATAAATGATTGTATACCATTAATAGTAACACTTCTTGACACCTACTCTATGAGAGTATCTAACTCATCGAACCGTGTGAGGATTAAATCATTAATATCATATATTTAAAGCACCTAGAATACTGACTGGCACATAGTAAGTGCACACAGTAAGTAAATGTTAGCTGTACTCTATAGTTAAGAAAAATTAGAAGTCTGTAACTATAGTATTAACTAATTACCCTTCCCCATCATTCAATTCTCAGTTGTTCATTCTGCTATTCCCTTTTTTTAGAAAAAAGTTTCTTGGTTTATGTCCTTGTTTAGGTGGAAAAGCTTTCACCATCTGAAAACTTCTTAAGAAAAGGTACATGGGAGATAAACATTTTGAAATTGTACGTGTCTGGAATATATTTACCCCCACATTTGACTGCTAATTTGTATGTGTATGAGAATCTATGTTAGAAATAATTTTCTCTCAGCATTTTATTTACTTATTTATTTAATTTATTTAGATACAGAGTCTCGCTCTATCACTCAGGTTGGAGTGCAGTGGTGCCATCTTGGCTCACTGAAACCTCCAGTTCCCAGGTTCAAGTGATTCTCATGCTTCAGCCTCCTGAGTATCTGGGATTACAGGTGACCACCACCACGCTTGGCTAATTTTTGTATTTTTTAGTAGAGATGGGATTTCAACAAGTTGGCCAGGCTGGTCTTGAACTCCTGTCCTCAAGTGATCCACTCACCTTGGCCTCTCAGAGTGCTGGGATTACAGGTGTGAGCCACTGCACCCAGCCTACTCTCAGCATTTTAAAGACATTATTCCATTGTCTTTCAGTTTCATGTGTTGCTACTGAGAAATCAGATGCCATTCCGATTCTGGATCCTTTATGTGAAACCTTATTTCCTCCTGGGTACTTGTAAGATCTTCCCTATGTCCTCAGTCTTCTAAAGTTTTATCACAATGTTGCCTTGGTGTGGTTCTGGTTTTGTCCATTGCACTATGCTCAGTGAGCACTTTCAATGTGGAAATTCATGCTCTTTAGTTCTCAAAATATATAATTGAATTATTTAATTCATTTCTTCCCCTGTTTCCCAGATGTCCAAGGCTGGCTTTCTAATCTTCTTATCCTTTCTTATTTCTTTCCCTTCTCTTTGCCTTCTGTCTATGCATTCTAGGATATTTTCTAACTTTATCTTCTTAACATTCTACTCAGTTTTTTATTTTTGCTATCAGATTTTTAATTTAAAAGAGCTGTGTTTGGTTCTATGAGTGTTCCTTTTTTAGGGTATTTATTTATTTACTTATTGAGATAGTGTCTCGCTATGTCACCCAGGCTAGAGTGCAGTGGCTGTTCACAGGTGTGGTCATAGCCTCAAACTCCTGGGCTCAAGTTGTCCTCCTGCCTCAGCCTACCAAGCAGCAGGGACTACAGGCTCATGTCATCGCACCCAGCTTTTCTGTTTTATTTGATCTTTCTCAGAGAAGATCAATAATAGATTTCTCAGTTTTCTTCTCCCCCTATACTCTTTTTCTTCCTTTTCTCTTTTTTCCTGTTAGCATGTTTTGGGTTCTGTTTTTAATGTCAGATCCTTCCCCTACATTGTGATGACCTTCAGCTGCCTGCTCTTACTTAAGTGTGCCAGATTTAGCAACAAAAAGAAAGAAAAAAAAGACAGGACATCTGGTTAAATTTGAATTTTAGATAAACAATGAATAATTTTTAGTATAAGTATGTCTCATGCAATATTTGGACATACTTATAGTACATAAGTATTTTATATTTTAGTAAAACATTAATTGGTGTTTAACTGAAAATCAAATCTAACTAAGTGTCCTGTATTTTATCTCGCAACCCTAAGAGTGAGGTCTACAAAGCTGCCTGGAAGCCCTGAGTGCGTGTGTAAGTGGGTGGGGCTTGACAAGGGTGAGTTTACCAACAGGTTGCTCCAGTTTCATTGCATAAATGATTACATCTCTTCAGGTCTTTCCTCTTAGATTCCCCAAAGAAAAGTATTCCAAACTCTCCAGCCTGGTGAGTTTGAACTTGGCTGCCAGAGTTCTAGGAGCCAAGCGGGAAGAATACCAAGCAGCTCAGTAGGCATCATCTTAAGTTTCATATGGCTCTTCAATTTCAGTACAGTAGCCCTAGTCTTGTGTTAATCTCATGGCCTTGATGAAAGATGGCTGCAAATTCTTTGCACCCTCCCACCCCTCCCCACTCAGGGATGGAGCCTAATCCCCTTCCCTTAAATCTAGACTGGCCCTAGTGACTGGCATGATTTATAGAATGCAACAGAAATAATGTTCAACAGCTTCCAAGCGTGCATAAGAAGGCTTGTAACTTCTGCCTGGATGTCTTGGAGTAAACTTTCTGGAAACCCTGAGCCTCCATGAAGGAAATCTGACCCTGAGCCTGCCATGTGAAGGGGCATGTGTAGATGCTCTAGTTGACAGTGCCAGTTGAGACCAACCTTCCAGCTCTTCTTATCATGGTACCCAATATGTGAGTTCTCCAGACTGGCCCATCTGCCAGCTGGATAACACCAAGTGACCTTTCTTGATGCCAGGTGGAATAGAAGAATTGCTCAGTTCAAATTCAGACCCACAAAATCATGAGATATAATGGTCACTGTTTTATGTAACCTTCAAGTGTTGGGATGGTTTTTTAGGCAGCCTTAGATAACCAGAACACCTCAACTACATCTGATGTCCCCATTCCAGAGAGCCACTGCATGATTCTTCAGAGAACATCCTTCCAATCATCCACCCTCGTGGAAGAGGGACCGTGGCCACTGTGCAGTGTTGGGAATGCTGACTGCTTCTTGTACAGACTTACAAGAAATCGTCCTGGGTTTAGTCTCACCTACACACCCACTTTCAGACACATCCAGTGCAGCAAACTCTCCTATCCCGAGAAATCCTACTGTCATGTTGCTTCTCGGTTTTCCCTACTCCTGGTTTGGAAGTCGGCTTTCTGAGGTCTGTTAAGTCAGTTATCACCTGTCCACGTGCTTTCCAGGTTCCAAACTCTTATTATTTTTCCTCTCTTGTTCCCTTGTCCTTGTGAGATTTTTAATTTTTTTTTATTTAAAAAAGTGGTTTTTTTAGGGGGGTGGGGTGGGGACAGAGTCTCACTCTGTCACCCAGGCTGGAGTGCAGAGGCATAGCTCACTGCAGCTTCAAACCCCTGGGCTCAAGTGATTTTCCTGCCTCAGCCTCCCCAGTAGCTGGGACTAGAGGCGTGCGTCACTAGGCTTGGCTAATTTTTTTTTTTTTTTTAAAGAGACACGGTGGGTGGGAGAGAGAGTCTCATTATGTTGCCCAGGCTGATCTCGAACTCCTGACCTCAAGCCATCCTCCCACCGCGGCCTTCCAACGTGCTGGTGTTACAGGCGTGAGCCACAGCACCCAGCCCTATCTTTAATTTAAAGGCTCCTTGGAGTGGAATTTCAACAATTATATTAATTTTTTAAATACTCTTAGATCAGGTTTCCTGGAAACAGAGCCTGACCCTAGGATTCTTGTGCAAGTGCTGTAGTGAGGGTATTCTCGAGGGAAGCCTCCGAGTAAGTGAGGGAAATAGGATAGGCCAGAGGGAGAAACTGAGCAAAGATATGGTTTCTGATGAAGTTTATCCTCAGTCTGATCCCATGGGAACTCTGGCATATGAAGGGTACCACAGATTTATTCCTGGCCTTTTATAAGCTAAAAAAGTTAGCCTCTGGCCATGGCTTCCTCAGTCTGGTCTGAGCGCAGATGTCAGCAGATGGGGGCAATGAAGGGGCAGTGACCTGGGGCTGGATGCACCCACCTAGTAAAGGTTATTTACGCGGGGTGCCAACGCATCTACTTCATTCCTAAACTTTATTTTTTTCATGTAGCTTAATTTTTTCTTTCTTTTTCTTTTTCTTTTTTAGGGACAGGTTTTCGCCATGTAGCCCAGGATAATCTCCCAAACTCCTAGCCTCAAGCAACCACCTGGGCCTCCCAAAGTGTTGGGATTACAGTCTGAGCCACCTCACCTGGCCTAATTGTTGCTTGTAAGGGATGCAGTGTCTCTCTAATCTTGCTTAAGAAATGAATTATCTGTATTTCATTTTTTTTCCTACTGTTTGACCTTTAATTTTTTGTTTTGTTTTGTTTTTGTTTTTGTTTTTGTTTTGAGACAAGGTCTCACCCTGTCGCCCAGGCTGGAGTGCAGTGGTGCAGTCATAGCTCACAGCAACATTGAACTCCTGGGTTTAGAGTGATCCTCCTGCTTCAGCCTGGCTAGTAGCTGGGACTACAGGCGTGGCTATGCACCCGGCTAATTATTTATTTATTTTTTGTTTTCTTTTCTTTTTTTCTTTCTTTTTCTTTTCTTTCTTCCTCTTTTTTTTTTTTTTTTTTTTTAGACAATGTCTCACTCTGTCGCCCAGGCTGGCGTGCAGTGGCGCAATCTCAGCTTACTGAGCCTCTGCCTCCCGGGCTTGGGTGTTTATCCCACCTCATCCGACTGAATAGCTGGGACTACAGGCGCATGCCACCACACCCGGCTATATATATGTTTTTTTTTTTTTTTTTTTTGAGATGGGATTTCACCACATTGGCCAGGCTTATCTCGAACTCCTGGGCTAAAGTGATCCACTTGCCCTGGCCTCCCAAAGTGCTGGGATTACAGGCATGAGCCACTGTGCCCAGCCTTAATTTTTTAAGTTATCATATGCAGATAAAAGAGGCAGAACCAGTTTTAGTATCCAAATCAGTCTGATCCTAAAACCCGTGCTCTAAACCATATTAAACCACCTTTTAAAATTACATCTTAATGAAATAATTTAATGTTACCTCTCCAGCTTTAAGGGTGCCATTAACCACTTAGATTTTGATGTGTCGGATGGAAAACACTCCCCAAACGGGCTATTCTCTGTTTTTTAAAAAAACTGAATTTGCCTATAGACTCAACGGATTCATTCTGCAAGCATTCACTACGTGGCGAAATCGGTGCTGGGCATGGGTGCAAAGACGACCTAGCCCTAGTTGGTGTCTTCAAGAGGCTGCGTCCAGCAGGGGAAGCAGATATGAAAACACAGAACTATTACAAGGGATGAGCGCCGCGCCAAGCCGAACCTGGGAGCTACGGACAGTGTCTAAACTTTAGTCACTCACAGGAGTACAAAGATCCGGGGCTGCTCCTAACTCCTACTCCAAAGCTTTCCTGGCCTGCTGGGCGCACAGGGAAGAGGGAAGTGCTGGAAACTTTTGGGAATGTGTGTTTTCATGTGAAAGAGGGGAATGAAATGTATCCTTCAGATTTCACTTTCTACTTTTCCGGCCACGGGCTCGGCACGACCTGCCGTTGGGAGACGAACGGTTTCCCGAGGTGGGGGGAAGCGCGGATTTGCCGCGGGACTCCGGCTTGGCGCGGAGCTGGGCGCGGCAGGCGCAGGGAGGAACTGGCGAGGTGGCCCGGGCTCGGCCCTCCGAGGGTGTGGAGCGCCCGGGAAACGGGACCCCAAGAATCCAACTGCTCCCACCCTGCGCGGCCAGGAGCGGGGCTGGCGATACTGGGGACACTGTCCAATCCGGGCAGGGGGCGAGGCCGGGGGACCGGGCGGGCCTGGGGAGCAGGCACGTGTGGAGGGCGGACCCGCCGGGGGTCGAGGCCTGCCTCTCCGAGAGCTCCTGGCGCGGCCGTCCCGGCCCGGGGCCCCAGGTGCGCTTCCCCTAGAGAGGGATTTTCCGGTCTCGTGGGCAGAGGAACAACCAGGAACTTGGGCTCAGTCTCCACCCCACAGTGGGGCGGATCCGTCCCGGATAAGACCCGCTGTCTGGCCCTGAGTAGGGTGTGACCTCCGCAGCCGCAGAGGAGGAGCGCAGCCCGGCCTCGGTACGAGGGGTAAAGGGGCTCCGGGCCGGGGGTCCTGGGCTCAGGGAACGGGGAGCGTGGCCCGGGAGCGTCTCGCGGGGATGCCCGGCTCCGCGCTGCACCCCAGAGTGGGTGCTCGCCGCCGGCTTGCGGGCAAGCCCGGGCGGCCACAGGGTGGAGGGGGCCAGCGGGCCCTGGACTCGCTCCGGGTGGGCGAGAGGGAGGCGAGCGCGGTGCTTAACCGCTGGCACCATCCAGGACATCCAGGGCCGCTTACACGGCTCAGGACGCGGGTCAGAGACCACGGCAGTTATTTATTCAGTCCATGTGCTAGGCTTTGCATCAAAAAGAAAGGACCGAGATAATCTTGCCTGTAGCTAACTCCTCCTAACACCTCTTACAGTTTACTTTTTAATTCTTTACTCCATTTAAGAAACTTACTCCTTTCTCCTAGATCCTTACCACTTTCTTACCTTCTCGTGTGTCTAATGCCCTCGGCACAGTGCCCGGCACATCGGAGTCTGATTATTATAGGGTCCATGACTTGAGTTGGCTGGTGGCGCAGTCTCAGCATTTTGTCATGACTTTGACCAGCTGGAGACTTTGGTGCCAAGGAGGAAGGCTTCTCAACCATTTACCGGCAGAAGTGACCCCCGGGGCAATGCAAGTCTTCTGAGCTGACAGAGCAGAGTGGGTCCTGCATAACTCGTGCTTTACATGGAACTGGGCATCTGCTCTCTCCTGCTGACAGTGGGAAGGATAGATAAGGTGTCCCTCTCCAAGTTATCCATTCTCCTGCCCACCAGTCCATGACACCCCACCACCCCCTTCCACTCCCTACTGTTTGCCCTTTAATTTTTTGTTTTGTTTTGTTTTGAGACGAGGTCTCACTCCTGTAGCCCAGGCTGGAGTGCAGTGGCTGGATACAGTTCACTCTGCCTCCCAGGCTCAGGTGTTTCACCCACCTCAACCTCCTGAGTAGCTGAGACTACAGGTGCATGCCACCACGTGCCTATAGTCTCAGCTATTCAGGAGGTAACTGGTAACTCTATTGATAACCAAACCCTAGATTTTTTTTTTTGAGATGGAGTCTTGCTCTGTTGCCCAGGCTGGAGCGCAGTGATATGATCTCTGCTCACTGCAACCTCCGCCTTCTGGGTTCAAGAGATTCTCCTGCCTCAGCCTCCCGAGTAGCTGGGACTACAGGCGTGTGCCAACACGCCTGGCTAATTTTTGTATTTTTAGTAGAGATGGGGTTTTAACATGTTGGTCAGGCTGGTCTTGAACTCCTGACCTCAGGTGATCCACCTGCCTTAGCCTCCCAAAGTGCTGGGATTACAGGCATGAGCCACCGTGCCCAGCGGCCAAACCCTAGGTTTTTAGTTGCCAGGGAATTCTCAGACACAGGTGGAAGAGCAAGTAGGAGAGGAAGTGGACAGGGATAAGAAAACGGATAACCCCATGACCCAAGAGCTGCTGACTCTCCAGAGCCCTATCAGGCCAAGGCCATCCTCATTCAGCTCATGTCAGATTTCTGTTGATTGAAGATAGAGACACAAGTACACCCCTGCCCCCACCCACACATAGACAGGCACAGACACACAACTACTGGATCAAGGGCTTCTGTGAATTTCCCTCCTAGATGTTCTTGCATTTGGTTAGGGATAATGTTTCTCTGCAAGCAATTTAGAGAGTAACCCGCACAGTCAAGCCATGTACCACTCCAGGCCTTGGTGTTTAAAGGGTGAGCCTCCTGGTCATCCCCAGGCTCATGTCCAGTGGCATGTTTCTTTGTTTATGTCCAGCCACTCATTTGTTTTCCTGAGCTCATTTATTATCTGCTTTTAGACTAAGCCTGCTTTTCTCCAAGGGAGATAAAGATGAGTGGCAGGCACTGGGGATTGTGGGCAGTGTGCCAGGGAGTACCTGAAGTTCCAGAATAAACAAGGGGTGGGGAAGCCTGGGCAACATAGCAAGACCCCGTCTCTACAAAAATTTTAAAAATTACTTGGGCATGGTGACACCCACCTGTAGTCCCAGCTACTTGGGAGGCTGGGAGGGAGTTTCACTTAAGCCCAGGAGTTCAAGGCTGCAGTGAGTTATGATCACACCATTGCACTGCAGCCTGGGTAATAGAGTGAGGCCCTGTCTGAAAAACAAACAAACAAACAAACAAAAACAAGAGGAGGAGATTTTCTTTGAGTGTCATTTTTACACAAATATTTGAAATTAAAAAACACTTTTTATACTAAAACAATCACAGATATATTTTGAAGTAGAATCCAAAAATTGTATACCTTTTAAATCTAAAACAAGAAACCTCAAAAACATTTTGCTTGGGATTTGAGCTGCAATTTGGTCCAAACCTAGCCCTTGAGGGTTTGTTTTCACTGCAATTAGGGCTACTTATGGAGGCAGTTTGATAGACACTGCAGTGTCCTCCCTGGAGCAACTTTGAGTAACACTCATCCTAGGCTGTCTTATCTAATCTTCACTTCAACCTGCAATGGGGTTATTAACGTTGGTTTACAGCTGAGGATCCCAAGGTTCCATATCATAATCCTTGGTCAAGTTCAGACCATTTGTGAACGAAAGCTTAAATCCAGCTGCCAGGATACAAAAGCCTGTTCTCTTATCCTCTCTGCCCTACCATAACTCCATCAGTGCTTGGTTCATAGTAATTTGGATTTGTGGCTTCGTAGATTGTTAACTAAATCTTGAACAAGTGTTTTCCTTTTTCTTATTTTCTTCTTGTCAAGCTGATATGAAATGGGGTTGAATGAACAAGAACTGTTTCAACTGGAAAGGGAGCACACTGCTGTTGTCCCAGCTACTTGGGAGCCTGAGGCAGGAGGATCCCTTGAGCCCAGGAGTTTGAGACTGCAGTGAGCTATGATTGTGCCACTGCACTCCAGCCTAGGTGACAGAGTGAGATCCTGTCTCTAAATAAAAAGAAAAAAAAATAAGTTTGCAGTGAGTGTGAGGGGTGCATGCTAGCCAGCAGCCCTAAATGCCAGAGGGGTTTGACATGTGGATAAGGGAATAAACTCGCTCTTTGAGGTGTTTGGCAGAGCTGGGTGGTGGGCTCTGGTTGAATTTGAGGAAGTAGTTTTTAAAACCCATAGGCTGGGTGGCCTTGATGTTGGCGAGAGCTCTGTCACTACAAGTTTAGGCAGAGGTTCACAGCCCTTTTCTGATGGAGCTGGGAAGGGTTAGCAGATTAAGCTCAGTTAACTTCTAAATCTATAGTTCCCAAACTTCAGGGTGCATCAGAATCACCCAGGAAGCTTGTACAATATGCAGATTCTGCTTATTTAAGCAGCTCCTTGGATGATTGTGATTCAGGCCTCACTTTGAGAAACTATGCTTTATTTTTTTTATTTTTTTATTTTTTGAGACAGAGTCTTTCTCTGTCACTCAGGCTGGAGTGCAATGGTGCCATCTCAGCTCACTGCAACCTTTGCCTCCCAGGTTCAAGCGATTCTCCTGCCTCAGCCTCCTGAGTAGCTGGGTCTACAGGTGCATGCTACCACACCCAGCTAATTTTTGTATTTTTAGTAGAGGTGGGGTTTCACCATATTGGCCAGGCTGGTCTCGAACTCCTGACCTCAGATGATCCGCTTGCATCAGCCTCCCAAAGTTCTGGGATTACAGGTGTGAGCCACCACGCCCGGCTGAGAAACTATGCTTTAGAAACACTTATATGAATATGTGCATACTTCATAAATTGAATAAAGCATTAATAAAAACATATCACCTTCCCAAGGAAACTTAGGTTTTGGTCATTATGTATAAACTCTAGGTAATGTGGTAAATGCTAAAACCTTCCTTCTCAAGGATAGTTCTTTTGTTTGTTTATTTGTTTGTTTGTTTTCGAGGCAGAATCTTGCTCTGTCACCCAGGCTGGAGTGCAGTCGTGCGATCTTGGCTCACTGCAACCTCTGCCTCCCAGGTTCAAGTGATTCTCCTGCCTCAGCCTCCCAAGTAGCTGGGATTACAGGCACACGCCACCATGCCAGGCTAATTTTTGTATTTTTAGTGGAGACGGGGTTTCACCATGTTTGCCAGGGTGGTCTCAAACCCCTGACCTCATGATCCACCCGCCTCGGCCTCCCAAAGTGCTGGGATTACAGATGTGAGCCACTGCGCCCGGCCAAGGATAGTTCTTTATTATACCAATCACATCTCCCTTGTGATTTGATTAACAGGTTTTTTTTCCCCTGCAAACTCACCACATAGTCTTATAGTGCTAACACCTCTAGAACAATGTAGAGCTCCAACTAAAGGTTTTTTTGTTTGTTTGTTGTTTAACTTAATTGAAACTGAATAGATTACTACATTAATTCCCTGAGGAATTTAGGATTTCTATCTAAGGCTTGTTGTTGGTTTTATCGGGAGTAATTTATTAGTGTTTGGTTTTGTTTGAACTGGACTGAGAGCTTTTGCTATGGGAACCTGAACCACCACCTTTGAAGAATTCTTTTTAAAGATTCAAGTTGTTTGATGTCAGTAAATTGCCATAATGCTTCTTGGTCCACACTGCTTGACGTGAAAAAACAGAGTGAATATTATATTGCAGCTAAGTGTCAGACTGTAAATTACTACGGAAAAGACCTTCTACAGCCTGGTCAACATGGAGAATTCTGTCTCTACCAAAAACAAACAAACAAATGAAAAAAAAAAAACTATAAAAATTAGCCAGGTGTGGTGGTGCACTCCTGTAGTCCAAGCTATATGGGAGGCTGAAGTGGGAGGATCACTGGAGCCCAGGAGGCAAAGGTTGCAGTGAGCCAAAATTGCACTACTACACTCCAGCCTGAGTGACAGCAAGACTCTGTCTCAAAAAACAAAAACGAAAAATCCTTCCATTTTCCTCCTCCTCCCCACGAAATAACTAACCCTTGAGGCCTAGAAGAAACACACAGAACAAGCAGCCTGACATGTAACAGAGCAGGAAGCCCCCCCATGTCCACCTCTACCTCATTTTGTCAAGTCTTCAAGAGACCTCCAGGCCCAGTCACTGTGAATTCATTCCTCTGGGTTTAGGCACTCACCTCCCCGCCACCCCAGAGAGGTAGCATATTAAATCATTAACAGAATCTAATATAAAGGGGCCCTGTGATTACTGGGAACAAGTTCTCCTGATTTATATGCGATTGAACCATATTCCCTGGAGTAGGTCCTTTAGAGCTATAAGCCCTTGCCATGATCAGCCCCCAGCATCTTCTCTCTTACTCCTCTACAGGGGACTTAGGAAAACATTTTCTGAGTCTTACCCAACTTTAGCTTCTGCTATTGCTACTTTTTGATGCTGTGCAAGCACCTGTTGACTCAGTGGTTCTCACCCTTCTTGGAGTCACAGACCCTTATAAGAATCTGACTGAAGCCATGGATCCTTTCTTGATAAAAATAAATACACACTTAACATTTTTCGTACAATTTCAAGGAGTTTATAGACACACTTCTAAACTCAGTCATGGATACAGGTTGAGCAATGTGTAATGAGTTGCAGTCAAAACTACACAAAATTGTTACTTTTTTAATTTTCAGAAAGGGGGTCTTGCTCTGTAGTCCAGCCTGGAGTGCCCTGGTGTAATCATAGCTCACCGTACCCACAAACTCCTGGGTTTAAGCAATCCTTCCACTTCAGCCTCTAGAGTAGCTGGGACTACAGGCATGCCCAGCTTATTATTATTATTATTTAAAAATTTTGCATAGATAGGGTCTTACTATGTTGCCTAGGCTGGTCTCAAACTCCTGGGTGATCCTCCTGCCTTGGTCTCCCGAAGTGCTGGGATTACAGGCATGAACCACTGGCCCGAAATTATTTAAAAATATTGTATAAAATTACTGTGGGGGACAAGAGAACGGATCCCCTTTGCCCTCTGAAGGTTTGCTGAAAAATCAACTCACAAAAGGAGATAATTAGAGAAAAGGCAAGCCAGGCGCGGTGGCTCATGCCTGTAATCACAGCACTTTGGGAGGCTGAGGCGGGTGGATCACGAGGTCAGGAGATTGAGACCATCCTGGCTAACATGGTGAAACCCCGTCTCTACTAAAAAAATACAAAAAAAATTAGCCGGGAATGGTGGCGGGTGCCCGTAGGCCCAGCTACTCAGGAGGCTGAGGCAGGAGAATGGTGTGAACCCGGGAGGCAGAGCTTGCAGTGAGCCGAGATCACGCCACTGCACTCCAGCCTGGGCGACAGAGTGAGATTCCTTCCGTCTCAAAAAAAGAAAAAAAAAAATGAGAGAAAAGGCACACATGCGGAAAATACATATATTATGGGGGAATATTAATTTTGCATTATTTTTCATTAATTTTACATTATATTAATATATTAATTATAAAATTATAACTATCTTTTATAAATTATATTACATAAATTATGTTAACTTGCATTATTAATTTTACATATTAATTTCACATTAATTTTATATTAATACATATTTTATGGGGGAATATTCATTTTCCCCCATATTATACATGAAGGAAAATCACAGAGTGAATTTACTTAATATTCCAGTGGGGTGCAGATGCTTGTATACCCTACTTCTTTTTTTTTTTTTTTTTAATACAGGGTCTCACTCTGTTGCACAAGGCTGGAGTGTAGTGGCATGATCGTGGCTCACTGCACCCTCGACCTCCCAAGCTCAGGGGATCCTCCCATCTCAGCCTCCTGGGTAGCTGGGACTATAGGTGCATGCCACCACACCTGGCTAATTTTCTGTATTTTTTTGTAGAGACGAAGTTTTGCCATGTTGCCCAGGCTGGTTTCCAACTCCTGGGCTCAAGTGATCCACCTGCCTCAGCCTCCCCAAGTACTGGGATTACATGCGTGCACCACTGTGCCTGGCCTACACCCTACTTTTTAGAGGAAAGAGAGTTGAGGAAGTGTGGATGTTTTAGGGAGGTGGCAACTGATGTTTGGGGGAATTCAGCTGGCTCGAAGAACATACAATGGCCCGGGACAGAGCCTCTTGGGCCCACAGAACAGACAATGGTTTGTGACAAAAGTCCATCCAGGTGTGTTGACAGACTTTTGTCTTTCCTACTACAATATGAATTCAGCTAATGAAAACTCAGGGAAGGGACTAGGGGTAATGGTTTCCTTTTTTGGTAGGTCCAGACTTTAGTCAGATAAGGGAACTTCAGAGAACAACTTTGGGAGAGACAGAGGATTGAGAGACAGGAGGTAGGAGGGGGGATGTCTTTGGTTCAGCATGTCAAAGCACCATATTTTGGGATATCAGTTTCTGAGCCCCAGCAGACATACACATTGCAGCCTTGTTTGTAGTAGCAAAATAGTAGAAACAACCTAAACATCAGTAAAGATCTGGTTAAATTATGGAACATCTATGCAGAGTAATACTATGTAGCTATTAAAAAATGGTGCAGGTTGATAGGAACTGATATAGAATGACAGTGAAGATATTTTTTAAAAAGTAAAGTACAGCTGTGTGTGGTATGCTACCATTTTGGTGTATAAAAATGATGGAGGCTCTCACACCTGTAATCCCAGCACTTTGGGAGGCTGAGGCAGGCGGATCACTTGAGGTCAGAAGTTTGAGACCAGCCTAGCCAACATGGTAAAACCCCGTCTCTTACTAAAAAAAAAAAAATAGCTAGGTGTGGTAGTGCACGCACATAATCCCAGCTTCTAGGGAGGCTGAGGCAGAAGAATTGCTTGAACACAGGACGGAGGTTGCAGTGAGCCGAGATCATGCCCCTACACTCCAGCCTGGGTGACAGAGCGAGACTCTATCTCAAAAAAAAAAAAGAAAAAGATGGAGGCTGTCTATATTCTCATATGCTTATTAGTGCATTAAATACTTCTAGGAGGATACACAGGAAAATTATAAGAGTGGTTGCCTGGGGAGGGGGAAGGAAAGTCTTACAGACTTGTTGTTATGTACTTATTTGTACTATTTGAATTTGTTATGTTTATGTATTACCAATTAATTAAAAAAAAATAGTGTTACAGATATCACCTGCCCATTGAACATTGTTTGTGAAGAAGGAGAATTAAATAGAAATGAAGAATGTATAATTATCAGATTTCCAACCTTAAAATTAACATTCGATCATATACTTCCTTATATGTGTACAAAGGACTAGCATGCAAGTATCCTTCAGTTTCCAATGAGATGAAGCAGCCACCGCTCATTCTTGCCGTGTGTTTCACTTGGGTAGCTGGTTCCAAAAGAATGTAAAGTGCCTCTAGTTGGATGGTGGAGAAAGTTCTGCTTTTGGTTTTGTTTTGTTTTTGTTTTTCTAAGACAGGGTCTCACTCTGTCACCCTGGCTGGAGTGCAGTGGCACAACAATGGCACACTGCAGCCTCAAACTCCTGGGCGCAGGTGACCCTTCCACCTTAGCCTCCCAGGTGGCTGGAACTATAGGCACGCGCTGCCACACCCAGCTAATTTTTTGTATTTTTTGTAGAGACAGAGTTTTACCACGTTTCCCAGGCTGGTTTCAAACTCCTGGAGTCAAGCCATCTGCCTGCTTCAGCCTCCCAAAGTGCTGGGATGACAAGCATGAGCCATGGTGCCTGACCTAGCTCTGTTTTTAAATGGTCTGATTGGTTCCAGTGTGTCTTTAGCTGCAGAAGCAGAGAGAGGAGGTAGATGGGATAAATCAGGGCCTGTAGACTAGGTAGACCTGCTAGGGCAGGGGCCTTTGTCAGAGAAATGTCTCCCAGTGATATCAATGGCCATGGGCACTGAGGGGCCTGACCTTGGCTTTGGAGCCTGGACCCCTATCTTCAGCCAGACTATGTCTTAGTCTGTGAGGGACCTGCCTCTCTCTGCTGGAGATGTTGATAGCTAATGTTCACCAAGTGTCTTCTATGATCCTGACCCTGTGCCAGACATCTGGTATGATATTTTATTAAATTTTCACCCATATTAGGTGGGTACTAGTATTATCATTGCCAATGTAAATGAGGAAACTGAGGCACAAAGGGGTTGAGTAATTTGCTCAAAGTTGCACACTGACGAGCTTCACAGCCAGGATTTGAACTTGTCAGTATGACTCTATATCCTATGCTTTACCACTCTGTGTAATAGGTTAAAAGTGGGGGAATCAGGCCAGCCGCAGTGGCTCATGCTTGTAATCCCAGGCTAAGCAGGTGGATTGCCTGAGCTCAGGGGTTCGAGACCAGCCTGGGCGAAACCCTTTCTCTACCAAAGATATAAAACAATTGGCCAGGCATGGTGGCACACTCCTGTAGTCCCAGCTACTGGAGAGGCTGAGGTGGGAGAATCGCTTGGGCCTTGGAGGCAGAGGTTGCAGTGAGCCAAGATCGTGCCACTGAACTCCAACCTGGATGACAGAGTGAGACCCTGTCTCAAAAAAAAAAAAAAAAAAAAATACAAAGTGGGGAAATGAGCAGAAAAAGACAGGGCTGGGAGATTAAGCTATGGGGATGAATTCTTTCAGAGGGGAAGGAGGAGAGCCTAAGTCCAAACCACTTGTCCAAGATGAACTTGATATTGATTTAGGTCATTCTGAGTATCTAGGGGATCCAGGTGAGGAGTGGAGAGCAGAGGCTGAATCAGGACCATGTGCTGCATCATGACTCTGGTGGCCCATCCTTCTGGGATCAAGACTTAGGGCAGCATCTAAAGGCAGGGGAGGCAGCTCAGAACCTTGGCGTAGGGTCTTCAAGAGGTAGGCAGGAGGTCAGTGGCCTCTGCCAAATGGGCAAAGGTGCATTTATTTATTATATATGTAAGTGGCGGGCACTAGAGATTCAAGAATGAAACACACTGACTCAGGGAGATAAGTAAATCAATAATTAAAAAATCATAGGACTGTATGATCAGTATAATAATTTGATATATATGTGCAGACTGCCATGGAGTAACAGAAGAGGTGCACCTAACTCTATCATTAGTGGTCACAGAAGGCTTCCTGGAGGAGGAAGGTTTATATTGAGCCAGGGCTGGAGAAGAAGGGCTTATGCACAGTTGTGGAGATGAGAAAGCTAAGCCAAAGCACACTGAAGGAATGGCATGTCTGTTACAGCAGGCAAGTCCCAGAGGTGGAGATGGAGGTTCCTTAGAAACTAAGTCCATTCTGTAGGTGTATGGGAGACAGGGCAGATGAGTATTGAGGGACAGGTCCTAGAGGGTCCAAGGATCCCATGTAAGGAACTGCTGGCCTGGAATATAAATCCCTACTTCCCTTTGCATCTGTTCCAGTGCCTGGCAAAGTTATGTAATAAATGTTTTCAGATAAAATGAAAGTGCTGGGTACCAGGAAGGAAATCAAGGCAGAGATTTAGCCTTGGAGAAACATGACTCCTTGCTTCCCTGCTTACCCTGTCCAGACCTCCAATATTCATCTTCGACATGGTCTCCTTCCCTGATTGACATAATCTGGGTCAGGGGCCTCTCCTACACACTCCTGACACTTTCTGTGATTTCCCCAGCATGGGAATGGGAATGTTCACACCTTATTATATCTGATCACATACCTGCCTCCTCTCTTCAGCTTTGAGCTCCACTGAGGGCAGGGACGATGCAGCCCCCTCTGGCTAGCACAGTGCTGCTGAGCACATACTCGGCCCTTGCTAGAAGTGTGCAGTATGAATGGACAATTTCCCATGGCCTAGAAAATTTAGTCCACCCTCTAGGCCTGGCCTGCCACAAAAATGATCCAGTTTTGAAAATTACTTCTGTAGCTCTTGCTCCGTTCATGGTGTCCTTAAACTCCCACTCAACTCCAAGCTAACTAGTCTTTTCCAAATAAGTCTTAACGTTCATAATCATAGCAGGAGCTTTGCTTTTACTGTTTACTCTGCTTGGAAAATTCTTTCCCTATTGAAATCCCATTATTATTCAAAGCCTAAGTCACGTGAGAGCTCTTTTAATTTCTTAGGTGGACGTTGTCCATCTTCCCCTACCCTGCAATTCGTAATAGTTCTCACATGCCGCTTTGTCTTTAAACTAGTTATGTACCTGTTCTATTTCTCTTAGATTACGTGCTTCTTGAGAGCAAGATCATGTCTCCTCCATCTTTCTCTTGCCATGCCTAGTATATGATAGGGGCAAAATAAATTTTAAGTAAGGACTATGAGTGCCTGCACACATAGCGAGTGGCAGTTTTGGAACTGGGGTCTGAAAACCACTTGCATAAGAATCAGGGCCTGGGCTGATTCTTATGAGGAGAATGCCAGGGTTGCTTATTTAAACTTGATTAAATGAAGTCTCTGGGGCCCACCCAAGATTTCCAGAGTCAAGGGTCCTCACCGAAAATCTATATTTTAACTGCTCCCCACGTGACTTTTGTGTACTTTTGAATTTGAGAACTTTCCTCAGGTAACAAGCTAGACAGATGCTGTACAATCGATATTAAGTAGAATCCTTTTGAAGCTGTAGCTCCAGACATCATGTCCTGACAACATCCAGGGCCAGGAGAAAGGGGGAATTTGGCTGGCTGACTCTGTCTTTTTAGCCTGGAGGAACTTCAAAGCGTCTTAGCAGGTTTGTCCTTATTTCTTTTTGGTCAGAAGTGGGTCACATGGCCACTCCTAACCCATTCATGGCTGTTCAAAGGGGGTTGCCTTGGACCACTTATTATTTCCTCCTGGGGCTAGCCCCACCTTCCTGGTTTACCAAACCCAATCTCCAAACAGAAAGAAGTTTCTCCTAAGGAAGAAGGAAGGTGTAGTGGAGGTTGACATTATTGCTGATTCTTGCAAAAAAGTCTGTGCATTGCAATAACTGCTACTATCCCAATTTTATGCCAAAATAAACCAGCTCTCATAGGTGGGGTTAAATCTGGAGGGCAGAACAGGGACTGGAACTTGGTTCTTGTTCTGGATTCTAAGCCTGAATGATCTTCATGACAGCCTATGCCAGCATCCATCTGTGGGAAGAGAATTTAATTTGAAGTTTCACAGATATCATGGAATATCAGATCTGGCCTACCAGGAGTAATGCATGTTTGCAGTGGATGGTTTTGAGAACTCTGCTGTTTAAATAATCTTTGGCAAACACAGTATTTCCTAAGTCATGTTTATGCAAGTGTTTTAAAAGTGTTATAACTTCCCCCATTAACATAACTTATCCCCGTTCCCATTTCCTCATACTTGATGTAAGGTCATGATTGGCGATCTATACTTACGAAATGCCCATGGTGTGGTTTGGGGACCCTTTCAGACATCAATAGTTTGAGTCTAGAATTATTACTATAGAACCAGGGTTCTCAAACCTCAGCATGTATCAGAATCACCTGGCGGGATTCTTGCACTTTACAAAGATTATTTATTTTTATTTTTTAGAGATGGGGGTCTTGGTATGTTACCCAGACTGGCCTCAAACTCCTGCACTCAGGGATTCTCCCACCTCAGCCTCCCAGTAGCTGAGATTACAGGCACAAGCTACCATGCATGGCCTGGAGGCTTCTTAAAACCCAAACTGCTGGATCCCATCCCCAGAGTTTAGGATTCTGTAGATCTAGGGTTGGGCCTAAGAATTGTACTTTGAACAAGGTCCCAGGTGATGGTGATGCTGTTGGTCTGGAAACCACACTTTTAGAACAAATGATACTGATCTGGGTTTATTGAAAAGATGATATAATAGGATTTTATCATGTGTACCACACACATCCTATCCTTTCCAGGTTCTTTTATGCTCCCTCCTAAGGCTGTCCTGGGGCCTTCCCCTCTGGCTGTGTTTTGCACAGAGGGATTCACCTAGCCTTCTGTATTTTGGTGACTCTAGGCTGGGCTTGTTCTTTGGAAGTGAGAAGGTAGAGTGAGGTCTATGTATCTTCCCTCCAGGCCTGGTTCATTGTCTGTATACGAAGGTGGCTCTAAATGTTGGTCTTGAAATTTTGGTTTCACTTTAAAAGGAATGAAATTCTATTAGATGGTACAGCATGGACAAACCTTGAAAACATGCTAAGTGAAATAATCCAGACACAGAAGGATAAATGTTACGTGATTCCACTTATATAAAATACCTAGAATAGTCAAACTCATAGAGACAGATAGTGGAATAGAGGTTACCAAGGGCTAAGGTGAGGGGGAAATGGGGAGTTACTGTTTCACGTGTTCGGAGTTTCTGTTTGGAATGATAGAAGAGATCTAGGAATAGATGGTGGTGATTGTTGCAAGACATTGTAAATGTTCTTAATGCCACTGAATTGTACACTTTAAAATGGTTAAAATAGGCCAGGAACAGTGGCTCACGCCTGTAATCCCAGCACTTTGGGAGGCCGAGGCTGGCAGATCACTTGAGGTCAGGAGTTGAAGACTAGCCTGGACAACATGGTGAAACCCTGTCCCTACAAAAATTAGCCACGCATGGTGGCCTGCACCTGTAGTCCCAGCTACTTGGGAGGCTGAAATAGTAGGATAGCTTGAGCCAGGGAGGTCAAGGCTGCAGTGAGCTGAGATCACACCACTGCACTCCAGCCTGGGCAACATGGTGAGACCCTACCTCAAAAAAATTTTTTTAATGGTTAAAATGGTAAATTTTGCTATATATATGTTACCATGATTGAAAAAATAAATCTTGCTTTTGTTATTCTTCTATCTCCCAGTGATGTGCTGAATTGTCCTTGTATCAGCCCCTGAGAGCTAGTTGTTAAATTTTTAGAGGTTTTGCAAGCTGATTGTTAAAAATAGCCAGCCGTGATTTAAAATTAAATTATATGAACTAATGAGTAAATAAGTTATATTGAAATATGAATATTTATAAGTAATTTGTATTTAAAACAATTCATCATTTCCTAATTCTTTTTCCTACCTTTTACCATTATCTATGCTCTCGAGGGTATTTATGTCTATTATATCTGTGTGGTGAAACTAGTATTAATGTGTAATGGGGTGCTACTGACCATCTACTCCCAACTCCAAGTTGAGTGACATCACATTAGTAACTTGAAATTGGTCAGGGTGCAAAGATTTACACCAAAAAAGTGGCTACACATCAGGGTGTCCTTTCCTTGGAGAGCTGGCTATTAGCTTTATCAGCATATCCCTGGCCTTACCTTGTGGGTTAGGGTTGGTGTAAGTTTGTAGGAATAAAACACCAGTCACTTGGAAGCTACCAGCCCAGCTTTCTTTAATTGAATCCTAACCCTTTCCAAATAGCCCTGCCTTGGGGCGTTTTTGCTGTGCCTAAAAAAAAAGGGTGGTGGCTGAGTTTAGTAGCAGGGGAAGATGAGTCACATAGTCAGCTAGTTACTTTTTAACCTCATGGGTGCCTTTCCTCAACTGTAAAATGAAAGGGGTGGGAGAAAAACTAGTAGAAATAAAGTAAGATCATTTTTCTAGCAATGAGAAAGAGATACTTTTTAAAAAAAGTTTTTATTACTGATCACAGCCAGTTACAGAGATTTCTTTGTTCCTTCTCTACTTGTACTGTTTCCCTTGACTAGCTTTAAAAAAAGCTTTTATTATGAACATTTTCCAATATACACCCAAGTGAGAGAATAGCAAAATGAACCAGACTTTTCTAACTATTGAAATATTATAATGAGGAATACAAAGGAAAAGATGGACAGGTATAATTTAAATTTTTTCTTCCAAATTTTGACTATACAAAACTAAAAGAAGAATATTAAATTGGAAACATACTTAGAATTAATTTTTGGTATAAAATATTAAAATTTATAATATATGCATAATGTATATGTCAGTAAAGCACCAAGATCCTAAAAATGGGCAAAAAATACACACCAATAATTCACAAAGAATACAAGTTTTAAAAAAAGAAAGATTCAGTGTTCCTACTACTTATTAAATTAATTAATTAATTATTATTTTTTTTTTTTAGACAGAGTCTCACTCTGTTCCCCAGGCTGGCGTGCAGTGGACCATCTCGGCTCACTACAACCTCCACCTCCTAATTTCAAGCAATTCTTCTGCCTCAGCTTTCCGACTAGCTGAGACTACAGGCACGTGCCACCATGCCCGGCTAATTTTTTTGTATTTTCAGTAGAGACGGGGTTTCACCATGTTAGCCAGGCTAATCTTGAACTCCTAACCTCAGGTGATCTGCCCGCCTCAGCCTCCCAAAATGCTGGGATTACAGGTGTGAGCCACCGTGCCCAGCCATTTTTGTTTTATATATATATATATATATATATATATATTTTTTTTTTTTTTTTTTTTTTTAGGTGGAGTCTCGCTGTGTTGCCCAGGCTGGAGTGCAGTCGCATGATCTCGGCTCACTGCAAGCTCTGCCTCCCGGGTTGATGCCATTCTCCTGCCCCAGCCTCCCTAGTAGCTGGGACTACAGGCACCTATCACCACGCCTAATTTTTTGTTTTTTTTTTTTTTAGTAGAGACAGGGTTTCACCATGTTAGCCAAGATGGTCTCGATCTCCTGACCTCGTCATCCGCCTGCCTCGGCCTCCCAAAGTTCTGGGGTTACAGGTGTGAGCCACCATGCCCAGCCTTTTCTGTTATATTTTAAAAGATAAATCCCAAGAAGTAGAATTCTTGTTGCGTGGTGCATACAATTTACTAATGGCCAAATTGCCCTCCAAAAGTACTGTCCAGGGCCGGGTGGGGTGGCTCACGCCTGTAATCCCAGCACTTTGGGAGGCCAAGGTGGGTGGATCACGAGGTCGAGAGATTGAGACCATCCTGGGCAACATGGTGAAATCGGTCTCTATTAATAAAAATACAAAAATTAGCTGGGCATAGTGGTGTGTGCCTATAGTCCCAGCTACTTGGGAGGCTGAGGCAGGAGAATCGCTTGAACCCAGGGGATGGAGGTTGCAGTGAGCCAAGATCGTGCCACTGCACTCCAGCCTGGGCGGCTGAATGAGACTTTGTCTCAAAAAAAAAAAAAAAAAAAAAGTACTGTCCAATTTATACTCCCCACCTGCAGTACAGGAGAGTATACCCAATATTGTGTCTTACTCTTTTTCATCTCTATCCCAGTGTAGTAAACATGAAAACAAATATTTGCAACCTCTGCCTCCTGGGTTCAAGCAATTCTTGTGCCTCAGCATCCGGCATAGCTGGGATTACAGGCGTGCACCACCATGCCCAGGTAATTTTTGTGTTTTTTGTAGAGACAGGGTTTCACCATGTTCGCCAGGCTGGTCTTGAACTCCTGGCCTCAAGTGATCTGCCCATCTTGGCTTCCCAAAGCGCTGCGACTACAGGCGTGAGCTACCGTACCTGACCCCTACTACTAAGGTTAAAAGGAGACCAAGCACAGAGGCTTACGCCTATAAGCCCAGCACTTTGGGAGGCTGAGGCAGGAAGATTGGTTGAGGCCAGAAGCTTGAGACCAGCCTGCTGGGCAACATAGGGAGACTCTACCTCTGCAAAAAAATTTTGAAAATTAGCCGGAAGTGGTGGCACATGCCTGTAGTCCCAGCTACTCAACAGGCTGAGATGGGAGGATTGTTTGAGCCCAGAAGTTCCAGGCTGCAGTGAGCTATGACTGTGCTACTGCACTCCAGCTTGGGTGACAGAGTGAGACCCTGTTTCTTAAAAAAATAAAAATGATAAGGCAAGTTAATAATAATAAGGTTCAATTTTACGCCTAAATATTAAATTAAGAATAAATAAATTGAGCAAGCAAGCTAACTTATGGGTGGTTGGGCTTTGGATATCCTTATAAATTTTGAGGACAACTAGAAATGTTCATAATTATCAGATATCACAAGGAATAAGCCAACAGAAGTAAGTATCTACAAGGCTAATTGTAAAGATTATAGGCCAGGCACAGTGGCTCATGCCTGTAATCCCAGCACTTTGGGAGGCTGAGCCTCGCAGATCACCTGAAGTCAGTAGTTCAAGACCCGTCTTGGCAACATGGTGAAACCCCATTTCTACTAAAAGTGTTCTAAAAATTAGTTGGGTATGGTGACGCATGCCTGTAATCCCAGCTACTCAGGAGGCTGGGGCAAGAGAATCCCTTGAACACGGGAGGCGGAGGTTTCAGTGAGCCAAGATAGCACCACTGCACTCCAGCGACAGAGAGAGACTCTGTCTCAAAAAAAAAAAAAAAAAAAGATTATAATTCTGAGATAGAAAATCTGAACAACCAATAGTAGGGACATTGAGTAAATTATATCAGTTTGATGGATGACTATAGTAAAATAGTAAAATAATAAATATGGTGATTGTATAAAATATAGAAAATTAAGTAGAAGAGTAGAACACAAAATTATATACATACTGTGATTACAACTGTGCTGAAACACTGGAATAAACAGAAAGTAGATGGTAAGTTTACATTACTTTAAAAAATGTCCTTTACAGTGTTTAAAGTTGATTTAATAATCTACAAAATAAAATGAAAGGGTGAAATAGATGATTGCTAAAGGCTTTCCAGTCTCTAAAATTCTATGAAAGTTAATCATTTGTATTTGTAAGCGTGGAAAGATTCATTATTTTCAACACTGCAGTGAAAAATTCTACCTCTACCTAGATTCTGCAGGGTTTGGAAAACAAGTTTATCAGATCACACAGTTTACTTTAATAATAACAATAATAATAACAGCTAGAGGGAAGGAGAGGTTAATAGTGATAAATAAAACCAGCACTGACTGTCCAGGATGCATACTTCATTGTTACTGCCATAAGATCCTGAGGCTGCTAAAACAAAACCAAAAAATAATTTTTTGGCGTGTACATATATTATCTTTAAAATTTAAAATTAAATAAAGATTAATATTAAAAAGACAATTAGTATTTTGTTTTATCTTTTTTTTGAGACGGAGTCTGGCTCTATCGCCCAGGCTGGAGTGCAGTGGTGTGATCTTGGCTCACTGCAAGCTCCACCTCCTGGGTTCACGCCATTCTCCTGCCTCAGCCTCCCGAGTAGCTGGGACTACAGGTGCCCGCCACCATGCCCGGCTAATTTTTCGTATTGTTAGTAGAGACGGGGTTTCACCGTGTTAGCCAGGATGGTCTCTATCTCCTGACCTCGTGATCCACCCGCCTCGGCCTCCCAAAGTGCTGGGATTACATGCATGAGCCACCACGCCCGGCCTGTTTTATCTTTTTTTGTGATTTTTTGAGGTATTAGTATTACATTTTCTATGACCTCTGCAGTTAGTCTTCATTTCTTTTAGGAAGGATTCCATTTTTATGAAAAAACAATTTCATTGAAACCAAACAGTAGTGAAAAGAGTGATATTTAAATATGAGTTGGTAAGTCGTTTTTGAATACACATATGGTTTAAAAATCTAAAATCTCTTGACACTTGATTAAATAGAGAGAGGGAGGAGAAGGATGGTCATAGAAAATGAATCTTGCCCTTGATGTGATGAGTATGGAATATTTAAGCCAAAATCTGTAGTCTCAAAGGATTTATTGATGTTTTATTGCCAGCCAGTCTTCTTCCCTGTTTAGAATGCTATGTTTTTCTGCCAAACACTGAGGATACCTAATAGTTTCCTAAGTGTTTCTTCTGAATAATTAAGTGGATTATTTTCAGAGATAGACTCTTCTTTTAAGTATTCTGGGGCTTTGTTTTTTTCCCTTGTTTTCTAGCATTTTGACATAGGTGCATATTATGTTTTTCTTTTTCTTTTTTAGCAAATGGGGAAATGAAGGCACTGAGAAGATAAATAAACAAGTTTTTGTGTGCGTGATTTAAAGAGATAGTCTGACCATTCATGTAAAGTGTTCAGAACAGTATCTGGCCATAATAAATGTTCAATCAACATTAGCTATAACAATTATTATCAAATAAGATAAAATATGTGTAGAGTTTGCTATGCAGTAGAAATACAAAGTGAGGCTGAGTGTGGTGGCTCACACTGGTGAACCACTTTGGGAGGCCAAGGTGGGAGGATAGCTTGAGCTCAGGAGTTCAAGGTCAGCCTGGGCAACATAGTGACACCTCGTCTCTATTAAATTAATTAATTAATTAATTAATTAAAAAATAAATAAATATAAAGTAAGCCACAAATGCAAGTTTGAATTGTCTAGTAATTACATTCAAAAAAGTAAAGAAACAGGCAAAATTAACTTAATAATATAGATATATTTTACCCAATATACCCAAAGTAATATCATTTCAACATGTAATCAATATAAACATTATTAATGAGATATTTTATAGGCTTCTTTTCGTGCTGTGTTGTAGCAGTCTGATGTGTATTTTAAACTGATAGCACATCCAAATCTGAATGCAAATTTTTCATCAAATGTCTGTATTTAGATTTCATGAAATGTTCAGTTTTCACATCAATTTACATGCTCAAATTATTTCAAACATACTTCAAAAATTTTTCCAATAACTAAATCAAGTACCTAAAATAATTTTCCTTTAATATTTGCATCCACATGGAAAAAACTGATTCATGTTTTTTAAAAGAATTTCACTTCGAAGTGAAAAGGCTCTCGCTTTTAAAACTGCATCTTTCCAAGTTAATTCACGAACTCTCTTGTCAATTCCATCTCTTGTTCTTTACTGTGCCAGCCGTGATGCTTCTGCTACTCCACTCAATTGTACATCAGTAACGTGCCTTTGTTTTAAATCTTAAAACGTAGCTGGGTGCAGTGGCTCACGCCTGTAATCCCAGCACTTTGGGAGTCTGAGGTGGTAGGATCGCTTGAGCCCAGGAGTTCAAGACCAGCCTGGACAACATGGTGAGACCCCGTCTGTGACAGAGCAAGATGCTGTCTTAAAAAAAAAAAAAAAAAAACTTAAAATGTGTCCATAGCTACTTTTTAACTAGAAAATAATTTAATTATGTTAAAATAACTCAAACTTGTGCTGTCTGTAAAACTTCTTCAAATAAATACATTAAAATATTGCATCAGTGCCTAGAAAAATATCAAAGTGAATAAATCTGTTGGCACCAACTAGATTAGTGATTACGTGTAATACTAGAAAAGATGCCACATGCTTGACATGTGCCCTACACATACAATGGTTGAACAATGTAGCCCTACCAGAGCAATAAAGCTGTGTGTAATGGGGAAATATTTCATACTGCATCAATTTCAAAATTTAAATATAATTAAAATGAAACAAAATTTAAAATTTAGTTTCTCAGTCTCTCTAGCCACTTTCAGTTGCTCAGAAACATGCAGCTGGTGGCACCATATTGGGGTATAGAGACAGTCTGTCAAAAGACAGGGTGAGGAGCCAGGCGAGGTGGCTCATGCCTGTAGCAACAGCTACTTGGGAGGCTGAGGTGGAGAATCACTGGACCCTAAAAGCTGGAGGCTGCACTGAGCTATGATAGTGCCACTGCACTCTAGCCTGGGTGACAGAGTGAGACCCCGTCTAGGGGAAAAAAAAAAAAAAAGACATAGTGAACAGAACACTTTAGTGCCACCACGTGCACCTTTCTGTGTTAGCATCAGCTTTACAGCAGAGGAGGGATTGTAATGGGCCTGGTCTAATTCCCAGTTGCTAGCTGGTTTTCCCTTTGTTCTTCTCTGCTTCTTTTTCTGTCACAAATGCCTGGTTCTCTGGGCAAAAATAAATAAATAAGTATGTATTTATGTATATTAAAAATATAACTCCTAGCATGGATTTCTGCTAGGGTGCTTCTCACTGATCATGCCTCCTTGAATCTACTCTGCCACCATGATTCGCGCCCCAACACCTCTCGGCCTGCTTTGGATGAGGAGGGCCAGCTATGGGCCTACCTCACAGCTCCTCACCTCAGGGTAGGGTGTTCTGAATAGATCCCCACATCAGACAGAGCTGCTAGAGAGGCAGACCCCATCTCCCTATTGTCTCATAAACACACACACTCACTCACACACTCACACACACTCATACTCACTCACACTCACATACTCTTCATCCAGCTCCATCTGCCGTAAGTCCGTTTCACTTCCTCTCAGCTTCTAACATTATCTCATGACCATCCTAGTCTTTTCCATTGTGTCATGAGTTTCTCCCTTTTCTTCCCTGTGCCTTCACGAGAATCTTGAATGAGAAACTGGGAGCGGCTGCTGCATCAGAAATAGTAAGTTCCTCACGTGAATCAGAAATCCACTGTGGAAGAATTTTACAGTTCTGTTTTTGTGCTCTTCTGCCGGAATCAGCTTGAATTTTGGAAAGATGTGGGGACAGAACCCTGCCCTGGCCCAGAGAGGGAATGGCTGATCCAAGGGGAGGAGGAGTTGCCCACAGAGCTGGAACTTGATGACTTCGGGGCGCGGGAGGCCCCAGAACAAAGTGAGACTTTGAAGAGAGCAGTGCTTACTCTCTGCTCAGTTCCAGATCTCCGAGGTGGAGCCAGTTGAAATCTGTGTAGGAAACAAAGCTGCTTTTCTGGTTCATCTGGAAAGAGAGGGCTTTTTGTTTTTTCCCCACGTGGGCAAATAGAGGTGGTGATGTTGTGTTTTTAGAGCCAGAAGGAAAGTTCTGGGCTGCATAATGCCTATATTCCAGGCAAATAGAACCCAACAAGGAAAATGGTCTAGCTTTATCACTGACTCACTGCAAATCCCTTCCCTCCTGTACTTTAATTTATTCATTTTCTTTTTTTAAATGACAAACTGATATTATTTTTAATTTTTAAATACTTCAGTGACCACAGGACATAATACTTTTTTTTTTTTTTTTTTGAGATAGAGTCTCGCTCTGTTGCCCAGGCTGGAGTGCAGTGGCGTGATCTCGTCTCACTGCAACCTCCGCCTCCTGGGTTCAAGCAATTCTCCTGTCTCAGCCTCCTGAGTAGCTGGGATTACAGGCGTGCGCCACCACGCCTGGCTAATTTTTATATTTTTAGTGGAGATGGGGTTTCGCCATGTTGGTCAGGCTGGTCTCAAACTCCTGACCTTGTGATCTGCCCTCCTCGGCCTCCCAAAGTGCTGGGATTACAGACGTGAGCCACCGCACCTGACCTTAGTTTTTTTCTGACGTGGTCCTCTTCTTTTATCTCTAAGACTTATGATTGCTAAGACAACAAAAGATACCATCGTTACTGGCCAACCTTGGAATTTGGTCTTGGGAAATGGAGGCCTGTAGTTTGTAACCCATAAGAAGAGACTGAAGGGGCCTAAGTGCAGATGAGAATCCCTGGTGATAGAACAGACAAGAACTGGAGATCAATGCCAATAGTTTGTGATGAACGTCTTGGGGTTCCTGTGTGATCAACCTGTTGGGATTTCTGTATTAGTTTCACACTCACCTGTAATAGTTTACCAATGGTGTTTCTGAAAGATGAACATGAAATTAAGCGATCTTTCATGTTTCCTCGAGGGACTTTGATTCTAAAATAACTCTGAGAACAGATCAGGAAACATGATATAACCCTAACCATGCTTGACACATTTTCTCTTTAAATAACAGTTATACTTGAGGAGAGGATTTTACTCATGATGCTGTGCAAAAGCCACATGGATTCCACTGGTTTGGACTTTGCCTTAGAGTGGGCGTTGCTAAGTGATGGATAACAGCAGCGTGCTTCCCTGAGAGGCCACTGTGAGCCTCTTACTTAGGTTGAGAACTTGACCTCTTACTTAGGTTTTATACCACCATAAAATGCACCCATCTTAAGTGGTTAGTTTGATGAGCCATCGTTTCTTTTAAGGAGTTAACATTTAAAATCAACTTTTAAAAATTGTGGTGAAATAAATACACATGAAATTTTACCATCTTAAACATTCTTAAATGTAACAGTTCAGTGACATTAAGTATATTCACATTGTTTTGCAACCATCACCACCATCCATTCACAGAACTCTTTTCATCTTGTAAAACTGAAACTCTGTACTATTTAGCTGTAACTCCCTCTTCCCTTTCCTCCAGCATTATCATTCTGCTTTCTGTCTCTATGAATTTGACTACTTTGAGTACATATAAGTGGATTCATGTAGTATTCATCCTTTTGTGACTGGCTTATTTCACTTAGCTTAGTGTCCTTAGGTTCATCAGTGTTATAGCATGTGGCAGAATTTCCTTCCTCTGTAAGGTTGAATAATATTCCACTGTATATATTCCACTGTATATATGTGTATACACACACACACACACACACACACCACATTGTGTTTATCCATTTATCTGTTGAGGGACACTTGTTTTGCTTCCACTTTTGGCTATTGTGAGTAATGCTGCTGTGAACATGGATGTGCAAACATTTCTTCGAGTTCCTGCTTCCTGTTCTTTTGGGTATATGTATACCTAGAAGTGGAATTGTTGGACCATATGGTAATTCTATTTTTAATTTGTTGAGGAACCACCATACTGTTTTTACGGTGGCTGTACCATTTTACTTTCTTACCAGCAGTGTAGAAGGGTTCAAGTTTCTCCATATCTTCACCAACATTTGTTGTTTTCTGTTGTTCTGTTTTGAATAGTAGCCATTCTAATGGGTATGAGTGGAGTTCAGTGAGTGTTGGCAGATGTATATATCCGGGTACACTACCCCAATCAAGGTAAAGAACATTTTCATCACCCCTTGATGTTGCCTCATGCTCCTCTACAGTTAGTATCCCTTCTGCCTCACCAGTGCCCCCAATCACTGGCCCCAGACAACCACTTTTGCACTTTCTAGCACTATATATTAGCTTTGTTCGTTCTAGCGTTTCATGTAAATACTTTGTTTGGCTTCATTTAGCCAGAATAATGCTTTTGAGGCTTATCTAAAACCCTAGTCTAAAATCAATTGTGGATGGAAAATAAACCGCAGTGTGACTGGAGTTCGATACTATGCTAATGGTTGGTTAGAGAATACCATGGGTCTCAGAAAGAAAGTGAGAGGAGGAGAGGGGGGCTGAGGAAGCAGGAGAGGGCCCTTCCTAGCAATGAGGCCTTCAGGAAGCCCAAAGAGCCATAGCAATTAATGCCAGTCCTATGGCTTCGGGGGCAGCCAGTTCAATTAATCAGCAGGCATTTCTTGCAGGCCCGCTATGTGCAAGGCACTGCTAAAATTTAGAAACAGGAAAGTAGAGGCCCAGGATGAGAATTTGGAGAGGGAAGATGCTGCCTTAGAATTCATACAACTGGATAATGCTTTTGTCAGAGGACAGACACACACAGAGGACCTTACGGACTTGGTGACCAAAAGAACCACAAAGGAATCTAGTTTGACTTGTTGGTAAATGTGAAAGCCTGAACTCTATACGCCACAGATGTTTTTCATGTGGGTAGATTTGGTAACCCCACCTTAAACAGCTCACTAAACAGGTAATGCTAGAATACTGTAGATGTGATAAAGATTACTTGGAGAGAACAGTAATAGAAGAATAGCTAACATCTGTTGAGTACACAATGTCTGCACCATTCTAAGTACTTACGTGATGTAATAACTTGATTAATTTTTGCAGTTGTCTTATAAAGGAACTATTGTTATTAACTCTTTGTTACCCATGAGGAAACTGAGGCACAAGAGATTATACCTTGGCCCAAATCACCCAGTTAGAAAGTACCTTTAGGAGGATTATAAACCCAGGTGGTTGTGCTCCAGGGCTCCAACCACTTTGTTATAGAGGAAGGATGGGGTGGTCATTGAAGGAGAAGTTTCCGTTTATCTGAATGGCCCATGATGTGAAATTAGCAACTAGGCCAGGAAGTTGGCTGCACCATAGTTAGACCTGTACTTTTCCTTTTTTTCTCATCAGAAGGGTGGCATAGATCACCCATCCTAGGGTGAGCTTGTGTTGCCCACAGTGCCAGCACCTTCCAGACCTTGGGTCAGCTGACAGAACCTAACATGTTATTACCAAGCACACTGCCCAGAAGGCAAACCCATCACTCGCCTGTAGATAGGCCTGTTTCCTAGCTATAAAGTGGAGGGGTGGGTCTGATGCGCTCTAAAGTCTTTTCTACCCTAACAATCCAATCTGGGAGAAATGCACTCTTTCTGGGGGGCAAGAATTTCCCCTCTATTTCTACTCCCATTTTCTTTGCATGCTTATATTGTAGCCTTAGAATTACTCTCTCATGTATGGTTTACTTCACATTTTGATCTGAAACAGGGAAAATCAACCTTGAGTGATCAAAAGAAGGGTTGTGCCTTTAAGCCTGGAGGGGCGCTGCCTCCAAAAGCATAAGCAACTGCCATCCAGGGCTGGAAAAAACATGTTGCAGCTGTGCCAACTCCATCTGAGGCTTTGAATGAAAGCCCATAATGTTTTCAGTTTGTAGCAAAAGCTAGAAGAGCTATTTTTGGCATTCCTTTCTCTACTGGTATATACTGGATAGTCTTAATATTGCTGGTGCTAAAATAAACATAACCAGATGGGGTCATTATATCTAACCTGTTTCGACACTGGATTCAGATACCCCGAAGTCATGATGCATCAGTAGTCTCTGAAGCAGGCTGTACTTTGGGAACTTTGCTATTGTGGTTGGATCAGCCATGACCTCCCAACCTAAACACAGGATGCTGGGCCCTGTTTTAAGGGAGGGCCACAGAATGTGCTTGGGTGGAATCTTTATGTCCCTTTTAGCTGGAGATGGCAAAACTCTGACCATGTGTCTGCCCAAAGAGACATATTACAGAGCCATGCCACGTTGTTCTCCCACCAGAAAGGCCGTATGGCTGAATTAGAGCGTGTGGGGATTAGAAATGCGCTGCTTTCTTGAAATGGCCACCAGCCTTGTACTAAACATGTTTGACCGGGGCCATCTGTCTGCCCGTCAAAAGTGTGGTCCAGTTTCCATCAGATAAGTCTGGAAGAGGACGGTTTTTGTTGTTGTTTTGTTTTTTGCATCCAGCTTGTTAAAAGATATGAAGAACGAGAAAGTTTTAGCTCAGCAAGAAATGTAACAATTTAAAGTTTTTATTCTGTCATGATTCTAAAAGCCTCTAGAATTGTCATCTGCCTTTTCACCTAATTATACGCATATGTACATACTCTTTATATATATACACTTTGTATATATTATGCATATTATGTAAATATATACATATGTACACATATATAATATTCATATAATTATACACGTATACACATACTATATAGTATATGCGAGTATATATTATAGCATGTATTCAGCATGGTATAATATAAAGGTCTCTAAAGACAGGCAGACCTATGAAAACATAGCTCTTATCACCTATTACTGAGTGACCTGGGGTACTATGCTTAACTTCTCTAAAACTTAAATTATCATGTCCAGTCCACTGGAAAATAATAGGGCAAAATGATATAATAGTGACAAAACACATAAGCATTCAGTACAACTAGCTCAATAACTACTTATTTTAAAATAAAGTCCCTCTGGCTCTAGAGGATGGAATAAGGAATACAAGGCCAGCTCTCCTGATGGTTACAGCTGCTTAGCAGTGGCAAAGCCTACCTGTGGAGGAGTGAGCGCAGGGCCAGAGAGAGGATGACTGGAAGCTGGGAGAGGACCATTGAGAAAGGTCGTAAAGTCTTTACAGCAGGAAGTTCAACCACGTCATCTCTGTAGCTTCCAGGATTTTTTTAAATGGCAGGTTACTCTTAAACCTACAAGGCATAGGGGATCATATACTGTCATGAAAGGTATACAGGCGGAAAGGAAAGTGTGCCGTTTAGTAAATCAAATGGTACCTGACATGGGGCAGGCATTCAGATAATGTGTGTTGAATGAGTAGGTGAATGAACATGAAACATCAGTAAAACTGTCCTGTAAGTCCCATGATAGAAATAATCAGCATTACTACCACATCAGCTTCTTGTTTCTCAGGTCACTGGACTGAGGGGAGGGAAATCCAAATAATTTGTCTGCAATTAAAAGGCAGAAGGTCAGGTGCAGTGGCTCATGCCTGTAATCCCAGCACTTTGGGAGGTGGAGGCAGGCTGACCACTTGAGCCCAAGAGTTCAGGCCCAGCCTGAGCAACATAGTGAGACCCCATCTCAAAAGAAAAGTTAAAAAACAAAAAACAAAAAAAAACCTCCACCAACAAAAAACCAGCCAACTGAAATTCCAAAGGTCTCTAGTCCACAGGTGGCACTAGGGGTCACTCAGAAAATAAAAATTAAAAAGAAAATTACTTAGGAAAGTCTAAAGCACTATATTGGGTACTTCATTATATCTGAAGCAAGTTGATGATGGTGCCCAGAAAAACAAGGTAGGGAAGCTGCACATTTATAAAGCGTATTAGAATATTCTTTGATTTATGCACTATTCGAAGCTTGAGCCTGGGAACTAAGGCCATACAACAAAGCAAGGATTAAACTATCAACATGTGGGACCCAGTCAGCTTTCCCAGCAATCATTGAGGCCACTGTGACTTTCCTTATTGTTATAAAATGTAGATATTTAGCCCTACCTCTTAAGACAAGATAGAACTCACCACAACCAGTTTTCACTACTGTAGTATCTAGTGGCTTTCAAATCAGGTAAACTAGGTGTTTTATCCCAGTCTGGCCTCATGCTAACTTCAGGCAAATTACACAACTTTTCTCAGTTTTTAACTTGTTAAGTGGAAATAATAGTCATTGTCCCAGAGGTTATTGAGTAGATAAGATAACATGGAGGAGTGTTTAATAAGTGTTCCCTCCCTCCTTCCCCTGCCTTTTAGACAAAGCAATCATTGGAGTAAAAACTGGCTTTGGCATGATGTGGGAAGAGCAGAGAAGGCGTGGGATGTTTTAAATTATATGTAAAATACATTTTTTTATTTTTTTGAGACGGAGTCTCCCTCTGTCACCCAGGCTGGAGTGCAGTGGCGTGATCTCGGCTCACTGCAGCCTCTGCCTCCAGGTTCCAGCGATTCTCCTGCCTCAGACTCCCGGGTAGCTGGGATTACAGGCACGTGCCACCACACCCAGCTAATTTTTGTATTTTTAGTAGAGATGGGGTTTCCTCATGTTGGCCAGGCTGGTCTCAAACTCCTGACCTCAGGTGATCTGCCCACCTCAGCCTCCCAAAGTGCTGGGTTTACAGGTGTGAGCCACTGCACCAGGCCTAAGATACATGTTTTTTAATTACTTGTGGATTGAAAGGATTATTATTGCCCTCAACAGTGCTGTGAATAACTGGCCAAAATATGGACAAAAGACCGTCCGTAAGTTACTAGCTGGGTGCTAGGCTGGAATCGATTCTTATTTAAGATGGCCTAGTAGGCAGGCCTCCAAATTTGTTTTCATTCCTTTACCTTCTACATCTTGCCTTTGAATACACGTTTAAAATGTTATTTCTCCCAACTCAAACCCCGTCACTGCAATAAAACTTCCTTTACTTTTAGAAGGATCTAAGTTCCAAGAAAAAAAGAAGGAAAAAAAGAGAGTTACTCTCATTTTCCTATTTCATAGACAGTTTTGAAAGCCTTTAGTGTTTGGGTGGGGCCCAGTCACACCCTTTGCAATCTGCAGACCAGTGGTTTAAATTTGTCATCCTTGTGGGCTGTAAAATGAAACCATGTACCAAAGAAAAATAGTGAATGACTCACTCACATGTGATCTTCCAGCGAAGGGAAGGATTCAGTAGGAATGTGCCACAAGGCTGGCAGGTCCCTTCATAATAGGCTCAGGTGGCCTGTTCTGGGATGTGGGTCAATGTTAGGAACCTGAATGGAGGCCGCCAAGTTGTGGTGGGGTCTGAAGGAGAGCTTCAGTTACCGGGGTGAATTCACCACAATGCAACATCCAGCAGACCCAGAGAAACTCTCTCTCAGCACGACAAGAAAGGGAGGATTCCTATTCACCAGGCTCATTAAACCTGTACGCACACACACATGCAAACACACACGTGCAGACACACACACGTGCAGACACACACATATTGCTAATTTATTTATATTAAGAAATACAGTGCCAGGCATGGTGGTTCACACCTGTAATCCCAGCACGTTGGGAGGGTGAGGCAGACGATCGCTTGAGCCTAGGCATTCAAGGCCAGCCTAGGCAATGCAGCGAGGCCTTGTCTAGAAAATTTAAAAAAAAAAAAAATTAGCTGGGCGTGGTGGCACGTACCTGTAGTTCCAGCTACTCGGGAGGCTGAGGCGGCAGGATCTCTTGAGCTAAGTAGTTCGAGGCTGAAGTGAGCTATGACTGTACCACTGCACTCCAGCCTGGGCAACAGGGCAAGACCCTGTCTCCAAAAAAAAAAAAAAGAAAAAAAAAAAAAAAAGAAAGGAAAAATATTATTTAGGCAAAAATCCTCATGCTCCAATATTTGTAGACAGGTTGATTTGGGAAGCCAAACTCTAGCCTAAAAGGTGCTTGGCAACCATGGAACAAGGGAGTATTAGATGGACAGAATTCATCTTCACAGTGGGGAAATATCTGACCCCCGACCACTGGCTTCACCCTTTCCGTAGGACAGGGCTTAGATGAATATTTCAAAGTAAGCATCTGTGCCAGTTTTGCATGGAGCTTGCTCTGCTGATGGACACAAGTTTTCCTTAAACATGCTAATATCTTCCAGCAAGCCTGCTTCAACCCAGGAGCCGTTCTTTCCCATTAAAATGAGTTTGCATATCTTTGTTTTGATGGGTGTTTGCTGATTTTACTAGTCTAATGCTTAGGGAAGTATCTACTTTGCCCGCTTTCCAAATGCTGGGTGAGAGAGGAGAATGCACCACACTGTTACCTCCACATATAGCCTACTAAATAGGACTTGAAATCAGAAGTTCTTGTTCCACATCCCTGCAGTCTGCCATAAGGACATAAGAAACTTTCTAGTTGAGTCAGCACCTGGCTTGCCCATTTCTGGCAGATACAACTGGGCAATTTGTGTTACAGTGTATTATTATCCTTCTGGACATCCTGGAAACCAGTATAGATGTATTCTCAACATACCTACTTTTTCTTTATGAATTCATTGTAAATTATTTCCATGAATTTATGTAATCTTAGTTGAAATAAGTTGAACTTATTTACAACTTATTTTTCCCTTTTGTAACTGCTATTGAGATAGGTCTCATATGTTTAATTCCCAACTATCTTTCAGTTGCTCCAAAACTATGTCTTAAAAACTTCAGATCCCTATCCTAAGCCCTAGTCGTAGAGTTCAGATACTGTTAAGAAGCTGTAGTCACCCACCCATGTTCTTCATAACCCTAGGTTTTTAAGACATCACTAAAAAGTGTATCACCTTCAGCCTTCATCTTTCCATCTGGAACAGTCCTGATGCTTTTAGAGTTATTTGAATCACCCCCAAAATGGGAGCGTGTTTGCATTTTACAGATGTAAAAACTGAGGCATAGTTGCTAATTATTTCGCCCCATCTGTGAGCAGCAAAGGAGCTTTTAAACCCCCAACACAGTCTGAGTCATTGTGGACTTGGTCACAATGTGCAGCTTATGGATTGTAGAAAGGGCTTCAGAGAGAAAGAACAAAGGAATCAAGGAAGGTGAGATAGCAAAGAATGTCGGGCAGAGGCTCTGCTAAGAGCATGGCACTGCGAGGCAGGTGGAAAATGAGGTGGGAAGGTTATAGGTGGAACTTCCAGAAGAAAGGCTTTTCAGCCCTTGGGAGCTGTCATTCTGTGCAGCTAAGAGAGGCCTTAGCAATTGCTAAGAGAGGCTGTAGCAATTGTGTTTTGGGGGGTGCATTTCTTTCCTCTTTCTGCTCCCCCCATCCTTGTGCCAAGAGTTATTGAGGCCTTACCAGGTGCCAGGCTCTATGCTAATAAGCATTTGTGTAGACTGACTTTACACATACTATCTGATATAACAATGAATCGAGGAGTACCATTTTCTGCATTTATTTGTATATTCTATTTAGAAATCTGTTTGGTGGCCAGGCGCAGTGGCTCACACCTGTAATCCCAGCACTTTGGGAGGCCGAGGCGGGCAGATCATGAGGTCAGGAGATCAAGACCATCCTGGCAAACATGGTGAAACCCTGTCTCTACTAAAAATACAAAAATTAGCTGGGCATGGTGGCAGGCGTCTGTGATCCAAGCTACTTGGGAGGCTGAGGCAGGAGAATCACTTGAACCCGGGAGGCGGAGGTTGCAGTGAGCCGAGATCATGCCACTGCACTCCAGCCTGGCAACAGAGCGAGACTGTCTCAAAAAAAAAAGAAAGAAAGAAAGAAAGAAATTTGTTTTGTACTAGTAAAACTTTAATAAATAAACAACAGCTGTCTGTATATAAATGTGTATATTACACTGTGTGCTGTCCAAGTTTCAAAATAAATTGAATAAAAGTACCCAGTGTTCAAGTATGATACCTTCTTTTTCCTTAAGTGAAATATTTCTAGCTCCTTGTGTAATGACTCTCAGTATTTCCAGAAGGCTTTGCTCAAGATGTCTTTCCACTTCTTGATGTGGTAAAAAGGAGTGGAATGTTCATATTAAAGCTTGCCTCTTTTGGAGAGGTGTCCCCCTTCCCTGCCTCCTCACTTGTCATTTATTCCAAAACTACATGAAAGCAAAGGGAAGGCCCTTGCTCTGAAAAGCAGTATCTGCCAGGGTTGTCAGCCAATTAGCATATGAATCATACTTACCAAGGGATATGGGTACATGTGGATCATTCACATGACATGAAACAGGGCCTCCAGACCAAGGACTGGCTAAGATCTGTGAAGGTCTTAAGTTTTGCCCCTGATTTTTTGTTTGTTTGTTTGTTTATCAATATTTGTTTTATTCTCCTTTCTTTTCTTTTCTTTTCTTTCCTTCTTTTTTTTTTTTTTTTTTTTTTTTGTTTTCGACAGAGTCTTGCTCTGTCACCCAGGCTAGAGTGCAGTGGCGTGATCTCAGCTCACTGCAACCTCTGCCTCCTGGGTTCAAGCAATTCTACTTCCTCAGCCTCCCGAGTATCTGGGATTACAGGCGTGCACCACCACGCCTGGCTAATTTTTGTATTTTTAGTAGAGACGGGGTTTCACCATATTGGTCAGGCTGGTCTTGAACTCCTGACCTCGTGATTCGCCTGCCTCGGCCTCCCAAAGTGCTGGGATTACAGGCATGAGTCACCGCGCCCGTCCTCAAGCAATTCTTGTACCTCAGCCTCCCTAGTAGCTGGGATTACAGGCATGCCAGGCTAATTTTGCTATTTTTAGTAGAGGCAGGGTTTCACCGTGTTGGCCAGGCTGGTCTCGAACTCCTGACCTCAGGTGATCTGCCCGCCCCTGCCTCCCACAATGCTGGGATTACAGGCGTGAGCCATCTCACCCTGCCCTATGTGTTAATAACCATTTAAAAATTTCCACCCTGCTAAGACTAGTCCGTGACTCTCTGTGCCTTTCTCCATTCTTCTCTTAACTAACCTCATGTTTTTATTAGCATCTGTAAGACCCATAAGGGGAAACTGAGAGAGAAAATTCAATAAGACTCCCTTGGTTTTGCAGCAGTAAGGTTATATGAGGTGTTTATGTAAAAGGAGCCCCCCCCCCCCCTTTTTTTTTTTTTTTGAGACAGAGTTTCGCTCTTGTTGCCCAGGTTGGAGAGCAGTGGCGCAATCTCAGCTCACTGCAACCTCCGCCTCCCAGGTTCAAGTGATTCTTCTGCCTCAGCCTTCCGAGTAGCTGGGATTACAGGCACCCGCCACCATGCCTGACTAATTGTTTGTATATTTAGTAGAGACGGGGTTTCATCAGGTTGGCCAGGCTGGTCTCAAACTCCTGACCTCAGGTAGTCCACCCACCTCGGCCTCCCAAAGTGCAGAGATTACAGGCGTGAGCCACCGCGTCCAGCCAAAAGGAGCCCCCTTAATCACAGCGTTTACCATGACCTGGGTAACAGGCATATTCAGCAGACAAATACCCCGATGATCATCAAGCCAGTCCTCTGTGGTTTGCATATGAAGCACATCAGCTGCTTCATCAGGGGTATTCTACTTGGCATTTATAAGGGGAGAGGAACAGTCCCCCTTCTCAGGGTAAACAGACCTTAGTGTGGCTTTTGTCCAGTCCACCAGGCTGGATGTTCTCTCAGGAATAACCTCCTATGTGTCTGGACCACCTGAAACATCTGCGATTGCTCCATAGAGAGCTGTGGGTCCTGCATCAACCCAAACATGAATGCTAGCATTTTGAATACTCTGCAGTGTTCGAAACCTAAGACACTGTCACTCACTTAGTTACTCACACAACCCATTTGAATAAAGGTTCTTCAGGAAGTTTATGATACTGATCTACAAAATGAAATAACTTCTTCACACTATACCCTGTGGTTTCAATCGTTTCATGGTTTGCCTTCCACCCCACATAAACTGCCTTCTTGGTTACCAGAGTTCTTAGTGATATTGTCTAATCTCAGCATGATTTTGCCATTGGTGGGTGGCTTTGCAGTTACTGGCTAGAGCGCAGACTCACTGAAATCTGAGCTTGGTCTGACCCAGCACTCTCTTTTAATTTTATTTTATCTGTTACAGATAATAACCAAGGGACTGAATATATCGCCTTTTCTTATTAGTTTGCATTTCCTTATGCTTCCAGTGAGCCAACACCTTGGGGTAGCTTTTACCTTTACTAACAGATCTCAGCATGGTATGCTACTCCGTACCATGAGTGGCTGTTACCAATGCCATGGGTTCTTGTAATCACCCAGGATAGAAATCAAGAGCAATCACCATACATAGCAGCAAAGAGAAAGTTTGTTTTGGCTCATGCACAAGGGAGCCAGTGCTGAGAAAGGAAAAGAAACAGACTGCTATCGGAGGATAGTGTGTGGGTTAGTTTTATAGGGTCTTTCCATGGGAAAGGGTTACATCAGAGCATGTATAGGAGAGGCTTTTCTAGCACTCATGCTTCTTCATGCATCATATGCAACATTAGTATTTTAAATCTCCACCCCATGCATTTTTAGCCTTAAAATGAGGAAGGGTAACTGTAGGTTGGACTTTAAGTCTAGCTATGCATGCAGGGCTCCAGGGAAGTCCCCAGCCCCCTGAAATAGGAACTCGTGGTTAATAAGCTTCTTGGGTCTTTTGTTATTAATTGGCTGAGAGTTAGATAAGTTAAAGCTTGAGTGAATGGCTTCTATCATTTTCTTCCAGGCCATTTTATTTATTTTTATTTTATTTATTTATTTATTTATTTATTTATTGAGACAGAGTCTCACTCTGTTGCCCAGGCTGGAGTGCAGTGGTGCAATCTTGGTTCACTGCAGCCTCCACTTCTGGGGGTTCACATGATTCTCCTGCCTCAGCCTCCTGAGTAGCTGGGATTACAGGCACTCACCACCATGCCCAGCTTAATTTTTATATTTTTATTAGAGATAGGGTTTCACCATGTTGGCCAGGCTGATCTCAAACTCCTGACCTCAGGTGATCTACCCACCTCAGCCTCCCAAAGTGCTGGAATTACAGGCGTGAGCCACCATGCCTGGCCCAGACCATTTAAAAATAGGGAACCCACCAGCCTGCCTATCTCATGACCATGTGGCCACCCAGGAATCAAAGTTTCTCATCCCCAACCCTTTTGTTCTTTCTCTTCCCAAACCACATATTTCTGCAAGCCAGGGCCATTCTAGCAAATCCCACTTCTGACACCAATTGTATAGGAAAACAAACTATTTTTCCTTATACTTTAACACTTTTTCACTTCTAGCACCAGATGTGATGGGTGAGGGGGTGGGGTGGGGGTTCCCACATCAAGCATCAAGCAGTTCTTCAGTTCTCTTTGGACACCAACTGGGTGTGCCACAATTTAACTAAATTCTGACACTATCAAGTTAGCACAGACCCCACTGGTTAAGGCAGGGGTGTCCAATCTTTCGGCTTCCCTGGGCCACATTGGAAGAAGAATAATTGTCTTGGACCACACATAAAATACACTAACACTAACAATAGCTCATGAGAAAAAAAAATTGCAAAAAATCTCATAATGTTTTAATAAAGTTTATGAATTTGTGTTGAGCCAGATTCAAAGCTGTCCTGGGCCACATGTGGCCCACGAGCCACAGGTTGGACAAGCTTGGGTTAAGGGATCAGTCCCACAGTCCTCCACCACTTCAGATGCCAGTGTCAAGTCCAGCTTGTCACCTGTGCTTCTGATGGAATGGCTAGAAATCAGAGGTTCCCATGACCCCCTGTTGACTTTCATCATTTGCTAGAATGGCTCACAGGACTCAGGAAAACAGTTTACTTACTGGATTATCAGTTTATGATAAAGAGCTACAGATCAGGAACAGCCAAATGGAAGAATGCATAGGGTGGGGCACGTGGGGAGGGGCTCACAGCTTCCACGGCCTCTCCAGGCGCACGTCTTCCCAGCACCTCCATATGTTCACTAACCTGGAAGCTCTTCAACCCCTCCACTCCCTATTTCCCACTGTCCTTTGGGTTTTTATGGAGTCTTTGTTACATAGGCATGATTGATCCAATCATTGGCCATTGGTGATGAAATCAATCTCCAGCCCTTCTCTCCTCCCCTGAGGTGAGAGGTTGGGCTGAAAATTCCAACTCTTTAATCACAGAGTTTGTTTACCAGGGCAACCAGCCCCCCATCCTATAGTTATCTGGGGGCTTTCCAGACGTCCCCTCATTAACATGAACTCAGGTGCGGTTAACCGGGCTTGTTATGAATAACAAAAGATGCTCCTTTCACCCTTATTGTTCTTATCGCTTACAAAATTCCAAGGGATTTAGGAGTTATGTACCAGGAACAGGAGGAGAACAGGTGTATATCCCTTACTCTAAGTCACAATATTATATGGCCTGACTGCATCTTCATCTCATGCCACTCTTGCCCTTGTTCACAATGCTTTTGTCCATCCTTCAAACACAGTAAGCCAATTTCTGCTGCAGGGCCTTTGCACTGACTGCTCCAGCTACCTGAAAGAGTTCTCCTTCAGAATTTTGAACGGCTAGCCCCTTCCCTTCATTCAGGTCTTAGTTCAGATGTCAACTCAGAGATGCCTTCCGGATCGCCCTGCCCAGGCCAGCTTCTTCCTGGTAACCTGATCCTGTCATCCTCCATGTCAGGGGTCAGCAAATGTTTTCTGTGAAGGGCCAGATAATAAATATTCTTAGCTTCCTGGGCCACATGGTCTCTGTCACAACTACTCATTTCTGCTGTTGTAGCTTGAAAGTAGCCACAGACAAAATATAAACAAACACGTGTGACTGTTCCAATAAGTCTTCGAAGTTTGAATTTTGTACAATTTTCACATGTAATAAAATATCCCTTATTTGATTTTCTGGTCAATTATTTAAAAATATAAAGACATTCTTGGCTTGTAGGTTGTACAAAAGCAGGATTTCACCCATGAGCTACTGTGGTTTGCCGACCCTTGCTCTGTGCTATCATCCTGTTATATTTTCATCATCTCGCCGAAATCAGAAATTATCTTATTTATTCGTTCTAAAATTTGTTGTTGGTGGCAAAGAGGTTGAATAGAAGTTATAAGTAAGAGTTAAAAATATATTTTAAAATTGTCAAAGGGTTTTAGCAGCCTATGCTGGGCCTGTTAATATCAGAACTAATTAGAGTTAGCCAAGTTACAATGCATCTCTACAGTGGATATCAATACTGTCACCAAGTCAACTGTCTCTGGAGTCAGAAAAGGCCTGGTTGATGTATATCTGGCATTTAGAAAGTAAAGTTGGGCTGGGCGCGGTGGTTCACGCCTGTAATCCCAACACTTTGGGAGGCCGAGGCGGGCAGATCACCTGACGTCGGGAGTTCGAGACCAGCCTGACCAACATGGAGAAACCCTGTCTCTACTAAAAATACAAAATTAGCCAGGCATGGCGGCACATGCTTGTAATCCCAGCTACTCGGGAGGCTGAGGCAGGCGAATCACTTGAACCCGGGAGGCGGAGGTTGCAGTGAGCCAAGATCGTGCCATTGCACTCCAGCCTGGGCAACGAGAGTGAAACTCTGTCTCAAAAAAAAAAAAAAAAAAAAAAAAAAAAGAGAAATCAGAGGGCCAGGTGTGATGGCTCATGCCTGTAGTCCCAGCACTTTGGGAGGCTGAGGTGGGCAGATCACTTGAGGTCAGAAGTTCAAGACCAGCCTGGCCAATATGGTGAAATCCTGTCTGTACTAAAAATACAAAAATTAGCCGGGTATGGTGATACATGCCTGTAATCCATCTGTAATCCATCTACCAGGGAGGCTGAGACAGAAGACTCGCTTGAACCTGGGAGGCAGAGGTTGCAGTGAGCCAAGATTGCACCGCTGCACTCTAGCCTGGGCAACAGAGCAACACTCTGCCTCAAAAAAAAAAAAAAAAAAAAAAAAAAGGAAAGAGAAGTCAGAATGAATCCTTTTTTTTTTAATGAAATAAGGGGAGCCAAGTAATGATTTATATTGTGGAAAGAGCTTGAAAATTATGTTTGTAAAAGCTATTTGTCAAAAGATAAAGATGTCTAGTTATGTAAAAAATAAAATAAAATAAATAAATGTGTCGTCTATCTCTCCTGGTAGACTATAAATGCCTTGACAGCAGGTTCATTGTCTTATCCACTGCATTATCTCTATCAGTGCCTGGAGAGGTGCTGTGAGAGGTCATGTAGGAACATTTGGTGATTGAATGAGTAAATCTACACAGTCCATGAGTCACTACTTCTGATAAAGTCTTCCTTCCAGACATCCCCCATATATCATATTCCAGTGCCACACCCTGCCCAAGCTTTTGCCTCTACCCATCTGTTCCTGTAGCTGTCTCTCAAGCCTTCTTAACTCCTTCTCTCTCACTCCAGTCTCTCTCTTTCCAGTTTACCCTATAGTAAAGTACAGTACCTTGTTAAAGCTTTTCTTTTATTATGGCATTTGTCTGCAAATAACAAAAAACTTTCCACAGTATTCCCATGACCTATGGTATTCTGTAGCCAGACTCCTCAGCCGGCCGTGCAAGGCCCATACCATTCAGTTCACTTTGGCTTTTCCAACCTTGTTTCTGAGCCTTCCCTGGAATGAGCCCTCTGCTGTCACTCCCGCATTTCCTCATTATTCCTGAAACTGCAGCTCATTCCCACCTCTGTACCTTTGCTCAGGGTGTGTCCCAGGACTAGTTGGTTCTCCCCTTAGTTGAACCCCCAGGTAATAGGGGGTAAGTCGGCAATGAATGATGGGAAACAGGAAGAATGAAACTGGAAGGTAAAAAGCAAATGTGATCAAACAAGGCCTAAATGGTAATCAGGTGGGTTAAGAAGGACTTAGTTATCATCAAAAGGCACACTGCTTGGTCAGATTATCTAGACCAGTGCTTTTCAAACTACTGTGCAGGCAAATGTTTGGGGAATCTTGTAAAAATGCAGATTCTGGGAGTAGGTGTGGGGTAGGGACCTGAGATTCTGCTTTTTTTCTATCTCTCTCTTTTGAGACAGTGTCTCACTCTGTCACCCAGACTGGAGTGCAGTGGCATGATCTTGGCTCGCTGCAACCTCCACCTCCCAGGCTCAAGTGATTCTCCTGCCTCAGCCTCCCAAGTATCTGGAATTACAGGCGTGTGCCACTACCCCCCAGCTAATTTTTATATTTTTAGTAGAGATGGGGTTTCACCATGTGGGCCAGGCTGGTCTCAAACTCCTGACCTCAAATGATCCACCTGCCTCAGCCTCCTAAAGTGCTGGGATTACAGGCGTGAGCCACCACGCCCAGCCAGGTTCTGCATTTTTAACAAGTTCCCAGGAATGCATGTACTCCTGGTTCTAGGATGACTCTTTGAGTATCAAGGATCTAACTAAACTCTGAGAAGAGGAGCCTTATCCAGGTGGTTCGCACCTGTAGTCCCAGTGACTCGGGAGGCTGAGGCAGGAGGATCGCTTGAGTCCAGGAGTTCGAGGCTGCAGAGGGCTATGATTGCACCACTGCACTCCAGCCTGGACAATGGAGGGAGACCCTGACTCAAAAAAACAAGAAAAGAGAAGGTGCCTTGTTTATATGACTTAGATATGGGAATAGGAGGTGGTGGGCTGCCATTAGGGGACTGTTTATGTGTCATGAGAACTCCACAAGAGTCCTAGACTACAGTGAAGACATTTCTTGCATTCTGAACAACTGAAAAAAATGTGTGATGATGATGAAAGAGGGGGTGCTGAAAACCGAGGACAAAGTTGAGTGTATAAGCCTGCAGCTTAAAGGGAAGAAAATCTTTAATCCTAGAATGGTGGCGGTGAAAATCGCCACTGGGAAACGAAAAGATTCTAATGTTGGTTGGGCTGCCGGCCTGTCATTACACACACACAAACACACTCACACAGATGCACACACAGAGGGGAGGCTGGTATGCTGTACTTTCCTCTGATGCAGTTGGATTATCTCTTTTCTCAAAGGGGGAACCTCTTCTGATCTGCTGTAACATTCAGTTCAGAATCTGTGTCCAGCTTGAGTACAAGTATTGGTACTTAACCTAACAAAACAATAGGAATCCTTTCTGTAGTGTGTATCTCCAAACAGAAGAACAGGTGGGAAAATATTTTACCAGTGTGATAAAGTTGACTTTTTTTAACAGTTTCTCTAATTAGCCCATTCCTTGTATCTTTGGCTAATCAGTAACTGGCCTTTTGATTAAGTTGGGTGTCATTTCCTCATGGCTTAGCTTCATGCAAACTGCAAGTTATCCTGATTAATGATTTTAATGCCATTTCCTTCATCACAGTAATTTCCCCTCTGCTTTTATCACAGAAGAACTTCTGCTTGGGTGGCTGAACTCTGATCTTGACCTAGAGTCATGGCCATGGTAAGTTGTGAAATACCTCAACCCTATCTGGTGCCAGCTGCCAACAGGTACAGAATGTGGGCTCAGCAACTGTTAGCTTAAACAAAGCATTGTTTACTCAACAGAGGGGAAGGAGGAGGACATGAAAAGGCAGGTCTATTTCTAAACATCATTTAAATTTCTTTTAGGGGTGGTAAGCAACTTGACCTTGAAAACTGATTCAAAGAGAGAATTCTTTGAATTCTTTTAACATCCTGAGAATATAGAAACAAGTTGTAATTTTCTGTCTGCAGAAGCGCTACATGTTTATTTTAGAACATTTAAAAAGGAAAAACTAAAAATTCTTTAGGTTCTACCACCTGAAGAGGACTGCTATCGATACTCTGAGGTAGCCACATCATTTCAGGCTCATCAAGAGGGGTGTTTCTTAACAATATGGGTGTGTTGGCTGCCTCCTGCTTTAGACAGTAATCAGACACCTTGGACCTTGGTTATTTGCTCTTTGGAACAAGCATCGAATTGAATCCCTTTGAGAGTTCTGTAAAGTTCAGCTCTGAGGTGGAAGCTGAGCCTCTTAGCTGAAAACATGGCTGTACCTAAGGCTGGACATCTGCTCTCCTTCTCTTGCCCAAATACGGTTTCTGAATAGACAAGTAATTCTGATCCGTGGTCTTCTGGAGGAAGCAATAATAGAAGTAGAAATCTTATACCTAGAGAGGAACTGGAGAGCCTGACAGCTTGAGATGCCTTCCTTTAGGAAGATGGGTGTGTAAAGTAAACTATCCTGAACAAAGAGTAATATACTCTTAATTTCTTTTGCATTAGATATTCCAGAATTTTCTTCATGATCTCTGACAGTCAAAGGCTTATTCATGTGTGCCCCAAATCTCTCATGCTTTAGTTTAAAATCATTTTCTTGCTGATTGATTCTCCCTGGCCATGGAGAATTTTTTTAAAAATATTTACGTATTTTTATTTTTTATAGAGATGAGGGGCTCGCTATGTTGCCCAAGCTGGTCTCAAACTCCTGGCCTCAAGCGATCCTCCCACCTTGGCCTCCCAAAGTTCTGGGATTACAGGCATGAGCCACTGTGCCTAGCCAACGTGGAGAATATTTATTCAGAAATGCTTATGGTGCCCCTACTTTGTGGCAGATGTGGGACTAGGACTCAGAATTAATGAGATGCTCTTCCTGTCTTCAGCAGGCTCACAGCTTTCCTACAAATGAAGACTGTAATCAAGTGGCCCTTTGTGTGCTTTCCACTCGGAGAAAATTACCTCAGTTGCTCTCATCTTTCCTCCTAAAACCTGTTTTTCTATCATGACTATTATTTATTGACAGATAAAGGACATTTTAAAAAGAAAATCACACTATACAGTCGCAACATTGGAAACACCAACTATTTGCCATTTTTTAATTTTAGACCTTACTCATATGTATAATGATTTTTAAATAAGAGTAATAAGAGCATAAATAATAGTTTTGTAGCTTTCCTTGTACCCCACTTAGTATAGGAAAATAGGAAACAAGTTATTCACTCTGATCTTATGCTTTATCTCTTCTCTATGCTAATGAGATAATGTAATGTTTATATTACATTTCATATCATTAAAATTATTTACTCTAGTGGTTATGAGTGTTTTAATTTTCTTCTTAATTTATTTTTATTTTTATTTTTTTTGAGACAGAGTCTCAATCTGTTGCCCAGGCTGGAGAGCAGTGGCGCGATCTTGGCTCACTACCACCTCCGTCGTAGGTTTAAGCGGTTCCCCTGCCTCAGCCTCCTGAGTAGCTGGGATTACAGGCGCTCGCCACCACGCCTGACTAATTTTTTGTATTTTTGGTAGAGACAGGGTTTCACTGTGTTGGCCAGGCTGGTCTCGAACTCCTGACCTCATGATCTGCCCGCCTCGGCCTCCCAAAGTGCTGGGATTACGGGCGTGAGCCACCGCGCCCAGCTTTCTTCTTAATTTTTAAAAAATTTTCCAAATTCTCTATAATATTTTTTAAATCATTGTATTCAAGATTTTAAAACATGTTTTATGGAGGTATAATTGGCATATAGTGAAATGCACATCCTTTAAGGTTACTGGTCGTTAAGTTTTGACAAATACATATATATACCCACATAACCTACTCTCATATCAAGGTAGGACATTTTATCATTCCTAGAAGCTCCTCCATGCCCGTTTCATATTAACTCCCCTTCCCACCCTCCACTCCACACAAGAAATGCAACTGCTGTTCTGAGTGTTATCATAAGTTAGTTTTGCCTGTTCTAGAACATCCTATATATTGAATCATAGAGTAGGTACTCTTTTGTGTCTGACTTCTTTTTCTGGGCATTATATTCTTTTGCAATTCATCCGTATTGTTGCATCAGTAGTTTTGTTCCTCCATTCCTTTTTATTGTTCATTAGTATTCCATTGTATTGTACTCTGATCTTTTTGGCATGTATCTTCTTCATTATTAATGTAATAACAATATTTCATCAATTGTGATATGGCACCTATTTCTATCTATTCATTTTTGTCATTCCTTCCTATATCCTCTCTGTTTCCTTTGCCTGCTATCACAATGGGCCCTCTTGGGACAGAATTCCCTGTCTTCCCAGAATGGATAATGGCCTATTATACTCTGAAATTCAATCAATATGGATATTTATCATGCTAACAGGGAACACATTTCTTGATCTCTTTCTTGGAGAAAAAGAGTCATTAAGAATGCTAACTGATAAACGGAACCACCCTTGCCAATTCCTCTATCGATTCACCTTGTTATATATTAATCCTAATCCATAGTAGTGTCCCACAGCAACGCAGTTTGCTTAAAAGTTGAATGCAGTGTTTGAGTGCCATCCAAAAATTTTTCAATACGGAATTTCCAAAAGAACCTTGTGAAACATTCAACTCAGAAAGCTGTCTCATGCTGGGGCCAACAGCCATGTTGGAATTCTGACAGCAAGTCACCAATTTGCGTATTACTACTGATATATAATAGAAGAAAAGAAGTAAAGTGCCTCTGTTAGTTTCTTGAGGCTGCCAAAATAAAGTATTTGCAAAAGTAATTGCACCAACCTAATAGCACAAACTGGATGGCTTAGAATAGTAGAAATGTATTGCCTCACAGTTCTGGAGGCCAGAAATCCAAAGCAAGGTGTCAGCAGAGCCATGCTCCCTTTGACACCTGTGCAGAAGCCTTCTGGGCCTCTTCCTAGCTTCTGGGGGTTTGCTGGCAATCCTAGCTATTCCTTGGCTTGCTGCTGCATAACTTCCATCTCTGCCTTTGTCATACGGTGCTCACCCCTTGTATGTCTCTGTCTTCTCATATCCACATCTTCTTATAAGGACACCAGTCGTATTGGATTAGGGGCCCACCCTACACCAGTATCACCTCATCTTAACTGATTAATCTGCAGTGGCCCTATTTCCAAATAAGGTCACATTCTGAGGTGCTGGAGGTTAGGACTTCAACATGTCTTTTTTGAGGGGGGAGATACAATTCATCCAATAACGGGGCCCAAGGAAGTCGATGTCATACATGTCTACCTTCCTCTGTCAGACATATAGAGGGTGATGACCAAGTGCCAAATGCTTACCATATCCAGAACATGAAAGCCTGGTCTTGCAGCAGAGAAGGCCCGTGCCCTGGGTACCTGAGGACTTGGATGGGCTTGATGTGGGCCACTATGGGCCTGAGAGGTCCAGGCCAGGGTGGTCTAGTGCAGTAAGCTCAAGTCAGGCTCACCAGAGAACTGTGCTAAGGGTATAAAAATCCTCCATTCCTTTAGATGGCCCATATTACATTCTTGGATCCAATTAGATTATCAGAAAACTTTAGCTCTATTCCACACTGTTTATGCCACCTTGTACAAATGCTCCATCCTAGATTCTGCTTTGGCATTACCCCATAGGCTTGTGTGGAGGTATAATACAAGAAATAGATAAAAGAATCTCATTATTTTATTTATTATGGAGGTACAGCTGAAGTTCTCTTTGATGATGATGATGATGATGATGATGATGTTTCTGAGTTTTTGTTTTAGTGTTTACTTTTTTCTGGGTTTTGTGCTAAGTGCATTCCTGTATTATCCTGTTTCTGTGAGTTATTATTCGCAACATACAAGTGAGAAAAATGAAACGTCCCCAGGTCACACAGCTAGAAAGAGGTAAAGATAAGATTCATACCCCACTCCAGTGCTTATGCTCCTTCCCACTAAGCTTCTTAGACCAAGCGCCAACTACTCCCTCCTTCCTCAGCCTCTGGACAGTGCTCGATCCTGGATTTCCTATGAGCTCAAGGACCACCCCTTCTCAGCCATCCTTTCTGGGCTCTCCCCTTTTGGACCTGTACTGTTGGAGAGACCCAGGCTTATCCTAAGTCCCTGTTCCCTATTTTCACTTTCTTTCCAGGTCATTTCATCAAGTACCACCCAAATGCTGATGCATCCCGACTTTATTATACTGGATGTGACCTCTAGACTTATACCGTATAACCAATTGTCTTTTTGACAATTCCACTTGGATATTTAATGGACATCCCAAACTTAACATTTCCAACATAGAACGTCTAAATCCCACTCCACACTGCCACTCTGAATCTGGTAGTCTTCCTCCAGTTTTCTCCATCTGGGTAAATGATACCCAGCTGCTCAGGGGAAAAGATTTAGAGTTATACTTGATTCTTTTCTTTCCTCACCTCCCACGTCAGTCCATCAGCAAGTTCTGTCGCCTTTGCTCCAAAACATGTGCTGAGCTGTCTGTTCCTCTGTTTATTTCCATCTTAACTATTTCACCCTAGTCTAGCTCATATCCCACCCCCAGATCTTGGCCCAGGCTCTCAAATGGTCTCTGCATCTCTCTACAGCAGCCCAGGGGGATCTTTTAAATAGATAAGTCAGATCACATGTCCCTATCTCCTTTCTCAAAACCTGTCGGTGGCTTTCTACTGTACTTAGAATAAAATACAAACTCCTTACCTGGTTTGAAGGGCTGCCTTGCTCTGGCCCCAGCCCACCCCTCTGATTTCCTTCTTTTTTATTTTTAATTCATTTATTTAAATATTTTTATTATGGAAAACTTTAAACATATACAAAAGTAAACAGAATACTATAAGGAACCCCTTTGTGTACCTATCAATAATTATTAACTCATGGTCACTCCTGTTTTTTGTCTTTGTTTTTTTGAGACAGGGTCTCACTCTGTCGCCCAGATTGGAGCACAGTGGTATGATCTCGGCTCACTGCAGTCTCCACCTCCTGGGCTCAAGAGATCCTCCCACCTCAGCTTCCTGAGTAGCTGGGACTACAGGCCTGTGCCACCATGTGTAGCTAATTTTTTTGTATGTTTTTGTAGAGATGAGGTTTCACCATGTTGCCCAGTCTGGTCTCAAACTCCTGGGCTCAAGAGATCTGCCTGCCTCAGCCTCCCAAAGTGCTGGGATTACTGGGGTGAGCCACCACATCCGGCCTGTTTCTTCTTTATATCCACTTCCTCCCCTTTCTCTCCACCTGTGTGATTTTGAAGCAAACCCAAGACATCTCATTTCATCTGTAAACTATTTCAATAGATTAAACCTCTTTTAAAAATGAAATATCACCATAATGCCATTCTTATACCTAAAAATGTTAAAACCAAGTCGTTAGTGTCATCAAATGTCAAGTCAATGTTCAAATTTCCATCGTCTCATAAATGTCTTTTGCTTTTTACTGTTTAATTTAGGATCCAAATTATGGTACTACAGGTTCACATTATGATCATTGATGTTCCTTTTCATATCTTTTAAACTGTAGTTCCCTTCCATCTCTCTCTCTTTAAATTCTCCTTGCAATTTATTTGTCGAAGAAACTAGATCGTTTTTTAAGTGCTGTGTCTGAGAGTCTGGATTTTGCTGACTGCAACCCTTTGGTGTGGTTTAACATTCTCCTTTCTCCTGTTTACTGGAAATTTGTTTTTGGCTCTAGAGGCTTGACTGGATTCAGGTTTGATATTTTTCCCTTTTGGGGAGAACAGGGTTCCACGTTGGTGTAGTTTGTCTTCCCCCCACTCCTTGCCCACCAACTTGAGCCACACTGGCCTCTGTCCTGCTTTCCCTACAAACTAGTTCCGGCCTCAGGACCTTTGCAGGAGCTGTTTCCTCTGCCTGTAACCCTTGCCTCCATCTTTGCATGAGCAGCTGCTTCATTTCATTCAGCTCTTAACCTCAATGTCACTCCTCAGAATGGGTCCTGCAGGACCTCTCTATCTGCTTCACAGCAATGCTCACCCCTAGGCACTTTATGGAATTGTGAATTGTTGGCTTGTTTACTGTCTGCCTCCCATGAGCTAGAGCATCAGTCCCGGGGAGCAAGAGCTTAATTTTTCATGGTCACTACTGTACCCCTAGCACCTAGAATACCATCTAGGCTATGGTCAGTGCTCAACAAATGTTTGCCGAATGAGATGCCTCCGTGTTGGTGAGAGGCTGCCTCTCAGTAACATCACTCTCTTGTGTGCTCAGGCAACCAAAGGAGGTACTGTCAAAGCTGCTTCAGGATTCAATGCCATGGAAGATGCCCAGACCCTGAGGAAGGCCATGAAAGGGCTCGGTATGTGTCCTGCTGGAAGTGAATCCTCCTGCGTGCATTGCACATCACAGGGTCACACAGGAGGGTGCCATGTCTGCTGGCCATCACGTGGGTCTTCCTTTAATAAAACACAAGGGAGGCTGGGTGTGGGGCTCATGCCTGTCATCTCAGCACTTTGGGAGGCTGAGGTGGGCAGATCACTTGAGGCCACAAGTTCGAGACAAGCCTGGCCAACATGACAAGACCCCATCTAGACTAAAAATAAAAAAATTAGCCAAGCGTGGTGGCACACACCTGTAATCCCAGCTACTTGGGAGGCTGAGGCAGGAGAATCACTTGAACCCAGGAGGTGGAGGTTGCAGTGAGCTGAGATCTCGCCATGGCACTCCAGCCTGGGAGACAGAGTGAGACTCCATCTCAAAAAAGAAAGAAAGAGGCTGGGCACGGTGGCTCACGCCTGTAATCCCAGCACTTTGGGAGGCTGAGGCGGGTGGATCACGAGGTCAGGAGATCGAGACCATCCTGGCTAACACGGTGAAACCCCGTCTCTACTAAAAATACAAAAAAATTAGCTGGGCGTGGTGGCGGGCGCCTGTAGTCCCAGCTACTCAGGAGGCTGAGGCAGGAGAATGGCGTGAACCCGGGAGGTGGAGCTTGCAGTGAGCTGAGATTGCACCACTGCACTCCAGGCTGGGCGACAGAGCGAGACTCCATCTCAAAAAAAAAAAAAAAAAGAAAGAGGGAAAGAAGGGAAGAAGGAAGGAAAGAAGGAGGAGAGGGAGGGAGGGAGGGAAAGAAAACACATGGAACAAGTTGAGATAAGTTGGGACAAACTGGATGGGGAGGGGCATTAGTTCTTCACTTTAATAAAGAATGATAAATTTAATATACTCATTATGGATTTCCCCTATTGTTTAAACCTGCTTTGAATTACGACATCATGAATCTGCATATTAAATTTTAGAAATGTATTTGTTTTCCAATTAGTGCTGGTGTGTATATGGTGCCACAGATTTACAAAGCAGTTTCACAGACATTATCTCATTGGATATATGCAACAACCTGTGATTTAGTGAAAGCAGCTATTCCTATTGTTATTTTAGCCCCATTTTACAGATGTGAAACTGAGACCCAGAGAGGCCGAGTAACTCTCACCAAGTCGCACAGTGAGTGAAACTGAGCCATGGCTCACACTAGGCAGATCCCATCTCAAGCTCGGGGTCATCAGCACTAAGTCCACATTCTTGCCTTGAGTCCGTCTGCTTGTTGCTGTGGTGATAGACACAGCTGTGACAGCACCGACATGCAATGTGTGGAATTTAATGTGAGAAGGCTGGTGAAGCAGCCTTGTTGTCTGGGGTAAATACTAAGGTTTTTGGTGTCATGGCCAAGGAGATTGAGGTTGCAGACAGACACACACACAGTGAGTTTGGAGCAGGAGTTTAATAGGCAAAAGAAAAGAACAGCTCTCCATCACAGAGAGGGGTCCCGAGCGGGTTGCCAAGTGGTAGTAAAATTGTCAGGGTTTTTATAAATGGGCTACTGAGGAGGGGGCTCATGAGCAGAGGAGGTCTTATCCTCCTAGGGTCCAGTGGTTTGGTTGGGACCAGGTGTGCCTTCTATATAGAGCAGAGTTTTTTTAAATCAGCTCTTATCCCATTCTCTGACCACATAGATGGACTCTTATTCTGTGTTTCTTTGTCTTGCTTATCTGGGAGGGAGAGTTTCTGTGTCTGTTCCCACACATCTTCTTGCAGCTGCAGACATCCACCCAAGTCTGTTTTTAGCTCCTCAATCTTACTGCGCCTAAAGGGAAGGAATATGCTTATTAAGACCCACTGTTTTACTGGGGCCCACTGTGTAAATGTGAAGTTTGGTGATTACCCAGGAGACTTCCCCCTCCCTTTCTGTGCTCAAGCCATCTTCTCTGTGTTTTACAGCCTGAACTTTCAGGCTGCTTGTTGTTAGAAGAGAAGTGCTTTTTTTTTGAACTGCATGAGGTTAGAAAGGGAGCTATTTTTGAGCTGCTTTTTGTTAAAAGGAAAGTTTTCTGCTGGGGACTCACTTTACCCTAAATGTCTACCTAAATCATTTCTTTCTGCCTCCTATAACATATTTCCCCCCTCAGGAATGAAATCCATAACTGCTGCTAGGGGAAACTGGGTGACGATTTCTTCTGGCTACTTCCTGCTGGAGAGTGGCGTTGTGTGGGGAACAGCAGCTAGGGCTCCTCCTGGGGTTGATTTAAGGGTCCCTCGTAGGAGGGCAGTTTCATTTTCGGCTCCATTTTCAGCACCATCTGAAGCTTGATGGTTTCTAAGCGAGAAGAGATAAACTTCACAAGGAGGTTTAGAATATAGGTTCTAAATATGAGTATTAAGATTACTATTATTAATGGGGGCACTATAGGCCGTAACCATGACAACAGAGTTTGTTTGATACCTGTGAGCCATTCAGATGGGTTGTGCTGCTGTAAGTGGGTATATGGGGCTTGGCTTTGTTTAGCTTCCTTGGTCTTACTTTCCCAAAAAAGGGAGAAACCCTGGGGTTCTAGTTTACCTGGCAGGATTTGTAGGATAATTGCCCAGAACTAGAACATGTTTCCAGATTTTTCTATTACCGATGCCTTTCTGTTTTCTCTGAGCTGCAGCCAGAGATTCCTGGTTGGTTGACAGGAGTAAGCAGGGTTAGTTTAAAATGTAGGCAAGAACTTAAAAACAACTGATGGGACTACAGGTTAATAACAGATGTATGATAAGTCTTAAAACATAATTTCTCTTTCTCTAGTCCTCATTTTTGTTAAAAATAATCTATGATAGGACTGAGTTGTTTGCAAAACAGACTTCAGTCCTATACTTGGCCTAATTATTTGCATAAAGTACAGCAAGAATAATCATCCTTACATAAGCCTCTTAGATTGGCTTTGATGGAACCTTGTTCCATGAGGAATTTTAGATAGGACTTTTTAAAGCCAAGCCCAGCCATAGGTTTGTACTTTTAAATACCTGTGAGTTGGATAAATTTTTTTCCTTCTTGAGGTTCCAGAAGCATGGGGTTCCTAGGCCTGTTAGAAAGTGACATTCTTTACTCACTGCAGGTCAGGAACCCTGTATGGAGACTGTGTAGACAGATATGAGGCCAGTTTTCCCCAGGGGCTTTTATTGGCTCAGCAAGTTAAGCTTGATTCCTTAAAGGGAAATATACCCTTCTAGTCAAAGCCTTGGTAAAACAACCAGTTTTTCCAATTGTGTTTTGTTGCAAGAGAAAATGGATTCTTGCTGCACTGATTCAAACAACTATATTGTTGTAATTTAAGAATATTTATAACTAGTTTCCAAATTCTACAGGAATTAGGCAGAGAGACATAAACATGCTCCAAACTTTGCCTATAGTAGTACACTTTGCTTAGTTATCAAAGGCTGTAGCTAGCTTAAGACAAGTTTTTTTGACTCTAAAAAATAAAATAAGGATTAGCCGTGTTCTAAGAATAAGTGAAGAATATTGCTTTAGTTTTCTATTAGTTCAGTTCATTCCATTAACTTTTGTTTTGATATTTATAAACATTTTAGCCTTTTATGAGTCCCATACATTTTTTGGTCATGACAAACCTGCATTGGAGAGAACTTGTTAAAGTCCCATGGCTTGATTATGAACCATCTTTTGAAGAGAATTAAAACAAAACAACAATTGTCTGTAAATGACAAAATGTCCAGTTTGGATACAGTCAGAAATACAATTGACAAAGAAATTTGGTTATTTTTGTGTTTTTCAAAAACCCAGCATAACAACCTTAATTGTAATAGCACATATTCAGACACTAGAACCATAGACATCCCATACAGTTTTGGAACACATGTTAATATTATTCCCTAAAGTATAACCTGAAGAGTATTAGACATCATTTTGGCAATTTTATGTACCTCAACATGTTAAATAATACTGTTTACCTCTCTTCTAGATGCTTCAGGGGTCCTCTGCAGCACCCAAAAGCCAGGGGTTAGGAAAGACAGACTTGAGACTAAAGTTTGACTTTGGGAAGCCTGTTAAGTATATTTAAAATTTAAAACACTTGATATTATGAAATAGAATTTTAGATTACCAAAAGTTTTTGTTTTTGCCAAAATGTTGAGCCAGAAATTTGAAAAAGCAAAAACCATTCATTAGCCTTTTCTATTCCATGAAAATCCCGTGTTAAGAGAGAAAGTTAAATTTTACCCTTGCATTAGTTTGCTATTAATGTTAAACTTAATTTTAAATGAAACATTATAGACAATCCTATTTAATTTTAACCAGTTTGACCATGAAGTGAGATTTTCACATACCTGTTATAACCCTTGACAAGTTTTGCTAAAGAGTAGATTAGCATTTTAAGAAAACCTTGCTGTGCTTTTATTTCAGTGATTAATTTACAGAAAAAAACCATATAATGCCCTTTTGCATTTAGTTAATATGTTTACACGCAGTGTTTTTTTTTGCAAGATTTTTACAGTTTTTTTTTACAATTT